>NC_000015.10:49526874-50151874 GCF_000001405.40 Homo sapiens | reverse complement strand
AAGCATTTACTCTTTATTCTTACTATTCCTCAAAAATTTGGAAACTGTTCATAAGTTTTCTTATGGCAATATAGTTATTTGCATAAGTCCAGTAAAAATCTTACCTCTCTCTTTTTTTTTTTTTTTTTTTTTTTGAGACAGGTTCTCACTCTGTCTCTTAGGCTGGAGACAATCTCAGCTCAGTGCTGCCTCCACATCCTGGGCTTAAGTGATCATCCCACCTCAGCCCTAGAGAAGCTGGGACTACAGGCATGTGCCACTACATCAAGCTACTTTTAAAATTTTTCGTAGAGATGGAGTTTCGCCATGTTGACCATGTCAGAGGTCTTTCTTTTTAAATAGCAGAATACAATCAGAAACATTAGTTATATTACCAAGGCTTTGACCAAAATATCATATTTGACAGTGTGCATAGAATGACTGGCTTCAAGTGTTCCCAGACTTAAATGAATAGACAAAAAGTTGTTACTCTCTGGCAGGCCCAGGAACCTTAAGACTATAGGTAAAATCTAAATCTGCCTTGGTTTGGCTTCCTAGCCTAAAGAAATTTTAAAATCTGAGCTTCCTATGTGATTAATATGTATAGAAAAAGTTATGTTTCTAAAGAAAAGCTATAATACACCTGTTATTACATTGTAACTCTGTGCATTGTTTTTGAGTTCCTGTGATCTACCTACAGACTAGACTAAATCCTGAATTCTAGAGCCTTCCAATCCAACTTTCTTTCATGGAATTGCTAAAAATTGAAAATGCTCCATTCCTGAAGCCCTATAAGCTGAAACTAGATAAATTTTAAGGAAGTTGTGCCTGATAATGAGTCACACAACAATTTACAAAACCACCTGATGCCACAGACAGATTTAATCTGCAAACCAGGATGAGATGTTTTCATGCTCTAGACAGCTTTTCCCAAGATGTTAGGACAGGAATCCATATCATAATGAGACTCTTACCCCTGTTAATGCCAACCATTTTCACTTTACAGGATAATGGTCATTTGATTTATTCAATTGGTTGTCTTTAGCCTTAGCCCAGGTTCATGTCTCAAAACCATTATGCAAATTAGAATTGTCATATTACTATTAATTTTGTGTTGTATTTTCTTATTTTAAACTTTGTATTTGTTATTTGTTAAATTCTTGCAGAGGTACAACTCTGAACAGAATAATGCTGGCCTAGAACTTGGGGATGATAGCAAACCCCTACGAAACAGACAAAATTAAACTTAATAATGGACTCCAGGTAGGCTAGCCTGAGAGCTTCGCTTCAAACTCCCTTTGTTGCTCAAATGTGGCCAGAAGAGTTTCAGTATGACTCGTAGTCACCAATCATTCCTTCCAAATGTGGGTGTAGATGAGCAACCTGGGACAAATCCATCCTGGTACTGAGGGACATCAAAATCCAACTATAGGTTGATTGATCAGTGATGCTTTTGGAGAAAGATCTTGATGAAAAGGAGGGAAGTGTGAAAGTTCTCAGAATCAAAATGGAGTCCATTGTGTTAAAATCCTCCCTGAGAAATGGATCTGGGGTAGGCCATGCAGAGAAAAGTTCTCATGAAATGCCTGATAACACATACTATCACAAAAGACTCTGCAAAACTCCCAACCTTGCACAAAGACCATCACAGCCTTTTGCAAAAAATACTTTTATGTGGACATTTGCCCAGCAACTCACTGTTCAAGCTCACCTGCTGTCACTCTTGTTACTGTTACTGATCCTTGTAGCCAAGGATAATTATCTCAAAAACCACTATGAAATTTTTTTTTTTTTTGGGACGGAGTCTTGCTCTGTCACCCAGACTGGAGTGCAGTGGCGTGATCTTGGCTCACTGCAACCTCCACCTCCCGGGTTCAAGCGATTCTCCTGCCTCAGCCTCCTGAGTAGCTGGGATTACAGGCACCCTCCACCACACCTGGCTAATTTTTGTGTTTTTAGTAGAGACAGCGTTTTGCCATGTTGGCCAGGCTGGTCTCAAACTCCTGACCTCAGGTGATCCGCCTACCTTGGCCTCTGAAAGTTCTGGGATTACAGGCATGAGCCACTGTGCCCGGCCAACTATGAAATTTTCTTAATTTTTCTCTTAAAAGCCTTTGTCTTCCTTTACTGCCCTGAATACACACATAGTTTACTATGGCATGTGCTTTCCCACTGCAATGCCTTATTCCCAAATACATATCATTTATTTTTAGAGAGTCTTTCTTTGCTATTTAGGTTGATAAATGCCTCTATTAGAATTTCATTCTAATGAAGTAGTTTTTCATTAGATTCACTTCTCTTTTGAGCATATTATCATCATTATCATTATTATTATTGTGGTTATTTCTCTAAAGAGCTCCTCTCTGCAGTTGTTTCCTACCACCTCAGTGGACTCTGTGATGATCAAAGAGATCTGCTTCAAGGCTTAGTGCACATACACATATTATCCCCTCCCATGCTTGCCTTTTGTTTCCTTATAAACTGTTTAACCAGGAAAACAGGTCTGACTGATTTGAAGAGGAAGAGAGGTCAGCAGTCTATCACCAGATCAGACTCTACCAGTGATACTAGGATCTCCTTTCTAACTTCTGGCCTATAGCTTACTCTCTCTTGTCTTCTGTGTTTTATGCTTATGACATGACTCAGATAATATACAGGGACATACTGGGCACTACGGCAGACCTAGCCAATCAATCATGGCATTATCTTAGGCTGAGCCTAATCATGTGTCAGAATTGTTCTTAACACAATGTTCTCAACTGCCACCACCACATTCACATTTAACCCCTGAGATTAGTTCTGCTTATCATCTCTGTAGTATTGATTCATAGATGAACAAGAGAATCACCTGGGAAGCTTTAAAAATAGCATGATGTATTGTTATTTTTAAAAGGGATACTTATCTTTTTGAGATACATACTAAGTACTTATGGATGAAATGATGTTGAACCATTTGAGAGATAGTTGTAGACAATATAACATTTTATTCCTAAATACTTTCAGTACGTATCACTTAAAACAAGAGAATTTTGTAATCTAACTACAACAGAATTATAACACTTGGGAAACTTGAAGTCGATACAATTTTATTATCTAATATTACATTTAATATTATTATCTAATATGAATTCTTATTCAGTTTTCGAATTACTTCAATAATATCTGTGTTAGCCTGTTTTGTGCTGCTATTACAGAGTACCTTAGACTGGGTAATTTATAAAGAACAGAAATTTATTTTTTCATAGTTTTGGAGGCTAGAAAGTCCAAGATCCTTTGCATTAGCAGGTTTGGTTATCTGGTGAAGGCTGTAGCCTCCAAGAAAAGGAATGCTGTGTCCTCACGTGGCAGAAGGTGGAATGGCAAGGAATGCATACTGCATGAAGCCTCTTTTGTAAGGGCCTTAATCCCATTCATGAGGGAGGAGCTCTCATGGCCTAATCCCCTTTTAAAGGCCCCACCTCTTAATACTGTCATATTGGCAACACCTACATTTTGGAGGGGACACATTCAACCCATTGCAATGTCTTATAGCTTTTTTTTTGTAAACCATCCAAAAGCCAATCTAGATTACAGATTGCATTTAATATTAAATATAATTATTTATGTCTTTTATGTTTCCTTTAATCAAGAGCAGTTCCCCAGCTTTTCCTTGGTCTTTAATTGACATTAACATTTTTGGAGTCCAGGCCAGTATTTTGTTGAATGTTCTTTAACTTGGGTTTATGTGATGTTTCCTCATGATTAGATTCAGGTTTTGCAGTTTGGCAGGAACACTAAAGAAGTGGTGTTCTGTCCTTCTCAGTGTGTCAGACCAGGAGGCATCTGCTGCCTGATTGTCCCATTATTGCTCGTATTAAGTTGGATCACTTAGTAGAAATGCTAACTGCTAGATGCATTGGAAAGATATAGTTCTTCTTTGTAATTAATATGTATTGCATGGAGTTATACTTTTAGATTGTATAAATATTCTTTTACGCCCCAATTTCCCACTGAATGATTTTGGCACTCTTTGATGATCCTTGCCTGAATCTATTATTTCTATGGTGGTTCTGAGAGGGTGATTTTCTGTTTCTATCATTCCTTCCACATGCATTCATTGGCATCTTTTCTTTTTCTTTTTTTCCTCCTTTAAAGGTTGGGTATAGACTCAGCAATTTTCAAAAAATTCAATGTTATATATTCTTTTGTGTCATTGATCTTGGTTGGCTCCTGTGTCTTTTGGCAGGTCCCGATCAGCTTTTGAGCATGTTCTGATGTTCTGAAACAAAAGATGTTCCAGGATCACCTTGTGCTTCCCTTGACCCAGCCCTGGAATCAACCATTTCTCCGTGGGATCCTGCTTTTGTCTTTTGACTATGGTGTTTAGACATGGAAGCCAGGGTGCAGGTATACTCCTTCTGCAGGAGGGTTATTGCTTCTAGGCTCTTTCAATGGACAAAATAGGAAGTATATACTTTTTTTTTTTTTTTTTTTTTGGAGACAGTGTCTCTTTCTCTCTGTCACCCAGGATGGAGTGCAGTGGTGTGATCTCTGTTCACTGCAACCTCCGCCTCCCCAGTTCAAGCGATTCTCATGCCTCAGCCTCCTGAGTAGCTGGGATTACAGGCATGCAGCACCACACCCGACTAATTCTTGTAATTGTAGTAGAGGCAGGGTTTTACCATGTTGCCCAGGCTGGTCTTGAACTCCTGACCTCAGGTGATCTGCCCACCTTGACCTCCCCAAGTGCTGGGATTACAGGCGTGAGCCACCGTGCCTGGCTAATACATAGTTTTAAAGACCTCGAATTTGTACTGATACCTCTAACTTCGTAACCCAACACCAAAGAGTTTGCGTCTTCTTCCTTTACTCCATATCTCTTTTAAAAAACAAAAAACAACCCTCCCATAATGGGAAAACTGGTTCCCAGTGAGACAGCCAAGTGGGAAGAGGATCCCTGGAAAAACTCCAACTGGCTTGTGCACTGGGAAGAGTGCACACTGGGGTGGAGACACAGAAGTTCACAACATTTGCAGAAGGGTTCCTCTTCCTGTGTGGAACCTGGGATTCAAGGCTCCTCCTCTTCCTGTGTGGAACTTGTGGGTGGGAAGTTCTCTAGCAGGGACTCTGGCCTTAGGAGGATCCCTGTTTCCCCTTTTTTCCCTTTTACCCAATACAACCCTGCTTTACTCACGCTTCAAACCATCTATGAGCCTAAATGTTGGTGACCATGGGACGGAAAAGGACCCTGTCTTTAGCTGAACTAAGGAAAAGTCCTGCAACACCAGCAAGATCAATATGTTTATCTATTTGAAATTCTAAAACACACGCAAAGTAGTTTCAGAATTACTACATCAATACCACTACCAAAGACAAACTTACCTTACCAGGTAAAGTTCAAGGCTTTCTTAATTATTATCCTTAGAATATTCCCTGAGGGTGGCCAGTTAGAATTTCACATTCACAAGTTACTTGGAATAATTATTTTTCTTGTTCTGAATAATTACATTTTTTATATGATACATGCTTAGGTTGATTTGTTTCTGTTTCTGTTCAACTTAACAGTCCTCCCAGCCTGGTGACTAAATTTTATATTTGAAAATGTAGGCCGGGCGTGGTGGCTCATGCCTGTAATCCCGGCACTTTGGGAGGCCAAGGCAGGTGAATCACGAGGTCAGAGTTCAAGACCAGCCTGGCCAAGATGGTGAAACCCCGTCTCTACTAAAAACACAAAAAATTAGCTGGGCACGGTGGCAGACGCCTGTAATCCCAGCTACTCGGGATGCTGAGGTAGGTGAACCACTTGAACTCAGAGGGCAGAGGTTGCAGTGACCCGAGATCGCGCTCCTGCACTCCAGCCTGGGCAACAGAGTGAGACTCCGTCTCAAAAAAAAAAAAAAAAGTAAACATTTATGTGGTTCAAGAGTAAAAACTATATAAAAATATAATCAGAAGAGTTCTATCTTTTTCCATCTTTCTCATTCATTTTCATCCTTTTGCTTTAGGTAATCAATCCCATTAGTTTCTGGTTAATCCTTTCTGCATTTCTTTTTTTGCAAAAATTAGGACATATTCATATATCTTCTGACAAAGTAGCTTTGGCCAAATAGAAATATTGTCTTGCTGGGCACAAAGCACCAATTTTCAAAAAAGTTCCCAATGACTGAGCAAGCATTTTCTCTTCTTGGTGTACCTGAGTGCACCTGTGATAGTAAGAAAGAAAGAAAGAAAGGAAGGAAAAAGAAAAAAAGACATGGTGAGAGTGGCGGTGAAGAGAGTAGGGGGCCTAATTAGCCTTAAGAATTTATTCACATTTAGTAAAATTTCCACTAGATGGCAGTAACACTCCAAGAATAAGTTTCCTTTGTGTTCTGGGATAGGGTGACGCACCTACATGGAATGATGAGCTGTGGAGTGTGTTTAGGACAGACTCCCACCCAATGCAGAAATATTTTAAATGGATTCATTTTTCAGGTAATACCAATTTAACTTTTAAAATTAACTCTAAATCCAGTTTATCCCTCAGTAATGTAATATACTGAAAAAAGAAAGAGACTGATCCTGAATCAATGTATGACTGATCTGTGATTTGATAGCCTCTCAAATCAGACAAGATACTATAAACAGCAAATGTTAAAAAACCCTTAAGATTCAGTAAAATGTATTTTTATGCCCAGTGTTAATTAAAATCTCTTTATTGAATGCACTTTACCTCTTTATTTTTTGTTCAATTTTGTTTTATCCTGATTTTTAAAACAAGTAAAAAGTAGTCAAAGCCAAAAAGTAAACTAAATATCAAGGTTCATTTTAACTCAGATTAGGATGTGGTACATATAGCTGGGATTGTAGAGGTAATACCATACCCCTGGTTAACTCAATAGATCTTGCAAAAAGTTCTATTTAATATCAGTCACTGCTTTTCATGGCTCAGCTAGGCTTTAAGAACGAAATATTTTCTACGATATTCAGTAGTGTAATATGATATGGAAGCAACTGCTTCCATAAGTGTAGAGGGCAGGAGTGATCTGATCAGCTGAGAGTAGTCCGTGACGGCTTCCAGGAGTAAGTGAACTTTGAAAAAGGTGCTGAAGGAAATCATAGATATGAGTTGATAGTTAGGGAAAGGTAGGCCCTGTGGATAGGAAGAAAGATGTAAAAAAAAAAACAAGGGTAATTGCAAATGATGTCATCTCATATTAGGTTATTCTTTCATGATGAAGTGAAGGAAAACATGCCTTAACTTTGTGATATAGTTTGGCTCTGTGTCCCTACCCAAATCTCATCTTGAATTGTAATCCTCATGTGTCAAGGGAGGGACTTGGTGGGAGGTAATGCCCCCATGCTGTTCTCAAGATAGTGAGTGAGTCTCATGTGATCTGATGGTTTTGTAAGTGTTTGACATTTTCCCTTTTTGCTCTTCTCTCCTGCTGCCACGTAAGATGTGCCTTGCTTCCTCTTTGCCTTCTGCCATGATTGTAAGTTTCCTGAGGCCTCCCCAGCCATGCGTAACTGTGAGTCAATCAAACCTCTTTTCTTTACAAATTACCCAGTCTCAGGTATTTCTTTACAGCAGTGTGAAAAATGGACTAATACACTGTGAATGCAAAAGTCTATCATGTTCAATATAATTATCTCAGAATGTTTTTCACGTCTCTTCCCCTCCTTTGCATTTCTACCACCATCATCATACTTTAGGCTTTTCATACTGGGAAATGGACTAAGGTTTCAACTTGGCATCCCTGCTTCCATTCTTCCCTCCTCTAAATCGATTTTCCACATTGTGGCCAGGATTGCCTTCCTAAGGCACAACCCTGACCTAGTATGTTTCCTTTGGTAAAACAAAGGGACCTGAATTGGCTCAGCTTCCAGGGCACCATGAAAACAGTCTATTGATAGGAAGTTGGTCTCAAAAAGCCCTTCCATTCTAATGTTTTATGATCCTTACATGTCATCCTTTCACTGAGATAGCATGTGTGGCTCCCATTTATCTACAGGTGAAGTTGATGTTCCCTTTTCAGACATGCAAGGCAGTCTACAACGTAGGCCTGTATTTTCTGGGTTTTCTCCCCCTCACTCATGATTAGTTCACTTTAGCCAAATCAGACAGAGGGCATATAACATGGTACCTTTAATCACGCTGTTCCATCTGTCAGGAATGCAGAATCATCCCTCCCTGTTTCCATTTGAAATGCTTCATAGAACACTTGTGATTTGCACAAAGCCACCCTTTACTACTGTGGCACCTAGCCTCTAAGTTGACCTCCAGAGATTCATGCTGCCTGGTACTCATGCACTGTGAAATGACCACACTGAATCACGGCTGACTCTGTATAGTCAATAACTGATGGAATATTGTGAAAGTAAAAATA
Organism: Homo sapiens; assembly: GCF_000001405.40. Classification (NCBI taxonomy): domain Eukaryota; kingdom Metazoa; phylum Chordata; class Mammalia; order Primates; family Hominidae; genus Homo; species Homo sapiens. Next base: position 50,143,547 of record NC_000015.10, on the reverse strand, counting down.
TGTTACTTCTGAGGTTAGCTTATCAAAAGCTTTGTAGTTTCTGCTTTAGTGTCTTGGATCACTCACTTTGAGGAGAGCCAGCTGCATGCTATGAGGACACTAAAGCAGCTTTATGGAGAGATCTACTTGGAGAGAAGCTGAGGTCTTTACTCAACAGTCAGCACCAATGTGCCCACCATGTGAGTGAGCCATTCAGAAAATGATTCCTCCAGCCCCAGTCAAGCCCCTGGGTGACTGCAGAATCAACTAGTATCTGACTGAAGGCAGCAAGCCAAAACTGCCCATCAACTTGCTCCTGAATTTCTGACCCACAGACACTATATTGTTGTTTTAAGCCACTAAGTGTTGGGGGTGATTTGTTACACAGCAATAGATAATACAACATCAAGCCTCTGATGGCACAGTTTTGGCAGCCAACTAGAATTACTTGCTCTTCAATTTCTATTTTTAGAAGAAAAGTTCTTGCCTTTAAGGGAAATGAGGGCTTTGATGAGGTTGATATCCTCAAAGGAAGGTCCTGGCATCTCCAGGTCTTCAGCTTCTCTCCTAAGCTAAGCATTTAATTCATTCTTAACTCCTTCCTATGCATTATACATAGTCAGAGCCTGAAACAGTTCGTTTCTTCTCAAAAGGGAGGATAGTAGAAACAGAGGCAGAGTAACAGTCAAGGCCATGGATGGTGGAAGCAGATGTGTGCGTAATTGAGTCTTGGCTTTGCCTCTCCCTCCCTGCATGCCTACTGACTTTGGAGGATTGCATGGGGGTATTGAATGTTAAGATCTATGCCATGCCCACACTTCAGTGCCTGGAAAGTATCCAGGACTCAGTAAATGCTATGATTTTTATTACTAAGATTCCCTGGACATCAGCCTCTTTTCATTACTACCTTAAACTAGAGCCATCTTTATCATTCCTCGTTGCTTTCTACCACCATTTCTTTGTACCACAGACTCTTCCACTGAGCTGCCAAGATGTTCTTCAAAATGAAATATAGCCGTGTTGTTTTCCTGCTTGAAAAACCTCTATTAAAATACAAAACAGATCCGTAGGGTTAAATCTAGGCTAGAGTTGCTTTGGGGAGGAGGAAGTGGATGGTGAGTGGGAAGGGGCGTGACAGGGTGGGCTTTTGAGGTGCTGACATGTTGTTTCTTGACCTTGATGGTGATTATACAGTTGGGTACCTTTCGTGATAACTCTGAGTTGTGTCCTGGATGCTCTGTGTGTTTTTCTGTATGTATATTATATTGCAATAAAAAGTCTATTCATAAAAAATGAACATAAAAACAAGTGAACATCACTGTTGGCTTCCTTGCCATCAGGGATAAAAGCTGCTTTCCTTCGGCATCCAGAGCTGCCCCATGGCTCCTGTTCGGGACCTACTTCTTCAGCATCATAACTCACTCCTGAGTCCCACACAACCAGTGTTTCTAGTTATATTTCTCAGCATTCCCTGAACACACCATGCAACTTCTCTGCCTTTGTACATTCTGTCCACTTCCTCTTTCCCTACCTCAGTTTTTACATTTTAGGAAAAACTCGTATTCGTCTTTCAAGAGCCCCTCAGACATGCCATATGTGAAGCCTTATGTGCCCTCCTCAAGCAGAGAAGTTGCTCCCTCCTCTGGCTTACCGCAACACCTCTCTCACAGTGCTGTGCAGACTTTCTGTGTTCAGGGAAATATGTTGTGTGTGCTGTCCAATATGGCAGCCACTGGAAACCCAGCTAGTGTGGTTGAGGAAAGGAATTCTTAATTTTATTTCACTTTTAAAAAATTTTAACTCTTTAAAACAACTTTATTGGGGTATAATTTACATGCCATAAAATTCACCCATTTTCTGTACTCTTATTTAATTTTAATAAATTTAAAATTAAATAGCCACATATGCACAGTGCGGCTCCTTCACAAGTTCTCACACAATGTGTGTATAAATCACCTGTTTACATATCTTCCTCTCATGGAAGATCGTGAGCTTTTTGAGGGGAAAGATTTTGTCCTTATCAGTCTCTTGGTGAGTGAAATGCCTGTTACTTAAGAGACGCTCAATAAGTATTATGAATGAATAATTGGATTGTATTTCTAAGAACCCTGCCCTGATTGCCTGTGAGGTCCTCTCAGCCCATTACTGAGAATTTCTACCCAAACTTTTTGCCTTACTCTTTCTCCAATAGGAATCAAAAACCATGGCCCAGGATCATGGTGATAAGGCCTTGGAGAGTCTGGAAACTTTCACCTCTAAGTTTGTTTTGTTTTGGTTTCCCTATTCTTGGTGGTATTAATCAGTTAGCATCACTTAAAAGGAAAAGAGCCCTTGAGCTTATCTGTAGGGGCAGCCAAACAGGAAGAGGAAAAGGAGGTCGCCGCTCTTTCTGTGGCTGGTCTTGGAAAGGGAATGTCCCAAGGGTTGGGGCAGATGGAGTCAGACTTAAGAAAAGGGGAAAGAGGAACAAGGAAGATGGGCCCTGGAGGCAGGTGCGGGTCAAGAGCATACCAGAGTCACAGATATTGGGGTGGGGATCTCTGACCAACAGCTCCTTCCATGATGGAGTTCTAGAAGGTACTAGTGGATTTTTCTCTTTCAAGGATAGTCTAATTGTCTTAGAGAGATCAGTATTTGTACATTCTCAGTTAGTGCTTCCCAAAGTTGCCTGCACATTACAATCACCTTAGGAGTTTTAAAAAAGAGTGGATTCCCCAGTCTCATCCCAGAACTACAGAATTCGAATCTCCAGGAGTGGGGCCTAAAAGTCCCTATGTTTTGAAAAGGTCTCCTGTTGATTCTCTTGCAATTTATTCAGGTGGATGTTTAGGAACCAGTGCTCTAAACATATAGTAAAAATCATATGTCAGTAGTTTTCCCCAGAGAAGCATGGTGTGTTATTCATTCTTTGTATATTTTGAATCCAGGAATTAGAACAAATGAAACTATGTTATGGTTTTAATACATGATAAATATTGATCTACTTTGGTAAATAACATTTACTGAGTAATGACATTTATGGCACTCTTAATCCTTCCTAAATGCTTTGTTATCTAAGTTTTCATAACTACTCTGGGAGGTAATCAATCAAAAAATATTTAATGAATTTCTAGTGTTGATCCAACCCAGTGCTGGGTAGACAGGGATATAATTATGGCTTACACATTACACATTAGGAAATGGATTGTAAGTGATTTAACTACATCCCAAGGCCAGTCTCGGAAGAGTCAGGAGTCTGGGCCTGGAGTGTTCAGCTTGGCTTATCACATTACTAGGCTTTGCTTCTTGGAAACTAGTGTTGTCATGGTTACCCTGGGGGAGCTCCTAGATATCAGTGATGGCTCAATGTACTCATCTTTCTTATTCTTTTATTTTCTTTCTTTAAAAACATTTTTTATTTCAATAGCTTTTGGGGTACAAGCATTTGTTTTTTTACATGGATAAATTATATACTGGTGAGTTTTGAGATTTCAGTGCACCTGTCACCCAAATAGTGCACACTGTACCCAATATGTAGTTTTTTAATCACTAGCTCCCCTTCCATCATTCCCCTTCTGAATCTCTAAAGTCCATCATACCACTCTGTATGCCTTTGTGTACTCATAGCTTACCTCCCATTTATTATAAGTGAGAACATATGGTATTCACACACCTATTGTGCTTATCCAGTTTTAATTTCTATCTGCCCATCAAGCAGAAAACATCTTGCTGTGCAGTTGGACTCAAGAGAAAATGTGATCTCTAACAAAAATAGTTTCTTTAGGATGTAGTGGTTCATGAAGTTACTTCCCCTAATATGCATATTCCAGGATAGTCAGTGAATTTTCTGAAAATAAAATTTGAAGTTTTGCAGGAAGATTGTTAACAGTGAGAACTACTTAATGCCTGAACTACTAGTCTGATCTATTACAGTCACTCTAAGGAGTATTGACTCATCCATCGAACGGACACATTTATTTATTTTTATTTTACTTTAAGTTCTGGGATACATGTGTAGAACATGCAGGTTTGTTGCATAGGTATACATGTGCCATGGTGGTTTACCGCACCTATCAACCCGTCATCTAGGTTTTAAGCTCTGCACGCATTGGGTATTTGTCCTAGTGCTATCCCTCCCCTTGCCCCCAACCCCCCGACAGGCCCTGGTGTATGATGTTCCCCTCCCTGTGTCCATGTATTCTCCTTTTTCAACTCCCACTTATGAGTGAGAACATGCGGTGTTTGGTTTTCTGTTCCTGTGTTAGTTTGCTGAGAATGATGGCTTCCGGCTTCATCCATGTCCCTGCAAAGGACATGAACTCATTCTTTTTATGGCTGCATGGTATTCTTTGGTGTATATGTGCCACATTTTCTTTATCCAGTCTGTCATTGATGGGCATTTGGGTTGGTTCCAAGTCTTTGCTAATGTGAATAGTGCTGCAATAAACATACGTGTGCATGTGTCTTTTTAGTACAATGATTTATAATCCTTTGGGTATATACCCAGCAATGGGATTGCTGGGTCAAATGTTATTTCTGGTTCTAGATCCTTCAGGAATCGCCACACTGTCTTCCACAATGGTTGAACTAATTTACACTCCCACCAATAGTGTAAAAGCATTGTTTTTTCCACAGCCTTGCCAGCATGAGAACAGACACATTTAATTACCTTATCTATTCACACAATTTCCCCTATACCGGCAATTAAGTCCTATCATGCTACTTTGACTTTGGAAATAAAAAGGATTTACAATGCAGACAGACTTCTTAGAAGGTGTAAGACTAGGAGAAAGTGGCGGTTGTATGGGTATAAGAGAACAATAAAGGGAGAAAAAGATAAGAAGTGACTGGGAAGTAATGTTTTTATTTTAAAAATTTCTAATTTCTAGTTTGAAATGAGGATATTTCCAGTCAGTGAAATTCAGTTGACTTTACAAGGTATGCTTCTTAGATAATAGTTCATCCTTGGCATTGTATAATTCCAGTATCTGCCACCAGGTGGGAGATGATGCCTATTAGGATATTAAGTTGTGGCAGTGGTGCCTTTTAGGGTGTTTAGGTGTGGGTAACCAATGACTGAGCAGATAATTTATTCAGGTATCTATCTATCTGTCTGTCTATCTATCTGTCTATCATCTGTCTATCTATCATCTGTCTGTCTATCTCTCTATCTATCTATCATCTCTCTGTCTGTCTGTCTGTCTATCATGGACTGCCTATCTATCTATCTATCTATCTATCTATCTATCTATCTATCTATCTACCTATCTATCTATCTATATATGTATCTATCTGGACCTGCAATGCTCTGTCCCTTGCTAATCATGTACACACACCTTTGACACACCTCAGATCATTTCCTTAGTGTAAATTCCTGGAAACAGAAGGATTGAGTCCCAAGGTAGACACATGCATGGGGTGTTTGATACACTGCAGTGCTGCCTTCTGGAAAGATTGCACCAATCTACCCTCTCACCACCAGGGTATGAGACAAGCTATCCCAATGTGGTTTACAGATTGCTGAAGGATGAAAATGTGATAGAATCTCTCATCCAGTGGCTAGAGCGATACTAAGATGAGCATTACGGTTGGCAGGTTGTGCTCACAGCTCACAATTACTAAAATATTGACAATTAAGTTGGTAAGTGAGAACTTTGATAAGGGAGTAGCTGAGCAGAGAATCTTGTCACTAGATGTGGTACAGTGAAAACATCCTTAAAGTAGCAGTCAGGAGACCTGGGTCCTGGAATTTAATAAATGTTAGCTTCCTTCCACTCCTCTCTGTGATGATCAGCTCATCTTCAAGATGACGACCCTCCCAGCTCTAACACTGTATATGTCTCTAAGGATCATGTGCGTCACTTCACAAGAAGAAGCATCGTGAGCATGATTAAGGAGGCAGAAACATCAGATGCCTCATGGTGCACAGTGACATGCAACAAGGCTAGTCTTGTGCCGTGGTTGTTTGTTATGCATTTCTTGGCAATTTGCATTGTTGCCCTCAGAGACAGTGATTCAGATCTTAGAGCACATTCACTCTGAGACACTTCCAATAACTGAAGCAAAATGCTGCTGGTAGTTAGTCAAGATGTTTAAATGTCATTCGGTGATTGATCGCTTGTGAGTCATGATGACGCACAGTGATGCTCAGCATGCAAAGGACACAGTGGCTCTCCTCAGTCAGGACTGCATGGAAAGATGTCTGATAACCTGCTAACCCTCTGAAGAGCCTTCCAGAATGTGCCGGCTAACATGGAGGATCTAGACAGCTTCTCTCAAAACATTCCTTTTCTAGAAGAATTTACTTTGATTGGTAAGAGCCAGGGATATTAGGTAACTCCACTTGGGTAACCCATTGGCTGGCTCATAATAGATCCTTGTTGGATGAATGGAATGTAAAGAGAGTGAATGAGATAGTATTTTTGGGAAGATTGACGTTAAATCAGTGCTAGCATGTTGCTTGATTCTGTGACTAATATATTTGAGAAGCCTCTTGCACAGTGCTTGATGCATTGTAGGACATCAATATGTCCAAAAGCTATGGGGATACAGAATTCAGAACCCAAATAAGAGAATCCTTACTGATGTTTCAGGGATTCATCCCTGAACTGAAGAAAAGAACTTTCATTTCTTTTGTCCAGTGTTTCAATTATAATAATAAAATCATATGTATGGAATACTTTTCATGTACTCAGCACATTATTTTATTGGATCCTCACAGCTTAATGAGGTAGTACCATTACTATCAACCCCATCTTACAGACGGGGTAACTGAGACACACAGGGTAACTTGTCTGGTGGTGTTCAGCTGCTGCGTGGCAGAGCTGGGCTTCACACAAAGGCCAGTCTGACTCCAGAGCCCCACGCTCACCATCAAGCAGTGTGGCCTCTTAAGACACACAAAGTTTGTCCTGTGTTCTCAGTACCACATCACAAAGGGTAAACCCCCCAAATGGGACATCTGTTCACTTTCAAAAAGAGAGAAGGGAGGAAGTGAACTAATTTCTACTTAGCAATTAAGCACTGCTCATTTAGCAAAGGAAACAATTAGGATACAATATCTTGATCATGGAAAAATCAAACAGTCTTTACAACCCAACATTTAAGCCACATTTGCCCCAGCCTGGCTTTATCCCTGTATGAGTGGTGAACTGACTGGCTTTTTAATTTTTCTCCTGGATGTTTTGACATTTTATAGATGCACACAATGCATTTGTGAAGTGCCCACAGTTTGAAGTTTCTGCATAGCCCTCCTGCCTTTAGTCCTTGCCATGATAAACATGCCCAGATAGCAACTTCACAGAAGGCTGTGAACTTTGAAGTCTTTGAAAAATCTAAAAATTATATGACAGTGTTGTATATGGAATCACTGGTGAGAGAAAGCCAACATCTCCCTGAGTGCCAGACACACGGCCCTCATAAATCCTGGGCTAAGAGCAGAGAGGGGTGGTCTTGTTTACTTAAACTCTGGGATGGAATGGGCATGCTTAACATCACAGTAATCGACTCAATCAGGGGATCCAAATGGAATTGCTGCTACTCGTGTGCATTTAAATGTCATGGTTATATCAATAGTTCGGAAGAGGAAAGTATCCACGCTCAAGGTTGGATTAAATAAAACAGCTTCACCTTTCATTGAAATGTACATGAAAGAATTATTAAACGTCAGAGGACCGTTCAGTTTAATTTTGGGGAGATATGAGTTTACCAGTGAGAATTTAGCATTCTTCTGTAGGCCCTTTGAAGCTACATGTGTGTTCCCTTAATTGGATAGAAAGTTTCCCCATTGGATATAAGAGGAGCCTAGGACATTTCTCTTTATGGTACTCTGCTTCAACGGCATAGGTATTTAGTTACAGTTTTATGTATGTCAGGTTTCAGTTATTATGACTGGTGAAAATATGTCCAGAAAGTAGACTCCAATTCCTTGTTTAGCGGAAAGCATTTGCTTATTGTGCCACCAGGTAAAGTCTCATTTGGAATTCTTGTGCTTGGATTTTTAATGAGTTTGTTCCCCATACTTAGTTTAGATTTACAGAATGTCTAGGGGCGTGGCCATATGTGCACATAAAAGGTCACATAAAGTGATCTCGGGCAGATATGACAGGTCAGATGCTCTGGGTATAGCTCAAGCAATTCCCGCAAGCCGCAATGATAATGATTCATGGAAATGGGGTTAAAATGAAAGGTTCTCTGAAGTGTGACACCGTCAAGTGATGGTGGAGTGGTTAAAGATTGAGAGCAATATGGAAAAACTATTCAGAATATTGTTGGAGGGAAAATCCAGATAATGAAATGTAGAGTACCTCCTTATCAACCTACAAGCTGAATTTGTCACACTAAATATTTAATGAAGAGAAAACTGAGAAAGTTTAGAGATGAATGATGTGTCACACTCATATCTCAAAAGGAGAAAAGATAGCTTTTAGATTTCAACCAGCTAAGGACTAAAGGACTGGGGACATAAAACCATTTAAATTTTCCTCTAAGATTAGATTTTGAGGCTCTAAGTTAAGGCTTGTTGTTCTAGACAACCCACTTGAACATTCAGAAAACCTGAAGAATCTTTTTAACAATGTTCAGGTTTTGTTTTACTGCTGTGAGAGTAAAAATAACTTCACCCTCACATCTGATGAGTCACAGAGTGACTGTTGAGCTTGAAATGTTCTCTACTTCTGCTTTGTGATGAGCTAGCTGAGCATTGGTATGCAGAACTCAAACAGATGGACCAGAATTTGTTCCACGTTCACTCTCCTTATTTTTGTCAATGCCACCAACATTCCCCTAGCCATTAGGGCAAAGAATGTGACATCATCTTTGACATTTTACCTCTTCCTTCCCCTTCTGTTGCCAAATGTTGTCAGTTCTATATTTGGAATATTTCTTGAATCTATACTTTGTTCTCCATTCTTGTTGACACTGCCTTAGGCTATTATTGTCATGTACTAGGATAATTGTAAGGGTCATAATCTAACCCTAACATATGTTTTTTCCCCTGATTTCCCGTTATCTCCTATGCACTCCACTTGCCAGATAGACTGAAGTACAGTATTTGATGTTCTTTGCAGATACTCTGTTTTCTGACTTCTCTGTCTTTGTTCCTGCTGTTCTTTCTACTTGAATGGCTTTCACTCCTTATTGTTGTATACAGGAATCACACCAATTTTCAAGGACTAGCTCAAGAGCTTTCTCTTCCCCAAAGTCTGCTCTGATCTTGACCCTCTTCTCACTTGCCTTTCTTTCCCATTGCAACTTTCTTTCCACCTTTATAAGAGCGCTGATCATTGCATAGTTTACTTGCCATAGTTATTTTTACATTATGTTTTATTTCTTCTGCTAAACTCCAACTTTTAATTTTTATTTATTTTTACTTTTGACAGTCTATTTTTCTTTTTTTCCATTTCCCTCTCACTGACAGTCTATCATTCTTACATATTAATTTATTTTTCCTTAGTTTTACTGAGGTATAATTTATGAATAAAAATTATCTATATTTAAGGTATACAATGTGATGATTTGATATACATATACATTGTGAAATAGTTACCATAATCAAGCTAATTAACATATCCAATCACCACACAGTTACCATTTTTTTATTTTAAATTTTTATTTTTTATAGAGGTGGGGTCTTGCTATGGTGCCCAGGCTGGTCTTAAGCTCCTGGCCTCAGCGATCCTCCTGCCTTGGCCTCCCAAAGTGTTGCGATTCCATGCATGAACCACCATACCTGGCTCATTATTTTGTGTGTGTGGAGAGAATGCTTAAGATTTACTCTCTTAGCAAATTCCAAGTATACAATGCAGTATTATTAACTATAATCATCATGTTGTATGTTAGATCTCCAAAACATATTCATCTTATGACTGAAAGTTCATAAATTTTGACCAACATCTCCCCATTTCTCTAACCCCAGCCCCTGGCAACTGCTTATTATGCTCTCTGCTTCTGTGAGTTTGACTTTCTTATTTTTAATTTATTTTTGTTTTTTATTTTTGATACAGGGTCTCACTCTGTCACCCAGGCTGGAATGCAGTGGCGTGATCATGGCTCACTGCAGCCTCCACCTCCCCAGACTCAGGTGATTCACCTGAGTAGCTACTCAGCCTCCTGAGTAGCTGGGACTACAGGCACATGCCACCACGCCTGGCTAGTTTTTTGTAATTTTTTTTTTGTAGAGATGAAGTTTCCCCATATTGCACAGGCTGGTCTCAAACTCCTGGGCTCAAGCAATCCTCCTGCCTTTGCTTCCCAAAGTGCTAGGATTATAGGTGTCGGCCACTATGCCCAGTGAGTTTGACTTTTTTAGATTTCACATGTAAGTGAGAATTATACAGTATTTATCTTTCTGTTTCTGGTCTATTTCACCTAGCATAATGTCTTCCAGGCTGATCTAGGTTGTCACAAATGGAAGGATTTTCTTCATTTTCATGGCTGAATAATATTCCATTGTATGTACAAAACTTCAAGTTTTTTAAAAATTATACTTTAAGTTCTGGAATACATGTGCAGAATGTGCAGGTTTGTTACATGAGTATACATGTGCCATTGGTGGTTTGCTGCACCTATCAACCCATCATCTACATTAGGTATTCTCCTAATGCTATCCCTCCCCTAGCCCACCACCCCTCAACAGGCCCTGGTGTGTGATGTTCCCCTCCCTGTGTCCATGTGTTCTCATTGTTCAACTCCCACTTTTGAATGAGAACATGTGGTGTTTGCTTTTCTGTTCCTGTGTTAGTTTGCTGAGAATGATGGCTTCCAGCTTCATCCATGTCCCTGCAAAGGACATGAACTCATCCTTTTTTGTGGCTGCATAGTATTCCATGGTGTACATGTGCCACATTTTCTTTATCCAGTCTGTCACTGATGGGCATTTGGGTTGGTTCCAAGTCTTTGCTAGTGTGAATAGTGCTGCAGTAAACATATCTGTGCCTGTGTCTTTATAGTAGAATGATTTATAATCCTTTGAGTATATACCCAGTAATGGGATTGCTGGGTCAAATGGTAATTCTGCTTCTAGATTCTTGAGGAATTGCCACACTGTCTTTCACAATGGTTGAACTAATTTACACTCCCACCAACAATTTAAAAGCGTTCCTATTTCTCCACATCCTCTGCAGGGTCTGTTGTTTCCTGACTTTTTAATGATCGCCATTCTAACTGGCATGAGATGGTGTCTTATTGTGGTTTTGAATTGCATTTCTGTAATGACCAGTGATGATGAGCCTTTTTTCATGTTTGTTGGTTGCATAAGTGTCTTCTTTTGAGAAGCGTCTGTTCATGTCCTTCACCCACTTTTTTATGGATCCATAAAAGAATCCATATCTAATTAATATTCATATTACCAATGCAAGCTTAGGATGGCTGTTCCTGTACTTTTTATTATGAAAGTCATGAAACAGAATACTAATTATTTAATAGTAATACAGCCTGTACTTAAATAAATATTGCCAATAACTTGTTTATTTTCAAGTTGGTTTCGGGGGTGCCAAACCACAGGCCAATTGTTGAATGACTATTATAGTGTGTGTGTGAGTACTATAATCAGGCATAGAAACAATGGCCTTTGGCATTACCTTTAAAAATAAGTGAAAGGACAAAATAAATCTAATAAGAATTTGGACTAATATAAATATAATCAGGTTAAATTTCCAGAACAAAACATTTTTGTTTCTAATGCTGAGTAACAGGTGCAAGAGCAGTAGCTGCGTGATTTTATAACCATTATTTTTAAAATATTTCTAATTACATGATAATATTAATTGAAATATAAATATTTTTAGTATTTTAGTATTAAAATATTTATATTTCAGTTAATATTAGTATAATATAATATTATATGAATATAATAATATATAAATATTGTTAGTATTATTCCAAAGATACTACTAAGAGTTTGAAGTATATCAATGCTTATATATTAGTGTTAAACATTTGATTATAAGATATTGAAATGTTACTCCCCTTTTTGCCTAATTGTGATGAACTAGAGCTTATATTTCTAGCATATAAATGAAGAATCAGACATATCTGGTTCCTTGGGGATGAAACATTCACACCAGCTCCTCTAGCGAATAAAAGGAGAATCATTATAGAGAGGCAGAGATAGTGGATTGGTTAGGCACATAGATTCTAGAACCAGACTGTCAGGTTCAAATTCCACTTCTGCCATTTTCTAGCTCTGCAGCTTTGTGAAAGTTCTTTAACCTCTCTGTTTCTCTGATTCTTTATCTGTAAAGGATAGAATTATTGTAATATGAAATGAATTACTATATATGAAGCACTTAGAACTATTAAGTACTGCATAGCTATTAGAAGTTCTTACCTATCATTATTGATGTGGTTAGGTTTTGTGTCCCCATCCAAATCTCATTTTTAATTGTAATCTTCATAATCCCCATAATCCCCATGTGTCAAGGAGAGATCAGGTGGAGGTAATTGAATCATGGGGGCAGTTTCCCCCATGCTGTTCTCGTGATAGTGAGTGAATTCTCATGAGATCTGATGGTTTTATAAGGGGCTCTTTCCCCTTCACTAGGCACTTCTCCTTCCTGCTGCCTTGTGAAGAAGGTGCCATGCTTTCCCTTCACCTTCTGCCATGATTGTAAGTTTCCTGAGAACTCCCCAGCCATGCTGAAACTGTGAGTCAATTACACCTCTTTTGTTTATAAATTACCCAGTCTTGGGTAGTTCTTTATATCAGTATGAAAATGGACTAATACAATTACTAACATAGAACGTTAGACTAAGGAGGGTTGCTTAGACATTGCAATCCAAGACTCTTATTTATTTTTATTTTTTTAATTTTTTTTGAGTCAGAGCCTTGCTCTGTCACCAGGCTGGAGTGCAGTGGCACCATCTCGACTCACTGCAGCCTCTGCCTCCTGGGTTCAAGCAATTCTCCTGCCTCAGCCTCCTGAGTAGCTGGGACTACAGGCGCCTGCCACCACGCCTGGCTAATTTTTTATATTTTTAGTAGAGACGGGGTTTCACCTTGTTAGCCAGGATGGTCTCGATCTCCTGACCTTGTGATCCGCTCGCCTCAGCCTCCCAAACTGCCGGGATTACAGGCATAAGCCACTGCACCCAGCCAAGACTCTTATTTTTTAGATGAAGAAACTGAGACCCCAAGAAGTTGAGTGACTTATATAAGAATACTCAGTTACTCACCAGAGCCTGGGTAATCTTATCACAGGAGTCCTGGGCTCTTACATTCTGTGCTAAGCCCAGTGCTACCAGTGGGAAATTGAGTTGCTACCCTCAGGTATTAGAGACCCAGACAAGTGGACAGGTGTGATTATAGCAAGGCAAGTGCCATGATGGGGAAAGGCAGCATATCATGGGAGCCCAGAGAAGCTCTGATTTCTTAAAATTCTCTGAAGAGGGTTCCTAGAGGAAGTGAGAATGCAGTTAAGACCTGAAAGATGTGGAAAATTTAGCCAGGTAAACAAGGCAGGGAAAGGGCATCTATGCAGGCTGTGAAAAGGCCTCAACATTCATATAGAGTAGAGAACCAAAGAAGTCTAGTCTGGCCAAGTGGTGGAGACCTCTAGATCTCTTTATAGCAAATGAAAATCTCCCTAGTACTCTACCATGTAATTTCTTTTCTTTTCTTTCTTTTTTTTTTTTTTTTTTTTTTTGAGTCAGAGTCTTGCTCTGTCACCAGGCTGGAGTGCAGTGGCACCATCTCGACTCACTGCAGCCTCCGCCTCCTGGGTTCAAGCGATTCTCCTGCCTCAGCTTCCCAAGTAGCTGGGACTACAGGCACGTGCCACCATGCTCAACTAATTTTTGTATTTTTAGTAGCGACGGGGTTTCACCATGTTGCCAAGGATGGTCTCGATCTCTTGACCTAGTCTACCACATAATTTCAATACTGGCCATTAATTAAAATCCCCTTTTGCATTTGTGCTGCATTGAATAGTGTGGCCCAAAATTCATGTCTACCTGGAATGTTGGAATGTGGCCTTACTTGGAAATGGAGTCTTTGCAGATGTTAAGATTGAGGTCATATTTGATTAGAATGGAGCCCAAATCTAATCATGTCCTGATAAGAGGGCCATATAAAGACATGAAGAAACAGAGAAGACGCACAAAGGGCATGCCATGTGTTGATAGAGGGAGAGTGTGGAGGGATGGGTCTACAAGCCAAAGAATGCCAAAGATTGTCAGCAAGTACCAGAAGCTGAAGAGAGGCATGGAACATATTCTCCCTCAGAACCTCCATAAGAAACCAGCTTTGCCAACACCTTGATTTTGGTCTTCCAGCCTCTAGAACTGTGAGAGAATCAGTTTCCCTTGTTTTAAGCCACCCAGCTTGTGGTACTTTGCTATTCCAGCCCTAGGAAACTAATACAGCGTTCTTGATATGAATTTGACTCCTCAAGATAACAAGAAAAAAAAACAGATTGCATTTAGTGATGGACATGAGGTAGCTGGGGTCACAATTTACTCACACTATTACCTATATGCCCTAAAAAATGTGGCTACTTAACTTTTATTTATTTATTTATTTTTTTGAGACGGAGTCTCGCTCTGTCACCCAGGCTGGAGTGCAATGACGCGATCTCAGCTCACTGCAACCTCCACCTCCCGGGTTCAAGTGATTCTTCTGCCTCAGCCTCCTGAGTAGCTGAGATTACAGGTGCGCACCACCAGGCCCAGCTAATTTTTGTATTTTTAGTAGAGACAGGGTTTCACCATGTTGGTCAGTCTGGTCTCGAACTCCTGACCTTGTGAGTTCTCGAACTCCGCCCACCTTGGCCTCCCAAAGTGCTGGGATTATAGGCATGAGCCACTGCGCCCAGCCTACTTAACTTTTTACAAAGGATCTGTCCTTTTTCACTAACTCACACACTCCAAAGGGTAAGTAGGGAAAAATAATCCCCAATAAACCTTCCACTGATCAATTTACCAACCACAGTCTTTTCCAGTTCAAATAAGCTTTTGATTATTTAGTCTTTTTTAGGGCCTTTGGGTGTCCCTCTCCTCTCCTGCTTCTCTCCAGAATGGCATCACAGAGAACCTGTGTGACTCTGTGACAGTAGAGGGAAGTGGGAGCCTTGGATCCATGCCAGGTCCTCTGGATTCTCTTTGCACAAGCAGATCTTGTCATTTTGGCCCAGGCCTTGCCCTTCATCAGCCACAAGGAGGCAGGAACATAGCCTCAAGCATCTGCAGCCACCTTTCTCCTCCAGTGTTCCATACTGCTCCCAGCTTTGCTGGATCTGATGCTCTGATGGAGAAGGGCACCCTTCAGACCCAAAGGAAATGGGTGCTTAGCCTAGATTTTCCATGTGACTCCAACTCTCTGGATGTTTCTAAAGCCAGCTCCCTCTTGAAGTTTAGCTCTGAAGCTAGGAAAACCCAGGACTCTGGTGTCTGTCTCCATGATTCCCCTTCTTTCGCTGGTCTCTGGCATGACTTAACTCCATAAGTGTTCCTCCTGCTTTTCTGGGGTGATATTAATTCCTTCTTTCCTTGACAGACTGGATACAAAACGAAACACTGGCTTACTCAAAAGAGAAGCTCTGAAGGTAGCACCTTCCTTACCCTGAAATGCACAGAAACATGGGGTTGCACAAGAAGTAGCTCCATCATCTGCTCATCTGCTGTAGCTCCTGGGCCTTGAGACTGGGGCACACTCTACCTAAAGATGGCTCAGCATTGGTGGGGATGTGTGCAGAACCACAGTGAGGCACACCTTGGTATTGTTCATCTGAAATTAATATTTCTTCAAAGACAGACCTTACTGGTGTTTGTTCCTCTCCCTATGTATAATGGGATATCTCTAGAGGACAGGATGGTCCTAGAGCTGCCTTGAACAGTTTTATCTCCCTCCTGCCATCCGATGCTTTAACCTCCTGCTCCAGTGCAGTCTTCTAGTTCTGTAGGATCAATTTCTTTGCAATCGGTATTATAGCACAAGCTGCAGCAGTTTATTTATCTAAGAGAGAATGCGTCTAGGTTGCTATCCTCAGAGATAGTGTGTATAAGGCAACATTTGAGGCCTCCATGACTCAATTCTTGCCTAATCTTTGCCTGGTCTCTGATCCATTAGGACCTAGAAATTACATTGACTGATATACTGAGATGATGGCAAACTCACCTTTGCTCTCCACATTCACGATTGCTGTGGGATGTATGTTTGTGACTCACTCAAGCCATTTAGAATGGAAGCCCAAGTCACAGTAGAGGAAGGCCATTGTTACTGAACTGAACATGGGTCAGTTAATCTGCCTGCCCATGCAGCAAAGCCAAATACTAACACTGGGATTGATTTGCAGTGAGGAAAAGTGAAGCATTTATTGCAGGGTGCTATGCAAGGAGAATTGGGCAGCTAATCTTAAAACCCAAACCCCTTGATGGCTTCCATGTAAGAGTTTTTAAAGGCAGGGAGGCAGAGGTTCCAGGCAGAGCCATAAATCAATACATGGAGGCTATTGGTTTGACCTAAAAAGGGGGAGACATCTTGAAGTGGGGGTCCACAGGTTACAGGTAGATTCAAAGATTTCCCGATCTGCGATTGGTTAAGATTTGTTTAAAAACTTGGGGTCAGCAGAAAGGAATGTTGAACTCTGGCCTGTAGGTATAACTTCTGCCAGGCCCCTCAGGAAGAAATTTAGAATGAAGAACAGTGGTCAGATTTCAGTCTCCAGTTCCCCCTTCCCCAAGGTCTGTTGTGCCAGTGGATGGTGTTTTCCATTTGGTGGCGGGGGGGTGTGGGGGCTGTGGGCAGGTTTCTGCAAAACAGCTCAGGGACATATGTTAAGATGTTATTTTTAGTTTCTATTGGGACTCTAACTTCTTTGGCTATTGTTTCAAGCTATTATTACCTCCTTGCTTATCAGATTGCCTGCCACCCTCCACCAAGCATGGAAATAAAGGAAAATCTTGCGTTTCTTCAATGGAAATTCCAGGCACCTAGCTAGTCCTGAGAATTAAATGAGCAACTTGATAAGTAAGAGAGTAATAGTAGCTTAAAATAATAGCTAAAGAAGTTATAGTCATAAGATGTTTGGTTCTCTACAGAAGCTAAAGATAACATCTTGACATATGACCCTGAGTTTACTTTTCAGAAACTCGGACCTCCACCAAATGGAAATCTTTCTTGCACAAGGTCCAGGAACCTTCTCTTGGGATCTGGATTGGGATCCCTTTCCAGTAACAATATCAGGTCATCGGGACATTTCCTGGGTCTGTTCAGTAAACATTATTAACCTGTTCCCTTAACTGAAACTGTGTCTAAGAATGACTAATCTTCTGGGAATGTAAGATGGAGTTGCTCTGGTTCAAAGGCCTTGGACGCCTCTGACAGTATTAGTGAAGTGTTTTTTTTTTTTTTTTGGACTGTTAGCTTGTTAGGAACTAACAAGACCCTCCCTAACTCATCTACTCATCTTTCAGGACTCAGCTTCACTTGTTCTGAGGGTTTCCCGTGACACCTCCACACCCACACTGAAATATGGCTTCCCCTCTCCTGTAGTTCCGAAGCCTGTTTGGACAAGGGACACCTAAATTAGAGTTACTATCACATTGTGTCACAATTTGTTCACAACTATTTTCTCTTCCACTAGAAGGATTCTTGTTAGGGCAGATATCGACCTAAAAGAAAGAATCCCAGGCAAAATAGATATAACTAGAGGGTTTATTTGGGCCAAGCTTGAGGATTGCAACCTGGGAGCATAGATTCAGTTTTCTGCAGTTACAAGCTGTAGCAGCAGTTACAAGCAGGTTTTTAAAGAAAAGAAGAGGCAGTTTCTAAGTTGTTTACCAAGAATTTACATTAAAAATAACATAAGTTATTGATTGGCTATATGTTGTTTCTTTGTATTAAAATTCCAGGAACATGAAGATAATAGGTGAGGCAGGTAGTCAGGAACAAAATGCCTTTAAACAATTGCCCCCACAGATGGGTTTGGGGGTCACATGACTGAAATCTTAGACTCCTGTCTTTTTGGGCCTGATAAATTTTTCGAACCTCCCGTAGTGCAGACTGCTCTGAGCTATTTTTCTGTTCTCACAGAGACCAGGTCTCAGTTACCTTGGGGTCCCCAATGCCTTGCAGAGGGGTTGATACAGAATTGGGGCTTGGAAAATGGTGAAGAATGTGTGAAATGTCCCAGAGACATGTCCTGATTAAGAGCCTGAACTCCTTTGATCTTGGACCCTACACTTCCCAAGTGTCATATAAGGGGTAGGAAATTTTCACACCCAGTGACCTGGAGGACAGACTAAAAGGGTAAAGAGATGAAGAGCAGAGCGTCTCTTCTCATTGGGATGACAGTTTGCTAAGGAGAAAATGGGGCTGGAGTGAGTGTTAAAAGACCCTAAGTGTCTGGCTGCTCCTTGGGTCTTGGAGATTCTGAGATAACAAGAACCATGTAGCCCTGAAACTGATCCAGATCGGGTTCATTGTTCTACTACTCCTTTCTTGTAAATGCCCTGATTGTTGGAAGGACTTCTTATGATGTCAGTCTATAAAAAAGCGGAGGCCAAAAGTCTTTACTGGATACCCATTATGTGCAAAGAAGATACTATACTCCCCTGATAGCAAGAGATACATTATTTTAGGGAGTGTTTCTCTTGCTGATGCCAACAGCCTATTCCAGGATCCAGTTTTGGCTGTGGAGCATTCATCACTTGGAAATGAATTGTTAGAATGACTTTTACAACTAGAGTTGCCAATAGTCTGGCTTGGTGTTAGGCTGTCTGGTTTAAAGCTGGGTCATCTAGTTCTGGAACACATGGTTCAGATAGTATTTGAAAGGGCAAATTAAATGCAAATCACCTGGTTTTGGTGAGTGGGCTTGCATAACAACAAGCCCTGTAGGATCTATTGTTCTTGCTTGTGTCTGAGTGTCTGCACTGAAAGGGATATTCAGGAGAGCCCTTGAGGGAAAGTCCAGATCACTGTCAGGAGCTGGTTCCCAGAGGTGACATTTAGCACCCATAAATTTAGGTATCTTTTTTTTTCTTTTTAAAAATCTTACCAGCTTAATTGTAATGTAGTGGTGGATTTATATTACTTTAAGTTTAATTCCTGAAATTTTATTAGTAGAGTAGAAAAGTCCTCTACTTCTAAATCCGGGTCTCTATCTGTGGCTTAACTTCTAACTTCTTGTTTGCATTCTCTTATTCTCTTTTTGTTCTTTTCATGAGTTAGTTGAGTAATAAGTAAAACTTAATTGTGAGTCTTTTCATGGAGGATGGAAAATCCCACACAGGAAAGGGCACTACCAACAATGGGTCAGTCGTTTATGTTGGCCAATGTAAAGAAACCTCCTTTATTTCATAAAAGGTTAAGTAATTGGTGGGGAAATTGGGGTGGGGGAGGAGTTGAGTTACCTTCTCTTGGTGAACTTCGGCCCAATACACAGTGGAAAGTGCCAGATAATAAATGAAACTACAAGAGGTTAGAAAACTATACTTTCTTTTTAGATATTAAAGGCTATGAGGGCATATGTTACTTCAAAGACTTGTTGGATCTGTTTTTGAATGGGAGGCAAATTGGTTTCAATCACTAGAGAGAAGGGGGCGTGGTGGCCCAGGAACATTATTAGTGTACTGTACTCCTGTCACCTGCTGAGGTAAGGAGGTTCTGAATAACTGCTCTGGGGTGCAGGAAGAAAATACTAAAACTTTGAATTATCTTTATTGATATCATCCCTTTAAAATGTCTGTTTATGCTGTTTTATGGTGTATGGAAAGGATATGCTTGGGGAATACTGCCCTAGAGAGAGGAGAAGACAGATGGTTGGATCAGGATGAAAAAAACTGGAGATGTGGAGTAGCTCAGAATTCAAAGGTCTCATAACTGCCCAGTGGGTTCTCATTGCCTGCTGCCTGGACAGAGCCAATTTATTAAGACAGGGGAATTGCAACAGAGAAAGAGTTTAATTTACACAGAGGCAGCTGTATGGGAGACAGGAGTTTTATTATTACTCAAATCAGTCTCCCTGAAAATTTGGGGATTGGGGTTTTTAAGGATAATTTTGTGGGTAGGGGGTCAGAAAGTGGGGAATGCTGATTGGTCGAGTTGAAGATGAAATCACAGGAGGTTGAACTGGGTTTTCCTTGCTGTCTTCTGTTCCTGGTTAATTCTGTAAACCATTCAGGAGCAATATGGGGAGGTTCAGAATCTTGCAGCCTCTGGCTGCATGACTCCTAAGCCATAATTTTTAATCCTGTAGCTAATTTGTTAGTCCTACAAAGGCAGACTGGTCCCTAGGTAAGAAGGGGGTTTGTTTGGGGAAGGGCTGTTACCATCTTTGTTGCAAAGTTAAACTATAAACTAAATTTTTCCCAAAGTTAGTTCAGCCTATGCCCAGGAATGACAAGGACAGCTTGGAGGTTAGAAGCAAGATGGAGTCAGTTAGGTCAGATGTCTTTCACTGTCATAATCTTCTCACTGTTATAATTTTTGCAAAGGTGGCTTCAGTCTCCTATCTGTTCTGATAAAGAAAATGTAGTCGCATTTGGATTCTGGAGAGATAGTAAAGAAGATACTGACCTTTGTTAGACAATGGCTTATGTGACAGGTGCTGGGTTGTGTGCTATTTATTCTTATTCTATCACTGCATATACAATTTTCATATGAATGCATACTTTTATCCATTTGTTATTTATTTAATGAATATCTCATTTAATCTTCACAAACAGCTTGAGAAGAAGGTTTTAATCTTCCCAATTTTGCAACCAGGAAGTTAAGGCTTAAGGTGGGTGAGTAATTTACACAATGTTCTATGATTTACACTTCAGCAATTCTCATTCTTTAGTGAGTAGGTTTGCAGTGTAGACTCCAGTGTAGACTTTAGGAGATTCAAGTGGGCTTCTAGTCTGCTTGGAGCAGGTGGATAGTTCAAGAATATGCTTATAGAATTATGAAATACTTTGTTCTGATTTTCTTTCATTATTTAGTGCATATTCCCAAATTGCAATTTTAGGCCAGAGCTACTTCTCTGCTGTTTAGGCTGACACCAAGGACTTGGTTTGACATTTCAATCAACTCAATCTTCCCTTGTTGGCCTTAAAAGCAAGCAAGCAAACAAACAGACAAACACAACAAAACCTAAAACTTCTGTTATGACTAAATTCCAGGTAATCAATTAAATCTTAATTTATTTTATTGTTATTAAATTGAATTGACATAAAGTGACTAAATCTACTATTTGTCAATCCCATTCTCAATGTCAGAGACTTAAATTGCAGAATCTCCTCATCTGCACATCTGATTCCTTCCAGCAGCTGATAAGCATCACAGGAGCAGGAATCATATTTTGTTCATCTTTTCTATGTCCCACAAAGTGTCTAGCAGAGTATTTGCATTTGTTGAATGAAAATATGTTAGATCAATTTCTTCCAACTGTAGATTTCAAACTATAGGCCAGGCCATCCCACTTGTTACAGGTAGTTAATCTGTTTATCTAAAACCATAATTCATTGGCTTTCTTAGCTATCTTGGCAGTTAGGCAAGAGATATTTACAGGTTCTAAGAAACATAAGATGCTATTTATTCCGTTGTATATTAGACTTATAGTTGTGTGGTTTCAGATTCTTAAGAATAAAAATTTCCATCTCTTCGTTTTGATGAAATGTGTGTAAAGTTGGAGAACAAGGTAAAAGAGTGAGTAAATTCAGAATTCTTTTTTTCTCTCAAATGCTCAGATACTTAATTAAAATTCCTTTAATATGATCACGAGATTTTTGTCAGGACAAGTTGAGATGATCCTTGAGAAAGCACTTTGAAAACTCTAGACTACAGACATAAAGGACGTTTGTCAAAAGTAAGGCTTTAAAACAAAATAAGGCCTCTTGAAAACACAGACCTGGCGTTCTGACAGTGCACATACTGCCTAATAGGGATGAAAGTTTAAGCTCTGTTTAGCTACCTTTGTATAATGGGAATAAAAGGTTTTTTTTTTCTTGTATCCTAAATCGAGAATTTAAACTGTTTTCTGATTAGCAAGGGTTTGCAGTCACACTAGTAATAGTCCTCTATAAGATGGACATCCTTCTCTGTTCCCCGTCTTTCTACTCCTTATGAAGAAAAAGTAGAAATTTTTGAAAAAGTTGTGCTAGGTATACATAACATGACATTTATCATTTTAACTACCTTTAAGTGTACAGTTCAGTGGCTTTAAGTACATTCACAGTGTTGTATAACTATCACCATTATCCATCTCCAGGACTTTTCCATCATCCCAATCTGAAACCCTGTACCCATTAAACAATACCTTCCCATACTCTCTTCCTGCAGCCCTTGGTAGCCTCTACTCTTTCTGTCTCTGTGAATTCACCTATTCTTCTTGCTGAGCCTTGCTGTTATCATTATTCATTCGACATTATTCATTATTCATGAGTGCTTATTATGGACACCAGGAGTTCAACAGTAAACAAAAGTCCCTGCTCTCAAGGAGCTTTTATTTTAGTGGGAGGGAGACAATAAACAGCGAGCACATTTAAAATATTTTTTAAAAATGAGATTATCTTATACACAATTCTTCTGCAACTTGATCTTTTCACTTGACAGTACATCTTGGACATCTTTTTCTATGTCAGTCTGAAGAGGCCTATCTCTTATTTATAATAGCTAAATTTATTGAGTCTCTACTTTGCTCCAGGCACTGTTTTAGTTGCAACAATCCTATGAGGTAAGTTCTATAATGATCATCTTTTTACAGATGGCCCAGATAAGTGTAGGAGCTTGCATAGTCACCTGGCCAGTCACTGGTGGAGACAGAACTAAACTCAGATGACCTGATTCCTTACTCCAATTCTACCCTCTTTTGAATGGCTACATAGTACTCTTTTGTATCAATATACCTTAACTTATTTAGGCAGTCTCTTATATGTAAGCCATTTTTAGGTGTTTTTTTGTTGTTGCTATCATAGTGCTATAATTAACATATTTAGAGATATGTTTGCACGTGTGTGTGGTTTTCTATAAGGTAAATTCCTAAGAAATAAAAACACATACACATTTCAATACTTGATAGGCACTACTATACTCAGTTTCCTTTAAAAAATATTTTACCAATTTATATTCCCACTAACAGTATAGGAAAAGGAAAAGGCCCTGATTTCCTTATATCTTCTTTAACAAAGGGAATTACCAAACTTATATTTGCCCCATATGATAGGTTTAAAAATGGTATAGAGGTGATACTTAAAAATGTTTTTCACTTAAAAGTGTTTTTTATTTTAAATATTTTAAAGAGATGATTGCTTCCTGCTCTAAGCTGTTCTTGGTCCTCTTTTATCATGTAAGAAAGAAAGCCATCTCTCTTATTTCCAGAAATCTGTAGTTTCTTGTTACTGTGGAACCTTGGTAGGAAAAGGCCCTTGTTTCTGTGAAAACCTGAGGGCCCAGCGTGAGGATGTTCCAGGAGAGTGGAGTTGATGGTGCGCAGGGGATTAGCTTGCTCTGGTTATAGAGACATGATTAAAATCTATTTGATTTCAGTACTTAACTGGCAAATCTGATGCAACTTCTGGAAAATTCCTAGATGGCTTTAGGCATATTTAAAAGAAGCCATATTTTTCCTTTTAAAAATAGATATGCACCAAAATATTTTATTTTCATCTAATCCCGCTTTAACAACCAGAATCCCCTTAAAAGCAATTCCAAACTAAAAGATGTAAATCCATTTCCTATGTGCATTTGTTCTTTGGTACCATCAGGGTTAATGTTTGCATCCTCTGTGCTGAAATTAAGGATGTTGGGAAAGAAGTGTCATTGCTTTGCCTACTAAATGTCACTTGAGTATGCTTAGCTTTCATCCATAAGAGAGCTGAACTTCCCCTGTAAAAAAAAAAAAAAAAAAAAAAAAAAAGTGACAAAAACCCACTGCTGATTCTTTCATCTCTGCAAAAGCAGGTGGGAACTGCAAACAGATTTGCTTATCTTCCTCAGTCAAGGGCTGGTAAAAGTTTGGTAAGTAGGCCTGGTAGCCGGTGTCCCCTTCCATTGTTCATTTTCATCCTCCTGAATTCTTGATTCCCACAGAGGAAGCCATCCTCAGAAGCCAGCCTCTTGGGAGTTTCCTTTTGTTTCCCCAAGATTAACCAGTTCTGTCCTGTCAGCAGGAGCAGGCAACTAGGGGAGGAGAGGCTCTTCAGGGCTTTCAGCATTTTTCCAAGGAGTGCTTTTCTCCCTCAATTCCTCACTGACAGTGAAGCTGCTTTCTTGTAAGGTCTTCCTCTTCTTCTGATGAGATGCTGATTCTGATTGCCATCTAGCAGCTTCCGGTGGTGGTAAGTGGTCAAGAGTGTTTTTCCAGGAGTTGATCTCAGGTTTTTGAGAATGCCCCCTAGAGACCCAGTTTGTTTTCTGTATCATCCCTCAAGCTTTCAGAGTAGCCTTGCTTTTCTCCTTGGCATGGTCACGGAATGGATACCTGTTTGATCTTCCTGCACTGCTGAGAAATCTTCCTTTTGGGGGAGAGGATTAAGTCTGGGTTGAGGTGAGTAGATGGGTAGCATTCAATGGTTAGTGAGATGAAGTGGAAATTTAGCTGTGGGCTGGTTGGAACGATCTGTTTCTTTTCTCCAGATCCCTATTTTGTTTTGCTGTTTTCATCTTGGTGACTAAGGTTTCACAAATATTCTTTATTATTCCCCTTTTGCTAAAAAATAAATTTGGGGGAGTTAGTTGGAAATGGGAGATGTGACATTTTCTTTTTTGTTGTTTGAAATGTCTATTTTTTACTCTGTTAGCATGCCTATTAAATGACCAATGATAGTAGCATAAAGGTACATTTCTTCTTGGTTTGTAGGTCTTTGTCACTTCCTTTGGTAGTAGTTGGTTTTATTTTTTTCACGGGGTTTGTATACAGTGCACCTATTCAATATATTGTTTATGGTCAATTTATGCTTTAGACATGAACAGTTTGCACTGAGCTATCCCTCTGAGGTTTGAGGGTTATGTTTTTAGTGCTAAAATTTGTCTGAACAGAAAAAGGTATCCTTCTAGTTGTTTTGTTTATAGGCAAGAGAGTGTCTCAGGTCCCTGGTTAACAATTAGCTGTTTTGAAGAAAAGAAAACTGGTGAAAAACATTAATTGGAAGCTGAAGTCTTGTTAGAAAGTAAATGAGGAAACACAGGTTTTCTTGTGGGATTACCAACACCTGTGCCCATGAAGTATCCCCTTTTACTCAGCTGTTGCTCCATGCTGGCCTTTACTACAAAATGTAAACTCAGAGTGATTTCAGTTTTGATTTTTTTAAATGTATTTTTTATTTTTTATGTGATATGTAATAACTGCACATATTTATGGGGTACATGTGATATTTTGGTATATGCATACGATGTGTAATTAGCATATATATCACCTCAAACATTTACCATTTCTTTGTGTTGGGAACATTCCAAATCTGCTAGCTATTTTGAGATACAATAAATTATCATTATCTATATCGTTTATTTTATCGTTTATATCTATATCGTTTATTATAAATAAAAAATAAATTATCATTATCTATTGTCATACTACCGTGTTATCAAATACTAGAACCTGTTCCTTCTATCTGACTGTATGTTTGTACCCATTAACCAGCCTACCTTCACCCCCTTCTTCCTCTTCCCCTTCCTAACCTCTGGTAACCACCATTCTCCCTCTCTACCTTCATGAGATCAACTTTTTTAGCTCCCACATATGACAGAGGATATGTGATATTTGTCTTTCTGTGCCTGGCTTATTTTGCTTAACATAATATCCTCCAGTTCCATCCATGTTGCTGCAAATGATAGAGTTTTATTCTTTTTCATGGCTGAATAATATTCCATTGTATATAAATACCACATTTAAAAATTTTATTCCTCAAGAAGAAATATTATTGCTTCCATATCTTGGCTATTGTGAATAGTGCTGCAATAAACAGGGGAGTACAGATATCTCTTCAAGGTACTTATTTCCTTTCTTTTGGATGTATTCCCAGAAGTGGGATTGCTGGATCATATGGTGGATCTGTTTTCACTTTTTTTGAGAAACCACAGAGTGATTTATTTTAACCTATATTGTGCCTTTATATTGTCTCATCATGCAGAAATATTTAAAAATGAGGGAACAAATGATTTTTTTTGTGCCCCTGGAGGATTTTTTTGTGGGTGGGAGAATTTTATTTTTTTCATATGTGGCATATTGAATATTTTCATTTAGTAGGAAAAGAGTTAACTAACCATCTAAAAGTAAATTGGAAATTGTAGCTGTCATTGAAATTAAACTTAATGTATGTTTGGCCAGATGCAGTGGCTCATGCCTGTAATCCCAGCACTTTGGGAGGCTGAGGCAAGTGGATTACTTGAGGTCAGGAGTTCGAGACTACCCTGGCCAACATGATGAAACGCCCTCTCTACTAAAAATACAAAAATTTACCAGGCATGGTGGTGGGCTCCTGTAATCTCAACTACTCAGGAGGCTGAGGCAGGAGAATCGCCTGAACCGTGTGGTGGAGGTTGCAGTGAGCCGAGATCAGGCCACTACACTCCAGCCTGGGTGACAGAGCGAGACTCTGTCTCCACAAAAAAATAAATAAATAAAAAATAAAAAACAAAACTTAATGTGTGTAATCTAAATTCTTGTATAGCATGAGTAAGAATTAGAAACAAGTATTTATTTTTAGAATCTCTCATGAAAAGATATTAAAAAATAGTAACCTCCTAGCAACATTATATATTTCAAATATTAATAAATTCTAATTAAATATTAAATATTATTGATCATTATGTTTTTGGAAACATGTTCCTTCCTTACTTTAAAGCTACCTTGCTTTTCTCTCTCCTTTTATTTACTCAACTGGAGTTTGAGTACCTACCCAGTGCCGGGCACTGTACTAGATGCCTAGGGGAAAAGGTCACAGAGGGAGGGCCACAGCATTTCATTTCAATGGATCCTTCACTGACCTTTCTTTTGAAGTTGAGCGCCCTCTAGAGCTCTGTCCTTGTTCCTCGTCCTCTGTCCTTTCCTCACCTCTCTTTGTTCTTGTCCTTTCTGGGTGAGGTCATTCATTCCCCCTTGACTTCACTCCTTCCTTATATGTTGATGATTCCAAGTCTACAAATCTGTCTTTTTGTCTTTAGTGCTGTGAGGATGTTTTCAATGATCAAGAGGCATTTTAAGCCCACATGTTCAAACTAAATACATTATTTTTTCATCCCAATTCCTTCTTCTGCCCCTCCACCTTCTCCTCCTTTTCCCTTCACTGCTGTATTTATCATCATAGTGGCACCTCTATTCCCTCAGTGTCCCAAGGCAAAAACCTGGAAGTCACCCCAGATTCCTCCTTGTTCTGCATCCAAACACACAGACCATTTATTTTATTTTATTTTACTTGAACAGACAGGGTCTCACTATGTTGCCCAGGCTGGTCTCTAACTCCTGGGCTCAAGCAATCCATCTGCCTCGGCCTTCCAAAGTGCTGGAATTACGGGCATGAGCCACCATGTCTGGCCCATACAGATCATTTATAGACTGCATATTTAACTATGGAAACATTTCTAGAATTCAGCCCCATTTGCCAGTTGTCATTGCTCCTCCATCTCCTCTTGTGCCAGCCCAAACTGTGAGATTAACCTTCCTAAAATCCCTGACAGCCTGGACTGGCACAGAGAGACAAAAGGGAACAAGGATAATGGAAAAGAGGGCTGAATTCTAATTGTGCCATTCTACTTAGATACCTCTTCTGTCTCCCCGCAACCTGCAGGAGCAACCACAGGATCTTGACCATGGCAATGCTCTCTGTCACCTTATCTATAAAATGGGGATAACGGTAATTCCTGCTCGTAGAGTTTTGGTGAGGACTGAATAAGACAACACGTGTCAAGTTCTTAGCACAAGGCCAAGTCCCCAGTGAATGGCAGTGACAATGAGGACAATGATGAAGATGATCCTGTCTTTCAGAATCCAGCTCTTACCTGCCTTGCCAGCCCCATATCACTGCACATTCTTCCTATGCCTGTATGATCTGCTTGCCATGACTATCACTGCTCCGCAAACCTTCCTTCCCTTTCACAACACTTGGCCTTTCCTCACGCTGTTCCTTTGACTTGTCCTTACCTTGTTTTATTTAGCAAGCTCTTCTTTTCCTTTTAAAAGGACTCAACTCAGAATTGCCATCTGTGAGGTCTTCGCTGACTCTGCAAAGCAGGCTTGGTGACTGCCTTTCCTCTGCCTCCATAGTTCTCCATCCCTCCTTCTACCATAGCCCTGCACTCATCATCCTTTTTTAAAATTTTTATTTATTTATTTATTTTGAGACAGGGTCTTCTGTGTCACCCAGGCTGGAGTGAAGTGGCACAATCACAGCTCACTGCAGCCTTGAGCTTCTGGGCTCAAGTGGTCCTCCCACTTTAGCCTCCCAAGCAGTGGGACTGGAGGCATGAGCCACCATGCCTGGCTAATTTTTTGTAAAGACAGGGTTTCGCCATGTTT
This sequence comes from Homo sapiens, assembly GCF_000001405.40. Taxonomy (NCBI): domain Eukaryota; kingdom Metazoa; phylum Chordata; class Mammalia; order Primates; family Hominidae; genus Homo; species Homo sapiens. The sequence continues at coordinate 50,115,156 of NC_000015.10, read as the reverse complement.
CCCAGACTGGTCTCAAACTCCTGGACTCAAGTGAGGAGATAGAGGGCATCTGCCCACCTTGGCCTCCCAAAGTGTTGGGATTACAGGTGTGAGCTACTGTGTCTGGCCTACACTCACGATTCGAATGGTCTTTTATGTTTCTGTCTGCTCTCATCTTCCCCAGACTGTGGGCTTTTGAAAGACTGGAAATGAATTTTTGCCTCCCTCATGCCCAGCCCATGTTAGCTATAGAGTAGGCACCTGATAAGTCTTTGATAATTGAATGTCAGTAGAGGGAGGACATGGTTCTCAAATTTGGTAGGAGGTTTTTTCCATGTGGAGAGTTAAAAAAATACATTTTAAGAAAAATAAAAATAATCATCGCTTTCCCTTATTGAGTACTAACTTTGTGGCAGCAGGCATTGAGCTAATTTCTTTATGGAGATGGCTTGGTTTAGTTTTCCTAGTGATCCTATGAGTTACTCTGATTGTCCACAGAGGAGAAAACTGGAGCTTAGAAGGGAGGGGAACTTGCTTGAGATTCTAGGGTTAACAGGAGCAAACTTGGGCGGCCTAACGCCAGCACTGGTGGAGCAATAGGGAAGTGAGAAGAGGAAGGAAGATGGCCAAAGCAGGGTTGAGAGAAGAGGGACAGGATGAGGACAAGGAGGGGAAAATGAGAAAGAGACCAGCAAGAGCAGACTAGGAAAGGAAGAGAAGGGAAGGAGAAAAGGAAACTAGAATGCATTTCTGTAAGTACTTCCAATGTTGCCTGAAGTTTTGATTGAAGTAACTCAGGAATGGAAAACCAAACATCGTATGTTCTCACTTATAAGTGGGAGCTAAGCTATGAGGATGCAAAGGCATAAGAATGGCACAGTGGACTTTATGGACTCAGGGGGAAAGGGTAGGAAGGGAGTGAGGAATAAAGGACTACAAATTGGGTGCAGTGTATACTACTCATGTGATGGGTGCACCAAAATCTCACAGATCACCACTAAAGAACTTACTCATGTAACCAAACTGTTTCCCAATAGTCTATGAAAATTAAAAAAAAAAAAAAAAAAAAAAAAAGAAACTAGGAGACCAAGAAGGAAAATGAACAGGGGATATGTGAGAGGACGAAGAGAAGCTTTGAAATGTTGTGGCTGGGTAATGGCTGCATGACTAGAATATAAAGAGACTCCTGTATGGACATGACAACTCACAACAATTAACCTGCTGTATGTTATACAGTAAATATAACAATAATTTATTGTTGAGGCACGGTAATTGCATATACCTGTAGTTGCAAGCCATTTATAAATTTGGCTTTTTTTTTTTTTTTTTTTTTTTTTTTGAGATGGAGTTTCGTGTTGTTGCCCGGGCTGGAGTGCAATGGCATGATCTCAGCTCACCGCAACCTCTGCCTCCCGGGCTCAAGTGATTCTCCTGCCTCAGCCTCCTGAGTAGCTGGGATTACAGGCATGTGCCACCACGCCCAGCTAATTTTTGTATTTTTAGTAAAGACGGAGTTTTTCCATGTTGGTCAGGCTGGTCTCGAACTCCTGACCTCAGGTGATCCACCCACCTCGGCCTCCCAAAGTGCTGGGATTACAGGTGTGAGCCACCGCTCCTGGCCTTATAAATTTGGCTTTTACACACACCCATACGTACACACATACACACATACACAGATTGGCTTAATTTTTTTTTTACTTCTACTTTTGTACAGTTCCTACAATCTACAAGCACTGTGGCTATTGGCAGCTGTCACTGATACCAAATAGAATTATCTTTAGCTCCCACCCTCACCCTCACACTCAAAACTGCACACATGCAGGACAGAAGCCTGGGCTTGTTCCTTTTTCTCTCGCTGTCTCAGCTCCCAAGGCTGAGATTACTCTGCTTCATCTGGATCGCCCATCTCTGGGGTCTCATGGCTGAGTTTCAGTTCCCCAATCCTACCTGCTCCTCAGGGGGCCAGCACTGGGGCTGCAGGTAATATTTTGGGTTGGCAGGCAGGGATGCCTGTGGGACAGCAAGGTCACCCCTACATGGGTCCCAGGGTGGGAGGACTCTCTGAGGCTTTGCTCTTCAGGCTCTGGGAACCTAGGGCCAGAGGGAGGAAGGGGGAAGGGCTGGGCAGCTGGAGGAGAGAAGGGCTTGTTCCTTCCTCCTGTCATCCTTGCTTGACATCCTAAGACCCAGCTCCTGCTCAAGACCACACTGGTGCAGCCCTCACAGGGAGCCTCTTCCTCTCCACGCTTGGTTGGGTTAGTCCTCAGAGAGATGGTGGGTTGGGATGGGAAGCAGGGGCCTTGTTGAGAATTGTGAAAAAATGTTAGGGAAACGGAAAGGAAACTGGGAGAGAAGGAGATGGAGTAAGAGGAGAAAAAGTAGACTGGGGAGGTGGAAATGAGATGGAGGGAACACACTTTTATGGAGTGAACTGTTCTTACCTGTGTACTTAACCTCACACAGCTTGGAGGAAGGCATTCCCATCTCCACTTTACAGATGTGGAGATTGAGTCTCAGGCAGGGTACATGACTTGCTCAAAGTAATGCTAGATAGAAAGCCACTGAACTGGGACTTGAACCTTGCTATTCTAAAAGTCTCTCCTGTGTAACACTCTGCCTCCAAAGAGGAGAGGAGGCAAGCCGAACGGAACAGAGAAAGGAGCATAGAAGGAGATCTGGGGTTGGGCACGTTAGATATTGAGTCTGGGCTTGGGCATGTTCCATATTGGGTCCCTTCCTCCTTGGCCTGCTTTTTCCTGAGTCTTCAGAGAACTGGAGAGCACCCACACCCAAAGGAAGTAGAAGATCCCCACCCTGGTGGGGACACTTCAGTTACTCCCTAGGCTCTCAGATAGGAGACAGACAGGGAGGGGCTCGCCTGGGCAGGTCTCTGGGCCAGCAAGGGGGGCTGCCAAGGCTCTGCCTGTGCTTTTTCCTGGCCTGCACTGTTCCTGTCTCTTCCTCAACTGCCCTGGCTCCTTCCTTTTCCCTTTTTCCAATCTCCTCTAATTCCTTTGCTTTTCTGTCACTCTACTTCATATTTTCAATCTTTCTCTTTCCACTGGCCCCAACCCCTCAGTTTACCACATGCCCTCTAGCTCCTCACTGCAAACAGAGCTTCTCTTTAAGTCCCATCACCTGTTCACCCTTATGTCCATTTATTTATTTATTTTTATAGAGACCAGGTCTCACAATTTGCTCAGGCTGGTCTAGAACTTCTGGATTCAAACAATCCTCCCACTTCAGCCTCCCAAAGTGTTGGGATTACAGGCATGAGCCACCCCGCCCAGCCATTATCTCCTTTCTTTTATTGCAGAATGTCTTAAAGGAGTTACACTCGCTGTCCTCATTTGTTCCTAATGTTTATGCAGAAATGTTGACAAAGAGACATCAATGGTCTGCCTTTAAGATAACTAATATCAAATGTACACTCTCATTATGTGCCCTGTCCCCACGACCCACCCAGGTTGGCTCTGAGGTTTACAGAGCTTATTTGCCCCAGATTCTGTAATGAGTTAGTAGAAAAAGCAGGAATCCAAGAACAGGGCGTGTGGCCCCAAAGGACAGGCTTCTACCATGTCCTGCTTCCCCATCCCCCCGAACAGCTCCGAGGGCTGTTCTCTTGGATGGCTTTTGGTGAGTTTACTATGGCCAGAGTGGGCCATTTGTCCTGTAGACTTTGGACCATAATTCAATAGCACACCCAAAACAGATCTTTCTGGGGGCAGATTAATAGTAGCTCAGGAAACTGATGATATAAAATAAGAATGACAATTTATTAATTTAAAATACATACTCTAACTGTCAGGAGAACCAGAATGTTCACTTCAGCATGACAAGTGCATTCTTTCCCTGTGGGCAGGCTTCTGTGGGAAAGCAAATTATTATCAGCAGGTTGCTTGGTGAGCATGGAATCAGAGCAAGGGGAATTAGCTGTAATAACTTGACTGCTGAACGGCCTCAGATCATTAAAGAGACTCTCCATTTTAATTCTTTGCTTAAAGTGTTGAGTCACCTGCACCCAGATGTGCCCATTTTCACTGTAAGAAGAGACTTCCTTGTGGAAGGCTGCCCTCTTCCTCACAGGATGCTTAAATAGCAGTTCCAGCATGGAGGTCTTGGTATCTTCAATATCAAGGTGTCTAAAACCAACTCTTTAATTTCCCTGTACAAACTGGCATCTTCTTTTGACTTTGCTATTTCTTGCATTAGAAAACTATTTTCTGTGACCAAGATTCAACACCCAAACTTGAAATGTAAAAAAAAAAAGTATTTATGGAAGTATGAATTTCAATCTTTAAAACAAATATGCACTGCTTTTTAAATTAATATATGTAAAGTCCTTAGCTATTATTTGCTACATTCCTCTCTCTACTTTCTCACACTTCCCTTATTAAAAGCAACCCTCTAGGATTTTCACATGAAGAAACTACCATTTTAATCCCTGGCATAAGATGAAGCTAAGGGTAACATAAGACTCATCTAGCAGCTTTCCCTTTTCCATTTCCTCTACTTTGAGGCAGTTTTTAAGAGGGAGAACTTATTCTTGTAAATATTGTTTGCTTCAGTACTTGTAAAGGGTTAAATTTCAAAATCCTAAGTTCCTGCTTCTAGAGCTAGACTTGACTTTAGCAAACCTTTTTCTTTCAACTGATTTTGTTTAATCTATTTCCTTAGATCTTTACTGTTCCAAAAGTTCAATGAAAGATGACTTTTTCTTTACTCTGACAACCTTTAGAGGTGGAGCGAGTGTCAGTGGTGGTATTTCGGTGAGTTGATAAATTTGCAAGAATGACAGGACTAAATGTTGCTTCTAGAGTTAAACTAGAATCTGCTACATTACTATGAGTCCTCCGTAAAGTATACCTGATTGCCATTGCTACTAGAAAAAGACTGGATTTGAGGAAACATGGACTTGAATGTCAATTCTTATTTTTTCGATGTTACTTTATGTTTTAGAGTGACAACACTTGACTAGGATCATTAATAAGAAACAACTTCTGGAAATCTTATAGAAATATTGTTTATTTCATGCAATAGTGATTATATAATTACCGTGACAGAATATTTTCTACAAAATGAAAAATGGCTAAAATTGAAAAATGGATTTATTCAGTATGTTCAAAATAAAAGGTTTCAAAGACACTTTGGAAGATGGTATTGGAGAAATTAACAGTAGCAACATAGCTGTATGTTTTAAAAGTAATTTTAGGAAGAATATGGAAGAATATGACATTGCTTTATGTTTGAATGTCTAGGAACTTTTAAAATGAGAAGTGCTAGCAGGAAGATCTAAAATAAGATAGAGAAGAGGTTACATGGATATATTCTCCTTAGTTACCTTATATTACACAATTGTATTAAGTTCATGTTTGTTAACTGTTAGTACCAGTACCTCACACCAATCTAGCATCCAATAAGGACAAAGAAAGGATAAGCTGCCAAGTGCCTGGTACTTTGATTAGCTTTCTGAGAGATAAATGTCTTCTGCTTGCATTCTCATTGCCGCTGTTTGGGTGTAGAGTCCCCTTTTTTTTCATCTTGCTTGAAGAATTGTTCTTCCTTTCCTCTGCTCTGGGGACTCAGCCAATGAACACAGAACATGTTGACTTAGTCCCACTGGAGAATTTTCAAGCCCTGACAAGTTGGCTTAGAGCTTGCTGATGAGCCTTTACCCTCTGGCCAAGTGGGGCCACCAGATACAGATGTCGTTGTCACAGAATTCATTCACCTGCCCAATACCATTTTGTATTTGTTGCTATGACTATTCGTGAAACAAAAACAATTTTGTTTTTTGTTTGTTTTTTGAGTATTTTGTGAAACAAAGAAACAACAAAGTCCTTCATGGATGAAAACTCACTTTTGTCTGTGGTATTTTTGACAGGAAGTCTTTACCACCAAACATCCTTTTTGTGAATCTTCCTTTATAACTCTAGTGCCTCCTCTCCCCAGGTTTGCTCATTTTCTCTTCTTTCTTCTGCTCTTCAATTTGCCTGCAGCACTCTTCCTATTGCTAACCCAGTTTTGCTCATGCTTTGAGGTTCTTCCCAGGCTGAAGATAAGGGTGTGTAGGAAGATAGGGACCAGAAAACAGGAGGGAGCAGCCAAAAAAGCTGCAGCCACTCCAGCTTGGGAAGGCAGATCTAGGACATTTTGGGGCCGGGGTCTGGGATCCAGGGAGGGATAGTTGCTAAAAGGAAAGTGTCTTTTAGCATCTGGAAGCCCTTCCTCCATTTCTAATATAAATTAATTTTTCATTCAACAAGTGTTTACTGAGCATTACTACGTGCCAGACAGGCATTAGATGCTGGAGATACAGCTATGGAGCCTTGTCCTAAAAGAGTTTGTGGAATAATGGGGAAATAGCCGATATAATAGAAAAATGTATTCTAGAGTGATAGGGGCTCTCACATGGGCAGTGCCAGGTTCTACGGGAACACACAGGAAGTGCTCCTCCTATCTCTGATTTGGGGAGGTCAGAGAAGGCCTCCTAAAGGAAATGAAATATGAGTTGACATTGGACAGATGAATAGGAGCTAGTCGGATAAAGGGGGTGGAGACAGATGGCTACAGGCAGAGGGAAGAGCATGTGTGAAGGCCCCCAAATGGAAAGAGGCTGAGTTGTATATTTCTGGAGTGCAGACATGAGGCGGTGCAGGGAAGCATGGGAGCAGGGAAGGAGAGTGATGAGGAAACAGGCTGGAAAGATGAGCAGGGATCAAGTCGCAGAAGGTCCTAGGAGTCATGTTAGAGTTTTTTTCCTGAGGCCAACAAGAGGTGTTTGCAGGGTTTTTAGCAGGGGTGTGACATGATGCCATTCCCCTTTATAATGATAACTCTGGCTTTGATGTGGAGACTGGTCTACAGGTGGCCAAGCCTGGAACAAGGGAGGAACATAGAGGGAGAGCAAGCACTGGTCAGCAGGCATGTCCTGGAGATAACCCACTGCCTGGGGCTGGGGTGGGGGAGTAGAGAGGCGGGGCTAGGAGGGATGGTCTTGGGCAGCCTTGCTGGCAGCTGGTTGAAGATGTGGAGGGAGCAACAGGGGAGTTACTGATGGGGTCATATTTGATGACCTAGCCTTGCTTTTAGCAACACCCGGCAGCGACACCCCTATGTCCTTGCTTGGATTCGTAAGTTTTAGTAACCTGGCCCCTAGAAAACACTGGGTCCTGCAAAGTATCACTGACCCTATTTGTTAGGCATACTCCAGGGGCCAGAAAAGGAAGAAATGATGGTCTCAGGCTTTTTAGACTTCTCGGGGATCTGTAGTGGAGCAGTGCGTGTTGATGAACTTCCTCTGCAACCTCTTTTCTTGTAACTACTAAGCCATAAGTGTTGTTCTTCCCCTTCTCTGGTCACCATATGACTGACCAACTTCTTCTTTATGTGTGTTGGCCGCATCCTGCCACACCACTTTCCTGAGCAGGAAGCAAACCAGTCATTTTTTTTCTAACTGAAAGAGCATGTGGTCAGTACCTCTGCCTGCACTGTCATGTGTTTGCAAAGGTGCATTTATTTCCTTGGTCTTTTGGGTTTTGAATGTTTGAAATTACTTGTTTGCTCCTTCATTTATCATTCTAAATCTCTAAGAGTTTACAATGTGAAGAAAATTAGACCACATGTAGGGAAAAAATGAAATATAATAATGATATTATTCTGGTTTAAAAAAAATAACTGCCTGGAGAAGACTACGTTCATGAGAATAAATTGAGGAAAAGTTTTGGATTGCATTTTGTTTCTCTAGAGCCTGGGCAATAATTTCCTGTCACACATAGCTCTCGAAGTTCAGTTGTGGTTCTCAGCTGTGGCTTGTGAAAGAATCACCTATGGCATTTAAATAAAAGGCAGATTCTGGAACCTCACCCCTGAGATATTCTGATTCACAGGATTTGAGATATATTTGATTCAATTTGAATGCCAAATTGAGTGGCGCATTTGTGCTTACCTTGAGTTGTCTCATACGGCCTTTAAAATACAAATAGATTATTTTTGTACAGAATTATTCTTATCTGGCTGGACTAAAGCCTCATAAATTAAATCTGTTGTTCTTTCCTGTGTCAGTGACTTCCTAATTACCTAGATTTGTCTAGGAAGAAAGTTAAAGGAGGTAAATTTATAGTTATTGTGCATTTTTCAGATACTAATATGCATACTTCTTTTTCTTAGGTAGGCCACCTGTTGAGACCTGGTGAAAGATCAGGTATAATAATGTTCTGCAGTGAAAAGAAATTGCGTGGTAAGTTTTGAGTTCTTCCAATGATGCAAAGTGATATTTTAAAAATATAATTTTAATTTTTTCATGGAAGTTTAATTTATATATAAAAAGCACACAGGTCTAGGTGTTCAGCTCAGTGAACTTCGACGATTATATACACCCATGTAACTACAAAGGGTGTATAAAACAAGATATAGAACATTGATTTCTATCACCCCAGAAAGTTCCCTTGTGCTCCTTTTCGTTCATTCTTTCTACACTCACTGTGACCATCTTTTGATTTCTGTCAGATCAGTTTTACCTACTTTTGAAATGAATATAAATGAAATCATACAGTATGTGTTCTTTCGTATTGCTGCTTTTGCTCAGCATAAGGTTTTTGACATATACCTATACAGTTGCATGTATTAATAGTTTGTTCTTCATTTTAAATTTCAAAGCAGTGTTCCATTGTGTGAACACACCAACATTTAAAACAGAGTTCGTATAGTTAGAAATAATTTTGATCATGATAGCAGAAAACACACTTTGTTTTTTAGGTTGAGTAATTTGGTTGAGTAATTAATAGTATTATTAACACTTTTCAGTTTGCTGAATCCAATTTCTTTAATATAGCGTCCACACCAGAGAGTGTTGATTGTCTCTTTTGTCTCTAGTTAGTCAGTGACAGGCTATTATGTACTTTTTCCTTCAGTGGACGTGTGTCCAACCTATTATGGCTGTTTTCTTTATTTTTGACCATAGACTCTTTAGAGACTAAAGGCTGGATTAGAGTTTACATAGTGCCCTGTCCTTCCTTCCAATATCGTCCCTGATAGGTGGTTAACCTACTTCTGCAGGTAATTATATCATGATGCACTTCATTCTCTTATTGGATACTTATTCATTGCAACATTTAGTCTCATAATGAGCTGAACTCTGTCTCAATGTGGTTCCCACCCACAGGCCATTAATTATGCCCTCTGGGGCAATATATTCATATTCCCAATGCTAATCAGGAGTCTAGAATTATTGCCACCCATTTTTTTTCCTGTAAAATGATTTATTTATATACAATCTTAATAGTGTGAAGATAAGATTAACTGACTTTAACACAAACAAGTTTTCAACAGGACCCAGTGTTGCAAACTTTTGATGTGTTCTGACATGATCTGAGATCCAGGTCTTATTCTCTTAAACAGTAATTCATATGTATATGTATATATTAATGCATATATGTAAAAGTAGGAAATTTTTGGAAATAAAAATAAGAAAGCATAAGTCGCTGTAATCATGCCACCTAGAAATAACTACTTGAGGTTGCTGTGTTGCACAACTTTACAGGGCTCTAATTATAGTGACCTCTATTAATGTATTTGTGTATATCGATCCAAATATATATCCCCAAATGGAATTATCCTGTACATTATTTTGAAACCTCCTCTTTAAACTTAGAATTATAATCACAGACATCTTTTATGTCTTTAAACATTTCTCAATAACATTATTTTTATTTACATTTCCCCTAACTTTTAATTTTGAAAATGTTGAATTTTACAGAATTGAAAGAATGATATGATGAACACGCAGAAACCCTTCACCTTAATTATACAATTATTACTATTTTGCCACATGTGCTTCCTTACTGTCTGTCTCTTTTTCTATACAAACACGTGCCCTCATATGTACAAACACACACGTGGGGTCTTTTTTTTTTTTTTTTTTCAAATTTCAGTAAGTTTTTGGGGAATAGGTAGTGTTTGGTTACATGAGTAAGTTCTTTAGTGGTGATTTCTGAGATTTGGTGCACCCATCACCTGAGCAGTATACACTGTTCCCAATTTGTAGTCTTTTTTCCCTCACTCTCCCTGCCACCCTTTCCCCCAAGTCCCCAAAATCCATTGTATCATTCTTATGCCTTTGCATCCTCATAGCTTAGCTCCCACTTATGGGTGAGGACATATGATGTTTGGTTTTCCATTCCTGAGTTACTTCACTTAGAATAATGGTCTCCAATTCCATCCAGGTTGCTGCAAATGCCATTATTTCGTTCATTCTTATGGCTGAGTAGTATTCCATAGTGTATATATGGGTGTGTGTGTGTGTGTGTGTGTATGCAACATTTTCTTTATTTGCTCGTTGATTGATGGGCATTTTGGCTGCTTCCATATTTTTTGCGATTGAGAATTGTGCTGCTATAAACATGCGTGTGCAAGTATCTTTTTTGTATAATGACTTCTCTTCCTCTGGGTAGATACCCAGGAGTGGGATTGCTGGGTCAAATGGTAGATCTACTTTTAGTTCTTCAGGGAATCTTCACACTGTTTTCCATAATGGTTGTACTAGATTACATTCCCACCAACAGTGTAAACATATTTCCTTTTTACCACATCTACATCAACATTTATTATTTTTTGATTATGGCCTTTCTTGCAGCAGGGAGGTGGTATCACATTGTGGTTTTGATTTGCATTTCCCTGATAATTAGTGATGTTGAGCATTTTTTCATATATTTGTTGGCCATTTGTATATCCTCTTTTGAGAATTGTCTATTCATGTCCTTAGGCCACTTTTTGATGGGATCCGTTTGTTTTTTTTCTTGCTGATTTGTTTGAGTTCCTTGTAGATTCTGGATATTAGTCTTTTGTCGGATGTATAGATTGTGAAGATTTTTCTCCTACACTGTGGGTTGTCTATTGGCTGATTATTTCTTTTGCTGTGCAGAAGCTTTTTAGTTTAATGAAGTACCATTTATTTATGTTTGTTTTTGTTGCATTTGCTCTTGGGTTCTTGGTCATGAAATCTTTGCGTAAGCCAGTGTCTAGAAGGGTTTTTCTCATGTTATCTTCTATAATTTTTATAGTTTCAGTTCTTAGATTTAAGTCTTTGATTCATCTTGAGTTGATTTTTGTATAAGGTGAGAGATGAGAATCCAGTTTCATTCTTCCACATGTGGCTTGCCAATTATCCCAGCACCATTTGTTAAATTGGGTATCCTTTCCCCCATTGATGATTTTGTTTGATTTGTCGAAGATCAGGTGACTGTAAATATTTAGCTTTACTTCTGGCTTCTCTATTCTGTTGCATTGGTCTACATGCCTGTTTTTATACCAGTATTATGCTGTTTTGGTGCCTAGGGCCTTATAGTATAGTTTGAAGTCGGGTAATGTAATGCTTCTAGATTTGTTCTTTTTGCTTAGTCTTGCTTTGGCTATGTGGGCTCTTTTTGGTTCCACATGAATTTTAGTATTGTTTTTTCTAGTTCTGTGAAAAATGATGTTGGTATTTTGATGGGAATTGCATTGAATTTGTAGATTGCTTTTGGCAGTATAGTCATTTTTACAATATTGATTCTACCCATCCATGAGCATGTGTTTCCATTTGTTTGTGTCATCTATGATTTCTTTCAGCAGTGTTTTATAGTCTTCCTTGTAGAGGTCTTTCACCTCCTTGGTTAAGTATATTCCTAAGTATCTTTTTTATGGCTATGATAAAAAGGTTTGAGTTCTTCATTTGATTCTCAGCTTGATTGCTGTTGGTGTATAGCAGGGCTACTGATTTGTGTATATTAATTTTGTATCCTGAAACTGATGAATTCATTTACCGTTTCTAGGAGCTTTTTGGAAGAGTCTTTAGGGTTTTCTAGGTGTGTGATCATGTCATCAGCAAACAGCAACAGTTTGACTTCCTCTTTACTGATTTGGATGCCCTTTATTTCTTTCTCTTGTCTGATTGCTCTGGCTAGGACTTCCAGTACTATGTTGAATAGAAGTGGTGAAAATGGGCATCCTTGTCTTGTTCCAGTTCTCAGGGGGAATGCTTTCAACTTTTCCCTATTCAATATAATGTTGGCTGTGGGTTTGTCATAGATGGCTTTTATTAACTTAAGGTGTGCTCTTTCTATGCTGATTTTGCTGAGGGTTTTAATCATAAAGGGATGCTGGATTTTGTCAAATACTTTTTCTGCATCTATTGAGATGATCATGTGATTTTTGTTTTTAATTCTCTTTATGTGGTGTATCACATTTATTGACTTGTGTATGTTAAACCATCCCTGCATCCCTGGTACGAAACTCGCTTGATTATGTTGGAGAATCTTTTTGATATGTTGTTGGATTTGGTTAGCTGGTATTTTGTTGAGGAGTTTTACATCTATATTCATAAAGGATATTGTTCTGTAGTTTTTTTTTTTTTGTTATGTCCATCCCTGGTTTTGGTATTAGGGTGATACTGGCTTCATAGAATGATTTAGGGAGGATTCTCTCTTTGTCTATCTTGTGGAATAGTGTCAAAAGGATTGGTACCAATTCTTTGAATGTCTGATAGAATTCATTTGTGAATTCTTGTGATCCTGGACTTTTTTGTTGTTGGCAACTTTTAAATTACCATTTCAATCTCACTGTTTGTTATTGGTCTGTTCAGAGTTTCTGTTTGTTCCCGGTTTAATCTAGGAGGGTTGTATATTTCCAGGAATTTATTCATCTCCTTTAGGTTTTCCAGTTTATGGATGTAAAGGTGTTCATAGTGGCCTTGAATGATCTTTTGTATTTCTGTGGTATTGGTTGTAATATCTCCTGTTTCATTTCTAATTGAGCTTATTTGGATCTTCTCTCTTCTTTTCTTGGTTAATCTCACTAATGGTCTATCAATTTTATTTACCTTTTCAAAGATTCAGCTTTTTGTTTCATTTGTCTTTTGTGTGGTTTTTTTTTGTTTCAAATTCATTTAGTGTGCTCTGATCTTGGTTATTTCTTTTCTTCTGCTGGGCTTGGGTTTGGTTTGTTCTTGTTTCTCTAGTTCCTTGAGATGTGACCTTAGATTGTCTATTTGTGCTCTTTCAGACTTTTTGATGTAGGCATTTAATGCTATGAAGTTTCCTCTTAGCACCGCTTTTGCTGTATCCCAGAGGTTTTGTTAGGTTGTGTCACTATTATTGTTCAGTTTGAAGAATTTCTAAATTTCCATCTTGATTTCATTGTTGACCCAATGATCATTCAGGAGCAGGTTATTTAATTTCCATTTATTTGCATGGTTTTAAGGGTTCCTTTTGGAGTTGATTTCCAATTTTATTCCACTGTGGTTTAAGAGAGTACTTGCTATAATTTCAATTTTCTTAAATTTGTTGAGACTTGTTTTGTGGACTTTCATATGGTCTGTCTTGGAGAATATTCCATGTGCTGATGAATAGAATGTGTATTCTGCATTTGTTGGGTAGAATGTTCTGTAAATATCTGTTAAGTCCATCTGTTTTAGGGTATAGTTTAAGTTCATCGTTTCCTTGTTGACTTTCTGTCTTGATGACCCGTCTAGTGCTGTTAGTAGAGTACTAAAGTCTCCCACTATTATTGTGTTGCTGTCTATCTTGTTTCTTAGGTCTAGTAGTAATTGTTTTATAAATTTGGGAGCTCAAGTGTTAGGTGCATATATATTTAACATTGTGATAATCTCCTTTTGGACTAGTCCTTTTATCATTATATAATTTCCCTCTTTGTCTTTTTTAACTGCTGTTGCTTTAAGGTTTCTTTTGTCTGTTATGAGAATAGCTACTTCTGCTTGCTTTTGTTGTCCATGTGCATAGAATATCTTTTTCCACCCCATTACCTTAAGTTTATGTGAGTCTTTATGACACACAGGTTTCTGTTGTTTTTGTCAAATGTTGTAGACATCATGACACTTACCCCAAATACTTCAGCACACATCCCCTAAGAACAAGGACATTCTCCTGCATACCCACATTATCATCACCATACCTGAGAAATGTAACATTGATAAATGGCATATATCCCATTTTTCACTTTCCTCAGTAGTCCCCAGTACATCTCATCTCTTGGAATTGGTTTTAATTTTTGGTACAGTATCCAATCAATGTTCGTAAACTGAATTTGGCTAATTCCTTTATTTTCTTTTAAATTTAAAATAATTTTTCATTATTTTGAATTTTGGGAATGTCTAGTCTAACCATTTTATTGAATATTCTAGCATGGTTTAATTTCTTCTAAAGTAATTTGGGTTAAACATTTTTGGCACAAATACTGTGTACATAATTGTTTTTTTATTAATTAGTTAATTGACACATTAATTAGTTAATTGACAGTTTTTTGATGAGGAATGGAACTTGTTAATCCTCCTCACACAGAACTTCATTTTACAGACAAATGCTAATTGCTATATAGTGAGTCTAAGTTTTGGCTGTGTAACTGTGTCTGCATTCGCTTCCTGACAGTGACTGGCAGAGAAAGCTGAGGCCAGTCACTTCTTCTTGGACTTGTTACAATGGCCCATGACCTGCAAGACTGATGTGATAAAATGATCACCATCATTTGTATCATCATGAGTGGGACTGACACATCTTTAGATGACATCAGTTTCTGTAGATCTGGCAATAGTCTGGAGAGCTTTTTATTTTAACCTAAAACATGCATTCATTTATTTAGTCACTCCACAAACATTTTTGAGTCCTTATAATTTGTGAGGTAGCACCAACCTTGACTTCAAATGGCTTTTTATAATTCAATAAAATATATGTATTCTAATACAATTTTTAAGTTGATGGTAGCAAGGATAACTTAAAATAGTTTATTAAACATCACTATAAGTGGTATATTTGCCTACAAGTGGTATATTTACCTACAAGTGGTATCTTTGCCAGAGGGGCACAGACTGGAGATCTAATCAGCCTGGAGTTGTCAGAGGGAAAAATCATGCAGAGATGATATTTTATCTCAGTGAGAAAGTTCACGTCTGCAGCCTTTAATAAAGTTGCCCTTACATTTCTATGCACTTTCACAACATCATTGGGAAGCATAGGACATTGATGATGTGTGTGAAAATTTGACAAGCCAGCCATGGGTCTTGTGGGGAAATAACAATTTTCTCCCAGATATGCTTTATTCTTTATTATCTCCATATTCAGATGTCTTGCATTCTTTTTTTTTTTTTTTTTTTGAGATGGAGTTTTGCTCTTGTTGCCCAGGCTGGAGTGCAGTGGTGTGATCTCAGCTCACCGCAACCTCCGCCTCCCAGATTCAAGCAATTCTCCTGCCTCAGCCTCCCAAGTAGCTGGGATTACAGGCATGCACCACTACGCCTGGCTAATTTTGTATTTTTAGTAGAGATGGGGTTTCTCCATGTTGAGGTTGGTCTTGAACTCCTGACCTCAGGTGATCTGCCCGCCTCGGCCTCCCAAAGTGCTGGGATTACAGGCGTGAGCCACCGCGCCTGGCATGTCTTGCATTCTTTAAGATGTAAAAAGGTCTAGCCCCTTGACTCAAATGTTTAAAACATTATGATTACAGTCTATTTATGATTACAGTCTATTTTCTGTTTGTTCTTTGAAATTCACTCTTTCCTTATAGCTTGTATGAGAGGCCCAAAGACAAATTGTTTTGAAGTGTACAAGTGACAGGGTGCAGTGGCTCACACCTGCAATCTCAGCACTTCAGGAGGCTGAGGTAGGAGGATCGCTTGAGGTCAGGAGTTTTAGACCAGAGTGGGCCACGCAGTGAGACCCCTGTCTCTACCAAAAATTTAAAAAGTAGCCGGGCATGGTGGCACGTGCCTGTAGTTCCAGCTCCTTGGGGGACTGAGGTGGGAGGATCACATGGACCCAGGAGATTGAGGCTTCAGTGAGCTCTGATTGTGCTACTGCACTCCTGCCTGAGTGACAGACTGGGACCTAGTCTCTAAAAAAAGAAAAGAAAAGAAAAAAAATTGTACACATGCTTTTCCGCAATCAGGAAGAAGGTTGTTTATGGGTAAAATACCTAATTCAGATCTCATTAGTTTAGAAATATGGGAAGCAAAAGAAGTACATAATTAGAGGCCTTCTTTAAACCAGCTTAGCTGTTCTTTATTCCAAAATGTGGGGGTTGTGGAGCCAGAACACATTACTGCCTTAGTATGTTTATGGGGTGTAGGGTAGGATGAATCAGACCGGGGCTGTGTATGTCTTCTGTGGGCTCTAGGCACTTTTGCCTTTGTGGGTCCCTTCCTCCATAAAAACACATGAAAAATTATGTTTGATGAATATGTCAGTATAAAGACAAATATAATCCAGGTTAGATTCATTATTATGTATCCATTACTATTATATTCATTTTTCCTCTGATTTTGAAATAAATGAAAATTGAAACAGTTTTGTGGGCTCTTGAAAATATCATGGGCCCTAGGCACTCTGCCTACTATGCCTCATGGATAAGTCAGCCCTGAATCAGATATGCATACTGGGGTGAAATAGCCTTCCAGAGAGCAACTCTGTATATCTTGGGGAGGAGAGAGGGAGACAGCTTCTTATGCTTATTTTTGTGAATCTACATATAGAAAGTAGTTAAATATGCTTTTAGTGGGAGTAGTCCTTTCAAGTTATTATTGCCACTATAAGTTAAAAACCATGTGGTAGACTGGGCTTGGTGGCTCATGCCTGTTATCCTAGTGCTTTGGGAGGCTGAGGTGGGAGGATCACTTGAGGCCAGGAGTTTGAGACCAGCCTGGGCCACATAGCAATACCTTGTCTCTGCAAAAAATTAAAAATTAGCTGGGCATGGTGGCATGGTTCTGTACTACTCAGGAGACTGAGCTCGGAGGATAGCTTGAGCCCAGGAGGTCAAGGTTGCAGTGAGCTATGATTGTGCCATTGTACTCCAGCCTGTGTGACAGAGTGAGACCCTATCTAAAAAAAAAAAAAAAAAAAAAAAAAAAAAAAAAAAAAAAAAAAATCACCTGACAATACAGAACTGTATGGTACTCATGTATTTTCATGACACAACCAAAATCTTTAATTTTTTCTTGGCAGCTTACACATACTATTTCAATTTAGATGGCTGTGACATAACAGATCAATAGCATAAGAATTTACTGGGTTTGCCCAGAGTGATGGTTTACAAGGCTCTGTTAATATTCTGTAATTGTCCTTTGTGAACACAATTGTTGCATGACAGAAACAACATGAGTCAGAAGTGATAGGAATGAACCTGGTTCTACTTACCAGGCATTTGTATTCAAATCCTCTGAGCCTCAATTTTCGCATTTGTAAAATGGGACTAATGTTTACCTCTGAAGGTTACTGTGAGCATGAACGTAAAATGAAATATATGTGAAGTAACTCATAAATTATAAAAGCAGTATGTAAATGTTAGTACTGAATTCATAGATATATGATACAGTTCATTGATTTCTAGGTTTTTCTCCTGAAAACTCCTAATTTCTAAGTTTTACAAAAATAGTGTTGTCCAGTTTTATGGCTGACATGAGCATTATATACACAGGTGGGTTTCCTATTTACTGAGGTGACTTGTATAGGGATCTGATTTCCAAGAGGACATCCTGGAAGCCTCTTCTGTACCCTCTGGGACTCTTTCAAAAGGGTTGTTTACTTATGGTGACTCTCTAGAGGCCTGCCAGTGTGGTGCAAATGACAGTGGTCAGTTGCTTTGGTTGAAGTTTATATACCTGCTTCTCAGGCATTTACAACGACTTCTCTTACAATAAATGTTTCATTATCACATCTGTTTAACAAACTAACAGGCCGTAATAGGACCTAGGGGTCATGGAGGTTCAATGCCAACAGCATTTTGGAAAGTATTGTTTTTGTTCTGCAGTTGGGGAATAAAGTCTGTATTTTTTTTTTGTATAATTAGATTACATAACACCATAAACATTGCTTTGAGCATATATTATTTAACAGGTAATGTGCTTGTCCTTTGATAGAGGGTGATAAAAAAGATGAATAAGATATGGAACCTATCCTTATAGGTACCTTATCAAGGCATATAAAAGTATTTTTATTTGTATTAATTTATATGTTTAAAGAGTGTTATTTCTTATTGGGTTTATCTCTTATGGAATGATAAATCCAAAAGCTGTTTTCTCAAGTAGATTTTCAGTTGATCTTTTGAAGGAATTAGTTTTTGTTTGAATTTGCATTTCATCTACCATAATAATTTATTTTAAATTGGATCATGTTTTAAAAAGTCATCTATTTTCTTAGTTTGATTGAATGAGGCTGTTGAAATGAAGTACCACGTGGTGCTGGCCAGCGAGTGACATACATAAGACAGTGCTGGCTTCACAAAAGCCCTCTCATAACTTTGGGGTTCTGTTTCCTCATGAGTTCTCTTCTATGTTTTAATAACTTTTTGGTGTCCAGAGAGGAAAGGCATGGGAAATCATCTTTGGTTCCACTAGAGATGAGAGAGAAAGACTTAATATCTTCCATTTCACTATACTAAAATTCTGTGCAAAAAGATGCTTGAAATTATTGTAGAGACTGAATCTTTGCTGCTTGTTATAAATATTGCAGGGCATAAACCTTCCATTCATAGGTTCATCAGCTTTTATGATTGGGAGTGACAGGGAGGCAGCATTGCAGTCCTTAGTCCTAGGTGCGGTCTAGAATTTACCCTGTATTTAAGTCACTTTGGAATAGAAGTTTTTTTTCTCGGACAGGATACACTATATATTTTTAAATCTCCTCCCATAGTCGTAGTGCAGAGATATAAATAGAAGTACAGGTAAGAGATGTCTTCTGCCTTTCAAACCCTTCCTAAGTTTGTGTGCTGCTTTAACTTTATTCACATAGAGCAGTCTGTTTTATTACTCAGGATATGGGCTAGGTTAGGATGCTGTCACAAACCACCAGTCACAGAGGACTTCCTAAAGAGAAGCCCCAGGGAGTGTTCCTCTCCACCACCCTTCCCTCACCTCTCTGTGGAATTAGGGGAGAGCGGCTATTCTCTCCACAAAAACTCTTTTTTTCTTGGATTTCATGACCCTCATGCAGATTCTTCTTGCTTCTCAGGCTGCTCTGCCTCCGTCTCCTTCATTGCACCCCAGTGGTGGAATTTCCCCCTGGCTCAGTCTTCTGCACTTTTCTGTCTGTTCACTTTGTTCCTCAGAGAACTCCTCCTCTATTTTGGTTTCTGTTCATCTCTATGGAGATAACTTTTAAAACTATGGTGTTTATTGTGAAATCTTTCCTAAACATTATACGTTATTTCCAACTGTTGCTGATTTCGATCTAATAGTTTTATCAATATCGCTTTAGATTGCACAGAATAAGAAAACCTGGGAATTAGAAGAATCTTCGAAGTCAGTTTTTCCAGCTTTATTTCTACTTTGAAAATCTGTTACTATAGCGCTGATGAATATTTTCCTTGAATATTGCTCTGACAAGTAGCTCAGATATCTAATTTGGGAGATGTCTAATTCTCTTTCTTTTCTTTTTTTTTTTAGAAACAGGGTCTCACTGTGTCACCCAGGCTGGAGTGCAGTGGTGATCATAGCTCACTACAGCCTCAAACTCTTGGGCTCAAATGATCCTCCCACTTCAGCCTCCCAAGTAGCCACATCTACAACTGTGCCACCACACCTGGCTAGTTTTTTAATTTTTTGTAAAGATAGGGTCTCACTATACTGTTCAGGTTTGTCTTGAAGGCCTGGCCTGAAGTAATCTTTCACCCTGGGCCTCCTAAAGTGTTAACAATTACAGGTGTGAGCCACTGCGTTCAACCTCATTATCTGTTTTGACAGTAAATTCAACCGTATGTTAACAGAATTTCAGATCCTTGTAAAGTTTACTTTCTGTTCTGAATTTTGGAATAACAGAGTATTTATTCTGCCATCTACCTTAAAAACAATCAAATATTTGAAGATCTCTCTCATTTTGCCACATGCTCTCTTTCTTTTGCTAATATTCTCTCTCTCTTTCAGTCTCTGATTTTTTGGGTGGACACCTGCAAATTTCCTCTAATATATGACATGGTTCATAGTTTTTAGACTCTCAGTATCTTACCTATAATATGAGCTTCACCAGGGAAGGGCTGCTATCTTTCTCATTTTTGACCCTGCAACATGTAGTATGGTGTGTGTCACTTTGTTCTAGAACCTGGACATCTACTGAGTAGATGTTTGAATGAATACATCATGGTCACAAAACGTTTTGATGCTCTTGGCTTCTCCAGTGGCTTCTATATTGCTTACAACTGGGTTCGGTTGAACCCAGTTTTCAAGATGTAGTCTGACTTAACTTGGAATGGAGTGGTACCAGATTCTGCTGATCTGGAATTTGGCTTCCATTAAGATTGTATTAGCAGCTTTTGGGAATTTGTACTTATGGCTCACTGAGCTCGCAGTGAAGGCAGAAAAACCATGAAAGGGTCTTGAGTCAGGTGTTATGTTTCTGTATTTATTAAGTTGATGTAGAGTCATTGAATTAGTCAGGATTCTCTAGTAAAACGGAATGTATATGTGTGTGTGTATATATATATATATAGTAGTATATATATACACACACACATATATACAAATATATATGGATATATAATATACAATATATAATAATATAAAAATATATATACACGTATATGTGTATATACGTATATATGTGTATATTTGTATATATGTGTATATACACCTATATTTGTATATAGGTGTATATATACATGTATGTATGTGTCCAAATATATACGTATATGGATATATGTATGCATTTATATATATTCATTTATATTATGTATAAATGCTATATGGATTTGCCTCATATGATTATTGATGCTGAAAAGTCCTGATTTGCAGTTGGCAAACTGGAGACCCAGGAGACCCAGTGGCATGATTTCAGTCCAAATGCCAGCAGGCTTGAGACCCAGGAAGAGCCAATGTTTTAGTTTGAGTCTGAAGGCAAGAAAAAACTGATGTCCCAGCTCAAAGGCAAGAGGAGTTCCTTCTACTCAGCCTTTTTGTTCTATTCAGGCCTTGAGCTGATTGGATGAATCCCACACACATCAGGGACGGTGATCTGCTTTACGCTGCCTACTGATTAAAATGTTGATCTCATGCAGAAAGACCCTCACAGACACACCAGAACTGTGCTTGACCAAATATCTGAGCACCCTGTAGCCCAGTCAAGTTGACACACAAAATTCACCCTCACAGACATACTTTAGTTTATCAAGATATTTTTGAATTTGTGTATTTCTCCTTTTGGTTTGTCAGGTTTTTCTTTACATATTTTGAGGCTACGTTATTGGATGCATACAAATTTAGAGTTGTTGTATAGTCCTGGAAGATCAATCTTTTGTTACTATGGGATGACTCTATCTCTAGCAGTGCTTATTGTATTAAAGTTTAATTTATCTGATATGAGTATGATAATATCAGATTTCCTATGGTTAATGTTGCATGTTATATATTTTCACATTTTTTTACTTTAAATTCTTTAATATTTTTTTATTTAAGATGCTGCATATAGAGTTTTAAAAAATTCAGTTTGATAAACTTTGGCTTTTAAGTAGAATATTTAGTCTACTTACTTATATCTAATATAGTTATTGCTATATTTGTATCAGTAGTAAAATAAATGCATTATCTTAATATTTGTTGTTATTCATTGATTTTCTTTTTATTGCCTTCTTTTGCATTAATCAAATATTTTTATTATTCTAGTTCCAACCACCTGTTAGCTTGGTAGTCATCATTCCTTTAAACTTCTTTTTGTGATTACTCTGGTTACAACATTTCTGTATAGTTGAATGAGTACTTTTACTACTTTATCAACAATATCATGAATTTAGAATATTTTAACTCTTTTAATCAAATTTTTATGCTATCATTACCATGTATTTAATTCTTGGTACATTTTAAAACCAGCAGTGCAACAGTAATAAATAACATGTATTATTGTCAGTACAGTAATTATTTGTGCAGATTTACCCATAATCATTCTGTTATTTTTTATTTTTCTGCATTCTATCTAGAATAGTTTTTCTTCTTTCTTAAGACTTCCTTTTTTTTTTAAATGTGGGAATGCTGGTAATGAATTCTATCACTTTTTGTCAGTTAGAAAAAGTATTTATTTTGGATTTACATTTGAATGTGAATATTTCCACTGGGTGGAGAATTCTATATTGATACTCTTTTCTTCTGGCACTTTAAAGATATCTTTCCATTGCATTCAGGCCTCCACTGACTTTTTTGAAAAGTAAGGTGACAATCTTATTATTACTTTTTTGAAGATGACATATCTTTTTCCTGTGGCTGCTTCAAAAACTTTGTCTTTGAGCAATATTACTATTATGTGTCTAGATATAGTTTCTTTTTTTATCCAGCTTGGGATTCTTAGAAATTCTTCATTTTGTAGTTTGATGTCTTTTGAAAGTTTTGGAAAATTCCCAGTCAGAATATCCTCAGATCATGTTTCTATCCCCTATTCTCTCTGTTCTCCTCAATGGGGATCCAGTTACACATATGATAAACCTTTAACCATATATCTTATCTTTTTATGCTCTTTTCTGAAATTTTAAACTTTTCATCTTTCCATATGCAGTTTTCATATTTTCTACTGACCAGTTTCCAGCTTACTATTACCCTATGTTGCTGTTTCTAATTTTCTGTTCATATGTTGAATTCTGAATTTATTATATTTTCAAATTCTAGAGTTTTCATTTGTTTCTTTTACATATATTTCCGTTCTTTAGTGAAATTTTCCATCTTGTTATCTTTTTAATGTACATGTTAATCAGTTAAAGTCCAAATCTAATAGTTCTAATATCTGGATCATCTGTTTTTATTTTGTATTTATTTCTTTTTGTTTTCAATAATTTGATATTATCTTCTGCCATAACCACTAATTTGTTATTGAACGCTAGATATTGTAAATGAAAAATTGTAGAGGATCTGGATAATGTCTTCCTTCAGGAGGATTTACTTTACATCTGGGTAGCAGTTAGAGAAGGAGCAGATTGTCTTGATCCAATCAGGGACCGAGATACTTTTGAGGCTGAATTTCAGTCTTTATAAGGTTTAGTATGTTTTCATTGGTTTGTCTCATCAAATATAATCCTTTAGAAGTCAAATGAAAACTTAGTGTGTACCAAGACCTCTCTTCCCTGCTAGGCTCTGAACTCTAATTATTGTCTTTTCTCACTTCTGGGCAGCTTAGGAATTAGCAAGTGTTTCAAGGGGAAAGGTACAGAATATCAGGTTTACTTTAATACATTTCTCTTTTCTTCCGGATCTTGGCTATTTAAATTCTGGCTGTTTTGTCATTCCATGAGATCTTCAAGTAGCTATGTATATTTCCTCTAGCATTTATCGTTATTCTTAGCAGGTGGGTTGGTCCTGACACAAGTTACTGCATTATATAGGAAGCTGAAGTCACAAGTTAATTTTTAAATAATCTGTTTTATAAGTTTATAAGAATACATTAAATATTAGTATTTTATAGTTATTAGGTGATTATTTGAATACATCAGGAAGATGTATGAGTAAGAAATGAAAAAAATGTTAAGTTGAATAAGAAAATGGTCAATCAATATATTAATTAGTCTTCTCTGCTGGAATGAGCTAAACTTTAGTCAGGACACATAAACAAATGTAAATCTATTTGGAAATGCTTCAAACTACAGTGAAAAATAAAATGATTAAATACTTAAAATAACATTCTATGTTGGATACATTCATTGGGCTTAGAACATATTTCCAAATGCATTTTTCTAACTCTACGTTTCTTCATTATTTATGATTTCCAAGTATACAATCTAATTGCCATATTGTGGTTTTATAAAAAAAAGTTTAAGTAAAAATTTTCATCCATAGAATTATACTTTATTGTAAAATGCTTTTAAGTCCCTTCCATACAACCATTACTACAGAACACCCCTTTGATCCAGTATTTGAGCCAGAATCTGACATATGGGGTAAGCAGTTAATGAATGTTATCTGTCACTGTATTAGGCTGAGTATTGTCAGTCAATGCTACTTGAGTTAGAGTACCCCAGGGGACCTAGTTCTCATCTAATGTTGCTCTCACAATTTGTCCAAACAGAACTTCCCAATATAAAAATAATTATAATTTTTAAATTTCTGGACTTAATTTTGAAATCTGGACTCTCTTTTGATGGCAGAATGAAATCTTAAAGCATGTGAGGTAATCTCAAATGTGCTATTTTCTTTTTTTTAAAAGCACCTAAAAGAGAGCTAACCAAATATGATATTTTCTATAAATAAAAGTACTCTTAATAACTCAGAAATTAAAAGCCTACTGTGAATTGTAAATTTACTTTTTACATGGTGAAAAAGCTAATTTAAACATCACATTTCAGGCCAAGTGAGGTGGCTCATACCTGTAATCCCCGTACTTTGGAAGGCCAAGGCTAGAGAATCTTTTGAGCCCAAGAGTTTGAGACCAGCCCTGGTAACACAGGGAAATCCCATCTCTAAAAAAAAAAAATCACATTTCAATAATTTTGGCTAGTATGATCTTGTTTCACTGTAGTAGTGCTGATTGTCTTATGAAAAATAAAAAATATTGACTAGTCATTCATTCATTCACTTTTTTAAAAACGAAACAGAAATGTATTCCTCACAGTTCTAGAGATGGTGAAATCCAATCAAGTGGTCAGCAGATTCAGTATCTGGTGGGGCTTGCTTCCTTGTTCATAGACAGCCATGTTTTTACTGTGTCCTCACATGGCAGAAGGTATGAGGGAGCTTTCTGTGGTCCCTTTGACAGGGGTGGCACTAATTTCATTTGTGAGGCCTCTGCCTTCATGACCTAATCACCTCCCAAGGTCCCACCTCTGAATTGCATCACATAGGGAATTAGATTTTTATTATTTTATTTTATTTAAGTTCTGGGATACATGTGCAGGATGTGCAGGTTTGTTACATAGGTAAATGTGGTGGTTTGCTGCATCTATCAACCTGTCACCTAGGAATTAAGCCCAGCATGCATTAACTATTTTTCCCGATGCTCTCCCTCCCGTTGTTCCCCTACCCCACAGGCCCCAGTGTGTGTTCTTCCCCTCCCTGTGTCCATGTGTTCTCACTGTTCAGCTCCCACTTGTAAGTGAGAACATGCGATGTTTGGTTCTTTGTTCCTGTTTTAGTGTGCTGAGGATAATGGCTTCCAGCTCCATCCGTGTCCCTGCACAGGACATGATCTCATTCCTTTTTATGGCTGCATAGTATTCCATGATGTATATGTACCACATTTTCTTTATCCAGTCTATCATTGATGGGCATTTGGGTTGATTCTATGTCTTTGTCATTGTGAATAGTGCTGCAATGAACATACGTGTGCATGTATCTTTGTAATAGAATGATTTATATTCCTTCGGGTATATACCTAGTAATGGGATTGCTGGGGCAAATGGTATTTCTGCCCGTAGGTCTTTGAGGAATCGCCATACTGACTTCCACAATGGTTGGAGTAATTTATATTCCCACCAACAGTGTAAAAACATTCCTGTTTCTCAAGATCGCGCCATTGCACTCCAGCCTGGGAGACAGAGTGAGACTCTGTCTCAAAAAAAAGAAAGAAAGAAAAAAAAAAGTTCCTGTTTCTCCACAGCCTCACTAGCATCTGTGGTTTCTTGACTTTTTAATAATTGCCATTCTGACTCGTGTGAGATAGTATCTCACTGTGGTTTTTGTTTGCATTTCTCTAATAATCAGTGATGTTGAGCCTTTTTTCATGTTTGTTGCCCACATAAATGTCTTCTTTTGAGAAGTTCATGTCCTTTGCCCACTTTTCAATGTGGTTGTTTGCTTTTTTCTTGTAAATTTGTTTAAGTTCCTTATAGATTCTGGGTGTTAGATCTTTGTCAGGTGGATAGATTGCAAAAATTTTTTCCCATTCTGTAGGCTGTCTGTTCACTCTGATGATAGTTTATTTTGCTGTGCAGAAGCTCTTTAGTTTAATTAGATCCCATTTGTCAACTTTTACTTTTGTTGCAATTGCTTTTGATATTTTTGTCATGAAATCTTTGCCCATGCCTATGTCTTGAATGGTACTGCCTAGATTTTCTTTTAGGGTTTTTATAGTTTTGGGTTTTACATTTGAGTCTTTAATCCATCTTGAGTTAATTTTCATATAAGGCATAAGGAAGGGGTCCAGTTTCAATCTTCTGCATATGGCTAGCCAGTTCTCCTAGCACCCTTTATTAAATAGGAAATCCTTTCCCCATTGCTTGTTTTTGTCAGGTAACCAAAACAGCATGGTACTGGTACAAAAACAGACACATAGACCAATGGAACAGAATAGAGAACTCAGAAATAAGACTGCACATCTACAACCATCTGATCTTTGAGAAACCATTCATTCACTTATTGATTTATCTATCCATTCATCTATCTAGCCATCCATCCATCTATCCATCATTCTGTCCATTTCAGAAATATATACTGAACGTTGATTATGTGCTAGACACTGTTCCAAAGGTTGCAGGTACAGCTGTGAACAAAACAGGTTTAAAGAAGTAAAAAGCCCTCAACCTGCATGGAGCTCACATTCTGGTCGGGGGCGGGGCAGAAAGACAATCAACAAAATAAATGAATAAATAATCTTCTACATTGGGTGGGAGTGTGCTGCAGTTTCAAAAAGGATAACCATGGAAGGCTGAATTAAGAAGACATATTTGATTGCAGATTTGAAAGAAGTGAGGCGGCAGCCATGTAAATACTTGAGCAATAAGCATGCCAGGCGAGGGAACAGTAAGTGCAAAGGCCATGAGATGAGAATGGACCTGGTGTGGTCAAGGAACAAGAGGCCACTGAGGCTGGAGTTGAATGAAGATGGGGGACAGTGGTTGTCAGGGCTGGATCGAGGGTTTTTTTGTTTGTTTGTTTTTTGTTTTTTTTTTTAGAGGGAGTCTCGCTCTGTCACCCAAGCTGGAGTGCAGAGACGCCTCCCGGGTTCAAGCAATTCTTCCCAAGTAGCTGGGACTACAGACGCCTGCCACCACGCCCAGCTAATTGTATTTTTAGTAGAGATGTGGTTTCACCATGTTGGTCAGGCTGGTCTCGAGCTTCTGCTCAGGTGATCCACCCGCCTTGGCCTCCTAAAGTGCTGGGATTACAGGTGTGAGCCACCGTGCCCAACCTGGATCTAGGTTTTTTGAGGTCTTAAGCTAATATAAATACAAAATACAAAATCAGGTATAATAAAAATATTAATTTAGAGTGAGAAAATCTCTATAAATTATAATTTTGAAAATTTGAAAAATACCCCAAGCATCCCAAAATTCAGAAAAACAACACAGTGTCTTCATTTTGCTGAATGTGCCTTTATAAAATGTTTTATTTATTTATTTTTGGCCTTTTATTTTTGATTGCCTCTCATATAACAATTATTTTGTTACAAAATTTTCTAAAGAGAGACTTAGATAATTCAGTTTTTCCTTTGGTATAGTTAATTAACATTAACTTAAGAATTATGGTAGCTTAGAAAAAATTTTCACCTTTGTGACTTCACAATGTCACATAAACATTTAGAATGGTCAACCTTGGAAAAACTTCCACCAAGTTTCTTTCATATATGAACTGTTACAGATATACTTGCCATAAGTAGTGCTGCTATAAGTAGGTTTATGCTCAAAAGCACAGGAATTCTAATGCATTTTATTCTGTGAAATCCCCATGAAAAAAGAAAAATATGTTTATTATACTTACTAAGTATAATAAGCATATCATGTCATACATGTATTCATCAACTCCTAGTCAAAACAGAATTTATCACCTCTCAAGAATATGAGGAGTGTATATATATTATGTATCAAATATATATGATATGTAATATATAATAAATATATGATATGTATAATATATATCTATATATTATTTTATTATATATAATATATAGATCTATATTATATATAAATATAGATCTATATCTATTATATATAATAGATATAGATCTATATATTATTCTATTATATATAATACATATAGATCTATATATTATTCTATTATATATAATAAATATAGATCTATATATTATTTTATTATATATAATATACAGAGATCTATTTATTATATATAATAGAGATCTATATATTATATATAATAAATATAGATCTATATATTATATATAATAAATATAATCTATATTTATTATATATAATATAGATCTCTATATTATTTTATTATATATAATAAATATAGATCTCTATATTATTTTATTATATATAATAATATAGATCTCTATATTATTTTATTATATATAATAAATATAGATCTCTATATTATTTTATTATATATAATAAATATAGATCTCTATATTATTTTATTATATATAATAATATAGATCTCTATTATTTTATTATATATAATAAATATAGATCTCTATATTATTTTATTATATATAATAATATAGATCTCTATTATTTTATTATATATAATAAATATAGATCTCTATATTATTTTATTATATATAATAATATAGATCTCTATTATTTTATATATAATAAATATAGATCTCTATATTATTTTATTATATATAATAATATAGATCTCTATTATTTTATTATATATAATAAATATAGATCTCTATTATTTTATTATATATAATAAATATAGATCTCTATTATTTTATTATATATAATAAATATAGATCTCTATATTATTTTATTATATATAATAAATATAGATCTCTATATTATTTTATTATATATAATAAATATAGATCTCTATATTTATTATATATAATTAAATATAGATCTCTATATTATTTTATTATATATAATAATATAGATCTCTATTATTTTATTATATATAATTATAGATCTCTATATTATTTTATTATATATAATAAATATAGATCTCTATATTATTTTATTATATATAATAAATATAGATCTCTATATTAATTATATATAATAAATATAGATCTCTATATTATTTTATTATATATAATAAATATAGATCTCTATATTATTTTATTATATATAATAAATATAGATCTCTATATTATTTTATTATATATAATAAATATAGATCTCTATATTATTTTATTATATATAATAAATATAGATCTCTATATTATTTTATTATATATAATAAATATAGATCTATTTTATTATATATAATATAGATCTATATTTATTTTATTATATATAATAAGTATAGTTCTATATTTATTATATATAATATATATAGATCTATATATTATATTATATATAATAAATATAGATCTATATATATTATATATAATAAATATATATGATATATTTGATATATCATATATAAATATATATGATATATATCATATATAAATATATATGATATATATCATATATAAATATATATGATATATATCATATATAAATATATAAATATATATGATACGTTTATTATATATAATAAAATAATCTATATCATATATATTATATATAATAAAATGAAATACGTAATAAAATGTTTTACATATAGATACATACATATGCATAT
Organism: Homo sapiens; assembly: GCF_000001405.40. Taxonomy (NCBI): domain Eukaryota; kingdom Metazoa; phylum Chordata; class Mammalia; order Primates; family Hominidae; genus Homo; species Homo sapiens. The sequence goes on along the minus strand of NC_000015.10, from coordinate 50,085,761 downwards.
ACATATACATTTACTTGATACTCCTTGTACTCCTGATGGGAGATATATTGTTTTGACTAGGAGTTGTTGAATACTAAATCTTACACATATAATTTTACACGTTTGATGATTGGGAGAATTCTGCACAGGCTTACTTGTAGCTCTATATTTCAAACCTCCAGTCTCTTCCACAATCCATACACTTCTAGTGCCAGGTGCCGTAGGATGTGATCATGTTGCCATGTGATCTTGGGCCCTAGATTCTTATGTTACGGCACTGCGTGGATCTGCATTCCTGACCACCAATAACTGAACTCTATGTAGAAGTATCTGTGAATCACATAAATAGACTCCAGGAAACACAAACTCATGTAGTTGCACCTGATTGCCCCTTATCTGGTTCCGAGCAGCACCATCTGATATTAGGCAAAGTGTGATGGAAGGAACGTTAAAGTGGAGGAGATGATGGTCTCAGCCCCCTGTGGCTAAAATATTTGACTTTTATAAACTGAAAAAAAAGGACTATGCAAACACATTTCTAGTGCTACTCCTTGGGATGAACTGTGCAAGTGAGGTGAGCTGAAGCTTGTTTAGCTTCATGGTAACTTGGCCTCTGGTGGTGATGTGAGGCCAGGGAGGTAATGGGGTAGATGTGTAAAGATTAGGCAGGGCCCTGAAGGCCTTGGTAACAACTGGCTTCTGTGTCTTCAGATGAAGAGCTAGTGGATGGCCTTGAGTAGGAGAGAGAGATAAGACTTGCGGTAGGCAAAATAATACCCCTTGCCCCAATGACGTCCCAGAACCTGTGAATACATTACCTTACAAGGCAAAAGGAACTTTGTGGATGTGCTTAAGTGAAGGGATCTTGAGGGTGGTGAGAATATCCTGAATGATGGAGGTAGGCCCAGTGTAATTTGCAGGGATCCTTATCAGAGGGAGGCAGGAGGGTCAAGGGCAGAGAATGAGATGTGACAACGAAAGCAGAGGTTGGACTGCTGTGGGCCATGAGCCAAGGGACGTGGGCAGCTTTTAGAAGCTGGAAAGTCAAGAAACACATTCTTCCCTAGGATCTCTAGAAGGAACTCAGCCCTGCTGACACCTTAATTTTAGCCCTGTAAGACCTTTTTCAGACTGCTGACTTTCAGAACTGTAAGATAATGTTTATGTTGTCTTATGCCACTAAATTCATGGTAATTTGTTAGAGCAGCAGTGGAAAACTGATAGAATTCTGAAAGAAGCATTCTGGCTGCTCGTTGAGAATAGATGGTAGGGCGAAGGGGCAGAAGCATTGAGACCAGAGGGGAGGCTGTTGCAGTAGCCTGGGCCTCGAGGATGGTGGCTTGGACCAGGGTGTGTGCAGAGGAGGCCTGAGAAGTGGCCGATTCTGAGCATTTACCACCTTTCTTTTCTGCCTCAAATCCTGGCCCCCTTGTATCTCTTTTTAAAGCCTTATTACCTGAATGTGTCATGAATAGGTAAATAAAGTGAGGCTCCTATTTTTTTGTTGGTCTTTTCACACTTGGACTGATATTAGAAGGAACAGCTGAGATGAGACTGTGGTGATGTCCTCTTTTAGTGTCCATGTTTTTTACCCCGTCTTAGATGGCAGACCGCCTCCACCAAATTCCTTTTCGTTACATCACGGTGGTGTAGTCTGGGTCAGGTGCCTGGCAAAATAACCCTGCACACTCCATGGTTTGTATATGGCTACGTAAGCTCCCTTCAGAGCTGCCTGGGACAGGCAGGGATGCTTTTTGGCCACCCGTCTGGATGTGATGTTCCTTTTCTCCAGTTGCTGTGGCTCTCTGGCCTGTCTTCTGCATCCTTGCTGTGCACATATCTGTGGGCATGAAAACACTTTGAAGGCAATCATTGTCTTGTTTGTCTTTGTTTTGTCTTTGCTGACTAGCTATTCTAGCTAGATGAGCAGCTCTATTAGCCTTGCTCAAACGAGCTCAATAAATATTTTTGGGATAAATCACTTTCCCTTGGCTCTAGTAAATTAATTGCCATATGGATTCAGGGAGCTGAGATGCAGAAACCAATACGTATTAAAGAAACTCAGTTTATAGCTTCATGCATCTTAAAGTGACAAACACGAATTGAAAGCTTCCTGTGCAACCCCTGAGGTATCAAGCAGAGAAGTGCTCTCTTCAGAGCTCTTTCTTGCCTGTCTTTCTTTTATGCCTGGAGTTATTTCCTCTCATTTTATGACAGGAGGCTTTCTTGGCCAACCCTTAGGTGGCCAGCCTGTGTTTCACAGAGGAAAATTAAATGCCCTCTGGCTTCTAGGCTCTTATAATCTTTGGGGCAGATGCTGATTTTTTTTTTCTTTGAGTAGAGATGATACAGAAAGAAAGAAATGACTATTTCTCATCTTTAGAGAAAGCATTCTGTATGGTCCAGTCCATAAAAATGCATTTTTTTTGCTATAGATAATCTAATTGTAAAAGAATGTAGATAGAAAAGAACAGATTAGAACAGGCACATATAAGAAAAGTTTCAAAGAAAACAGTCAGTTTTGAACAGGAGTATTCTTAGTGAACTGCCCAAAGTCTCCAAGGAGAGAGGAAACACGCACTACAGGAAGGCCTTCCCAGTGCAGCAGAGACCAACCCTGGAGATGATGAAGCATGGGAAGTGACTGGGCCACGAGGTTGTTTGGGATGGGGTGTGTGATTTGATGTACATCTGGAGTATTGCATTTGATGAGAGGGCTCTTCCCCCTCTCTTTGACCTTTGGACCAAGGCACACACCAATTTGCAGTTTCCCAGTCATCTATGCACTGTACCACCACCATCTCCTTATATCTAGAATCTCCTCCGAGTTTCTTTTATAAGGGAGGCAGTTCTGTGTTTGCATTCTGACTTTACCGCATAATCTTGCTAGGACTCTGTTTCTTCCCCTGTAAAGTAGGGCTGATAACAGCATGTACCTAATGGGATTGTTCTGAGGATTAATAAAATAATGTGTGTGAAACACTTCATGTAGTATCTAGCTTGTAATAAGTGCTCAATTAATGTTAGCTATTACTATTATCATTATCATAATAAGTCTTAAATCTCTAGTCATGAATCTTTACTTATGGAAAGCTACATGCTGAGGGTTTATATGGATATTTTATTAATTTTATGTGTAATTTGTATAATCCAGTTCATGTATCCTAGAAGAGGAATGAATAATGAATTGGTAAAAATTTTACATTTCTTTGTGAAGCTATAGTGAGCCCTGGAAGGAATAAAGTTCTCAAATCAAATTTTCCAACTATCTGGATCTGATGAGCAAATTGGCTCAGCCAAGAGAAAAACAAACCCAAGGCCCTTTAGTATTTGTTTGACTCCCCTAACTTTGTTTCCAAGCTCTCTTGTGAGGAAAGCGTAAAAAAATTGTGGGAAGGTTTTTTTTTCCTTCTATTCTCTTTGGTTTTCTGCTTAAATGTCAATAAGTTCCAGAAGCCGCAGGTCACCACTGGGTTTCAATAGGAAACCCCAACTGGGGACACATTTTTCAATTGTATCAGAATGTGTTCTTGGAGTCAACTCAGGAAATCTTGGAGGCTGAGGGACTCCTTTTCTTTAAAGCTCTCCCCACTCATTGTTCTTTCCTCATGTCTTTAATGAATTGCTTTGGCTTCCAACTACATGGACCAGATTATGAAGAATGAAAGAAAATTAGGAAAGGAAGAAGCTTAAGTTATTGATTTAGCTTGAGGAAATTTTTCAGAGATTTCTGACCCAACCCCAAAAAACCCACAATCACCCTAAACCCCAAATGACACTTCATGTTTGGAGACATTCTTCAGCTTTTGGATCAGTACCAGTCTTGCTCAGGAAATATCAGTCTTTATCACTGAGTTCTATATAGGGACCCCGAATGCTCCATGGTGCTTCATCATTTCATGATTTTGAGGGTCTACAGCCAAGTGCCTGAGGCTGTTTTCTAAACCACATTTGGTGAAGGACAAAATGCTCTGGAGTTAATTAAAGAAAGACTGTTGTATTTGTTAATTAGGGATTCATACTTGCTGTGATCGCTCGTGGGTCTAGTGGAAACTTGCTAACTCTTCCCTTTACTCTTGCTCTTATTAGCAGACCTCATGCGTTCACTACCTAATCTTAAATACTAAGGTGTTACAAATTGTTCACAAACTGATTTTTAGGAAGAGGTTGTAAATGGCCTGTTTTCTTTTGCCTACTGGAAGTGGAAGTTGGATAATGTATAATTTATTATATTATGATGGAGAAGAGGCCAGATTAGGAGTTGGGTGTTGCCTTTGAGGACCTGGAGTAGAATCAATGGGCATTTGCCAATTTCCATTGAAAATATTAAAAAAATTACTTCAAGATCTTCTTGGGAAATAATCATATTAGCAACTTTAAGACTGACTATTCAAGCTTGAGTGATTTCCTTTTTTGCCCATTTACTATTTTTCAGTTTTTTAAAAAAGGATTTTTCTGGTATTTTTCTGTTTACAATGTATTTTCCATATATTTCCTCATTAAATGATTATAACACACAGTGGCATTATTTTACTGAGAAACCATAAGTAAGGAGAGGTATGAGTTAAAATGTGCTTGTATAGGTACTTGCAGAAGGATCATTGGCTCTTGTTGTCTCAAGGTCCAAGCGTCTTTTTCTTTTATGAGGACTCTTTTTTTTTTTTTTTCTTGAGACGTAGTCTCGCTCTGTCCCCCAGGCTGGAGTGCAGTGGCGTGATCTCGGCTCACTGCAAGCTCCGCCTCCCGGGTTCTCGCCATTCTCCTGCCTCAGCCTCCATAGTAGCTGGGACTAGAGGTGCCCGCCACCACGCCTGGCTAATTTTTTGTATTTTTCGTAGAGATGGGGTTTCACCATGTTAGCCAGGATGGTCTCGATCTCCTGACATCATGATCCGCCTGCCTCGGCCTCCCAAAGTGCTGGGATTACAGGCGTGAGCCACTGCGCCCGGCCCATGAGGACTCTTTCATTAAACTCTCATTTTTATGGGTCCTAAAAATCTTCCTAACAGGGGAACAACACCTTAATTGAACTTAAAAATTTCTAGCAGGGGGCCAGACATGGTGGTTCATGCCTGTAATTCCAGCACTTTAGGAGGCCAAGGTGGGAGGATTGTTTGAGGCCAGGAGTTCGGGACCAGCCTAAGCAACATAGTGAGACCCTGTCTCTACTTATTAAAAAAAAAAATTCTAGCAAGATAGTATTATGTCCCTCTCATCTTTTAAACTTGTTTCTTAGTGATCTGATTACACTTTTGGATGTTCTGTCTGTATCTTTCCTTTCCAAATGGAAAGACAAGCATAAGTGGATATAGTTTTGTTTTTAATCATAAACCAGGAGCGACTTTAACAAACCATCAGCCCTATGAGATAATTCTTTTTTTGCAGGGAAGTAGGGAGCTATAGATTAATTATTCTGAAACTGGGTTATTCTTTTTGATAAATGTTCCCTAATATTTAACTGATTTATAAATGTTTACTTCCTAAAATAAATGAGGTATTCTCATTTAATTATCTTGGAGAATATAACTGGAAGTACATGGCTCAAAGACAAGCATCCAATGAGTGCTTAATTGCTATCCTATTTGGTTGAGGAAGGCATCAAATTATATTGGATTTTATGATTTTGGGGGATTTAAGGTTATTATCGTCATCCTATATGGAGTAGCACTTTGAAGGCTTACTTATCTATTTTTCTATATTCTGGAGCAGATTCAAAACAAATGTCTAAGAGATTTCTGCCTCTGCTGATGGCTGTTATCTTGGATCACTAGAATGACAAAGGATGGCTTCCTTCCTATCCAGGCACATGTTTCTGTTAGGCTCCTCAGGTGTCAAAAAATGATGCAAATGCTATTACCAACTTGATCTTCTTTCGGGTCTTGTACTCAGCCAGCAATACGGTGTAGCAGCATTCCAGGTATGTTCCAGGAAGTTCAATCTCAAGTTCATGGTCACATAGTATTTATTACAGTGAAGTTGATAGAAATAAGAATGATTAGTCAACGAACACATAGCTTATGCATTCATTCAAATATCCCAAAATATATTCCTGGATTTAATCAGATCAACAGAGAATGAGTACAGAGACCCCATCATAGACCCCTCTGAATTGTGTCCTGAGATAATATCCTTAGGGTTGTTACAAAAACCTTATTTTATGTTCTTTATATCAAACAATGACTTCCTTATGAGGATTTCTAAGGTAAATTAATGCCTGAGGCAAGAATTACTAGTAATTGTACTTTTCCTGAGAAATTGATTTATTATTACCTACCAGAACTACTAATAATTGTACTTTTACTGATAAATTGACTTTATTACCTCACAGACTTTGTAAAATAAATGGCAATAGACAAGCATTCCTTTATTCTGTGGCATTTGTGGCACACCTGGATCAGGTGTGTGGGTCATTGGATTAGCTATTTTTATTATCATTCTTGACTCTGGTTGATTATCATTCTTCCTTCTGTGTCTTCTTCCACCCTACTGTACTTTAAACATTTAAACAAGTATTTTTCCTGTTGTACATTCTTTTTTGTAAAATTTTTTATTTTAATTTTTGTGAGTACATAGTAGGTATATCTATTTATGGGTTATACATTAGATATTTTGGTACAGACATGGAGTATATAATAATCATGTCATGTAAAATGGGGTATCCATCCCCTCAAACATTTTCCTTTGTATTAGAAACAATCCAATTATACTTTTAGTTATTTTTAAGTGTACAATTAAGTTATTATTGACTATAGTCACCTGGTTTGCTGTCAAATAGTAGGTCTTACTGTTGTACATTCTTGAGTAGCTGTTTTGTAGATGGTCGTTGTCTGTAAACACTTTTGCAGAGATGTCTTTATTTCCCCTTCACACTTGATTATTTGGCTCGGTATAGAATTCTAAGTTTCAAAATATTTTTCTTTAAAACTGAAAATAATCACTCCAATGTCTTCTAGCATCCTTATTGCTGATGAGAAATGTCATATTGGTCTGATTCTTATGTTTCAGGCTAACCATTTTTTTTTCTTTTGGAAGTTTTTGGGATTATCTGCTTGTCCTTGGAGCTCAAAATTTTATGAAGGTTTGTGGGTTCATTTTCATTCATCCTGATTGGTACTTGGTGGCCCTTTCACTTTGAAGAGTTACATCTTACTCTGGAGCAGGGCAGTTTTCTTCTATTTACTTGATTGTTTTTACCTATCCATTGTCTATGTTCCCTTATCCTAAGTTTTTTTTTTCACATTTTCCTCCTGTTTGTCATTTTGATATATATTTTGTGAGATTTATCCAATCTGTTCTTTCGTCTTGTCCATTCTACTCTCCAGTGTGTCCAGTTAATATTTTTAATTTCTAGGGACTTTTTCTTGTTCTCTGTTTTCTTTGTTTATATTAGCTTGTTCTTGTTTCATGGATGCCATGTCTTCTTAAATATCTTTGAGGTGCTGGGTATGGTGGCTCATGCTTGCAGTCCCAGCTATTCAGGAGGTTGTGGTGAGAGGACGGTTTGAACCCAGGAGTTCGAGACTGCAGTGAACTACAATTGTGCCACTGCATACCAGCCTGGGTGACAGAGTGGTATGCAGTGGCACAATGTCAAAAAAAAAAAGAGCATCTCTAAAAAACCTATATATCTATGTATATATATTCAAGGCACTAATCAGAATTAAAAAGAGAAACCAATCCCCTTTTTCTACCTGTATTCAGCATTATTTCTTCCTGTTGGATCCCTCTTTTTTGTGCTCTTGGTTTTTCTCAGCTGTTACTGGTTTGTATTTATAAATAAAGGACTAGATAGATTAGTGCCATCGCCAGGGTCTTTTTCTCTGCCAGGCCTCTCCTTTGAACAGGAGTGAGCAGCCTGCTGACAGAGGCTTTTCTGTGTGTGTTAGTCAGGCAGTCTGGCAAATCCCACAATGGCCCCAGTCAGGCAGGCTTTACTAGGGGCCAAGTTGGCTATAGCTGCTGTAGAGGGGCAGAGCTCTTCCTTCTCAGGCCTGAATACCCACCCTTGGTTTCCTTCCCTGACGTGTTGTCTGCTCTCTTTGTGGGCAAAGAAGGGGGTGTGGGAGATCCCAACTGGTTCAGTTATTTTTTTAATTACTCTAAGGTGGTAATATAATTTATCATCAAATGGAGACACTTTTGAGAATAAAAGGGGAACCTATCAATTATTTTGACAAGATAATAGGCATAACCTGGGCCTGTCACCCTGTCCATAACATACTCTCAATCTTCATATTTACTGACTCTGAATTTAGAGCTGCTCTGGGCTCATTGGGAAGATCACTCTCTAATTCTTTTGGCTAGAGTTATTTCTATCTTTTTTCTCCCAGTCAAAATGATCTCATCTGCTTTCTATTTTATTCTCTAGGCTTTCTTCAAAATTTATGAACCTCTGCTAGCCACTACTCTTGTTTTCCAGCACTGTTATGTTTTCAATCTTAAAAAATGTTTTCTGTAATTTCAGAGGGACCTGAGAAAGAAGGGAGGAAAAAGACAGACTCAACTTGCTATCTTAAACCAGAAGCTCTTTTAGCTCTTTTAGTCCACTTTAAACATGCTGGCTTACTATATTTTATACATCCTTATATATTGCCTTACTCCTTTTTGGAACTGGACAAATTCAGTGATAATTGTGCAGGTGTGAGTTCACACTGGTAAATCATCAACCCCTTGGTGACTAGTTTCCTTTCATTCCTCTTACATATGGAAGGATCCCATGATGCCTATGAAGTATCAGGCATTAGGTCATTGAACCTCTGAGCCGTTCTCAATGGGAATAGTTATGGGGGATTTGTTTTCAGCGTCCTTTTTTTCCAGGATGTGATTTATTGCCAAAAGGTCTTTATATCCCCTCATACACTGTGGTAGCACAGAGAAGAAAGTTAATTCCTGCAAAGATAATTCAGGTGTAGCATAGTCAGGTTAAAGACAGAAAACTGTAGCAATTTAGAACCAAAGCCAGTATTTTGCAGAACTTAATGAAGGGATGCTAAATTTTCTGCCAGAATTAATCCAGGAAGACTTAGTTCAGAAAGATGATAATTAGTAGAAGTAACAGACACAACGATTAAGACTTATTAAGAAGGATTTAGAAACAAAAGTGGGCTTCCTGGCTCTAATCAGGTTTTGGGGGATGAGAGCAATTTGGATACCTGAAAGAAGATCCAAACTGACCTACCATAGAAACTACTTGGCTGCTTTGGGAATGGGCTAGTCCCTATCCTTGTGGAGTGTGGTTACATGGAGATGCTGGACAGGATGGTTTCTTTTTTTTCTTTTTTCTTTTTTTTTTGAGATGGAGTCTTGCTCTGTCGCCAGGCTGGGGTGCAGTGGTGTAATCTTGGCTCACTGCAACCTCCACCTCCCAGGTTCAAGTGATTTTCCTGCCTCAGCCTCCCAAGTAGCTGGGACTATAGGCATGTGCCACCACGCCCAGCTAATTTTTGTATTTTTAGTAGAGATGAGGTTTCACCATGTTGGCCAGGATGGTCTCGATCCCTTGACCTTGTGATCCGCCTGCTTCAGCCTCCCAAAGTGCTGGGATTACAGGCGTGAGCCACCGCACCCAGCCCAGGATGGTTTCTGTGTGGCTCACAGAGTCAAGATTCTGGTGTTTGGAGTGGGTAAAATTAGGTACAGAACTATAGAATTCTACTCTTGGATGTGCTTCATATAAATGTGAAATTTTAGAAGGATCATCATCTGAATGTATATGAAACAAGCTAAAGCCAATTAATATATAATTAATATATCTGATTTTTGTTTTGCTGCTATAATCTATTAATTACATGCAGCATACCAGTGGTCCAGGTTAACCTTTTGCCATGCAGGAAGAGCCCTCGCTCCTACCATCCCAGTAACATTTTTTTGCTTTCCTGTCAGCAATTTTACTACTTCTGGGTTATGGTGATGTTATATAAATAAGTTTCTAGCTTTTTAAGCATTTAGGTTCCCACACCTTTCAAAGTACCACTTTGGGATTTGATGTTTTAATTCTTTGTTGGGGCATCAGCAAGAAAGACAGGATGGTGCTTTTTAGCCAGGGTTTGAGGTGTTTCCTTCAGGTGGGTGGGTGGTTGAGAGGTTGCTTCCTGGTGGATTCTGGATTTCAAAGTTATAGGTTAGGAGCAAACCCATTTAGGTATCATCAACTGTTGACACCAGTCCAATATTGTTCTTATCAGCAGTTAGTTGAGCCGGACTAGAAAACAGGAACCATCACAGAGACCTGGCTTTATTAGATAGGCAAGAGGGAAACCATGCAGGTGGTTACTGGACAGACAAAACACCCTGCAAATGGTAGAAACCCAGTCATAACCAAAGACAGAGTGTCATTTGTCAGGAGCAGTCCTTAGAGGTGACCTTCAGTCTTGGGAGTTGAACCACCAGGGCTACAGAGAGATTCTGCCTGCACTTTTGGAAAAAATTTGTTCTTACAATTCATGGTGCCTGGCATGCAAGAGGTGGGTGCTGAAATATATTCCTTCCTTCCTTCTCTCCCTCTTCATCTCCCTCATTTTCCTCATCTCCCTTCTGCTTCCAGCTCTTCTTTTCACTTTTCTTTTGCTCTTCCCTCCTCCATCCCCAACACGTGTCTCCAAGTTACTTTCCACCATCCAGTCTCCTTTATCTCTGGTTGTAAGTGCCTTCTCTAAACTCAGACTCTTACTGCAATCCCTCCACCTTTTACCACCTGTCACCTACCCAGTTGGAGAATTATGGGATTAAGGGAATTTAATGGTGAGAGGGTCAAGTCACTCGCCATGAGAATCCAGCATTGACATCTGGTGGTTACCTTGCTGACTCTTTTCTCATAGCTTTCATCATTCCATCCTAAATCTTTGGTCAACTCTGGAAGTACCTCTTCAGTAAACATGGAGCAAGAGCTTGCTACCCTTACTACTAAACTTGTTCTGCCGGTGTTTCTGGGGCACTGTCTTATCTTGCCCTCTGCAAATTTTTATTCTGCACTGTCATAATCTTTAGGTTTATTGTCCTTTTTATATTATTATTTGTACTGGTGTTTGCATTTGCTTTCAGAAGAGATTTTATTCTTTGGTCACTTCCAGCTAAGGGCAGCTCTCAGTCTCCTGATTATGTGTCATTCCTCTTAATATGCCTGGGCTGCTTACAGATATCACCTTTGGTTCTAAGACCATAAGGTCAGTGACCTCACTGGCCAGTTCTGTATGGTTTATTTTTGGCTATGTTATATTTTGTGACTTTGTAGCAACAAACCCCACAAAGCATTCCTTGCCAGGATGCATTTGACTTTGTCAGCTCCTTCTCTTAGGAACCACTTGAAGTTAAGAGAAAGGGTCTTTGTGGTGCTGAAGATACATAGAAATTGGAGACACATAATGTTTTGCTTTATGGTTGGCATCAGGAGGACAATGAGAAACATTGTAGCTTTCCATTTTGGGACTTTACAACACATGTTCCAACATGTACACTGGAAAAAGCCAATACCTTCAAATTTGAAAGAAAAGAATTCTTGCAGCCTTAACAACAAAGCAACCTAAGTCTTGTTGTTTTAATGAGTTATTTGTTTCTCTGGGCCTACAATTTAATTTCATACTTGATTTCTCTCTCTTTAGAAGTGGAACGGATAGTGAAAGCCAATGACCGTGAATATAATGAAAAGTTCCAGTATGCGGTAAGTGAAACACACATAACACATACGTACTAGGATAGGTCTTACCTAAAGACAGTGGGATGCATGTCTTCTAGAACTTTATGACTTCACCAAAAACTTTCTTCATTGGCCCATTTTGACAGCAAGGTGACATATATTTCCATAAATACAGATCTTAGTAATGTTTACAAACATATTTCTCTCCCACTAAGAGTAGTTGGTATGCTTATTGTCATGGGAAGATGATAAAATCTCTTCTTTCTCAAGAATTGATGTTTAGCTCATTTTGGTACCCATTTGGTTAGTAGAATCCATAGGAATAATATGAAAATGGACCTTTTTGGTAGCACTTAGTGATGGATGTAGTGACGTTAGCTAGTGGTTGATGAATGGCATTTGAGGGATTTTCTCTAAGCAACTCAGGCTGAATGTGGAAAAATATATGTAAGATAAAGTTCCACTCCCACCATTCTGGAAGACAGTGTGGCAATTCCTCAGGGATCTAGAACCAGAAATACTATTTGACCCAGCAATCCCATTACTGGGTATATACCCAAAGGATTATAAATAATTTTACTATAAAGACACATGCACATGTATGTTTATTGCAACACTGTTCTCAATAGCAAGGACCTGGAACCAACCTAAATGCCCATGATTTGGGCATAGACTGGATAAAGAAAATGTGGCACATATACACCATGGAATGCTATGCACCTATAAAAAAGAATGAGTTCATGTCCTTTGCAAGGATGTGGATGAAGTTGGAAACCATCATTCTCAGCAAACTAACACAGGAACAGAAAACCAAACACTGCATGTTGTCACTCTTAAGTGGGAGTCGAACAATGAGAATACATGGACTCAGGGAGAGGAACATCACACAGCAGAGCCTGTCAGGGCCTAGGGAGCTAGGGGAGGGATAGCATTAGGAGAAATACCTAATGTAGATGACGGGCTGATGGGTGCAGCAAACCACCATGGCACGTGTATACCTATGTAACAAACCTGCACATTCTGCACGTGTCCCAGAAGTTAAAAACACACACACACATATATATACACACACACATATATATATGCGTATATGTATAGTGTGTGTGTGTGTGTGTGTGTGTGTGTGTGTGTATATATATATATATATATATATATATATATATATATATAGAGAGAGAGAGAGAGAGAGAGAGAGAGAGAGAGAGAGAGAGAGAGAGAGAGAGAGAGAGGCCGGGCACAGTGACTCATGCCTGTAGTCCCAACACTAGTTTGGGAGGCCAAGGTGGGCAGATCACAAGGTCAGGGGTTCGAGACCAGCCTGGCCAATATGGTGAAACCCTGTCTCTATTAAAAATACAAAAGTTAGGCATGATGGTGGGCGCCTGTAGTCCCAGCTACTCGGGAGGCTGAGGCAGGAGAACCGCTTGAACCCAGGAGGTGGAGGTTGCAGTGAGCCAAGATCGCACCATTGCACTCACTCCAGCCTGGGTGACAGAGGGAGACTCCATCTCGAAAGGAAAAAAAAACAAAAGATAAAGTTCCCAGGTCCTGAATGATTGTATTTACAGAATGATTACATGTGTGGGCTTTAGGCTTGTACTGAACAGTTTAAGTGAGGATTTTTTTCATTGATGTAAGGAATATTTATGGAATGTCTACTAAGTGACTGGCACTGTTGTAAGCTACAGTGGTGAACAACTTCATGAATTACATCATGGGCCTTCATAAAGATCTTATTCTTCTATGACTCTGTGTAAGTTGCTACCTGGAATCTTTTATAAGCTCTAAGATAGAAAACTGGTAGAGTAGTTTCTGTAGGTGATATGTGGCCTATAAGACCTGTTGTATGATTGAGTTTACCAGCACATTTAATGAAAGAAAGTCTCAATTCAAAGAGGGGTTTGATGGCTATTAAAGCATAGAAATATGAGAGTCCCAGGGGCAAACTTTGGCAGTGTCCATTAGGTACCAACTAGAGGAGAGAGAATTTTGGTCAGTGGAGTTTTTTGTGTGTTGTTCCTATTGGCAGATCTTTCCCATATATGGAGATGAATGCATTGGGCTATTATAGCTTGATTAATTATTAATCAATTATTAATTAATTAATATTAATATTTATTAATATTTATTAATATTTAGGAGAGGTAGCTTAAATTTCTCTTTTTTCGTGCTGTGCTAGTCATGCAAACTTGTGATTATAATTTGATTTTCAATGTAGGTTTCCCTGTAGGAATTCAGTATGCCACCTCCATGACAGATTTCTCATTGTAGAACAATATACTGGCATTCTGATTTTATTCATCAGTCTTGTAAGCTTGGTTAAAGTAAGTCTGCTCTTGAGACAAGAAATCCCTCTCAGGAGGCTGATCAACATGCTTCTTAGCCTGGGAGAGGGAGGGGCTATAATTCCCCAAGGTGACAAATGTCACTCTGTATGGCCTCCTGACATATGGTCATTCAGCTTCTCCTGGTGAACACCAGACTTGGCCCCATGCCTTTTCATCCATTCTATAGCCAGTCCTTTAACTGTGGAGAATGACCTCTGAAAGGCTTGACCATCAAGTCCCAAATCAGAGAGCTAGATACATGTATATTTAAGACCTTGAGAAAAATACCCAGCAATAACTAATCTGCTATGGGGTAATTATGCATTTAAGTACTTGGCTGCGTTTACTTGTTTTCCAATATGCAACAAGTATTTTCCTTCTGTGAGTAGTAACCCTATAAGGAAAGCCTTATTTCGTTTGTGCCTTGTAAAGTGATACGCTCTTTTCAATTTACAATTATTTTTGCTTAATTAATGGAATATTGCAGACTCACAGAGAAGCACGGGGAATAACAACATACCATTTGCCTACCACCCATATTGAATAGATGTTAACAATTTGCCATTGCTTCAGATCTTTCTTTCTTTTAAAAGTCATAAAATGCTAATGATATAGACATGATTTTCTCTTGAGTTTTCATGATATTGAACAAAAGCACGCACATGTGTGGCTGTGGCTCTTCTGTTGGGTTTCCTAACAATCACAAGGCAGTAGAGGAATATCCTGTGGCTACAGCAGATTGAACAAGGTAGCTCCATCTCTGAGTTAAAACATACCAAGATGGGCTGGGCATGGTGATTCATGCCTGTAATCCCAGAACTTTGGGAGTCCGAGGTGGGTGGATCACGAGGTCAGGAGTTTGAGACCAGCCTGGCCAATATGGTGAAACCCTGTCTATACTAAAAATACAAAAATTAGCCAGGTGTGGTGGTGCGGGGCGTGTGTAGTCCAGCTACACAAGAGGCTGAGGCAGAAGAATTGCTTGAACCTGGAAGGCGGAGGTTGCAGTGAGCCAAGATTGTGCCACTGCAGTCCAGCCTGGGTTACAGAGTGAGACTCCATGTCAAAAAACAAACAAAACAAAACAAAACACAACACAAAAAACCAAGATAAAATCAAATTCCACTATGGGTTGGCAAAACCAAGAATGACAGCAAAAGTGGAGAAAGAAAACTACAGAGCAGAGAGGGGCACAGATATCCCAGATTAAAGGACTTCCATTGTGGCTCAGAGAAAATGAGCACCTGCCATGCTCTTAGGAGCATGGGACCCCCAACTACACCTAGGTGGTGTTGCCTTGGTTTGGGAACACCCAAAAGGATGCCTGGCCATGCAGTGAACTGTGGAGCCTCTCTCAGCCTCAGTCTATTCTGCTATATGTTGGGGATAATCAAAGTACCTATTTAATACAGTTATTGTAAGGAGTAAAGTAGAGTAAAATACAACAACCCTATGAGCTAGTCTAAGTAGAGCTGGGATTTGAACCTATGCCTATCTGATTTTAAGCTTTTTTTTTTTAACCCCTAAACGGAATATCCTTTTAAGAAAGGCAGCATCCTGGTGTCTTTTGCTCAGTCTTGCCCAGCTTTAAAGAATATCACTCCAGATGGAAATGAATTTGGAGAGACTTCAGCATATCCCAGGGAGAGTGCTAATAATAATTAATAAAGATAGTGATAATGATAGCTTAAAACAGGTAGGGCTCACCATATGAAAGGCATGGTTCTAAGCACTGTACTATATTAAACTTATTTAATCTTATAACTAGTCCACGAAATACTCTTATTTCTTACTTTTTTATTACCTTTTTTAATATATGGAAATGTTAAGCCATTGAGATCTCACTTAAGTGACTTGCTCAGGGTCACACAGATAATAGCTCATATCCATACAGCTTGAACCCAACTGTGTACCAGGTGCTTTGAACGTATTTCAGGCTTCCACAAAACTTGCTGAGATGAAGATGGGGCTCCATTTAGTAACTTGTCTAAGTCATGCAACTAAAAGGTAACAAAGCTGGAATTCTAGTGCAGACTGGCCAGATTCTAAAACCTATATTTTTTTTCATGATGTCATGTGGCTCTTTTGAGCATTCTTGGAAAACAAACAAAATACAAATAAAACAAAAAAACAATCAACCAACCAAACAACAACAACAAAACAAACCCTAATCACTTTGCCTTTCCTCATATAACCACTGGTAAAGTTCTTATATTCTAAAGACAAAAGTAGATAAAGGAGATACACAATTTTACAATCTGAGGCTAAGAGTGGCCTTAAATATTACCCTGGGCTTTTATAGGTAAGAATTTAGGAGAAAAATTTACAGATAGCTCTGATAAATTGTGTGATTTCCAGAAACATTATGCCCGATCAGACAAACTTTTTTCCTGGAAGGCTGGCAGAAGATACTTCAATACCTCGAGAACCTTCATTTATCAACAAACTCTAAAGCTGCAAATCACATTATAGGACATCGCACAGGTTTAAAAATGATCAAAAGCACTTTTGAGAAATAAAGGTTTAGAACATAAAAGATAAGGTTAATGATTCTAAGTCAAATTAGTTTGTAAATTAGACATGATATTGTGAGAACTGGAAGGTAAAAACGTCAAATTACAAGAGGGATTTAGACTGCCAAAATGTGTAAGACAAAATGGGATTGAAGAGTGGAGGGAAAGTGAGCCAAGTGCTAGAAGAATTATTCTCATTAGAAGGGAGTTCAATGTTTTCTTGGTTAATAATAGGAATGAATAATAGAAGTAGAAAACAGTTGTTTTAAAATATGTTAATGTTAATAATTGTTAAAAGAAAAATTGTGAGTGAGCCAAACAGCCAGACTCATTCCTGTTAAAAGGATTTCAGAGTGAATGGTAGAAGTGGTGAAAACAGTTGAAGTTGTATTAAAATGTATTAATGTTAAAAGATCAGAAAAAGTGTTAGCTTAATTATAGCTATTTTCTGATTTTGTTTAAAAGTTCAAAAAGATGATGATGGAAAGCACTGGTTCTCGTTGGTTCTTCTTCTCTCACTCTCTGTCACATAGGCCCAGGCATGATCTATCCCCATTCAATTCTCTTGAACTTTAACAGAATTTGAGAAGGGAGATTAACTTATTTGAGTGATGAGAAACTTACCCTGCCTCAAACTCAGAAACTTCAGTAAAGCCAAAACACTTAATAAATTTTATCTGAATATATTTAATGCACAAAGGTAGGTAGGCAGTTTTTAAAGGATTTTTTTCCTGAGTGGAGTTATTGATCCCATTTAGGAAGTGCATAGGCTTATGTAAATTGATGAAGATTTAACCAGTAGTTTTACATGCTTAGAAAGAAAGAGTCCCACCTAAAAATTATGATTCTAATGCTGTAGTTTATTCCTAGAATCTGCAAATGCCTTGTTGATATCCTAGTTATTGGATGAAATCTATTTGCTGCTCCCATGATTTTTTGTGGTTGGTAAAACAATGCCCATTTGGATTTTCCAAAGTGTTCATTCAGTGCAACAATGTGGTTGAGTACCTCCAACCCCCAGCAGTCAGTGCTACAATCACACCACTAAGGCTCCCTGCAACATGAACTCCTTTTATTTCCCTCCCGCCCATTTAAATAGGACTTTGTACGTTTCCACAGTCAGCAAACTTCTCTCTCCTCTTAACTCAGAATCTAAGTGGTTGAGAGTAGAGTAGAAAAATATGGTTCACCATCATTCTCAGTGTGTGAGCCGAGATGGTCACTGGGCCTCTTTAGGCCCACATCATAATAATGTATCTGTGTTTCTCTGAGAAAAGACTGGCTTAACAGGAAAATTTCATGTTCCTGTGTGTGGGGTGCATAGACCATTCATTGTCCCCTTTTCTTTAATAGAAATAAAAATAATTTTCAGAATTTAATATTCACAACATACCTGCTCTATACCTAGCAACATGTATGTTTGTTGCCTTTTCCTCATTTATTTTCCAAACAGTATTTGCGGCAATGTACAAAAAGCATATAAAGCTCAAAGGGATAACAATACATGAAGAAGCTAGTGTAGGCAGAATATGTTTAGGTGGGCCCCAAAGTGCATGCTACAGGACGTGCCTGCTTAGACTAGCAGTGTGTTGAGTGCTACTGGAGCTATTAAGAAAGGGGGTACAAATTCTGCTTTCTACCTTCAAGGAGCAGATATAGTCTACTCAGGAAGAGAAGCCCAGCACACTAGAATGAAACTAATAATAGGTAAGAATGAAAAGGTGCTGTGAAATTCTAATTTTGTGATGTGGCCTGTAAATGCTAGGGAAAGGAGAGCTCAAAGTACACGAAAGTGTTTGAGGAAGTTTTGCCAGAGGAAGTGGGAAATGATTCCTGCCTTGTTTATTTGTACCACCACTGTTAGCAAGGAGAGACAGGAGCAAAAGCCTGTAGTCAGACCTTAGACTACAGGCTAAGAGAAGTGACAGTATGTCATGAGGAATTATGGTTTGGGTAGGTGAGAACAGACTATTTAAAAAGAGAGTTTAAACATGAGGTAATTGGCTGTCAGGAGCTGGGGAATCACAAAGTGAAAAGGGATTTTATTTGCCCTCCATATAAAATAGGCCAAATCCCCAAACGGAAATGGCCAGGTTAACACAGAACGTAAGTTGGGTGTGGTGGGAGCTGTAGATTTAGGAATATCGGCTGGAAGGAGAAACTTTGAGCTAGGAGAGAAGTGAGGCTTGTTAAGCAGTGATGGAACTTGCTAAATGTGAGGTATGGGGTGGAAACTCAGTTTGTTAGAGAGTGGGAGGGAAAGAACTTAAGAAGGAACAGAGGACAGCAAGGATTGAAGTGAACGAAGAGAGGACAGTGTAGGAAAGTGTTAAGGAAGGGAACGTCTCAGGAAAGAGGGAGTGGTGAACTGGTCTAATGGTAGGTGCCTATGAGGTTAAGAACTAAGGGAAAACATCTTTAATAGAAGGAAGTAACTGGAGGACCTGAAGAAAGCCGTTTTAATTTTTTAAGAAAGTTGAGGTTTAAAAGTCGGAGGGCAGAAAAAAACCCCACAAACTGTAAAAAAAAGAAAGAGGGGGTGGGGTAGAGCTAATTCAATTAATAGCTTGCAATAAAGAGAAGAGAAACAGTATAAAAGCTTTCAGGCTGACTGAAATTTGGTCAACCATTTTTAAATCAATCTTTTCACATATTTTGGCTTTTTAAGTATGTGTTTAAAATCCATGGAAAGGTAAAACTCCGTAAATATTTTCTTTGGGAGACTCTTGGGATGTCACCATGTTGAAACACATCCCCGGACTGATGGGACATTTGGGTCTCTATTCTTCTTGAGCAGCATAGCTGTACTGCCCACATGATGCAGATCCTCACCTATGGGGCTGATGACCAGATGCACCAACTAAAGAGTACAGATGATGACAAGCAGTGTGACACGTTGGAATTAGTCATGGAAAGCACCAGTAACTTGCATTTGTTATGGGTTTCTGGTTGTTAGTTGTTGCTTTTTTGTATTGGGGCATCACCATAGTAACAGTGGCTTTTTAGCAAACATTGAAAATGGCTTCTGTTTTGTGTGCTGTTAATATCTGTGTATGTTATTCTAAGTTTGACATGGCAAAGGTTTTAATTTTTTTCTTTATAAATAATTTACTTGTAGGAGAAAATATATTTTTTGGATATCTCTCAAATTCATTTTCTTTCTGGATTCAAGAGTATAAAAACATAAATATTTTTTATCTTTTTGACATCTGATTTGTTTAAATAGTGTTATTCTTTGGCTAAGCATTCGTCTGGTTTCTTGTTTCCCTAATTTAGTTTGCCTGTTTTAATCTTTTTTTTTTTTTTTCTGGCCTCTGAATTTCTATTCCTAAATGTTCTAAAATGGCATATTAAAGTAATTAAAGAATCTAGGTAAGTTCTCTGAGGTATTTGTTTGTTATTTACCTGTTCCAGGCTTGAGATAATTTCAGCATCCTCATAAACTAGTTCCCATTCCATCTGCTTTGAGAAGTAAATTTTAAGTTAAAAAAACAGATTTGGCTTATTTATTTATTTTTATTTTTACTTTCTTCACTGCAATGGTACAAAACTGAAAAGTATGCAAGCAATATGTAATTGGAATTACAAGAGTTAAAATAAGCAATTTTTGATGGCAGAATTTTGCTCTGTTATAGCTTGGCTGTAATGGAATAAATTTAAGATTGAGAAATGAAAAGATTACATAGAAAGAAGAGTAAGTTACTTGTGAAGAAGGAACTATAAATGGAGTTTCCTTTGTTGGCAAATGGTTCATGAAAATAATCCATAAATCAACTGTGTGGATGAAATTGGGCAAGTTTAGTAACAATTGAGAGGTTAACGGAAAAAAACCACTAACCCCAACGGTCTCAAAGTGGTTTTTATCTTGTTTTGCAATCTTCTTTACTGGACCAAATGGTCTGGTTCTGGGAATCTTATTGTTAAAAGATGGTAACAATCATGTTTTACATTTTGTTGTTGAAAGATCAAATCATTTATGTACCAAGGTGATCTTAACTTCATGTCCACTATTATGAAACTAGTACCAGATTACTGTCACATTTTACACCTGATTTTCTATGTAGTTTCTTTTTTTTGACAAATAAAAATTGTATATATTTATAGTACACAACATAATGTTTTGAAATATGTATAAATTACAAAATGGCTAAATCGACCTGATTTACATATGCCTTATCTCACATAACTTATCATTTTTTTATGATGAGAACACTTAAAATCTACTCTCATAGCAATTATCAAATGATATGATTTGGATCTGTGTTCCCACCAAATCTCATGTCGAATTGTCATCGCTAGTGTTGGAGGTGGGGCATAGTAGAAGGTGACTGGATTATGAGGGTGAAGTTCTTATGAGTGGGTTAGCACCATCCCCTCGGTGTTGTTCTCATGATAGTGACAGTGAGTTATCCTGAGATCTGGTTGTTTAAAAGTGTGTAGCACCTCCTCCCTCTCCCTTTTGCTCCTGCTTCAACCGTGTAAGATGTGCCTGCTTCCCCTTTGCCTTCTGCCATGATTGCAAGTTTCTTAAGGCTTCCTCAGAAGCAGAAGCCTCTATGCTTTGTGTACAGCCTGCAGAACCATGAGCTAATTAAACCTCTTGTCTTTATAAATTACCAGTCTCAGGTATTTTGTTATAGTAGCATGAGAATAGACTAATACATCAAGTATACAATTTGCAGGTTTATTACAAAAGTAAGCTACTTAGGCATTAAACTTGAAAATTCTTTAAAAATGATCCAAGACTTGGGCTATATATTTGTCAATAAATCTGTGTCTATTGCATGACTGTGTGCACGGAGGTAGTGTTGTAGTTGTGAGGAAGTGTATACAGTTTTGTAAGGATGTTTTTGCTTGAATAATGAGAGACTGTTCTCAGAGGAATTAAGCAGAGGACAGCAATCAGAGTCACATGCCAAGACTGTTGATCTAAATCTCTAGCTCCTGATACCCTTGACTTGGTGTCTCTAGCAGTCCTGATTGTACTGGGTTTTATGTGTCCTCCTTGGTTGTCAGTTCACATCATTACAGATGTGGCTGTTCAGGTGTCATCTAGGTAAGTTATAGATGGTGACATCATTGTGTACCAATTGTCCAAAAGTTTAGGGAAGAAGGGCTTTTTTTATACAAAAGGAAAAACCTGATTTCTTAGGTACTGCAAGGAAATTAGCTTCAGTACAATACACTGTGGAATCTCAGTGTGGAATTATCCTTTAAAGCTTTTCCATTCAACTCTCTTTACAGAATTCTAACCAACTCCATGTCCTGTCTGTGCTTTTATCCCTTTAGAAGAGGGGACCTCATTACCTCCCCAAACAGCCTTTTCTTTCTTTGGGTAGTTTTAATCATTAGGTAATTTTTCCATCAATTGAGCCAAATTGATATTCTCTTGCTTTATTTTCCATTGTTTTAGCTTTTCTTCAGAGACCAAAGCAGAGCAAACATGTCTTCTGTTTCATGCAACAACACTTCAGATATTTGTGTTTAAAATATCAAACACAAATTCATCAAATAAACAGATCTCCAGGAAAATCACCTGCTATTCCTTTTCTTTTCAAAGAGCCTCAGTTTTTCTATAACTTCTTCAAGTGGGTTCCTCCAAAGTCAAACACAATAGTCTAGAATTTATTTGACCATCTTGAAGTAGAGAAAGATTATTAATACAGTCTAAGACTGTACTATCTTTTCAGTGACTGTTGAGTCTATTAATCTCATATTAATTTTATTTTTATTGTTAATGACAAGAACCGTGTCACATTTATCTCCATATCTTGCTTGTCATAGGGCTTGTTGGCACATAATAGGCACTTACTCTGTCATTAAACTATTCCTTTTATTATTGTATCTATGTGGACTTTAGCATCTCTCTGTATTGTCATTGATAGTTAAACAAATGGGCCAATGAAATCAGAAGCTTTAGGGGTGGAGTCCAGGCATTTTTTTTTTTAAAGCTCCCCTAGTGATTCTAATGGGCAACCTGGATTAATCACTGATCTAAGTTAATAATAAAAATACTGAGCACAACACAATGAAGAACATGGCCATGCGTCTTATCACTAGAGACCTCCCTATAGGTTGCTGTTGGGCCATTAATCATTACATTTTGTTTACTTAGCTAGTTCCAATTTCTATAATGAACTGTCTTTGCTGGCAGCCCAATTTTTGTTTAATTATGTAGTAATATTGCTCTCTGTCTTAATAAGCAGAAAGGCTTTTTTTTTTTTTAAAGACATCTATTATAGTGCTGGTTTAGATTATTTCTACATGTATGGAAGCAGAAGGATAGAATGAATAACTGAACTTTGAAGATTCCTCCCCAAGTCATATTCCTATGATTCTTGCAAACCACTTAGTACCATGTGTGATATTTCAAAGACTCTTGTAGATTCAATACCACAAAAACGCCATTGTCCTAAGAAAGACGATTTTGAGGTTAGAAGCACAAATGAGCTGAACTTCTTTGCAATGCTTTGCAGAAAAAGAAATGCTTTTCTAGGTGAGAAAATGAGCTAAAGGAATATTTGATTTTTTTTCTCCCTTGTACTCTGATATGAGAAAATTAATAAACTGCATGTTGTGCTAAATAATGTGAAAAATCTATATTTGTGCTAATGCCTATCTTTCTCTGGCAAAAGAAGTTCTATAGGTTATGTACTGAAAATTATTGTGATGCATCATTAATTATGAAAAATTATATTAGCTCATGTTATTTTCTCATAAGTGGAATTGTCTTCCTCTCATATATTATTTTGTATTTTTTCCAATTGGGTTTATCAGCCATGTTGTCTTGGACTGTTCTTGCATTGCCATAAAGAAGTACCTGAGACTGGGTAATTTATAAGAAAAGAGGATTAATTGGCTCAGTTCTACAAGGCTGTACAGGAAGCATAGCAGCATCTGCTTCTGGGGAGGCTTCAGGAAGCCTCCAAACATAGTAGAAGGTGAAGGGGGACCAGGCACATCACATGGTGAAAGCAGGAGCAAGAGAGTGAGTGGGAAGGTGACATACACTTCTAAATGACAAGATCTCACTAGAACTCACTATTGTAAGGACAGTACCAAGGGGGATGGTGATAAGCCATCCCTTAGAAACTGCCCTCATGATCCAATCACCTCCCACTAGGCCCCACCTCCAACACTGGAGATTACATTTCAATATGAGACTTGGGTGGGGACACACATCCAAACTATATCACACGTATTGAGTAATTCTTGCTTATCACTTTGTTAAATGCTCTAGACACTTAAAAACGTATAAGGTCTCAGCCCTTCAGGAACTCTTGGAATTTTGAGATTATTTCACATGCATAAATGAAATAACAGTATTAGACATTACAAAGTTAAGTATGAAAATGAATAGTGTTAGCTTATAATAAACATTTTCACTGTATCTGAGTAAGGAAGATAATTTTCTAGGAAGAGATAAATGCATTTCTTTTCTTAAAGTTGTTCATATTGGTAATGTCTTTCAAAGAGAATGAAAGAATGGTAAAATACCATGTTTCATTTATGTAGTGTAAAAATGACCTGACTTGGCTTGAAAACTTCCCAACTTGCACTATACTTTGAATCCCTGTCTGGATTTGGGGAACCATTTGGCTACTCAAAAAGCCAAGTGCCAGTCACATGTTAAGTAGATCTAAACCTAAACTGACTGAAGATGATGAGCTCACTGAAAAGTACTTCCAGGGTATACTGGAATTGAATGCTTTAAATATGAAAAGCAGTTAATTTTTTTTGTTTCTTTAATTCAAATGTGAGTTTTATATAGGCTTATTAAAATCAATCAGATATTTTGACATTGGAATAGTTATGAATTTATGTTTTATCAACAAATAGTTATTACTAAATTCCTGAAACCGTTCAGGGCCTATATGCTATTGCCTGTGGAAATGATGCCTGTGTACTTTGGGATGTACATTTTTTAAAAATAAGAATATCTTTGATCCCTATTCCTTTTCCTCAGCCTGTTATGCTCCTTCTTGCTTCCACATTCCTGTGGAATTTCCTCCATGATTCCTTTATTTTCCAATTTGATGCTTGATCTGATCTTTTTATTTGCCAGAGCTTAAATTGAAAGTGGAGGGAAAAAAATCTGATTTTTCACTGATTTTTTTTTTATCCAATATACTTCTCTTAAAGGATTGAAAACGAAGTCCAGAAAAATATCTTCAGCTGAGTCAAAAGGGCACATTGTACTTCTAGCCTAAATCTCGGAGTAAGGCATTTCAGTGTTTCATCTGTGACATTGATTCAACTCCACGACCTACTGGGGGAATCCAGTACCTCCTAAAGTTCATAGTCTCTAGTGCACAAATGGGACTCCCTTGGATTTGTACTAATTTAACTTATATCAACTTTTGAAAAAGCTGCATGCAACCTTTCCTATATCACAGCAATTTGTGCCTATCAAAACTCTTAGAGCTCTTTAATACTCTGCTTCTTGAAGTGTGGTCCACAGACAGACCAGCATCATTGGCCTCACCTGGAGCTTGTTAGAAATGCAGACTCTCGGGCCCCACCACAAAACTCCAGGTGTATCACTGCATTTTAACAAAAACCGAAATGATTCATATACATATTTGAGTTTCAGAAGTTCTGAACTGATTCTCTCTTATTTTAGTTAGTAGTGCCTGGAAGATTTTGGCAAAAGCAAAGAGGTGGTGGTGGGGGCGGGGCGGGGAAAGTATTTAATTGTCAAGCACAATGCTAAGCACTTTACATGTATTATCTCATTTAATCTTCACAACAACTCTGCATGGCAGGTATTCCCATGCAAATTTACATGGGGGAAATGAAGGATTGGAGGAATTAAGAGAAAGGTCACTTAGTTGATAAAACATGGAATCACTTTTCAGATTCAGGACTCTAAGCCCTCACTTTTTTCTAAATATCTCTTGGGAAAATTGCACTCACTCAAGTATTATTTAATTGGATTGTTGTTTCGTTGTGGTGAATATGAGTAGATTTTTTGGGAAAAATGTCTTCAAGAAGTTCTTGAAGCTTTCCTGAAACCAGGTTTGTGAGGAAGGTCTTTGTTCTTAACCTGCGTGTATTAAGTTTAAGGCTTGAGGTGATCTGTCTTGTCACATAAGTAGTTCCCTTCAGTACGGCATGTCTGCCTGCCCTCCTTCCTTCCTAGTGGCAGCTTTTCTTTAGTTCTGGAATCAGAAAATTTCCTAGAAACCCAGGGGACGCTGTGGGTCATGGCTCTGGCTCGGCCGAGGCAAGTGCCTTTTAGCCTTTCTGGGTTTCAGTTTCCTTACTGAGGGTATAGGCAACTCATTTTACAGTACTGGAAATGACAATTGTGGGAAGAGAATATCTAAAGCAGGCTTGACATCTTGTGGAGTTATATACCAAGAAATATTAACCATTTGGGGAAAACCAGTTTCTAAAAAAGGGCTCAGGCCACAGACCCCTAGGTTTTGCCTCCTCCAGCCCTTCAAGTCCCTTGTCTCATTGATAGCACCCCTGGTCACCCTCAGAGGGAGGGATACTGGGCACAGTTGTCTATTCCTCTGACAAGCCTCCTGATTTTGTTCCTCCAAACCCTCTGACTTCTCTGGCTTCTTCCTCCTGAATAACTGACACACTTGCATAAGTGTCTGGATGAACTTTGTTTTCTAACCCTTATGCCAGATGGAGTGAATCGGGAAAAGGAACATGGATGAGGAATGCACTAGGGAAGAGGATTATGAAGGCAGTGAAATGAGATGGTGGAGGAGGTTCAGGAACTGCAGCCAGAGCCCTTGATTCATTCATTCATTTGTTCATTCATTCATTCATTCAAGGAACAGGGGAAAGGATCTAGTTTGCTTTATTTCACAGTTTTGTACGTTAACAGTTATTCCTAGCTGGCCTTCCTAGTGATGCTCTGGTGGATCATTAACTATTAAACAACTAAGTCACACTGTTATTTGACCTGAAGCCTGGTACTTAGAATTGTTCCCGTAGAAGTGGCTCAGTTGCAAATCAGTTCAGTGACTTAGAGGATCTGGCCTAGTGAGTTTTGATTGGAGACTCGCTGTGCATCTTCTCACCGTGCAGCTCTTGCTCTGCTCAGCATCCACATGGGCTTCTTATTGAATCTCCTTGTTGGCTCCTACAGAAGGCAAATGCCTATTTTTGTATATGTAATCAGGGAACTCCATTGTCAGTCCCCCAAAGCAAATTTATGATAGTCTTTATTTAACTCAGACTATCTCAAGCATAACCTCAAATTTGGTGAAAATTCCTCAAACCCGTTGTGCATGATATAATCACAAAAATTAAAGATTGGCACTTTATTCATAAATTATTATTGATGTGTTTTAATGATAGAAGATGCTTTAAAACTCTTTTTTTTTTCCCTGCCCTCCCCTACCTGCCCCATGTGGAGAATTTTCCTTCTGTATTTCCTGGTCTTCTATTCTCTCCCTCTCAACACCTCTACTCCCAAACAAAAGCCACTCAACAAAAAAAAAACCACAAAGCCAGGTGTTGTGGGTTTGTTTGAATATAGATTTACTCCCCAACCTGGCTGTGAAGGGGCTGGAGACCAGGAAAGGCTAGGACTGTTGCAGGAGAACACCTTCATGAGTGGATCAGGGTCCCAGTTGCTCCAGTACCCCCTGGGCATGGCAGAGGGTGCTGACAACTGCATGTACTTTCCATCTGATCCTTAGAGGTTCAGGAGAAAATTGCATGGCTACCCCTGAGGTGGTGTTATTTATGTAGAACTCTAGTATAAGAAGTAGAGTGCTAGGAAGGATTAGACTGTGTATCGTGTGCTATTATAACTCTTTGGCCCTTTGGAAAATTCTTTATGGGTGCCTTTCCACGTTAACTGGACTTTTCCATTGTGTCTTTCTTATTGTTGTAAACACTGAGGTCTTGAAATTTGGCCTAGTTCCCAGACTACACAGCAGTGTGAACATGGTCTAATTTTCAGACCAAATAAACAAAGCAGTCCATCTGCACTAAGTTGTCCAAAGTTGTAGTTCAGGAAATGGGCTTGAACAAGCCAGCCCCCACCTCAACTCAAAGAAATGCCCACTCTGATCATACAAGATCCCTAAAGCTCAGGATAAGACGAATTCGTGGGCCAAAGCTGAGGGCTGACTCCCTAGATCCCCAGTTGATTTAAAAGGAGGAGGCATAGATGAGCTCTAGCCAGCAGAGATAGGAGGCAAACAGATCATTAGGGATGCCCCAGGAAAGTCCCACTGAAATACAATCTTTGCTTTCTTTTCTTTTGCTCTTTTGTATGCCTTCTTCTTATCTCTCTGGAGAAGGCATATGCTAGGTCTTTTTCTCTCTCTCTCTCTTTCTGTCTGTATTTTCAGTCCCTTTTTAGATGTCACAAAAAGAAAGTAAACATTTTACTGCAACTACTTAAAATGTTATATACGTCTAAACACCCTGGAGAAAAAAAAATTAGTGTGATTAAATTAATCTCAGAGGGAAATTTAATTTGTTCCCCTGATAATTATCCAAAATTAGTTCTTTGTAGATAAATTACTATTCCTAGGCCATTTACTAGCTCTAGAACTGTCTTTCAGACACTGGAACCCTAAATTAAGGCTGGAAGGTAGAAAAGAGAACAAAGTTTGTGATGCTGTCAGGCAGATTTGCTTTGTGGGGAGACAGAGGCCTGAAAGCTTTCCTGGCCACTATCTCTGTTCCTGGGGTCTAGATGGAAAATGAGCTCCCTAGACAAGCCCAGCAATGTTCTCCCTAGATTGAAAGGACTGGAAGTGACTGCTCCAGCTGATTGAATTAATGTGAGCTCTTCACTGTGCTTTAGTTTAGAGAGGTTCTGTTCTTCACCAGAGTGAAGGATGTCGGATGAGGGCCAGTGAGTCCATTAACCAAAAGGCAGTCTAGAGACTTCCTAGTTTCTGACTCGTTGCTCACGAAACACCATTTGGGAGAACACAGGATTGTACAATACTTGCTTTTATGGGCAACCCTCACAACTGTTCAAAGCCTCAGTTTCCTCATCTGTAAAATGGTGCTGAAATAGTCACAGCTCATTGGATTTTTTAAGGACTGCCTGAGATGATATAGTGTTCAGCATAGCGCCTGGAGATGGAAGGAGGCAATACCATTATCTGGTGTCACTGTATGACCCAGAGAATCTATGACATAGAAAGTTATATGTTCTCCATTATGTGCCCAAGTCTTAGTGACATGAGATCTAAAAGGAGGAGGCACAGATGAGCTCCTTTGTCCATAAGTGTTTAGTCCACAGTTTTCAAAGTTTATGAGCATGTTCCTCACTTGTAAAAGAAAATTAAATCTGACCGAATGTGGTGGCTCATACCTGTAATCCCAGTTCTGTGAGAGGCCGAGGTGGGAGGATCACCTGAGGCCAGGAGTTCGAGATCAGCCTGGGCAACATAGCGAGACTCTGTCTCAATAAAAAATAAAAAAATAAAAAGAAATTAATCTATATGTGTGTATACATATAGACAATGCATAGATTGTCTTTACTGTTAATATTTATATGTGTGTATACACATATATGCATGTGTGTACTATATGTTTTTACTATAGATAATATAGATATTATATTGTCTTTGCTATAGGTGTGTGTGTGTGTGTGTGTGTATATATATATATATACACATATACATATACATATATTGTGTATAGTAATTAAATGTTAGTAACTTTAACATTTTTAGTTAAAATATACATGAAGTTCTTTTTTATTTCTCATAGCCCAAAGGATTCTTTTGGGCACCCAGGAAACGAGCACCCCTAGGGGACACGTATTCCCACTGGTCTCACCAAGTAGGGTAATCTTGATACTGCATTAACCTGGAAAATCAAGCAAGAAGGCTTCCTGAGGGAGTCTTGGCAGGCAAGGTGCTCTTGCTCTATTGTTCATTGTTTTTGTCATAGTATTTGATGATCACCTCCTGAAATTGTGTCATCAGTTTACAAGTTTATTGTCTGCTTGTTCCTGCCTCTCTCTCCACAACTAACATACAAACTTACTCGATGATGGGAGGGTCTTTGCTTACTCATGTCTGTAGCCCTGGCTCAATAACATTATTGCCTGAAGCACAGAAGGACTTTAACAAAAATTAGTTGAATGAATGAATGAATGAATGTTGGGGGATATGTGCCCTCTGCTCTTTGCCTCCTCATACACGTTTTCTGCTCAAGTCTGGGAGCTGAGGCTCAGGAGAACGTTAAGATGATGGTGGTGGTGGTGGTGGTGATGATGAGTGTAGTCAGTATTGATTGACACACTCTGCAAAGCCTCTTCTGTGATTGAGGCTTCCTCAGCAGCGTTCGTAGAAGAGCACTGTCGTCTTTCCATTGCCCCTATCCTGGAAAGCTGTGGACTCTGCACCAGGCAACAGTCAGCTGATACTGAGGAACTACCAGGGGTTCTTCCTGGTATCAGTGAGGTACCAGATGTCTAATCTCCAGGTCCCATACATGCATTCTTTTGGGTTCTTTGCATGAACATGGGTAATTCACATATTTTCTGAGCGGTACAAATGCCTTTTGGCTACTTCCTCTTTTATGCCAGTAGTTTGTGGACACAATCCCTTTTTGTTTTTTATTTTATGGCTTAGAGATAATCTCTCCCTTATTAGTCAGGATTATTTCTGTCTCTGGAATCTGGATTGTACCATAAAAATACTGTATTTGCCTCCTTTTGTGGCAAGAAGGGCTAGATGTTTTCCCCCTCAAGCTCTGGAAGGTTACTTTTTATAGTTGTCATGATGTACAAATGTTTCATCAAATGTGGGATGATGATTTGATAGTGAGGAAACTGTGGTACTGATTGCAAAAGCTCCTGGGGCTTGTGGGATTCATAGAC
This sequence comes from Homo sapiens, assembly GCF_000001405.40. Classification (NCBI taxonomy): domain Eukaryota; kingdom Metazoa; phylum Chordata; class Mammalia; order Primates; family Hominidae; genus Homo; species Homo sapiens. The sequence goes on along the minus strand of NC_000015.10, from coordinate 50,055,485 downwards.
GTAGGCAGTGTCTCTGGACAACTGCTGAGCTCATTTGGGTTTAAGCCTTCTGGGATGCATTCTTTAAGACAAACATAGAGATACAAGTAAGCTATTATTTAAAAAGCAAACTGATCTTGCATATATTATGAATGTTCTTACCTGGTGTTTGGTTGGTTGAGAGTAAAAGAAAAACCAACTCAAATTGACTTAGTTTGAGTTGAATGGACAGATCATGTAGCTGAAAAGTCCAGAGATAGGGCTAGTCTCAGGAGAGGCTTGGTCTAGTTTCTTTCTCTGCATTTCTTGGCCCTGCATTTTTAGTGCGGAGTTTGTTCTTGGCAGCCTCCCCACTCATAGCCCCAAGTTGCTGTTAGTAATCTCTAGGGCTACTTGTTTCCAGATTGGAATGCAATAGAAAAGAGAAAGCTTACATTATCAGCAAATTTCAGAATTGACGTAGTTTATGTGCCAGTGTCTGAATTCAAAATTGTAATTAGGAGGGTGGGCCATGTACTTGCCTTAAGCTAATTTGACCCTGGAATTATGGATGGGAGATGAATCTATCCAGTTCGTGAAACTAAGGAATTTGGCACATTGTTTAGCTGATGGGGAGAGGAAATAGTCAAAGGAATATTACATGTGTCGTTAACAGGACTGAATTTAAAGTGCTGAGGTTGGTGTTTTTTTTTTTTTGTTTTTTTTTTTTTTTTTTTTTTTTTTGAGGCGGAGTCTCCCTCTGTCGCCCAGGCTGGAGTGCAGTGGCACGATCTCGGCTCACTGCAAGCTCAGCCTCCTGGGTTCATGCTATTCTCCTGCCTCAGCCTCCCAAGTAGCTGGGACTACAGGCACCTGCCACCACACACGGCCAATTTTTTTGTATTTTTAGTAGAGATGGGGTTTCACCATGTTAGCCAGGCTGATCTCGATCTCCTGACCTTGTGATCCGCCTGCCTCAGCCTCCCAAAGTGCTGGGATTACCGGCGTGAGCCACCGTGCCCAGCCAGTTGGTTTTTGATATATTTGCTAGTAGATATGTCTCTTACTCTCAAAATACTAGGTTAGCGTCCATTACTGGTTGCAATAGCCATTAGTGATATCCATTAATGTTTCTAGCTTTCTGTCTTTTGGACCCATGGTGACTCTTTTGGCCAGTAAGTTGTGAGCATTTGGGTTGAAGCATTACATTTGAGAGTGAGACTGTTCAGAGCTTCTTTTTCCTCTGGTAATATACCTCGAAGCATTGGAGATGGTGGGTGCTCCGTTATGAGTATCTGATGAGGAGACTCATGTTGGGCAAGTAGCATGAACAAGAAACAAACTCTTACTGGGTTAAGCTGTGAAGATTTTGGAGTTATTACTGTAGCATAGCTGGTTATCCTGACTAGTACATTGCATTTCTTGATACAGTTGAATTATTTGGGATCACTCACAAAAATCCTATATTTGCATAATTCTTTCAATTTAGCAGAAATATTTTTACATCTATGCTCTCATTTCCATGATAGTCCTATAAATATATGAGAAATGTTATTAGTTCCATTTTGCCAGTGGAAAAATTGAGGCAATCTCCCAAATGCTCCAAATGTTTGCTAATATAGCAGAGTTTGTTATTTTCTATTTGCTTTGTTTACTTAAGCAATATACTTAATTTGCATGTATAATGAGGATCTCTAGAAAAAATAATACTTCCCATTTTATTAATATTTTATTTGGTAGCCCATCTCTGAAAAATTTGTCATTTTTACTCCATTTTCTTTACTTTATTCCCCACCTTCACCCCACCCCCCCACCAAGTAGTAAATGCTGGAAATATAAAGGACTTTGGCCACTGTGCTTCTGTTGAAAGCTAAAGTAAGGGAGTGGTTATGTCTACTATTTGTCTGCATTGAGCTTTGTTAGGGGCCAAGAGAATCATTCTTGAGGGGAACTGAAAGAGAATCCAAGGAAACTGTAAGCATACATCAGGCAGTAGAACGAGGGCTCTGCCTGAAGGGCTTGACTAGAGAGGAGAAGGTAAATAAACTGAATTTCCTTTGGTAAGAAAGTGGCAGCAGGCTTGAAATGCAGACTGGAAGAGAGAGCAAGGGCAGATTACTCTGAAAGCAGAAGAGATAACTGCTTTGCAATGAATTGGGGCAGCACAGTGGTGAAGAGGGTGGGCTCTGGAGCAGAATGTCTATTGCTAGATCCAAATCCTGGCTCTTACAATCACCACTTACAAGCTGTGTCAACTCGTGTAAGTTAGTAAGTTACTTAATCTCTCTGAACCTTGGATTTCCCTTCTACAGAAAGGAAATAATAGTACCTATTTCATAAGAATGTTGTGGGATAAGATGAGCTGTAAAATGTAAAACTCTTAGTACACATAGTAAGAGCTTGATAAATGTCAGTAATTATTACCATTCATGGTCGTTCCTTCTGTCCCCACCCTGATCCAAGCTGTGCATCATCTTTCACCTGGACTAATGCAAAGACCTCCTCATCGCTCTTTTCATATCTATTCTTGTGTTACCACTGATTTGTTTTCCACCTAGCTAGGGTGATATTTTAAAATAAAAATCTCAAGTTACTTCTTTGCTTAAGATGTTTCAGTAATTCCCCCTTCACTTAGGATTTTAGTCTTTATTAGTCTTTATAATAAAGACTCTTTTGGTCTTGATAATAAGGACGACTAAAATTCTTAGTATGTATTCTGAGGAACTACTCCATCTAGTCTGTGCTGATCTCTGCAGTCCAGCCTCATAGGCCCTCTTCTAGATCCCCAAGTGTGCCACCTTTTGCCTACCTAAGGGCCTTTGCGTTAAAATATTTTAGAGAAGCAATGACATTGCCTTCCAGGTGGAGGGTTCTCTACTGGTGTGACACTCTCTCCCAACTCCATTACTACTCTGCCACATGTGAGATGAAGTCATTGACCCGATGGGCCAATCTTGGAGGAATAATGGGCCTCAGCTCATCTTTGCCCTTCTCCCTCTTGGAAGCACATTTTCCACAGGGAACATGTGCTTCCTCACATTCATTTACGGGGAGGCACTTTCCCACTATGTGGGACCCTGCCCTGGTCTGGCATCACCTGTGACTGTGAGCCCAAGCCTACCTCATCATGGAATCTGTTAACCATTCCTCCTCACTAACAAGCTAATGCCGTGGCCTCTAGTTTGGCTTTTATCAGCACCAAAGAGGCTCCGTGGAGTCTACTCCTTTTCTTCTGGATTGGGATGTTTGTAGTCATTCATGGTGGGAAAGTACTTCTGAGAGGATAGTGGTGAAGATCTTTCTGTGCCTTATTATGGAATGAACTGTACTCAGATTGGACTGTAGGCCTATAGCCTATGAAATGACTAAATATTAATGTGCCTGATTTAAGGTCTTACCAATGCAGTACTCATATGCTTGGACAGGGCAGTGGAAATGGAAATGTGTTTTGCTTTTGGTTGAAAAACAAAGAAAAGTAGACTGGCCCAGAGATTTTCCAGGAGGGGGAGCCCTTGTTCCTTGTTCCCATTCAAAGCTGTGAGGGTTTTCATCATCTGTGACTAAGTTACAACAGAACGAGTAGAACAAACACAATCATTGCTATATGTCATGCTAAGCAAATAGGAGAAAATTGTCATAGTTTCTGTTTGGCATTATTTATCCCACAGAATTAGCTCTTTACCTATATGGAACTCAGTTTTGTAGGAGAGTGTCTTTATAATTCCTGCCGTGGTTTTGACAGTTATAGACATTGCATATGTCCTTTTTGCAAGATGCTAGGCTAACCTCTATTTTAGCTTTAAGTTAGAAGGAAAATATAAAACAGAATTAGGAATGTGAGCTCCTTATTTAACTGTATTTTCTCCTTAGCTTTAATCTTCCCCATTCTTTTCTCCAAATCCTTTCTTTAGAAAAACATGTGATTGACAGTACCAACACCCTATTTTGCAGTGTGTTAACTTCTTGAGTAGTTAACATACTGCAATATCATCATTATTAGCTTTCAGAACGGTTTTCAGTACATTAATGTGCATCAGACCAACTAAGCTGGAAACTCTTCTCTTGACATCTCTTCTTATTTTCCCAGAACTTGTAGCACAAAACTGGACACCTTGATTCCTGACAAATGTTGTATTAGTCCGTTTTCATGCTGCTAATAAAGACATACCTGAGACTGGGTAACTTATAAAGAAAAGAGGTTTAATTAATTCACAGTTCAGCATGGCTGGGGAGGCCTAAGGAATCTTAGAGTCATGATGGAAGGGGAAGCAAACACGTCCTTCTTCACATGGAGGCAACAAGGAGAAGTGCTGAGCAAAAGAAGGGAAAGCCCCTTATAAAATGGTCAGATCTTGTGAAAACTCACTCACTATCATGAGCATAGCAGCATCAGGGTAACCACTCTAATGATTCAGTTATCTCCCATCGGGTCCCTCCTACGACATGTGAGGATTATGGGAACTACAATTCAAGATGAGATTTGGGTAGGGACACAGCCCAACCATATCAAATGTTAAAAATGGTCATTTAACAGATGACTGGACTCTAAAAAAACAGATAGGAGTGATGGCTAGGAGCCAGTGTAGGTTCACCTAAAACAAGTTACCCCAAACTAACCTCATTTAAAAAATATTATTCTGGGCATATTGATTCTGAATTTCAGTAATATCTGTCACCCCAAATTTCTCATGTTATCTTTGTGGATAGGATAGAATTAAGCCTCAAATAATATAGTTACATGGCTTTACAAGTGGTTAAATAAAACATATTTAATATGTTTTATATAAAACATATTAAACCTGAAAAAATTGTTAACATTAATTTGTAGAGAGGTCTCTAGTAGTTTGCCATAGCTTTATTGGTTTAATTAAAATTTCTTTTGGTGCATTTAGCCTGTTTTTTTTTTAATGTATATTTGTCTACAGCTTTGGAAGAACATATAAAAGGCATGTGTTTGAAATTTTCTGATGACACAAAGCTGGGAGGAATATTTAATGCTTTAGATAGTATACTCAAGATTAAATATTTTTTCATTAGGCTGGTGTAATAGGAAATATGAAAGATGTATACATAAATATTTTAAAAACCAACTATAAATGTATAGAAAGGGAAAGATGATTTAATAGTGATTTATGTAGAAATGATCTAGGAATTTTTGTTGATCAAAACTTAATATGAAGATATAGTGAGACACAATTGCCAGAATGCCAATGAAATCTTTGGACATGTCAGTACAATAGTTCAGAACACAGGACATCAAAGTCCTTACTATACATAGACTTGTTGAGCTAGATCTGCAGTTGTGTTTGGTTCTAGGCATCATGTTTTAAGAGAGATGCAGAGAAGCTGGGATGGACCCAAAAGAGCCTCACTGGGAAGAAATGTCTGTAAAATAAATCATAGAGAATGGTTGAAAGGTTTGGGAATGTCTGAGTCAGAATAAATATTTATGGGAGTCCTATGAGTGGTTCTCAAGTATTTGAAGGTTATCAACATAGAAAGGCCTTAGACTTGGTCTAGGTGACCCCAGGCATGGAATTTGCTATGTGGCAAGAAGACACTTCTCAAAAGAAGACATACATGTGACCAACAAATATATGAAAAAATGCTAAATACCACTAATCATTAAAGAAAGGCAAATCAAAACCACAATGAGATGCCATCTCACACCAGTCAGAATGGCCATTATTAAAAAGTAAAAAAAGAAAAAAAAATAACAGATGTTGAGGTTGCAGAGAAAAAGGAATGCTTATACACTGTTGGTAGGAGTGTAAATAAGTTCAGCCATTGTGGAAAACAGTGTGGCAATTCCTCAAAGAACCTAAAACAGAACTAGTATTTGACCCAGCAATCCAATTACTGGGTATACACCCAATGGAAAATAAATCGTTCTACCATAAAGACACATGCACTTGTATGTTCATTACGGCACTATTTACAATAGCAAAGACATGGAGTCAACCTAGATGCCCATCAATGGTGGACTGGATAAAGAAAAATGTGGTACATATACACCATGGAATACCACACAGGCATAAAAAAAGAATGAAACATGTCCTTTGCAGCAGCATGGGTGAAGCTGGAGGCCATTATCTGAAGTGAATTAACACAGGATCATAAAACCAAAGACTGCAAGTTCTCACTTATGAGTGGGGGCTAAACAATGAGTACTCATGGACATATACAGCAGCAATAGACATTGGGGATTACTAGAGTGAGGAGAGTGAAAGGGTGGGGTAAGGGTTGAAAAACTACCTATTGGATACTATGCTTGTTACTAGGGAGAGTGGATGTCCCAGCTCTTGTCTAACTTGGAAGAAAGATTTCAACCAAGAGACAGTACAAAGATAGCAAAAAATTTTATTGAAAAGAAATATATTGTAAAGAGCTTATTGTAGGAAAAATGGGTACACCCCAAAGGAGGAGTGGGATGATCCTGTGCGAAAACAGTTCCAAAGGTTCTGCACAGGGAGCTTTATCATGCTGGACTTTTTCTGCAAATTACTGCCCCTGTCTCAAGTCTCCACCTTTCTCCTTTGCCTAGTTTTTCCCGCTCCTGCCTTAACTCCTCACCTAGGCTTGTGGGACCCTCCCTTACTGTTGGTTAATGTGCATGTGTGGGCTGGTGATCAGTACAAATCCTGTCTGATGGTGGCCCTGCTCATTGCTGCCACCCCAGAAAGGTTGTATAGTGGTCAAATCTATACCTGTTGGGCCTACATATCTCTTTGGAATTTCCTTGTGTGTCCTAATCTGTACTTGTGGTGCCAGGTTTCTCTTGGTAATGTCCCCTTTGCCCATCTTTTTTCCTTTTTTTTTTTTGGCAGAGTCTTGCTCCATCACCCAGGCTGGAGTGCAGTGGTGCAATTCCGGCTCACTGCGACCTCCGCTTCCTGGGTTCAAGCGATTCTCCTGCCTCAGCCTCCTCAGTAGCTGGGATTACAGGCGTGCACCACCATGCCTGGCTAATTTTTGTATTTGTAGTAGAGAGGGGGTTTCATCTTGTTGGCCAGGCTGGTCTCGAACTCCTGACCTCAAGTGATCCACCTACCTCTGCCTCCCAAAATGCTGGGATTATAGGCGTGAGCCACTGTGCTTGGCCCCCTTTGCCCTTCTTATTAGCATGTAGCTAACGACATTCTGACATTTTAACTGCAGAGTGAATGATTATTGGGGTGTCTTAAGAGGCATTCCGCGGTGTTTCTTTCTGTGTGGCTACCTTCTCGCTCTCCTACCCACATATGACTAAGTGCCCCCCGACAAGCATTAGAAATGGCATTAATATGCAAATTTTGGGTGGTCCCTCAGGTGTGAGCCTTCCCAGAGGTTTCCTTTCCCAGGAGCTCCCCTCCTGTTAATGTCTAGCTCTCCACCCACTCTAACATGCTCTTTACCTGACGACAGGATCATTCATACACCAAACCTCAGTGACATGTAGTTCTCTCATGTGACAAGCCTGCACACATGCTCCTGAACCTAAAATAAAAGTAGAAAAAAATAGTTATTAAAAAAAAAGAAGTTATAGGGAGGCAGATTTGGGTTCCTCATAATAAGGACCATTCCAGCAATTCCCGTTCTGAAATGGGGACGGGCTGCCTTGCGAGGCAGTCAGTTTCCCATCCCAGGAGATCTTCTAAGACAGACCTAGGAGCCCCTTGTCGGAGGTATCTAAAAGGGTCATGCTTTGGGAAGGTGGACCAGATGATTTCTGAAGTTCCCTCCTGCCTTGCGGGCTCCAACAGGAACTCAATACTGCATACAGTAGGTACTCAAGCAATGACTGCCAAATAGTTGAGTGCTTAAGTCAGAAATCTCAGGGGTAGACTTTTGCATTTGATACATATTTAGTTACAGGTGAGTTTATGGCATGGACCAGTAATTTCATCTAGTATCAGGAGCATATCATCTTGGGAAAAATGAAGGCCTTGAGCCACACAGAGTTGAAATTTCCTAGATAACCGGCTTATCTTTCTTACTCTGGCTCAGGCTTGTAGGTTTTAGAGCTATTTCTGATCATGAGCAATGCCTTGCCCCAAACTAACATGATGCTATTTCTTTTCCAGGATAATCGTATCCACACATCGAAATATAATATTCTCACCTTCTTGCCAATTAATTTATTTGAACAGTTCCAAAGAGTGGCAAATGCCTATTTTCTTTGCCTTCTGATTTTACAGGTAATATTTAGGTTGTATTTCTCTATTATCTGTTTGTTTAAAGTATTCATAAAATTGTAAAAAGTAAGTCAATTTACTTAGCTAAATGTTCGTGATTAGGTACAATCATCCTTTATCAGATTTTTAATCTTGTTGTTGCTGTTTCTTTTCACAAACGTGGGAGAGGTAGGAATGGTTAAAAAGTAGTACATTCATCATTTTAAACACTGAGGTCACTTTAAAACACAGCCTTGCACTTTATTTGAACCAAACCAGAGCCTAATAATTACTGTTCACAGCCTCCCTCCTTTCTTTATCTCCCTTTCACATCTACAGTGTGGGGATTGCCAGAGTTGAGGCAGAATCTTAGGTGACTAAGACTGAGTAGGTTGCAGAGCTTAATTCTGCACATTTCATTTTCATTTAAGAACAGTGACATATTTTTAATATATATAAAGTGATGATGCTATATGTTATTTCACTGTAGGTGACTACTTTTACAGTTTTGAATGGTTAATTGGTATTTAGTAACCTTTGCTTTTTCTCCTAACTAAAATTTGCCTTTAAATGAAATTTCAGCTTTTATGGATATTTTGGGAAGGAAAAACATATGAATCAAGGAAGCTACATATATACTGTACACATACATACTATACACACACATAAATAGTTCATGTTAGCCAGTTATTTACCTAGTATTTATGTTAGCATACTTTAAGCAGATCAAACTGGTAGGTCAAGAATGGCTAAGAAGTAAGAAGATGGATTAGATTAATAGATTTGAGTACTGTTTTCTCTTTAATTGAATATCTATTTAAGAATATGTTTCAAGTGACAGAAATCTTAATTAGTTTGAGCAAAAGATAAATTATTCATGGGTATCTCATTTCAGGTATTACTGGATTCATGGGCACAATTTCATCAGGATGTGGCTTCTCTTTCTCTGTTTTTGTTTTGTTTTGTTTTTGTTTTTGTTTTCACACATTGGCCTTTCTTAGGTAGGCCCTCTACTTGGTGGCCCTGACAGCTTCCTGGTTTCAACTCAAGTCAGAGAGAGAGAGAGTGGGGCAGAGAGGGGGAGGGGGAGAGAGAGAAAGAGAGAAAGAGAGAGAGAGAAAACGAATGAAGGAATTACTTTTTCTGTTGCTCCAGCAAAAGTCTTGAGATTAGTTCTGATTGGAGCTGTATCTTCATTCCTAAACCTGTCACTGTGGCTCAAGAGTTTGATCCAGTAATTGGCTTAACCAAGATCATATGCCAAACCCTGGATCCATGGTGGAATCAGTTTCCTAAAGTTATGTGGACAGAAAGTGAGGGGATATGATGGTTCCCTAAGAAATAGGAGTATATTTGAGAAGAACTGGGTGCTGATCAGGAAAACAAAAACAAACAATGAATAAACATCTTACTATTTGTTGAAGAAAGCTTAGAGTCCAAATTTCTTCCCCCCACCTCTCCCCATGAAGTTGCTTTTGGTTTCTTCAAGTAACACTTCACACCATTCCAGAATTTTGAATTCATTTCTCTAATGGCTTTCTCATTTGTGGCCAAAGGCTCTTGTTCATAGAATTTTATATTTAGAAGGGAACTTTGGGATGGTTCAGTCTAACCTCTCCTTTCTTTATTGCTGAAGAAATTAGACCCAGAGAGATTAGGTGGTAAAGCTTTCACCATGAGTTGATGATGAACTAGGACTAGAATTTAGCTTTTCTGACACCAAGCTCAACATTTTTACTGCTACATCAGAGGCTTTTGAGTTTTTTTTAAAAAATCTTACATGGAAGCTGCTATGTAAAATTGATTTAGAGTTGTTTTGATGGGGCCTGATCTTTAGCCACTGACCGTCTCTACCCCATCCTTTCCTGCCTGATGGCCCCGAAGCAGCAGATTTTCAAATGAATCCCATTTGAAAACCACCTAAGAGATTTATGTCCACTGTCACTATGTCTCTCTTATGTGGGTGGCTTTGGAGGTATGGGCACAAGGGAATAGGGCTTGGAGTCCAAGAGACCTAGTTTCAAATTTTAACAGTATGTGATCTTGGCCCAGTTGCATGACCTGTTAGATTCTTCATTTATAAAATTGGGACATGATACCCAGGTCTGCAACATTTCCTGACTCCTGGTCACCCGTCATAATGTAGTATTCTGTGTTGTGTACTGGGGGTACTATTTATGTGGAATACAAACCTTCTGGGATTATACAAAAACAATCCTAGTAGGAATCTAACTCAATGAACTTTTCCGAGGATTAAATGATGTAATAAATGGAAAGTACCTGGCACAGTGTCTGGTGCAAGGCAGATGTTCAAACAATCTCTCTTTGGGAATTGGTAAAAAGAGGAGTTGGTAAAATTGTTAAAAGTTGAGATGAAAAGCAGAAAAAGATGGGTGAAATTTAACATATTGGAGAAAGTGATCATCTGTGAGAGATTTCAAGAAGCTTCTCCCCTTGCTATAAAAATTTCAGTTTTTGGTTAGGTAGTTTGAAAACAAGTTCAATAATAATTCTACTCTATGTGTCTTATAACCAAATACAAACACTTAAATTATTGAAAGTCATTCTCCATTTGTACAAATAAGTCAATATAACCCCATTAATTTGAAATTAAATGACACAGTTTGGAAGATATATTTTCTAACTTTAAAAGCCCTAAACTATTTGGAATGTTTGTTTCAGCTAATTCCAGAAATTTCCTCCTTGACCTGGTTTACCACCATTGTGCCTTTGGTCCTGGTGATAACTATGACAGCTGTCAAAGATGCCACAGATGACTATGTGAGTATTTGCTCTTGAGCATTCTTGAGGTCTCAATTTCAGTTGTGGCTTCTCAGAAATAGATAATGAAGATACATTTGAAATTTTGAATGAAGTTATTTTGGTTAATATCATATAAAGCTATTTTACTATTTGTTTGATGATTAATACAGGTGCTGTAAAACCAGAGCCTGTTTAAAAGCAAGAAGGCTTCAGTAACTAGATTCACTTTCTCCTTTTATAGATGAGAAAACTAAAGCCCAGAAAGAGCTAGTGATTTGCTAATAATACAACCAATTTGTGGAAGAGCAGAATTGGAAATCAACCTGCATTCACTCAGTGAAGTGTTACTTATTCTTTATCACATGTCTTTGTTTAAGGTTTGAGAGCTGGTAAATATTAGGTATTCTTATACATTCTTGTCATTATATTAGGAGTTACAAAGTCAAATATAGTTGATCCTTGAATGATGTGGGGGTTAGGGACACCAACTCCCTGTACAGTCAAAAATTCATGTATAAGTTTTGACTCTCTCAAAACTTTACTAATAGCCTATTGTTGGCCAGAAGCCTTACCAATAACATAAACAGTTGATTAACACATATTTTGTATGTTATATTTATTATACACTGTATTCTTTTTTTTTTTTTTTTTTGAAACGGAGTCTCGCTCTGTCGCCCAGGCCGGACTGCGGACTGCAGTGGCGCAATCTCGGCTCACTGCAAGCTCCGCTTCCCGGGTTCACGCCATTCTCCTGCCTCAGCCTCCCGAGTAGCTGGGACCACAGGCGCCCGCCACCGCGCCCGGCTAATTTTTTGTATTTTTAGTAGAGACGGGGTTTCACCTTGTTAGCCAGGATGGTCTCGATCTCCTGACCTCATGATCCACCTGCCTCGGCCTCCCAAAGTGCTGGGATTACAGGCGTGAGCCACCGCGCCCGGCCTACACTGTATTCTTATAATAAAGTAAGCTAGAGAAAAGAAAATGTTATTAAGAAAATTATGAAGAAGAGAAATATATATGCTATTCATTAAGTGGAAGTAGATCATCATGAAGGTTTTCATTCTTGTCATCTTCATGTTTAGTAGGCTAAGGAGGAAGAGGAAGAGGAGGGATTGGTTTTACTGTCTCAGGGGTTGCAGAAGCAGAGGAAGGGGAAGCAGGAGAGCAAGCACACTCAATATAGCCTTTAGAGAAAAAAAATCTGTGTATAAGTGGACCTGTGCAGTTCAAATTTATGTTGTTCAAGGGTCAACTGTAGCTTCAAAAGTCAGGAAACTAATGTAAATAAGTCAGATATAAGGCAATAGAGAATTTTAAAGTCTGCATAACCCAAAGGAAGTCATTCTCACTCAAAGACAAAACATAGTCTTGGGAAAACCAAACATTCTAAATCCAGACAAATTATATTTTCATCCTGAGTGATTGCATGTGCCCCCTCAATAACTGTCTATGCCAATGAGTTACAGGTTTATATTCCTAGCCCAAGTCACTCCTCTGAGCTCACACCCATATTTCCTGTTGCCTATTTTTAACCCATCTGTATCTTTAAAATGGTTTTCTTGTAGACAGCATATATAGTAGGCTAATAATTTTTAATAAAATCTGAAAATCTCTGCCTTTCAATTGGAATATTTAACCCATTTATGTTTAATATAATTATCATTATGGTTAGGCCATCTATTATCTAGCTGTTGCTTTCTATATGGCCCATTGGCTCTTCGTTCTATTTTTCTCTCCCTACTTTTAGATTAACGGAGTGTTTTTTGTGATTCCATCTTATCTATATTATTGGCTTAACAGACATACTTTTTCATGGTTGTTTTAGTCTGTAATAGTCCATCTCAAGCAATCTGGCTTCAGAACACTGGCACTTACTCACCACACCCCTCTGTGCTAAGCTATATGGAGAATGCAGAAATGAAAGAGACACCAGAAAATGAAGTTAAAAAAAACTTAACATTCAGTAGAGGGAGGTGGGTCATGTTCATGAACAACAATAATATGAGATAAAAATGGTGTGAAATTCATAATTTAAAAGAACCAAAGTGCTTTGGTTCTTTAAGGGGGGAAGATGAACTTCAGTAGCTAGATTGATAACAGAGGTGGGATGTGTGAAAGAGAATTAGGGAAGATATTATGGAGAAAGTGGGAACTCACCCCTGCTAAGAGTAGTTGAGTATGGTGAAGACATATGGGAAGATTTGTACTTATCAAGTTGGTTCATGTGATATTTCCTCATAGTTATCTTACATATAATTTTTTGATAAATCAACAATTTGATGCAAGTCATTTTAAAAGAGCACACATACACACAAATAATGCATGTGTCTTCATATATCATTTTTTAAAGAATACACAGGATATAACTCTTCATTTCTTAATGAAATTTCTAGCCTATTTCATGGTTCACATTTTGACTATAACCTTTGAGGTTAGTTAGTTTTTTTTTTTTTTTTTAAGACAGAGTCTCACTCTGTCACCCAGGTTGGAGTGCAGTGGCATGATCTCGGCTCACTGCAACTTCTGCCTCGTGGGTTCAAGCAATTCTCTTGCCTCAGCCTCCTGAGTAGCTGGGACTACAGGTGTATGCTGCAACGCCTGGCTAATTTTTTGTGTTTTAGCAGAGATGGGGTTTTACTGTGTTGGAAATTTTTTGTTTGTTTGTTTGTTTTGAGACGGAGTTTTGCTCTGTCACCCAAGCTGGAGTGCAGTGGCGCAATCTTGGCTCACTGCAACCTCCGCCTCCCGGGTTCAAGAAATTCTCCTGCCTCAGCCTCCTGAGTAGCTGGGACTATAGGCACGCACCACTACACCTGGCTAATTTTTTGTATTTTTAGTAGAGATGGGGTTTCACCATGTTAGCCAAGATGGTCTCGATCTGACCTCGTGATCTGCCTGCCTTGGCTTCTCAAAGTCCTGGGATTACAGGCATGAGCCACCATGCCTGGCCCCAGATTTTTAACAAACACATAGGATCCATCCACACTGATGAGTAATATCACATTAAAGTGGCTAACTTGGGATGTTCCTGGAGTTTACTGATTCCTGTGAGGTTGCCGTTGTTCAAGGTACTTTGGGGTCTCTTCTTATAGAATTGTCTTCTGAAGGTCAGTGTACAAGGTAGTCTTATGACTTAATGGCTTCACAGCTTTGGAAACAAATGCTACTTCTCAAGCCTAATCAAAAATCTTATCAACCAGACATGCTTTCTAAGAGTGGCTTTCATATATTTCAAAACATGAGACATCTCATTATGTCTTTTCAAAGGACATAGAGCTCAATTCTCAAAGGATAGAGAACATTCTGAGGAACGGGCTATGAGCTCCAGAGGTAATTCTAAGAGAGGAAATTTCAACAATCATTTGAGCAATGGCATCTTTGGAGTAAATGTGTGGTTTTTCCTTGTTATCTGATTTTTCAGGGAAATGGTACTCATTTAGATGCATGAGTTCCTACATATTGGCCTTAAAGGTCTTCATTATAGTCACACTTCATAGAGGAATAAATGGTAGAGTAGAAAGAATATTGGCTTTGGAGAAAGACACCTTACTATCCTACCACCTTACCCTACCATGTACTAACAGTTTGACATGAGGCAAATGACTTAACTTCTCAAATCTTTCCTTTTCTGTATAACATGGCCAATGACACCAGAGCTGTTGGGAAGACAGAAAGAGATATGTGTAAAGCATCAGGTATAGAACCTAGCTCACAGGGAGTACACAATGAATGCTAGCCCTCTACTTCCTTTCTTTCCTGTGGAAGTTCCCCTCTGAGACTTCATATTTATTTCTTAGAGGAGAAATTGTCAATAAGAGTCAGGCTGGCCTTGAAACTACCATTTCTAATCCTTCCAGACTCCATCTACTCCAATATCAAGTCCTGTTGGTAAAACCTGAGCAGAAGTAGAAGTGATTGCATCTCCCCGAGAGTGAGCTGCTCAGCTTTTGGGGGATGAGCTGACTGGTCTTTTTCTGTGATGTTCAGCTAGTCAATTTAGGGGATTTACATGACTAAACAAAAAGTCTCCTTTTGATTCCATTGCAGTTAATGCTTGAATGTGCTTTCACCTTTTGTGATGTTATGTGCCAGTTCATTAACTGGACACCTTCACCAGTCAGGGTCTTGGCAAAACACAGAGGTT
This sequence comes from Homo sapiens, assembly GCF_000001405.40. Lineage (NCBI taxonomy): Eukaryota > Metazoa > Chordata > Mammalia > Primates > Hominidae > Homo > Homo sapiens. The sequence continues at coordinate 50,040,467 of NC_000015.10, read as the reverse complement.
ATCCTGAAATTGGGTGGATTGGAGAGTTTAATAATGATGGGATCATTCACAAAGGGTGTGGGCAAGGAAAAGCAGCTATGGCAGCAACATGGTTGGCAATACTACTAGACCTGAAGAGGCAAAGGAATGAAGGAGTGACCAGACCTGGAGACGTAGTTGAGGCCTGTTTGTAGCAGCTGTGGCTATCTGTGGAAGCAGCCATTGCTAACCCAGCTAGAAGAAAGCCAGGGGATAAATTCCCTCATTTCACTCTTCTCTGACTCGAATCTTCTGCCAGTACTATCTGTTGGCCAAATCTTACCAGAAGCCACAGGGCAGGGACCACAGAGCCCAACTTTTCATGGCACAGGGCAGAGTGGAGACGAATGCTGTGTAGATATGGTGGAGGAGAGAATATTCAGCAACCCTTCCAAATTGTGCACTCAGATCAAATAATGTTTCCATTTCTGTTGTTCTACTCGTAGGAAGAAGTTTTCATGTCAATGGGTGACGTGTGACTTAATTTACTTCTTTACCAATATTATAAACTATTTTTATGTTAACAAATGCTAAACAGCTTGTTTTCTTATTTTTACTGGTAATATCTATTAACTTATACCTGTCATTCTGAGTAATTGTATGTACTGGGCATAGCATAATAGAAAGATTGGGATGGATTTGGGAAGGCTGTAGAAAAAGGAAAAGGGCTGGTTGAAGCATTTTGTATTTTGTGATTTTGACACAACATTTTGTATTTAAGAAAAAAAGAAAACATTCTGATGATTAAAGTCTATGAAATCGAAGTTTCTGTCTCCTGAAAAGACTACCCCTATTCATCTGTGCATGTAGGCTAATTTGCTGAAATAACTATATTATAGCCTATTACTAATGGTATTACCATTTTCTCTATATTACTTTTTTTTCTCTTATAGCCTACTACTACTATCTGATCTTGACATTTCACATAGGAAGACTTACCTGAATGACTGCTAATTTATGAGCCTAGTAGAGAGCTCTTAATATTGAGATTCTTTCAAGCTATATAAGATGCTTACATTACTGGATTAAACAATAAGAAATACAACCATTTGGACATAAATCACAAATCTACACCAAATGTGTTTCAGTATTGGATTCTAATTTTTGCTTTAAATGCTCAGTACTTCATAAGATCACTGTTAACAATTAGAGTTTCTGGAGAATAAAAATTGATGTTGTTACAAGTAACTTCTTGACTTCAAAGAAATCCATAAAACAGAAAGAATGATGTTCTAATAAAGCATTCAGTACACATGGGAGAGAAATGGAAGCCCCATTCCTTGTTAAAGACATCAAAATTAATACATGGTTTTCTCTGAGACTATAAGGTACAGTAGAGAGCATATTGTCTTCTTAGAAGCAACTAAACGTGTGGAGATTGGAAGAGTAGTGGCTAGCCTTGTTGTTTCATTGGTGACATCCGGAGTGTAATGTAGTGAGAAGGGTTTTGATTTAGATTTAGAACATGTAGAGCTGGGTTCACAGGAAGCTCAAACAGTGTCATCTTAGACCAGTGACAACACAGTTTAAATGGATGAACTCAAAGTATTGCCAGTGTGCTTATTTGGGCTGACAAAGTACCTTGTAATGTGTTTTCTCACAAACACTTTGATTTTTCAGTTTCGCCACAAGAGTGATAATCAAGTGAATAATCGGCAGTCTGAAGTGCTCATCAACAGCAAGTAAGAAATACATTCTGTGGGTTATTCTGAAAATTTCTAGGACCCTGAAACAGCTCTTGACGATTGGTGGCTTTCTCTTTTAATTAGATACATGATTCTTTTTTCCCTTTAATTTATTAAAAATTGAACTTTAATTCCATTTTATCTTCATGGCTCTCTTTTATGTTCCGCAAATGCTTGTGCTACTCACTCAACTTTGACTTCAGATTCCTTTGGTGTACCTTTTATGGAACACAGACACATCTTTGTCACTTTCCATTTCTAGATCCAGTACTATTTAGAATTGGTGCATATGGGGTTCTGTATGTGGTAGATGTTTCATGAGTGTGTGAATTATTTAATTTGGTAATTTCTGGGGAATATTGCTAGAGAGACTTCTCACACATTACTGTATCAAGTGATAGTGATAAGAATTTTGTATTCACTTGATAGTGGAATATACATGGGCCATCTACCATAGTACAATTTTTTCATTGCTTTTATATTCATCCATCAATGAAGAAAAAGTATTTGTGGGAACAGTGCTAGAATCAGAAATGCTTTAAAAACACATGCATTTATCCACAAACGACTGCAAAAACACCTCCAGAAAACTTAGCAGGGGTAATTTTAAAACTTCTTTCCATCATTTCTTACTCTCTTTTTTGCTGTCCCCCCCTTATTTTTTTGCTAATGATAATGTGGCAAAGTAAATTTTAATGATGTACTTAAATCTGGCAGTCAGTCACATCAGGCAATGATTTTGAATCATTTGGATACCGTGAAGAATGTAATTTTTAAAGAGAAAATCATAAAATGAATTAGCCATATGTGAGGGAAAATGCTAAAGATATCAAGAGGGGCTAGGTAGCTTAGGCAATACATGGTGATATTGAAGTAATCTCTATAACTAAAATATTGATTGATTTCTAATAACATAATGAATACCTACAGTTTTTCTTTTGGCTTGTTTTAGAAAATGGTGTAAAAAGGACAGTGAAGAAAAATGATCTTAAGTTAAAACCATAGTTGTAGAGACAGAGCCTTGGAAAGTGTGATCCTGGTGTGACATGGATAAGCCATAAAGGTGCCTGGACCCCCATGGTTCAATTCCAGGTTAGCTGGTTTTGAATCATTGCCGCCACAATATGGTGTTAAAAGTATGCATTTTGCACTGAGAGACTTAAGTATGAGTTTTGTCCTACTCTGAATAATTCTGTGGTCTTGGGGAAGTTTTTAATATCTGTAAGCACTGGATTTCTCCTCTGTAAGGTGGGGTTATAATGTGTTCTCTCCCATGGATGGAGTTGCTGTGAAAGTTAAAGGAGTTCTGTAAAATGCTTGGCCCAGTGTCTTGTATGTTGTTAGCATTCTCCATGTAGTCTTGTTACTTCTTTAAAAGGCTCTTTATAAGACAGAGTATGTGTGGTTGTGGGTAGCACTGTTGCATATCTTGACTTTCTCAAGTCTGAAAGTTCTGACTGTGTATTAGATCTGATGTTAATACGTTCCTTTCTCAAGGAACATCTAATCATCAGTCTCATTACTTTGAAGTCTCATCTCATATAAAGTGTGTTAAAAGTAAATACACTTACGTAGTGAATTTGAACTAATAACTCTAGCATATCTTTTAATGTCTCTCAAATTACCAGTCAAAATACCTGGATTGTGATAGACGTTGGGGCCTCTATTTGGAGGCTATGGGATTAATCCAATAACTTCGATATTCAGAAATTTGATGACTATATGTCTCCCACACATGGTGACTGTCATTATCATTATCATTTGAAATAGTGTTAGTGTTACTTTCTTGTGGTTTTATTTAGCTTTTTGTTAATTCCTTGTGAGATAGTATCTCTTTGTAACTCAATATGGCATGATGTATTGAAAAGCATTGTTGCCGATCCTGTAAAGTTGAAGGGAGAATCATCTATCATTGAGAATGGAATGGAGCATTTTTTAGGATTCAGTGAAAAATCAGGCAAAAATGTCCATTTGAGAGATTATCCACAACCTTGAGCTTCTCTAGGGTAGGGGTCCTTTCTCTTGATTGTGTTTGTGTCCCTTGAGCCTACCACAGTATCTGTTGAATTTTCAAACTATGCTGTAACAAGTCCTTGCAGAGAGGGCAACCTACAAGACGGGCTTGTCCTGTTAAATTTTGCTAAATCCCATCATTAGCCAATTCCAGTGCATATGGTGGTTTCTGTAGAATGTGCTCAGGCTATGGAGACTGGCTTTTCACTTTTTGGATTTTGAGATATTGGGGAAATCGGTTATGGAGGATGCTGTTGGGGTTCTGCCCAGATCTCCCTGTCTTCCTGTGCTCATCCCCAATCACCCATGTGCATTACTTCTATGAGCTTGCACCTGCCGCTTTCTTCATGGCTTGGCCCTTGGGATATTGGACCCAGTGACCAACTGGCGCACGAGCGTCAAACAGCAGCTCTCCTGCCTCAGGTTGGACAAACACTGAGGTGTAACTTGCACTCATGAGTGCCCCTTGAGCTCGGGCTGAGGACAGGACTTGCCTGCAATCACGCTCTTGCTTGGCTTCTTCCCCTTTCCTCTGTTGCTTCTCATCTCCCTTCCCAGTTTCTCCTAGAAATACTTTCTTAATGAACCACTTGCATGTGAATACTCATCTCAGGATCTGCTTCCAGGGAAGCAGGTATAAGATAGTAGTTAATGCATGATTAAGCCCATGGCAATATTAAGAGAAAATATTTAAAAAGTGTTTTGGCCCTATCCTTGGCATCTGTGGGCCACAATTCAGGAATAAAGTAAAATGGCTGGAGGGGATCTGGGCTCTGGGAGTCCAGGAGTTGCTGGGGTGGGTGTCACATTGGGTTGGGCACTGCCAGGTGCTTGTGGCTTCCCTTGTGTATTTCTGGCAGAAGGTCTTGGACTTAGGGTCTTCAAACTAGGGCAGGAGCCATTGGCATGTCCTGGAAGGAGGCAGGGTATAGTCAGCTTTGGAGAGGAGGACCCTAAAGGGAAGAAAGTGGGATGAAAAGTAGCAGTCAGGAAACCTGGGTCCTTGTAAGTGATTACTGTGTGACTTTGGGCAATTGATTTTCCTTCTGGGCTTCAGGTACCCCTTCTCCTGTGCTCAGGAGCCAGGATGGTGGGTGGCTACATTCAGATTCAACACGTTTATTGAGCAACTACTATGTGTGGGCCCCAGTGCTCCCACACTTAAGTCTCATAAAACCCTAAGGTGTGGGTAATAGTGCCCCAATTTTAAAGATGAGGAGATTAAGGCCCAGAAGGGATGACTAGCCCAGGGTTTCATGGCAGGTAAGAGTCTACGTTAGAGTTCTATCCATTCATGATGCAATGTGTCAAGTGTGGACTTTGTGGTCTCATCAAGTCTTCTCTATTTATTTTATGTTTGAAGGGCTTTGTATACAATCATATACATATAAACATCATTATGTAATATATATGTAGTTTACCTATATGTTAATTTGCATATGTAAGTACACACATACATCCACACTTTCAGTGCCTGGAGCATTACTCGTAACATTCTTAGCACCAAGTGAATTATAATGTAAACCTCAGCCACAATATAATTATGGAAGTGAAACCCTTCCCTTCTAACCTTCCTCTACAATTTCACTTTTTTTTTTGTTTTCTTAATCTATTCCTTTCAAATCAGGACAAATCTTTTGCCTTTACAAACTGTTGTAATATGTGAAAGTGCTTAAGAAATGGGTGTTGTATTAGCTTTTGGTAAAATCTTTTGATGACTTTTGTTTTAAAAGTAAGTAGCGGTGGCATGATTCCTTCTTGTAGACGTTAATGTGACTGCTGCACAAGAAGTGCACATTCTCAGCCCTAGGCTACAAGATACTGTTGGCAAGTCTGCGAGTACCAATACATACTTAAATGTTTCATAAGAGGATGTTTCCTCAAGTCATGCTAACTATTCCTGGCCACCGTGGGAGCAACTGGGCAGGTGAAGGGCAAATGAGAGGGATCCTGAAAGTTCCTGCAGAGGTCACCTAATCCCACGCTCCTCAAACTGGACATCACATTAGAATCACTTGGAGGAGTTAAAAAATACCCACATCCCATTTACAGCCCAGAGCAATTAAATGAGGGTCTTGGGGATGAGGCCCTGGTGTTTCTTAAAGTTTCCAAGATGAATCTAATGTACAGACAGGTTTGAGAACCTCTAATTGAAGCCATGTCTTTACCCATATCTGTCTGTTTATACTTATATTTTATGTCTAATTTTAAGAGACACTCAATGGCCGGGTGTGGTGGCTCATGCCCATAAACCCAGCACTTTGGGAGGCTGAGAAGGTGGATAACCTGAGATCAGGAGTTTGAGACCAGCTTGACCAACATGGTGAAACCCCATCTCTACCAAAAATACAAAAATTAGCTGGGCATGGTGGCAGGCACCGGTAATCCCAGCTACCCAGGAGGATGAGGCAGGAGAATTATTTGAACCCAGAGGGGGAGGTTGCAGTGGGCCGAGATCATGCCATTGCACTCCAGCCTGGGTGACAAGAGTGAAACTCTTTCTAAAAAAAAAAAAAAAAAAAACAAGGAAAGGAATTCCATTTAATCCAAAATGGCAAGCATCTATACACCGTTGGTGGGAATGTAAATTACTTAGTCACTGTGGAAAGCAGTGTGGATATTTGTCAAAGAACCTAAAACAGAACTACTATTTGACCCAGCAATTTCATTACTGGATATACACCCAGTGGAAAATAAGTCATTCTACCATAAATGCACACACACACATATGCTCATTGCAGCACTGTTCACAATAGCAAAGACATGGAATCTTCCTAAATGCCCATCAATAATGGACTGGATGAAGAAAATGTGGTATATATACACCATGGAATACTACATAGCCATAAAAAGGAACAAAATCATGTTCTCTGCAGCAACACGGATGCTGCTGGAGGGTATTATCCTAAGTAAATTAACACAGGAACAGAAAACCAAATACCACAAGTTCTCACTTATAAGTGGGGGCTAGTTATTGAGTACACAAGGATATAAAGATAGGAACAATAATCATTGTGAACTACTAGAGAAAGGAGAAGGGGAGCAGGACAGGGATTGGAAAACTACCTATTGAGTACTATGCCCACTACCTGAGTGGTAGGATCATTTGTATCCCAAACCTCAGCATCACACAATATTCCCATGTAACGATCCTGCACATGTATCCCCTGAATCTAAAATAAAAGTTAAATTATTAAAAAATAAGATGGTAAGCATAGTTTTTCACATAATAAATATTTTAAAAAGCTGAGGATTCTCTGTTCATTCTTCCAGGCTGCTAGCATCCCTTCTTTGTGTCATTATTAACAAATAGAGTCCATATCACTTCTTAACATTTTTACTTCTCCAGCATCTTCTAAACTTAAGATTTTGCATTAGAACAGTCTGAGATCAGATGCTTCAGTGCAATTACCCTTCATTTAGTCGGGATATTTCCCTGACACTTTTAGATTTTAAATTGTACTTGACTGTAAGCTTTTTGTGCAACATTCTACTTTATACTTTCCTGGGCATTGGTAAACTTTGCTTAAATCTCTGAAGCTCTCATAGGCCTGTTTCCATCAATCTTATTCATTTTTGGAAACTGTATTATGGGGAAAGGAAGGAGCTTTCTTTTACTACTGTAGAGTATTGTCTCTGCACTTTCCAAGTCTGGTGTTTCTAGATGCTGCATAATTACCTGAACAAATATACTCTTTCAATAGGAACAACTTGTTCAATCAACTTTTCTAGTTTGAGTGATGACTCCCTTTGGATATTAGGATTTAAAATTCTGTTTTATTTTTTCTTTGTTGTATATTTTTTTCCTTTATAAAAGCAGCATATATTCATTAAGAGAAATTTGGAAAACAAGAAAAAGTGGATGGAAGAAAATAACATTCATTCTTCCACTATCCAAAGTAATTATTGTTACTATTTTCTTATATTTCCTCTCTGTCTTTTTTTCTATGCCAAGATTTCTTATAATTATGTATTTACATTTTTATCCTTCTGCTTCTACTTTATATCATATCATTATGATTTCTTATTTCTTTATACATACGATTTTTAGGGGCTACATAACATTCCATCCAGTGCATATCTCACAATTCACGTACCATTTCTCTGTTGTTTGGATGTTTGTTTTCAATTTTAAAATATAATTTCTTGATCTTTCTTGATCTAGAACCAGAAATACCATTTGACCCAGCAATTCCATTACTGGATATTTGCCCAAAGTATTATAAGTCATTCTACCCTAAAAGCACATGCACATGTATGTTTATTGCAGCACTATTTACAGTAGCAAAAACTTGGAACCAACCCAAATGCCCATCAATGATAGACTGGATAAAGAAAATATGGCACATATACACCATGGAATACTATGCAGCCATAAAAAAGAATGAGTTCATATCCTTTGCAGGGACATGGATGAAGCTGGAAGCCATTATTCTCAGCAAACTAACACAGGAACAGAAAACCAAATACCACATGTTCTCATTCATAAGTGGGAGTTGAACAATGAGAACACATGGACATAGGGAGGGGAACATCACACACCAGGGCCTGTCAGGGGGTGGGGGGCAAGGGGAGGGAGAGCATTAGGACAAATACCTAATGCATGCAGGGTTTAAAACCTAGATGACGGGTTGATAGGTGCAGCAAACCACAATGGCACATGTATACCTATGTAACAAACCTGCACACGTATCCCAGAACTTAAAGTAAAATTTTAAAGAATAAATATTTGTTGAATCAAAAAGTATAATACATGTAAATCCCCAAACAGTAACAATTTAAAACAATTTGAATACGTTTTATATTACAATAATTAACTATATAGCATTTAAAAGTGAAGTATATAAAGTAGTAGTTCTGGTCTGTAGCATCTTGATAGCAAATTTGTGTATTGATTCAGAGGGGTGGCTAGCAGATCCTTCAGGCAGCTAGGAAGGACCTGTTCCCACCTTCCTTGTACTTCCAGGTTAGAGGCATGTAGACCTATGGTCAAGAGATTTATAATTTGCTGCTATATTCTTGGAAACAACTTACCAAGGAAGGTGGTGGTAGGGGGGTGGATGTATATGATATGGCCTTCTGCTGGATTTTATCCAGTATGTCAGTCTTGGGTAAGTGTGAATTACTACTCTTATTAAATATTCTCTTACTTTTTCTATTTGAGCACCTGCAACAAAAAAAAACCCAAAGATCATTGAACTCAGTGTATTTGCAGCTTACACACATTTAGTGTGTCTGTGTGTGTCTTGTAAGTGGGAGAGTGGGATCTTGTTGATCACATGGGAGAATTGATGTACCCTCCATTGAGTTATTCCCTTTCAATTGTGGGCTTGAAATTAGAGTGGTTAAACACAAGGCACAGGACCAACTACCGGAGTCTTTTATCTCCAGCCCACCCAGATTACGTATACATTATGATGGTACCACTGGGGCTAGGGGAAAGGTATTTAGGGTCTATAGGAACAGACTTGCAGATTTGAAAGAAGATTTTGAGGAGAAAAACTTGATTCTTTTTTTAAAAAACAATATTAATAAAACACACTTTTATGGGTGTAACAGCCATAGGCATAACAATGAGTTCAAAAGCAAGCTACAAAGAGTGGTCTCAGTGCTTTTTGAACTCAGTGAAGTGGTTTAAAAATGAATATTCAACTTACAGTAATAGTGCTTCAAAACAATTTTGCCTTCAATAAGTTAATTTCAGCTTCTTAAGTCTTGGATTGATCATTTCTTGGGCAGTTTCTGGTTCTCAGCTTTGCAGATGGAAGGGTTCCTTTGCCAATGGGCTGGTTTCTGTATGTGAGCCGTGACATTATTGTAGTTCTTTTAAATGATTTTCCACTGTAATCAGTTATTATATTGCATGAATACAATTTCTTAAGGGTTGAATTTCTAAATGGTGACTATTTCTCCAAATGAGGTACATCTTGAAATAAGAGGAAATTATAACACTTTCAAAACTCTGCACATGGGTTTCCAGTGGCATCTCTTAATTTCTTTTTAAAGTTTATGTGACCCAGATGTTAGCTGTTCTCTTTTTCTCTTCTTAAAGCTCCTTCAAAGAGCCCTCTCACATAAAAGGCTTAGAGGGCAAGGTAGAGTTGACTGAAGAATTTGTGGGGGAGAAAATTGAGGGGGTTTATTTCATACACTCCTTAGCCAGCAACATGAAATCCCATTTCAACATTTTTCTTCACCAAAGTTCTCCTCAGTTTTTGGCCTTTTTAATGTCTCCTTCCCCCATTCTGTGCTCAGTGTAGCTGGCTCCAGTCTCCCCTGTCTTGGTGTCTGGGGCCCCTCAAATTGATCTCCCCCCTATTACACAAAGTAGTTTGATTCTCCCTCAGCTCTGAACTCAAATCTATTGCAGCGAATCACCAGAATAGCAGGGTCTTTTGTAACCAGGATGCATTTATCTTAGATGATAATGGAAGTTAAAGATACACCAAGTTCTATGTGCCATTTAGAACTCTGTTCTTTCTCTTTTTTAAAAGAATAGGTTTATGCATCTTTTCTCAGTTGTTATTGGGAGGAGATCCAGAATTTCTTTTGGAAAGAAAAAAAAAACTCAAACCTCAACCACAAAGGCCTTGGAGATGTTAGAACATTAATTTTAAAAATATAAAGTTTTCTTAGGATCTTAAAATCTGAAAGCTAAAAGAGATCAAAATATTATAGTGAAGAAATTTGGTTTCATTCAGAGCTCAAAGGTTGTCTACACCAAACCAAACCAACATTTTAACAGCATTTGTTGATTATTTCTCATCAATTTTTCCTCCCAGCAAATTTTTACTACAGGGGCATTTTGCTTTACACTTCCTGATATATTTCAATGGGTTAATTTCTTCCATGCATTTTAAATTGGTGTATGATGTTTTTGCTGTGTGTAGTAAATTAAGAAAACTTGGAAGAGTACAAACAAAACATAGAAATCACCCTTGATCTTGCTACCCAGATCAGAGTTAACTACAATTAATTTGTGGATGCATTTTATGATTCCCTCTCCTTCATCTTTGCTTCCTCCTCTTCTTTTTCCTCTCTGCTTCTCCACACAATATTCCTTTTAACAATAATCGAGATTATTTTATACCACGTCCTACTGTCATGGTTGAATAGTACAAAGATATTTGCAACAGAATCTGTAAATATGATCTTAGTTGGAAAAAGGCTCTTAGCAGACATAATTAAATTAAAGATCTTGAGGTAAGATCATCCTGGATTAGGGTGGACTCTAAACCCAACCACCAGTGTCTTTATGAGAGAAGAGAAGGAAAGAAGAGACACAGAAAAGAAGCTTATGTGCAGGTGGAGGCAGAGATTGGAATTACATAGCCCCAAGCCAAGGAATGCTTGAAGCTATCAGAAGCTAGGAGAGAAGCCTGGAACAGATTCTCCCTTAGAGTCTCCAGAGGGTTTACAGCCTTGCTAACACTTTGATTTTGGAATTCTTGCCTGAAGAGCTGCAAGAGAATAAAATTCTGCTGTATTTTTCTGTTTTTTTTTTTTTTTTTTTAAGATGGAGTCTTGCTCTGTTGCCAGGCTGGAGTGCAGTGGCGTGTGGCGTGATCTCAGCTCACTGCAACCTCCACCTCCTGGATTCAAGCGATTCTCTTGCCTCGGCCTCCCGAGTAGCTGGGACTACAGGCGTGTGCCACCAAGCCTGGCTAATTTTTTGTATTTTAGTAGATACGGGGTTTTACCATGTTGGCCAGGATAGTCTCAATCTCCTGACCTCATGATCCGCCTGCCTCGGCCTCCCAAAGTGCTGGGATTACAGGTGTGAGCCACTGCGCCCGGCCAAAGTTGTTTTAAAGCAGTTGGTTCGTGATGATTTGCTTTTAAGCCACATAGTTTGTGGTGACATGTTATAGCAGCCCTAGAAGACTAATATTCACTTCTTTTTAGCTTTTACTTGAGAGGTTCTATGTTCGTTCATTTGTTCGTTCTTTCACTCAGTAGACACTTATTCTCTGCCTACTATGTGTCAGGCAGAATGCTATTAGGTTGGTGCAAAAGTAAAAGTTATTCCACAATTACTTTTGCACCAACCTACTATATGCTGAGGATACAGAATTTAATAAGATATAGTGTTTTCCCCAAATATAATGCAATCATATGTATATGGTACAGGATAGGTTTATCTGTAGAATTGCCAGGATACTCTCACATTTTGTTGTTTTTACTTCTGGGTAAGGTGTGTGAGCAAAATGACTCATCTCATTAGGAATGTGCAGCTCTCAAAAGTTCTTGTCAGTATACAGGCTCTGCAGATGAAACAATGCCTGGTGGTAGAAAACCTTGGTAGGTTTTGGGAGCCTAGTTGGGAATGGTGCTTTGAAGCTGTAACTCAGGAACACTGGAACATTTTTAAACTTGACCAGTTTTCTAAAATACTGAGATCTATTTCCTTATTCCATGTTAGGCATGTTCTAATTCTCTCTGCTTACTGATCTTTGACAAGAATCAGATGTGCAATACTGGAAGGAAAAGGAAAAGATAGAGGCAGACAGCATAGAAAGTAAGAGTAATGATCTCTAAATTAGATCTAAGGACTCAAAAGGACCTGGGAAATTTGGGGGCTGTAAAAAGTAACATCATCAGCAACATATGGAAAGAAGACTCTGGCAGTGACATTGTGGAAGAGCTGTGAGATGAGGAAGCCTGGGAAATATAATTGAGAGTGATACTGAATATTGTAGAAGGAAGGTAATGGACTCTAATGATGGAGAAAGAATAGATTTTGAAGATGTGAAGAAAGTTGATGGTATTTTCTAATGGAGAATACAGTAAGTCCTCACTTAACATTGCTGATAGGTTCTTGGAAACTGTGACTTCAAGTGAAACAGTATACAGTAGGTCCTCAAATAACGTTGTTGAGTTCAAAGTCATTTCATTATAGCATGGGTGAGGAAAAACTTGATTTTGTTACATTTCATTACACTTAAAATCATAGTTTTCGAGGACCTATCCACGACGTTAAGTGAGAACTTACTGTCTATGGTGCAATAAAGTACATTTTCCATAAGCTTAGCATTCCTTCACAATAAACACTTACTGGATTTTAAATTTGCTTAATGTCCAGTGTTCAGTCCAGTATGATGGAGTTGCAGGGGGAAAGAAAAAAGTTAAGTATTGAGAAATGGAATTGAGTTTGGAGAGGGCTTCATGGAGGAGAGCACACAAACAGCAGTGGAGATTTAAGGGGCTCTGTTGGCAACGGGACGAATTTCATTCAGATAATCTAGCTGGCTCAGTGTCAATCAGCATGTACTAGGGCTTCCTCAGGGATATGATAGAGGTTTTATAGGAACATTGAGAGTAGCAGCAGGGATTCATGTTTTCCATCCATCCATCCATCCATCCATCCATCCACCCATCCATCCCATATTTAAATAACACTTCTGAGTACCAGCCACTGTGCTAGATGCTACGGACACATGGACTATTAGGACCCATGTCACTGCCCTCAAGGAGTCTGGGGTCTAGGGGAAGAGATGGACAAATAAACAGACTCTTATTTGACAGCAGTAGGTGCAAGGAAGTATGAGGTGCTCCAGGTGCACTGGGTGCTTTGGGTGCACACATATGGGGTAGGGATGGCTAATACTAGTTTTGGAGGGCTAGTGGCAGGGATTTCATTGTCTCAGAATAACCCTTGATAGAATTGGCCCCCCAGCAAAGGTCAGCCATTGAACAGCTAATGGAATGGTGGGGTGAGAGGGTGGGGAGAGCATTGGAGAACCCAGGAACAGTTCAGGCCATAGAGGATTACTAGGTCTTTACAGGCTTATTGAAGAGGGAGGCTGAGAATATGCTGGATGAAAAATGAGCCCAAATCCACCATCTCCTGTCCCTCCAGTTATGTGCTCTGGTGCAATGTGGTCCGTCACAAGTACCATCTTCATATGCAGGCTACTCATTGTAAGACTCTTGGGCAACACAGCAGTGAGAACCTCTGTTGTCTTTCTACCCCACAAGGCAGGAAGGCATTGGGAAAAGTCCACTAGCCTGGTGTCAGGAGGCTGAGGTTCAGTCCTGCTCTGTCATGAATTGGCTACATGACTGAGGACCAAGGACTTGAGTTTTCTCATCTATGAAACAAAGATATTGGATACCAGTCATTTTCAAACATTTCTTTTTCCAATAAGCAGAACCCTTTTCAAATGAAATCTTATGTATAGTGCAGTTGCTCAGAGCAGGTGCTCTCGGCTGCCCTCTCACCCTTTATGGTAGATCTTGAGGAGCCTCCACAAGCATCACAGCACTGGTCAGTACTTCTGCACATGAGGTCTGAGGACCACCTGCATCTGAATCACCCAGGTGCAGATTCCTGGGCTCTTTCCCGGACCTCTTGAATCAAACTTTTTGGGTCTGGGACTGAGGACTCTATTTTTAATGAGCACTTCATGGGATTCTCATGTACATTGAAGTTTGAGTACCACTAGGCCAGATATTTCAAGGTTCCTCTCAGGCTTTAAGTACAGTGACTCTGTGATCCTCTTCAGCTTTGGTGTGATGGTGAGGAGCCAAAGAAGGGGAGTCAGTGACTCCACCTGATAAAAAGATTTAACAGCAAATGGAATATTGAAAGTATGAGGATGGATTTGATAGTAATAGTAGTAGAGATGACAGTGGAACAAGGAGGGTAGGATCTGAAAGTTACAAAATGGATTAGGTAAGGAAGAAGAACTTTAATCATCGGGTCTTCCAACAGTGGAGATAAATTGTATTCCAGATGGAAGAAATTGTAGCAAAAGGTGTCAGGAGACAATTCAAAGCATGAGGCTACTAGGGTAATGTCCTGATCATATTCCCACCATCTTTCTTTGTCTTGATAATAGCACTCTATTATATCATGACACATAGTATCATAATGGTCTCCTTACCTTTCATTTACTTGTCAATCTTTATTGAGTGAATCCTGTGTGCCAGGCATTGAGCTATATTCTGCAAATGCAGGTCAACCCAAACAGACATGTTCTCTGCAATCACAGAGCTTAGTGTCTGGTCAGGGAAGTAGATAATAAAATAGCCATGCTAAGTAGTGTATAATTACAAACCAAGGCAAATGCTGCTAAGGAAAAGAGTGTGGTTCTAAAGACAGGTATTTTTTTGTGGGGGTTGGTAGAGGTGAGGTGAAGCAGTTTAGGAATGGATTCTTTAAGGGAGTAGTACATTTGAGCTGAAAACATAATGATGACTAGGAGTTAACTAGGCAAAGGTGGTAATAGGAGTTGGAGCAATGGGATGAGAAGAATTCCAGAGGGAAAATCATGTGCAAAGGTCCTGTGGAGGGGAAGGAGGATGGTGATTATGAGGGACTGATTGGCAGAAGTCCAGAGAATAAGGCGGAGAGAAGAGCAGGGGCAGACAGGGCTGGAGAAGCCATCAGAGGCCAGACCCTGCAGGGCCTTCAAGGCTACATTAAGAGTTTGGGTCTTTTTCCTCATAACAGAGAGATTGTGTGGAAGGGTTTGTCTTTGGAAAATCTCATACCTGCTGCATGGGAAGAAGCTAATGCAGAGGGGTCAAGATAGATATGGGGAGAGGCTAATTGCCTATTGCTATACTTGTCTGTCTGTTCCTATTACTGCTGTGACTTACTTGAGGCTGAGACAATCTCCATATTCCCATGCAGTTGATACGCAATAATTACATGATAGTGGGCAAAATGCACTAAAGTGAATTAAATAAAGCCTCTTGGGGCAAAAGCAGAATATATTTTAGACTCCTCTTTTCTTCCCTGTAACTAATATGGGGCAAGGAGAAGTATTCATATATTGTGTGTTTGTGCACATCGCTGCTGGCTATCATTGCACTTGAGAGTGTGAGGTCCTCGGATACCAAGCCCATCTTTACCCTAGTGTTCTGTGTTATTGGGAGTCTCTTGGGCACTGCTGGAAATTAACATGTATGGGACAGTGTCTGACACTTAAGGAAAGGGAAGGATTTAGGTCTGCCTGGACTTCATTTCTTAATTAGCAGAGCTCAAGATATGATTTGAAGCAATGCTTACTGTTTCATTCGCAGCTGCCCCCAGGTTGCAGCAAGTTGGACAAGCAAAAATGTGACAGGCAGCCCTAGACACCCAGTGGAGAAGCAGAAATAGACTTGCTGGGGTTTGCAGTGGACGTTTCCCTTGCAGCGGCACTTTCTGAATTGCCTGGACGACGAAGAGTATTCACCCAGCTGTCCTCATCTGTTACCTTGCCCCTTTCCAGGCATTTATGTTCTTACATGCTTTCCCCTTTCACACTGCTAAATTTAAGGCTTCATTTTCAAATCAAATGCTCATCTGGCTGGCTGCCTGAGAAATCACATGTGGAGCACTGAGAGACCCAGGCAGGGGATGATGCCCTTGGTTTTGGAGAGTAGGTCTGGAAACCATATGAACTGTAAATAGTTTCAAAATGTGAAAAAAAATTTAAAGCTCTGCCAAAAGGGAAGAGCTGAGGTTTTTTTCTTTCTAGGCTCAGTTATTAAGTATCTGTTGGAAATAACCTACCTCTATCATAGAATCTGTTTACTCTCTCCGTCTGTCCAGGGTGGACAAATCCAGACTTAACCACTGTGAGAACTCAGCTCTGCAAATGCTTGCTTTATTAGAAATAAGTTTTGGGGTCACAGAACCATAGCTAAACTGCTAGATGCATAACTTTTATGGGAATTTACTTTTATTCATTTAATCCTTCCTTTGAAACTTGAGTGATAATATGTTAATATTTTTAAAAATAATAGAACCTAATTTTCCAGTAAGAATAAGACAAATAAAAAATGAGAAAAGGTACATGGCTTCCTTAATTTGCACCCCATCAGATAACTAATGTACTAGAGTATCACTTCTCATTTTGAGAAATATTTTTCAGCATATGTCCTATTTTCTTTATTAGTCTTTCTCTTTTTCACCTGATCCTTCATTATAGTTTTAAAAGGCTTTTTTTTTTTCTTTTTTTTCTTTTTTTTTTTTTTTTTGCCTTTGGTCTCAATTTTTTGTGGGTGCAGAGGTGAAGAGATGCTGTCATGCTTTCCACACTAGGTTACCAGGGACACCTTTCATTCTGTTTTGGTGGCTGTCTTTAGATTCTTTTTTCTTGCTTTCTCTGTATTCTAAATTTTGTCTTTGCTCTGTATCTCATTTCTTACTCTCTTTCTAAGGATGAAGAAGAAAGAACACTGGAATTGAGATAAAAAGAATGATAGGAAAACAATAAGCAACAGAGGCCCTATTAAATAGGGAGCATTTTAGAGTAATAGATGCCTAAAAATGTAGGGATTAGAGTTTATGCAAACAAATATGCAAAGGACTGTGGTATAAATGCTTATAATTGGCCTGCAGATTTGCTTGTGTTAAATTTCAAATCTGGTACTGATAATGTCAAACTAATAAAAGTTTTACCCAAATGTACCTAATTATGGTCACGATCCCTGGCACGAAATCTCCTGATTAACCAAATTGAAAATATCGTTCCCAGTAGTGGCTCTTGTGATTAAGAAAGGAATTCAGAAGAGAGAAGATTATTTATACATATATTTAGACATATTTTTACAGACTATAAATAAGACCATAAGGTCTTGAAACCCCTTGATCACTAGAAAGCAGAGAGGGCTTGGAGGAGTATGAGACCAGCCTGTCATTGCTATTAAGCAGAAAAACTTCATCCTGGAGCTGGGTGGAGCACATAACTTAGAGTGTTTCCCAGAAAGTAATTAAAAGGGCAACTTTCTGGCAGAAAGTTTTCATCTTCCTAATAGAGAAAAATGGAGTCTACTCCAGGCAAAAAATTATCATATAGATATATCCAGGGAGTAGAAAAACAACCTAGAGACTTTGGGGTTTGAGTAGTGCCAATGAATAATGAAGGGATTACATTAGAAGGTCTTTCTTATCCATCTCATTCCTAAAATATGAGAAATGCAACTGCCATTTGATATACCATCCCTGAGCCCAAGGCTTTCCCCTGTTCCAGGGACTTACTGTGGTCAGCGGGGCATGGGGAAACAGATTTAGGACCTTCACCAGAGGCCAGGTTTACCCAGACCTGACGGGTCTAGAAATAGAGGATTTTTTGGGGCACTCTAGTTCATGTCATAGGTTGGGCCAGGGGAGCGTGTCGCAGTTCCTGCTTACACTCTAATCCTATTGGCTTGAATTGGAAAAAGTGATAAGCCTCAATAATACAGCCAATTTTGTTGGGGTCATTTGATTTATTGTCCCAGCATTGTTAAGAGCAGACATAGCATGGGTGCTCTGAACCAGAGGAATCTTTAGGTCTATCTTATTTCTGCAGATAGTGAGTATCTCCCATGTGCCAAAGATGATTAACGTAGCATTTCTGTTTTCATAACTCACAGTTTGTAGGGCAGGGAGACAACCAAGTTTTTAGTTTCAATATAATGTATAGGAGGATGGATGTGTTGATGGACCTCAACGGAAGCACTAAAGAAGGGGTACTTAGGCCAGTCTGGGGAACAAAGGAGGCTTCTGAGAAGTGAGTTTTTATCTAAAATTTATCAACTAAAAATGTGAAAAACTCAGAAAAGTAAAAATGTCTACTTTTTAGGGAAATGTATTATCCCTTGTTGTTGCATTTTTTTGTGGCAAATATACATATATGCAAAAGAGCCCATGCAATATATGCAATTTTGCTTTCCACTTTTTTCCTTTGGAAAAAAGTTTTTATTTATTTCTTTTATTGTCTAAACTGATATCCTTTGCCTTACAATGATTCATCCTGTCCTTACCCTCTTTCCAGACTTTGTCATTAGCTTTGTTACACTTTCTTAGGGTCTTCCCAGGAGACATAGCCTTGTGAAACTATTACTCGTGTCAGCTCTAGAACTAAATATGCTATGCACACATTATGAGTGATCACATAAATAGCTAATCTGTTCAAATATTCCTTCACCAATATGTATTGAGCCCCTAATATGTGCCACGCACTCTCCTATGTACTAAGGATACAGAAATGAGGAGGCCAGATAAATCCCTGCCCTAGTGAACAACATTCTAGTGTGGAAGACACATAATAAACAAAATGTAAATAAATAATATAATTTCAAGTAGTTGTAAGTACAACAAAGAAAATGAAATAGGGGAATAGGATAGAGAGTGATGGGATGGGAGATGGGGAGATGATTTTAAAGACGGTGACCAGAGAAGGCCCCTTGAAGAGGTAATATTTGAACTGAGAGGCAGCTAGCCATGCCAAGATCTTGGGTAGAAGAAACAACAAGTATAAAAGCTCCAAGGTGGAAATGAACCTGACAGTAAGATGTCTACTGTGGCTAGAGTATTGTGATAAAGGGGAGTGCTGAAGGGCTGGCAAGAGCCAATTCCTAGAGGTAGTGATAGAGAATTCCAATTTTATGTTAAATGTAATGAGAAGCTACTGGAGGGTTTTCAGCAGGAAAATTATATGAACAATAAAAAGATTTCGCTGGCTTCTGTGTAGACAGTAGACAGCAGAGAGAGACAAGAGCAGAATGACGGTGACAAATTTTGTTTTCTACTCTTGTCCAGGTATGATGATGATGCCATGGACATGAGTGTTAGCAGTGAAGGACATAAACAGAAGTAGAATTATCTATCTATCTATCTATCTATCTATCTATCTATCTATCTATCTATCTATCATAATCACCATCACTCATGGATTTTCAGACACACATGCACACACAAATAGAACAGTACAATGAATCCTTTTCTATGTATTACATAGCTGCAGCAACTTGCTATTCTTGTATACTTGCATACTTCTTGCTATTTTGTATCAATTTTTATTATTTTATTTTCTGGGGTATTTTAAAAGCAAATCCTGTATGTCATATTCTGTTATCTATCAATACTTTAGTATTTATCTTGAACATATAAGGATTTACATATATTTAGCCATACTACCATTACTACATTTGACAAAATAGCAGTAGTACCTTAATAAATATCACCTAATAACCACAGACTGAGATGTATTTTGAGGGCAGAGGCAATATGTTGGTGTACTGGGTGGGTATGAAGAGAGGCATCAGGAAACCTAGTTGTTGGCTGAGGTTCCAAGATGGAGAAAACTGGGGAAGAAGCATGTGGTGGTGGTGGTGGTTTTCTGCCTGGTCTAGGAAACCAGAATTCTATCAAGATATTAGTCATTCTGTAGAGGAATGCATTACTGAAGCTTAGGGGAGAGGTGTGGGCTGAAGATATAATTTAAAAGTCATCACACTTTGGGAGGCTGAGGCGGGCAGATCACCTGAGGTCAGGAGTTTGAGACCAGCCTGGCCAACATGGTGAAACCCTGTCTCTACTAAAAATACAAAAAAATTAGCCAGGCATGGTGGTGGGCACCTGTAATCCCAGCTGCTTGGGAGGCTGAGGCAGGACAACTGCTTGAACCTGGGAAGTGGATGTTGCAGTGAGCCGAGACTGTGCCATTGCACTCCATCCTGCCCGGGCAACAAGAAAAACTCCATCTAAAAAAAAAAAAAAACAAAAAACTCATCCAAGGCCTGTTGCAGTAGCCTATGCCTATAATCTCAGCACTTTGGGAGGCCAAGGCAAGCAGATCACTTGAGAGCAGAAATTTGAGACCAACCTGGGCAAATGGGCAAAACCCCATTTCTACTAAAAATATAAAAATTAGCCAGGCATGGTGGTGTGCACCTGCAGTTGCAGCTACTCAGGAGGCTGAGGAGGGAGGATTGATGCCTGGAAATTCAAGGCTGCAGCAAGCAGAGATCATGCCATGCACTCCAGTCTGGGCAACAGAGACCCTGTTTCAAAAAAAAAAAAGTCATTTGGCCACCTTGGATGAAGATTCTGGGCCCTACATAGTGGAGAGAGGAACTCTAGCTCTCAGGCACTCTAAAGTTTGAAGATGGGCAAAAGAGAAAGGGCTGGCTAAGTGTGTGAGAAGCAGTGACTAATGAAATAAGAGGAAAACTACTTGGATGTTCTGGAATTAAAACAAAGAAAAGGTTTGAAGAAAGAGGGGGTGGCCAACTGTGATAAATAAAGTGAAGACTGAGAACTGATCATTGGATTTAGTAACATACAGGATGACCAGAGAGATTGCAGTTGGAAGGATGGAGACAAAATCCTGATTGGAGAAAGCATGGACAGTCAAGAAGTAGAGAAAGTGAGTGCAGATAGCTCTTTTGAAGACTTGAAATCAAAATCAGAATGTACAATCCTTATAATGAGGTGCTTCATAATAATAAAAAATAGTCACAGTATTTTAAATGTATATATTATTTTACAGTTTACAAAATGCTTTAATGAATCTATTTCATCTGAAAGTAAAAAATGTCATGAAAGACAGGTGTTTAAATGTTAGGTGGGTTTGTGGCATTTCAAAGACCTCAGTTTTCTGAATAAAGACATTCTGAGGGGTTGATAAGAGCCGGTTTTGGTAGGTCATAGCAGAGAATTCCAGTCTCAATCAATATCTTGCCTGAAGGCTGGTTGGTTCTGAAGCTTTGACTCAAGTGCATGTTTTCCAGTTCTACAACATGTACTCTTCTACTATGCTACATCATTTCCTTCATAAACAAGGGGGCCAATATTCTCTTCTTTAAAGGTGTAAAATTTAAATTCCAATTTCTGGCCCATTCTCAACAGAATTTGGTTTCTGCAAGTGTCAAGATTGTTCCTAAAAAGTCATCCTCAAAGGACAGGGACAGAGTCTTACTATAAAATTTCCTGGTTTTTGTTTAAATGACCGATCAAGATTTGTCATTCATGGATTTACATTGACTCGAACTTTGTTTCTCCTCATAATGAAGGTGCTGAAGGTACAAAGCTGAGGGTTTAATGACAGGAAGTACTCTGGTAATTGTAAGGAAGAAGATTTATCCTGGTCCTGAGAAAAATGTAAGTGACATAATGGTCGAAGCTTCAGAGAGTAGAGATATTTTACCCATGATTATAAATAAATCCTGACTGAAATCTGTTGACGTGATGTTAAATTATGATTCTGAGAAGACAAGCCTAGAGGGACCAGAATAATACAGTCCAGGCATATAGTTTTCGGATGAGCTCACCATTTATGGGGACAAAGCTTGGAATATCTTGAGAAATGAAAGTTAATATATCCTTTATTAGACAATCTTTCTGGTCTATCAGTTTTCTCACTGGACTTTTGATGACAGCTATATGGCAAACAATCTAACACTGAGGTCATTCTGAAGTGCAGGTATTCTTCATTGTTGACGGGAAGATATCCATATACTCCGGGTATCAGAAGACAGAGATAGTTTAGTTGTGGTTATTTAAGAGCCAGACTTATATTTTTCCACTAGTCTTCAGGTTTTTTGATAACCACAGTCTGTATCTGATTCCACTTGCAGCTCTGACACTCAGCATGGTGTCTAGATTAGAGGGGTCATTTTGTACACATAAGAGTGGTCTTAAACTCATTAATGCAGGGTGATGATACCGCATATGCCAGTGATGAACTCATTAAGAATTCTAGGGCCAAGCTTGGTGGCTCATGCCTGTAATTCCAGCACTTTGGGAGGCTGAGGCGGGCAGATCACTTGAGGCCAGGAGTTCAAGACCAGCCTGGCCAACATGGCGAAACGCTGTCTCTACTAAAAATACAAAAATTAGCCAGGTGTGGTGATGCATGTCTGTAATCCCAGCTACTCAGGCTGCTGAGGCATGAGAATAGTTTGAACCCAGGAGGTCAAGGGTGCAGTGAGCCAAGATGGTGCCACTGCACTCCAGCCTGGATGACAGAGTGAGACTCCGTTTCAAAAAAAAAAAAAAGAAAAAAAAAGAATTCGACTTATGTGCTATCCCATTTTTGAGGAACTAGGGATGATAAACATTACAACTTATTTTGAAGTGACATCTTGAAATTTTCTTAAAAAGTTCTGGGACAGTATTACTGCAAACCTAATAAGTAAATCAACTCCTGATATTCCAGTGATACCTTTAATTGTACTTTGTGCTGTAAAATCAGAAATGCTATTTCCAGAATGTTAGGTTTTCTGGCCAGAACAAACCACATCACACCATTGAGCAACACTTTCGCTTTGTCTGTGTTGCTATGGCTTGTATTATTAGTTGACATGTAAGGCAGCCAATATTTTTTCTGGTTTAAGAGACATTAGGTTATCTCTTCACTTGGCTCTATATGGGCAAATTGATTGAGACTATCACTAGAGGCAATGAAAAAATATAACATAGGCCTTTTATCCTGGAACTAAGATATCCAGGTTTTCTTTTCCATTGGAAACTATCTTCTTTTGGGGTATTTGTTTTTTTCAAAAAGAGGATAATTATTTGCTATTAAGCTTAGTAAGAGTGAATTCTCTGATTTTTCAAAATAATATGTGGCCACTTAGATGAAGAAAATAGTTGATCTACTTGGGCTAAGGTGATTGTACATTTTTTAAATCAAAATATGTTCTTCATATAAGAAAGATTTCAGAAACAGTGATTTTTTCCTATAGACATTGTTCTTAGGATAGTTAGATAGTCGGTGGTTATCTGTAGAATATTTTTAATAGATAGGTACTAGAAATGTATCTCCCAACTTTATTGTACTGTTGGCAAAGGAGGTGAATCAGATGACCTAATATTTTACAGATTTGTTTTCCCCAGAAGTTTTAAACTTGGATTGGGGAAGCACAAAGATTCATGGCAGCTTGCCTGCATTAACTTTATAGTATTGAAATTGAAATGATAGAAAGGTGGAGCTTAGAATTAAAAAAGGAATATTGGTTCACACCTGTAATCTCAGCACTTTGGGAGGTTGAGGCGGGAAAATCACTTGAAGCCAGGAGTTCAAGACCAGCCTTGGCAACAAAGTGAGACCTCCCCTGCCCACTGCCCCTCAAGGGAATGTTATAAATACATGAAGATATTGATAGCAAAGCTGGGAATGGGCTCTCAGTTTGTAGTGGATGTTTTGCTGTGCCACCCACATCCCCCCTTAGGACTGCAGAACATATTTTCCCAGCTGTCAGGAGTGCTGCCCACATATAACCTTCAGCTGGCAGTCCTCTCTGGGAATTGCCCTTGGCTGACGAGAGTGTTTTCCTTAAGGACACTCCTCCTTTCTGGGGTCATCCTGCATCCAATGACTGAATCATGCCATGGTATAAAGTCCTGGTCCCCTTGATCCTATTGTAAAGGCCTGTTCCAGCTCCAGAGCTCCAGAGCTCTCCGTGGTCTTGGCTGTGGCTTTCATTGTGGCTACATCAACAGCCCAACTGCTCCCTCTGTCCAGCAGTGCTTCTTTCCTCTCTTACAGGTGTTAATCCCAAGAGAACTTGCCAATCAACCTCTTATACATAAAGCTCCCTCTAAATCTACTACCCAGGAATCCAACCTAGACCAATAGCTCTGTTTTCTCCATGGTCAATCTAAGATAGTTCCTCTAGCTTTCATAAGGGAGAACAGATGGAATTGTCTTTCTTTGAAATCATTTTCTTCTGAATTCCTGTGTCTTCATAATCTATAGCCATCTATTCACAGAATCCTACTAAGAATCTACAGAAGATAGAGTCTTAGGAGGCTCATTTGGGCAAGGGTTTCAGTTTAGGAAAATGATGAAAGAGAATACATTTCCTGTAAAACATTCAGCAGGCTTATTGTTCAGGTAAAACTTAGTGAGTTGATCATTTTGTTTTCAAAATAGGAAGACTAAATTGTGTGTCTATTTCTGCATCTGAATAATGCACAATAGGATTTATATAAATTAGGCAGGGCATCTGTAAGATTGATTACTTTTTCTCAGCAAATTGTTAAACTAAATTCTCCATGCTATAGCACTACATCTTTCATCATCTCTTATTTTCACCCTCCTCCCTGGCAAAATTGGTGAGAGAGCATCTTCAGCAGCTGACCAGAGACCTCCCTGTGTGATTTTGCCTCAGCATAAGCATTTTGCTAAGAAGAATGGAGGAAAAAGGGAAACATCTGCATTCTTTAAAATAAATAGATTCCAAAGATATGAGCGTTATGTTCATTCTCAACGTAGTGAGATCCTGTTCACCAGTCTGTTATTAGGGGATTAGGGCCAAGCTGTATGTTTTCCTCTAGCGCAGCTCTGATGGTACTGGGATTGAAAAGAACCAGAAACTGCTGCTGTCCACTGAGTGTTTGTGTCAGGGGATCATGATTGCAAGCTGTCTTTGGATCAACTGGTTTTAAATGCTGGGAGTGTGCACTGTTGCCATGATTGGGTCCTTTCAGCTCCTTAGGGTCCAATCTTTTTCTATATAGGTAATACATAATTACTCTGGGAAATAAAAAGCAACAATAAATATAGATGTATTAAGAGCATGGGCTTTGTAGCCAGACAAACTTGGGTTCTGGTCCCAGACCTGCCACTTATATGTGACCTTGGCCAAGTTTTCTTCTATTACTTCTTTCTGCTTCTATTCTTCTTTTCAGTTGGCCATTAAAATACTAATATGTGTAATGCCAAATAATTTAAACAGTACAAAAGAACGTAAAATGGAAACGAAGTCTCTCTTCCATCCCAATTTCCCTCTTCATTTTCTTTCTCTATTGTCAACCACAGTAGTTTCTTGTGTATCTTTCAAGAAATTTTCTATGCCTATAAAAATGTATAATATATCCTACATGCACTTACTTCTTTTTACATTTCCTAATAATGTAACTTACAGCATATTTCATATTAGCACATATAGACCTACCTTATCCTTTTCAGTGGCTGCACTATATTCCATTGAGTGAATGAACCATGATTAAGTAAGTGTTTCATTGTACATCTATCTAATTCCTATTGATGGACATTTTCGTGGCTTCTAATCAATTTCTGCTACAAATAATGCTGCAATAAATATCCTGGTACATTCATATTTGAGTACCTGTAGGATCAGTTTTCAAAGTGTGTGGTCATTTAAACTTTTGATAGATACTGCAAAATAAGGCAAAGATCTCAATTTCTATGAACCTCAGTGTCCTATTCTGTAAAATGGAAGTCAAAACAATACCTATCTCTAGGGCTGTTGTGAGGATTAAATGAGATAAGATACATGAATAGTGTTGCCAGATGTAGCAAATTAAAATATAAGACTCTATTTAAATTTGGATTTCAGATAAACAATAATAATGTTTTTGTATAAATGTGTCCCAAATATTTCATGGAATATATACTAAAAATAATTTGTTGTTTATCTGAAATTCAAATTTAATTGAGGTGTTATTTATTTTATTTGGCGCTCTATACATGAAGGGATCAGTACAGTCCCTGGAATGCAGTAAGCACTAAATAAACATGGGATGCTATAATTCTTATTAGACATTCAGGCAAATGCTATCATTCAGCAAATGTTTTTGGAAATAATGATTCTATACTCCTTAATTTATTTATCATTCATTCACTGCATACTTACTGAGTGCCTGCTGTGAACTAGGTATTATTCTAAGTCCTCAGGATGGAGTGGTGAACAAAAAAAGTGTATGAGCAAGGGAATACTTTTGAGTGTTATAAGGCTGACATGTACTTGAGATTAAAGAAGAAACCAAGCTCAGGGTTAAGTGGATTGATTGGTTAATTGGGGAGGTCAATTATATTGACCTTTATTATCTACTCTCTCTAGTACCCCAACACTTCTGTAGCTTGTGAGGAAATCCCCTTTTCAGGAATCCATGTTGCTGGTGGGAAATCAGGAGCATTAGAACATGGAAAGGATGACCTTGATGAACCCATTGAAAATCCCCTCTTTTGTTTCTCAAGCTTTAGCAATGCACTTGCAATATTGCTTCCAAAAGTGTTCCTTAAGGTCAACACTTGATTTTCAGCTTCTGAAAGCAATAGTCTAGTGACGTGGAGCATGATAGGTGCTACCTCACTCTCAGACTTGCATTTTCTCAAGGAGATTTTCAGTGAAGTCTAGCAGCTCTTAGTATGCTATGCCTCATCAGGAAGAAGCAGGTTCAGACCAGTTTATCAAAAATTATTAGTTGCAGTTGCTATCTCTTACCTCCTTTTCTTAGAACTCAGAGTTCTGAGAGTAGATATATAGTGGCATATTTTTAAAAAATTTGCTTCAAATAATTCTAGTTGCTGTTCTGTGGCAGTTAAACTCCGTATGTTTTATGGTGCCTTTGGAATCTAAATTTTATGAATTTTTTACTTGGATTTTGGCTTATTTAGCAATTGACTTGTGAGTTTGCTAAGGTAAAGGCTATCTTATTATCCCATATGTATTTAAAAAAACGGATTCTAAGAAGCATTAACTAGATTATGTCAGAGTTTTATACTCTGAAATAATTATATGATGCTGAAAATTGAGCCACATTTTAAAATCTTATAACTTCTCCTTTCTTTTCAGAATATTCATATACTGCAATTCATCTACAGGAGTTTTCACCTTTTGACAATGGCAAAAGCAAAGTTTGAAGGTGCTGAGTCTGTGGAGCCAGTGTCACCTTCACAGCCCAAAAGGCCATCCTATGTCCCCCTAGAAGAGCTATGGTGCAAGATTGCTTTAAACATGAACCCTGAGAACAGCTGCATCACACATGTAGAGCCAGGGAGTGTCTGCTTTCATGTTTCAAGTTGGTGACAAAACCCAATCACCATACAAGCTAAAATTTTAGAAGTCTAGAAATATTTTGAAGATGAGTTTTAAAGCAAATCATTTTGTCTGACCCTCCAGTTCTGCTGGGATTTTTTTTATGTATTATTGTCAGTGGTGGTGGTTGTAGGTAGGACAAGAAAAATGATTGGATTCAAAATATAGATTATTTAAATTTGTTTATAGGTCTTTATCAGTTTATGCTTATTCAGCAAGTTTGGGTACTTCTGTTGCTATGATCCTTAGTGCTCATTAGATGTATCTCTGAGTTCCTAGTTAAGTGCAGTTATATATATTAATATTTGCTAAGACAGAATAGGGGATAATGTAAAAACTCCTCTGATTGTATTGTACCCACTGATTGTTCTACAGGGATATATTCAAATCAGAGGTTAAGCAAGGCATCTCACACAGACTATGGTTTACCAATATCTCCAGGCTCTTTTTCTGTAAACTCTAGTTACATTTGTAGAGTGTTATTTTCTCCTCTTTAAAATAACCTATTTTGTGCTTCTTTTTCTTACTCTTCGTTCAGTTTCTGATAACTTTGTCAAATCATAAGACAATTTCCTCTCATGGTCTTACTTTGTGAGGGCTGTGCTTTCTTCTTGTTAGGGTTCTGTCCACAAACCTGAAAAGTGTGTCCAATTGTCCATTGTAAAGGTTATTGATGAAGTAGTTTGGATTGTGCTAGGCTCGGCGTCAACATCCAGAACTACTGCCTACTGTTTCTTGTATAATCCTTCCTAGAGCTTGTGCTATACAAGTTGGAAGAATAAGAGTTTGGAAATAAGACGCAATATCATCTTGACTTCTTCCTGAGACAGGTGCACTTTCAGTAGAGACTTCAAGGCAATTTGGTAGCAGTGCAGTTTCCAAAAATGACACAATAGCCTTCTCTGTCCACTCATGCCCATTTTTTCTAAGATGCTGTTTGCTGAGAAGTGTCACTAAGGTGCCAGAGGAGGTGTCTCTAGGAGAAATTAACCAGCACATAATTCATACCTGTAAAGATAAATGAGATTTAGAAGGCTTCCTAGGTTCTTCTATTGTTGTCAAACTAGTTAAAGTTCAGAAAAGTGTAGCACTGGAAAAATGATTGAATTCTGGCTAGAGATGAAAATACTGCAATTGAAAAATTTCCAGAACAACGTGTACTTGGATCTGTATTAAAGAAAAATTATTTGAGTGTTTAAGCCAAATGATCCAGCAGAGTTGATAGTGTGAGGCATATTTCACAGTCGAATAAATATTTAAAACTATTTTCCAGCCTATAAAACAAGTAAATTAGGTTATTTTTTTTAAAGTACAATGAAATTAACCTGTCCACCTCAACTTGTTGGGCAAACCTGCTCTACTCATCCCAACCTTTTCTCTTAGAAGGGAATCTCTGAGAAAGAAATGTGATGAAAACTTCCAAGTTGGAAAACAAAGCTGGTTTACATTTCAGGGAATTTCAGAAGGAATGATTAGCATCATGGTATACTGGCCCAGGTGGTCTGCATCCAGAGGGCCTGTCTGGTTTTGGACAGCCCTGACTAACTTGTCATCAGGGGCCAAATTCAATGGACACAATAGCTTTTCATAATAAACCCCTTTGAACTGGGTGGAGGGTGGTCTTGGGGCTCCATCATATACATGACCTGCACAGAAAGCAGTGCAGTAGGTTGACTGTGTTGTTCTCTATTCTGAGCTGCTGTCCTGTTAGAATACCACCAAGCCTGTCCTTCAGCCTCAGTGCTGGTTTGTAGGTAGTCCTTCTCATTCAGTCTTCCAAGGCTTCTTTTATCATGCTTTGTTGTTCTTGTCCTTTCCAGAGTTTAACATATTTTTCCTTTTACTTGCATTTTAGTTATTGCTCTACCTTGCCACTGTCTCCTTTGCTTTTTTGCCTCCAGTTAAATAGACTTCTGAGGCAATGGCAATGATGTTTCTGTATTTATCAATCGAGTTGGAAAAGAATGTCAGTGACTAAAATTTATTGAGATTTCATAGCTGCTGCATAAAGCTGGCACCATAGGTGGTGGAAAGAGTGCTCAGCCAAGAGTTTAGCATTTGAGTTTAGCCCAGGAGTACCCCTAACTCACTGGGTATCTTTGACCAATCACTTAACCTCTCTGGGCCTTTGTTCCCGTGTTAATGTAAGACCATTTTGAATTAACATACTAGGAAAGTCTTGCCTGCTTCCTCTGTTATATGATGCTACATTGTGAATACATTCCCTTGGTTATACTTTCAATTCTTCATTCTTGAAGAAAATTAATTTTATTTTTGTTTTTAGACTGCAGAATGAAAAATGGATGAATGTCAAAGTGGGAGACATCATTAAATTAGAAAATAACCAATTTGTTGCTGTAAGTATTCAATATTGTTTGAATAATTTATCTCAGATTAAAGTAGCATATATATGGAAGTATTTACATTTGCAAATTTAGTAAATCCTTACTAATCCAGAATAATTATCATCAGTATGTATTAGTAAAAAGTCTCAATTATAAAATATTTTAAAAGACGTTGATTTATTAGTTTCAATAACTTGGCAACTCACATAAGGTTGAATGAGTATCACCTTGTCCATTTCCCTAGAGATCTTTTAAATTAATAGGAACAAAAGATTTTACATTAGCCAATATTTGATGTAAATAAGAGTTTTAAAAATGCTCCTGAGTACTTTAAAAAGTCTGCTCTCACATATTTTGTGATTAGTACTGTTAATATCCTGATTAGTATTGTTAATTTACAGTATATTTGAAAAAAAATAAGCTAGAGAAAGAGAAAAGATATGTTTCTTCCTTAAAAATTAGAAAATGTGTATTGATTGTGCTGAATTAATAACATGTTATTAATGAGAGTTTACTTTATCAAGTATATTATAATTTATATACTCAAATGGCCTATGTTATAATTTCCTTAATAAAATTCAAGGGATTAGTCTAATCACTAAAATATATGCAACTAACTATAGTTCAAATTAAATTTAAGGTAACAAAAGTTATTGAGATCAGAGATTAAAAAATTCAAGTTATTGTATTGTTTCTGTCAAATATATATTAGATTACATATGAAATTTTTTGTGTTGAGTGCTATTTTGTGTATCAAGTTGAGACATTTTACCACAGGGAAAAAAATATGGCCCCAAGAGTTATTTACAAGAATAACAACTCAGTTAAGAGTCCTAAACATTCACTTTCAGAAACAGTCTTCTTTCATTAATGCACCATCTGTGTATACTGAATTCTCCAGAACAACCCACACTAAGGAGACTACTCAGTAGACAGGCCATTCACAAAAGAGTTCACACTTTCAGTAGAGAAGTGCTTATTTCTCTGGTAACCACAATGCTTTGGAAAATAGCTGGGAGCCAAAAATAAACACAAAGGTGTCGGCAGCCAAAACAGAGGTCTCAAAGTCCACTCTGGTTAAGCTCCTTATAAGTAGAACAGTTTGCCAGGTTCTCACTCGCAATCTATTTACTTTTATTTAAGCCACAATTTAAATTTGCTTGTCCATCTTATTTTTCAGCTCATTAAAGATTAGGAATAATACCCTGGAAGGTGGTGTCTGTTAGAACATACTCTGTGCGTGGAATCAAGGTAGCTCCAGTGTAAGGGCACTAGATGGGGAACTGGGAGAGAACTGAGACTTTGCTTCATTCTTTCAGTGACAGTAAAGACTTTATCTTCTTTGTCTTTGGTTTGTCCATGTGTCAAATAAGATGCTAGACCACTACAGGATCTCAAAAATCCGTTCCATGCTGTGATTCTCTTCTAAGCTGACACTAGACTATACGATTCTTGCAGGCAAAGCACCTATTGATTTGCCTGTTCTCCAACACTTGGTGCCATGTTCCATCAACAGGGGCATTTGGTAAATGTTAGCTGAATAATTAAGTGTTGATCTTTGTAAGAAAGAAGACAGGAAAAAAAAGAAAAGTAGATATAAATTTACAAAAATTCAGATGTTCTGGATCAATAGGATACCAGTAAACAGTATCTGCCCTAATTAAAGATCACATATATTCAGGGTTCTTTGTCTAAGAAGAAAGGGCTCCAGGCAACTCATTCGAGTTCTACTCTCAATTAAAATGATTACAGTGAAAGAGTTTTGGTGCTTCTAAGTGGATAACCTTAACTTATAAAAAAGGGACGTGTGGAATTCTAAGATGTGTGCATTCAAATGTTTTTGGCAATGACTTCAGCTAGATAGTGTCAGATTATTGAAGAATTAGCATAAACTGATATATGCCACACACTTAACTATCATTTTATTTGGAATAGAATATTTCAGGGGCAATGCTAGGTTTGTTTTTACTTCAGGTATTCAGTAAAAACAATGAGTGTTAGGAGCCCCATGAACGTGCTCTAACAAGGGTGAACATCAGACTGGACTCACTTGTTTACTAACGCCATAGTGTGCTGATTTATCACATTTTTAGGAGTGGGTCCAGAAAAGCAGCAGTCAAATCTATGTCTCAAAGCTTTTAACTCTATGGTGCCTCATGGCCAGCAGATCTAGGCTCCAATTGGCCATCTAGCCTTTATATTTGAATTTGTGTTTTCTTTGGTCTTTGTTTTTAATTTGGTTATATTTTCTATATTATGGTATGTGTGCTTACTTGCTATTGCAAAAGCTTCAATGAAGTGAAATACAGAAGGCAAGCACAAGTGCAATTGAAGAGCAGAATTTTGAATTTTAATTAATTTAGATTTAAATAGCTACATGTGATTTGTGGCTACTGTATTAGACACACGGATGTGGCCTTTTATGGTGGTTCCCATGATGGGGTGAGAATGCTTATTTTCCACTCTTCCTCTTGTTATCGTTTGGAGGGACAGCACCAAAATAACACTCTAAGTGTCTTTCATCCAGTTGCTCACGCCTCTCTCCTAGGAGTGTCTTCTCTGATTGGTGAGTTTGGGAGCTGGGAGTGGCGCCACATGACCTAGGTGATGCTTCCTTAATTCTTGTTCTCTTTGAGCTGCACCTGTGTGCAGAGAGTCTGTTCTGCTCTGCTCTTCCACGCTATCAATTTTATAGAAGCAAATCCCTGTGGTGGGGGTATTGGGAGGGCCAGGGCAACTTAGAGCTTCCAGCATCTGTGGCTCAATGAGTTTGTCTAACAGGAGTGAAGCCCATTTGGGCCACAGACCTGAAGCCTGGTCTTTATCAGTAATAACAGCTTTATCAAAAAAAGATATTTTTATCTCCATTGTTCTCTGTTTGACTCCTACAAATGTAGTTCTGTTGGCCTAATCTTTGGATAACCGAGGATGGGAGTCCTTCAAATCCACCTCACTGAACCTCTTGATTAGGTAATTTTGTTCAAAGTTTTTCCATGTCTATCTACTCAGCACCTACAAAACCATTTTCAAGGGCAAGACAATTTTTTTTTTGGTGAACCATTGGAATCACTTAGGAGTACTAATATATCTCCCTGCACTCTGGTATCAGCTGGCAGGGGCTTCAGAGAGCTTATATTCGGGGGGCAAAACTTACAGGCCCCTGAAAGAGACCCACTTAGGAGTTATACTGAGGTAGATTTGGGGGAAACCAGGTCATGAAGGTCATGAAAACAATTGCTAGCATTTATTGGCCATACGCCACATGCCAGACAATATTAACAAGCACTTCATGTGATTAGCTCATTTAATCCTCACATTAGCCCAGTAAGGGCAGGTTATGTAGTATCCTTACTGCTCTCACTTTACAGATGAGAAAACAGAGGCACAGTGCCGTCAAACAGCTCGCCAATGGGACATTCAGGAGTTAAGTCTATGCAATGTAGCTCAAGTGCCTCCACTTCTAACCACTACCATTTGCTGTTCCTTACTCCATTGGAACAGTCATCCTCATTGACTTGAGTCTGGGCTACCAGAGTTAGGGGCTCTTGGCTTGGATGCTGGAAGCCAAGTGATCAGAAAATATGTTGTGCCCAGTGCAGATGCATAACTTCTAGCTGTTCGAACTTAGAATTTGCAACCTGATTTATGTCAGTTTATCAGTAAATTTTAAGCAAGGAAAAAAGCTCACCGGAGATTGCCAATTAGCTGGCATATTCAGAAGTTACTTACCTTTTATTTATTTTTATTTATTTATTTTTTTTATGTTCTGCATTTGTATGTACATTTTAAAATTCAAGAATACTTGTGGGCTGAATTGCCAGAATTCCTAGTTTTTTGGAAGGACCAGGAAAAATGCAGAGTATAATTCAGATACCACAAGGAGTCTGACTTGCATTAGAAGAACCAAATAAATTTTGTTAGAAAAACATACTGCAGAGTTCCTGATACCACCGGAACTCGGACCGTGGGAGCCAGGTGTACCTTTCTCCTTCACTGGACAGCAGTACTCTTGTGTTGTTTCACTTTTCTTAGCTGATGGTAGAAATAAAATCCTTACTTGGCATGAGCATATTTGAACATTACTAGAATTGAGTTGTTTAGCTTGTTTGAAAAGTCCTTCCTTTCCCTTCACAAAAAGGCATTCATAGAATTGTTGTTTTAAAACCAAGGCATTCTTCTGATAGAGGAATTGACAATTTTATTCTTCGGAAATGATAGGGCTAGAATGATTAATTTGACCTAAACTCCAGGCGTGACTGGGGTGGGCTTTTGCTCTTTCTTGACTCATCAGGGAATTTCATCTGTTCTTTTTCAACACCTATCTTGGACACACTTCCAGAGAGGCCTTTTTTTTTTTTTTTTTTTTTGGTGGTCTCATTGCCCTCATTGCTCTTTTAAGTTTTATAACTTCACGTCAGAGTTGCTTGTTGTTCCAACCTATTTGCTGTAAGTAAACCATCTCTATCTTTCTATCTCTTTCTGTCTCTCTCTCTGATATATATCTATTTGTCATATTTATATGACAGTAGAAAGTGGGGGTAAAATATTCAGGCAAGGATTTTTTTTTTTTTTGACTAGAGGAACAGCCTGCCTGTTAATAAATTTTATGATGTCCATTATTATTCTCAGCCTTCCTTCTCTTCTTTGTCACCATCTTTTTCTTATTCTTCTCAAATCACTGTAATTAGAAAAACAATGATGTATCCCGTACATATTAGTAATCAATATGCATTTATTGGACCTGAAATTTAAATTTTAAATACAAACGTTACCTATTACCATATAAACTTCATTTTTAGGATCTCATTCTCATTTTTTGACTCAATGCATGAGGTATTTGGTTTATTTTTATTTTTAGATTAAAATAAAAGATAATGTTGTAGATGATAGAGAAGATGAAGAACTCTGTGTGAGAATGGCCTAAAAAATAAAAGGCGATCCAAAAGTGTTCAACTTAATTCTACAAATTTATCTTTCCATCAGGTCATGGAGCCACAATCCAAATATTCTTTCACCATTGTAGTTTTGATTTTTGAACACCAACAAAGCAAAACAAAACATAAAACAAAGTGAAATACTTTCTGTTTTTCGTAGTTGTGTTCCAGTGATTTAGTAGCCCACCAGAGGAAAAGAGCATACATTTTGGGATCAGAAGTTCTAAATTCTAATTCCAGCTCTGCAATTTAAGCTATGAGTGTCCATGAGGATTGTGTTAAGTCTCTTGGGCCCTTGGGTTCCTCAATGACTTTGGAAGGGCCATGGGCTTTACATGAGTTAATTTAGTTCTTCTGGTGGGTGTGGTAGAGTCTATTCCTCCCTCACTCCTGGGCCAGATATGACCTCCTGGGTTCCTCATCCATACAATGGGAATAATACTACTCACTCACAGGGTTGTGAAGAGAGTAAAACGACACAATTATGAGAGAGGGTTTTATAAATCCTTAAAGAATTGTACAGCTTTAGGGTGTTATCATTGCTTTACATTTTACTTTATTCTTTAACTCAACAAATATTTATTATGCCTAATAACCCTATGAGGACAATGTCTTTGGCTCTGAGGACCCAAATATGTTCAGTGCATTCTTTTCAGATTCCTTCTGATGGGAATATTTGTTTTCTGTTGCCCATGGAAGTTGGGGAAGGGGCGTTGTGTTGGAAAACACTGGTTCCTTCATGAAGAACATAGCAGAGCCTCTCCTGGCAGAGCAAGGAGAAAAGGCATGAATAATTCACAAAAGAAAGTAAATATGGGGCATATGATAGGTGGTTCTGATCAGAATTAATGATATCCTGGCCCACTTGTGAGTTTGGATATTCACGCTTTTCCTTTCCTCTTCTTTACTCCTGCTAGTCATTCTGCCTTGGGGACTTCCTTTCACTGCATCTAGAATATTCCATGATGCCCTTCCTCAACTACCAACCCAACGTTGCACTCTCATTTGCACTCCTTTCATAGCACTTTGTTAATGAGGCTCTTAGAAACCTTATATTCTGCCTTTATTAAACTATACAAATCCTTGAAGCAAAGAGATTTTTACTCATTTTGGTATCCCTTGCAGTATATGCCTCATACTGTATGCCCAGATTCAAATCCTGGCTCCTACCCTTACTGTGTAACCTTGAGGAAGTTACAGAAGCCCTCTGGGCCTTACTTTGCTCATCTGTAAAGTGGAGATAACAATAAGACCTGCGTTACAGGATTTCTGTGAATGTTAAATAAAATAGCGCATGTGAAGCTCTTAGGATGGTGCTGGACACATAGTAAACCCTAACTAAATATCAGCTACGTTATTTGGAATCATAAACACCTACACCTGGAACACAAGTTTCTGGATCAACTAGGAATTGGGTCCCCGTAGGATTTACTGGATGAGTCAGCTTGAGGAGGCCTGTTGTGAGACTCAGAGTCCTGGGGAAAGTGGGCCCCAAAATTCATGGGTTGCTCCACTCCTGGCACAGCACTTCTGGCAAACGGGTGACAAGGGATGAGCAGGGCTTTTTCTGCAGCTCTCCTGCCCTTTCCTTTTCAGAATTATGACTGAGGGCACTAGAAAATAGGCCTGCCTGCATGACAATGAGCGCATTGACCGCTTATCCTCCCGGCCCCGCTGGGCCTTCCCTTCGCACTCCCTCCTCAACCACAATGAATTAACGCCTTGAAGGACGAGGTTAACAAAAGGGAACAGCAGGCCTCAGCAGAGGGACAGGGAGAAGGGAGGATGGATGAAGGGAGTGCAGCAAGGCCATCAAGGAGTAGGAAAGCAGGAGGAAGGTTCAGAGAACATCAAAGAAAAAGCTGGTAACTGGGGAGATGGGCGGAGGTGGGGAAGGTAGGCGTCTTGGTCCTGGAGAGTACAGTGAGCAAGAACAGTTAGCCCGGAACCTATGGGGGTCAGCCTGTGGGAAGCTGGGTCACTGCTCAGGAGAGAATCTGACCGCCAGATGGCAGTGGCGCCTCAGTCACATGTTCCTAGCCAGCTGTGTGCAGGGACTCCACCCCTTGTTTACCATGGTGTGAGTGTCAGTGCAGCCCCACCCAGTCTTCAACAGTAACACTGGATTCGAGTTTCAAAGAAAAGCAGCCCTGGGTACAAATAGGCATCTTTCTCTATATTCAATCACAGATTCTTAGGATTAGAGAATTTTGGATTTTGTTTAACATGAGCCTTTTAAGCCCAGGGGAGGAGAGGTGCAGGCCCATAGACTGACTGTTAAGCTCTATTGCTGTTTAGTGCCTTGTGCCTGGTTTTATGCATTGAAATTTGAATGTGGGAAATAAGATCAAGGTGAATTTTCAAAAAAAATTTTTTTTTCCTTTAAAATCAGGATGGGTAGTTTTTGGCCCAAGAGCGGCATCACTTTCTTTATGTGGCTTTCCTCTGTTCACAGTGTGACAAGTCAGAGAATTTCTGCCTCAACAAGCTTCTGTGGCTCTTTGATTCAGAGTTGTGTAAGAGCCTTGCTAATGCAAACCCACTTATTCTTTTAGGGGCCGTCACAGGGTATTTTTCCCCAGCTCTGTTTTATCCCAGTTTAGACAAAACCACACACACACACACACACACACACACACACACACACATGCACACCCTATTTTTGAGTTGCAAATTTAAAAGCTTGAGACAATCAAGAAAGTAAGTTGATTCTAAATTTAACCCCCAAGATTCAAGAACAAAGCAATTCTAATGTTTTTAAAAATAAAGGTAAGAAAATATCACAGATTTGGAATGCCAATCATACATTCAGACATAGCTAGAAAATTGTTAGGCTAATGTCTCAAACTAAATTGCTAAAATTTAAGCCAATTCTTTTTAGACATTCAGACCCTTCAAAATTTTATAAAAACACTTATTTTTAAAATAAGTTTAGAGCTTTGAAATAAAATCAATAAGCACTTTGCCAATTTAGAGAGCTACCAGGATGCTAAAACTGAATTGTGATAGGTGATATGCAAAGCTCAATTGGACATCAGAATAGAACTGTTTATCTCTGAAAAATCCAAACTACTCAGTATCTGATTTTTTCCCACTGCCTTTGACTACATTTTCTCTTCTGTCTTGCTGTTTTCCTTAGTCCCTACTTTATCTTAGCTCTCCTCTTTCTTACTCCCTACCATCTTTTACTTTTTTCTTTCCATCTTTATCTCTTTCTTAACTTCCTTGCCCCTCTTATTTTTATTTTATTTTTTCAGTTTCCTCCATCTATTTCCCTTCTGTCTTTTCCCCATCTCCTTTGCCTGCTCCCTGCTTTTAACTGATGACACTAGGTAATTAAAGTTTGTGCATATATTTCCAATTATTTATTGGAGAGAGTTTTATGTTAGTAATTATCAAAGCAAGAAAATAGAATTTATATGTTTCATTAAAAAAAGGTGAATCAAGTGGCTATTAATTCATATGATAGCTCCTTTCCTTGCTTATGTTGTGATAGTCAAGGGGCATATAAAGGAGGAACAGGGAAGAGGGAGGGTTTGGTTCAGGGCATATGACATAGAGGTAGAACAGGATCTCACTTCTTTTACTCTGTTTCTGAGGCTCTGTTGCCTCTTTAGTAGTCAAGAGGTGATATACTGTAGAAGACTTTCAACCAATCTAACTTCTCAAGTATTCTTTTGTTATGATTTTTGAAAATAGGCTGATTTACTTCTCCTATCAAGTAGTGAGCCACATGGTCTCTGTTATGTTGAAACTGCTGAGCTTGATGGGTAAGTTATTAAAATTAGAATAATTTGGTTGGTTTTTAATTTATTTAAAAGTAATGTCTTTAGAGATAAGACTTAACCTTGTTCAGTATCTTCTTGGGAGACATAGGAGTTTACATTGCAAAGTCCATAGTTAATTACTCTACAGTAATTTTGAAACTGTTTTTTCTCTTAAATTTATTTTCTTGCAGAAACAGTGAGCGAAACTTATATACAGGAATAACTTTACACAGAGAATCTTCAGTAAGATTCCTTAGATTTTTTAAAAAAAGTTTTTGCTTGTTTTGATTTCAAGTGATTTTATAGGGAAAATGAGAGGGGTAGAGATCAAGATTCCTTGAGGAGGGAAGGAAGGACTGATGTTACTTTAAAAGGCAACCTTTTGGAACTGTGTCAAATGAAGACATAGAAAAAGAAGAGAGAAACAGAATATGATGCAGTTTTGATGTTGATATTAATTTAGAATTTAGTTATAGACCATATAGCAGTTCTGTTTCAGAGGATTTAGTTTGTCTGGCATAAAAACATTTATTGAATGCTTACATTTTAATGACACTATGTATTTGTGTTCTTTAGATGGAATTTATCATTTAATCCTGATGTAGGTGCTATGTAATTATGCCCTATTGTACAGACAATGAAATCAAGGCTTAGAGAGCCTAGGTAATTTGTCCAAAGCATCTGAAGAGTGAAGCCAGGACTCGAACCTGGCAGTCTGACACCAGAGTCCATGGTTTTAACTGGTGCCTTCCAAATTATTGTCATATTGAGCTATTCAAATAGTACTTTAGTCTGTGGGACCCTACTTTGGACAGAACAGTTCAGACACAACTAAAACAGTTCTGAGAGGAACATTTATGGCATACATTTGAAAAGAGAAAAATTCTCAAATAAATAATCTCATCATTCATCTAAAAACCCTAGAAAACAGCAAAATAAACCCCAAAGAAGCATAAGAAAGGAGATAATAAGATAAGAGCAGAAATAAATAGACTTGAAAACAAAAAAAATAAAGAAAATCAACGACACAGAGCTAGTTCTTTGGAAACATCAATACAAGTGACAAACCTCTAAGAATACTGATAAAAGAAAAAAAAAGAGAAGACACAAATTAGCATATTATGCATGAACCATGGAAATTTGGTATAGATCCTGAAGACATTATAAAGGTAAAAAAGAAATACTACAAACAACTGTGCACACATAAATTTGACAATTTAGAAGAAATGGACCACTTTCTCAAAAAAAAGACTATACACTTAATATGAAATAGATAATTTGAATAGCTCTATAAGTATTACAGAAATTGATTTCAAATGTAAAGTATAAAAAGCTTTGAGGAAAAAAATAGGAGGAAATCTTTGAAATCTAGGGCTGTCTGGTCAGATTCTTAGACTTGACACAGTAAACATAATCCATAAAAGGAAAACTTTGATAAACTGGACTTCAAGAAATTAAAAATTTTTGTTCCACAGAAGTTCCTGTTAGGAGGACTTAAAGATAAGTTACAGACTGGAAGAAAATATTTGTAAACCATCTATTTGACCAGGGACTTGTATCTTGAATATATTTTAAAAAAACTTCTTAAAACTCAATAGTAAAAAAACAAACCATCCCATTTGAAAATGGGCAAATGACATAAAAGAGACATTTCACCAAAGAGGACGTACAAATGGCAAATAAGCACATGAAAAGATGCTCAACATCATTAACTACTGAGGAAATACAAGCTAAAACTACAATAAGATCTCACTACAGACCTATCAGAATGGCTAAAATGAAAAAGAGTGACAACTCCAAATGCTAGCAAGGAAGTAGGGAAACAGGATTATTCATACATTGTGGGTGGGAATGTAACATGCTACAATCACTCTGGAAAATGGTTTTGTAGTTTCTTAAAAACTGAACATGCAGTTAACATACAACCCAACAATTTCACCCCTGGGCATTTATCCCAGAGAAATGAAGACATGTTTGTACAAAAACCTGTACATGAATGTTTATGGTGGCTTTATACATAACATCCAGAAATGAAAACAACTTGAATATCCTTCAATAAGTCAATGGTTGAATAAATTGTGGTACATCCATACCATGGAATACTACTTAGCAATGAAAATGAGTGAACTACTGATACATGTAACACTCTGGATGAATCTTCAGAGAATTATACTGACAAAAAATAGCCAATCCCAAAGGTCACATACAGTATAATTCTGTTTATAAAATTTTTGCCTTTTGAAAAGGCAAAATCATGGAAATAGAGAACAGATTAGTAGTTTCCAGGTGTTAAGATGGGGTGGGAAAGGCAGGGAGGTGGGTACGGCTATGGAGCACAACCTGAGGGATCCCGCAGTGATAGAAGTGTTCTGTATCTTAACTATTTCAATATCAATATCGTGGTTGTGATATTATACTATATTTTGCAAGATGTGAAACTGTAGTAAGATGCAATTCTGAATAAGGGGTACACAGCATCTTTTGGTATTGTTTCTTATGCTGAAAATCACTTTGAAGTTTATCAAGATACTCAGGCAGATTAAGCAAGAGTGTGGAATGACAATGAAGGCATTAATCAGGAGTCCTGGAAAATACTTTTTTTTAAATTTCATTTTATTATTATTATACTTTAAGTTTTAGGGTACATGTGCACAATGTGCAGGTTAGTTACATATGTATACATGTGCCATGCTGGTGTGCTGCACCCATTAACTCGTCATTTAGCATTAGGTATATCTCCTAAAGCTATCCCTCCGCCCTCCCCCCACCCCACAACAGTCCCCAGAGTGTGATGTTCCCCTTCCTGTGTCCATGTGTTCTCATTGTTCAGTTCCCACCTATGAGTGAGAATATGCGGTGTTTGGTTTTTTGTTCTTGCGATAGTTTACTGAGAATGATGATTTCCAATTTCATCCATGTCCCTACAAAGGACATGAACTCATCATTTTTTTTGGCTGCATAGTATTCCATGGTGTATATGTGCCACATTTTCTTAATCCAATCTATCATTGTTGGACATTTGGGTTGGTTCCAAGTCTTTGCTATTGTGAATAGTGCCACAATAAACATATGTGTGCATGTGTCTTTATAGCAGCATGATTTATCTACAACTATCTGATATTTGACAAACCTGAGAAAAACAAGCAATGGGGAAAGGATTCCCTATTTAATAAATGGTGCTGGGAAAACTGGCTAGCCATATGTAGAAAGCTGAAACTGGATCCCTTCCTTACACCTTATACAAAAATTAATTCAAGATGGATTAAAGACTTAAACGTTAGACCTAAAACCATAAAAACCCTAGAAGAAAACCTAAGCATTACCATTCAGGACATAGGCATGGGCAAGGACTTCATGTCTAAAACACCAAGAGCAATGGCAACAAAAGCCAAAATTGACAAATGGGATCTAATTAAACTAAAGAGCTTCTGCACAGCAAAAGAAACTAACATCAGAGTGAACAGGCAACTACAAAATGGGAGACAATTTTCACAACCTACTCATCTGACAAAGGGCTAATATCCAGAATCTACAATGAACTCAAACAAATTTACAAGAAAAAAACAAACAACCTCATCAAAAAGTGGGTGAAGGACATGAACAGACACTTCTCAAAAGAAGACATTTATGCAGCCAAAAAACACGTGAAAAAATGCTCACCATCACTGGCCATCAGAGAAATGCAAATCTAAACTACAATGAGATACCGTCTCACGCCAGTTAGAATGGCAATCATTAAAAAGTCAGGAAACAACAGGTGCTGGAGAGGATGTGGAGAAATAGGAACACTTTTACACTGTTGGTGGGACTGTAAACTAGTTCAACCCTTGTGGAAGTCAGTGTGGCGATTCCTCAGGGATCTAGAACTAGAAATACCATTTGACTCAGCCATCCCATTACTGGGTATATACCCAAAGGAAAATACTTTTTAAAAGTATCAAGAAGGCCTGTGTGTGATTATTCTTCCTCTTTTGTTTTTTCACATTTGAAGATAGAACTGAGATAGTGGAGAGGATCCTGAGGAAGTAATTCAAAATGATGATAAACTTTGATAAATTACATGACGTAGATTAGGGCTAAAGAACTAGGGCTATCTGGCTTTTTTGGTGTGACTATTTCAGTTATTTGAACAGTTGTTTAAATGGATGGACATGTTGGCCCTTTAGCCTCTATACCACTTTTCTCACTCTTGTCCGTCAAGCCCAGCTCAATTTCTGCTTCATCTATGAAGTTCTTGACTATCTCAATTCCTACTCATCTCTGCGTCCTAGAAATCAGCAGGTTTTGATTAATAAGATTACTTTTAAGCAAACTAGCTTGAATTATACATCCAACTTAGTCTTTCCTGAAGAAAGCTATTTTAGCAATGCGTATTCCTTGAGTTGGACTCATATTGTCCTACATCATTGTGAAATTCATTTACGGAAGGTTAAGATTGGATGCCTTCTTAGGTACCTGCTTTTTGGCTGTCTAAAATGAGTTATTTCACGGGTTTGCACAAAATTCCACACAGTGATGTTTGCTTTTTTACCTACCACTTGTTTTCCCCAAGAGGATTGTCATCCTCTTGGGGCAGCATTGCGTATCTTGGGTGACTAGGGTATGTATTTAATCAATATTTGTTGACTGAAGGAAAGTACCACTAAACATTTCCATAAAAGATAGAACTCTGATAGCTGATCTTAAGCTACAGTATAAGAGAATTAGGCTGAATTCAGTGAGAAAACTGGGATGGCAAGCCCTTAAAACAAGACGTAAGTGATGGCCATAGAATCTTAACTGCTGGCCATTTATGAATATCAGAGAGCCATCTGTCCAAAATATGTGTGGTCTCACCTATAAGAAGATGCCCAACTCACTGTGACTTGCTGAGCTTGTCTAGGTTGTCTATTTTAGACTTATGGGTTTCTTGGATTGATTCTCTAAGAAAATGAAAGCTGTATTCCCTTTCCCATTTAAATTTCAGCTACTGTGAAATTAGTCATGACCATTTTTTGCAAGTAAAACTCCTATGTAGATAGTAGACTCTGGAGTGATATTAGCCTCCTTTATTTGGCAACTGTGTTCCAATTCTGAATGTGTTTTGTAACTCATGCGTGATGTCTGAGTAGGTTCAAATGAAACCATATTTGTTATGTCCTCTGTTCTTTCAAACTGCAAAACAGATCATTGTGTTGTTATAAAGATGTGCCGTGGGTAGAATGCCAACTCTTTGGAGCCCAAGAAGCCCTGCCTACTTTCCTGAAACAGTGAGCGAAGTGTGAATGACATTCAAAGGAGAGTTTCTTGGATCTCTTGGGTTTGGCTTTGCATGTGCTACACCCACCTGATTGCTTTGGTAGGATGCTGTTGGGCTGTTCCATATAAAAATTCATGTCATGTCAATAATTTCACAGGGAAACGAACCTAAAAGTCCGCCATGCACTATCAGTTACTTCAGAACTTGGAGCAGATATCAGCAGACTTGCAGGGTTTGATGGTAAGTATTTTAAACAGATAAACAAACAAAAACCTCAAACCCAAAAAGCAATGCAACAAAGTAATGTGAGATCCAATTTATGTTTCTTTTTATTTGGTGGAAGGACATCAAATTCTCCAGGCATCAAAGCCTGTAATTTCTTCGCACGCTAAAAAGAGTAAAAATGTTTGCCAAGGAGAGAATGGCTTTATCAGTTTATCGTTCATTTCATGCTTGTTTCCTTTTTAAATATCATTTACTTCAATCCCATAATACCCTTTACTTGCTTGATGTTGGCCTCCCTGAAGCCATATACAGACTTGCTGGGGAGAAATATTGGCCACCCTTGTATTTCTAGTTCTAGGTCTAACCACCCATCCATTTCCTGGCTCCATAACAAAGACTAACTAGGAGACCTCAAACTTCATGAAGACAGTCATCCTGCCTCATGTATTTCAGTACCTTGCACGGCGCTTAGCATAATGTCTTGAAGATATTAGGTGTTCAAGAAGAATATTCTGATTTATTAATCAGTTGGTCATCT
Organism: Homo sapiens; assembly: GCF_000001405.40. NCBI lineage: Eukaryota > Metazoa > Chordata > Mammalia > Primates > Hominidae > Homo > Homo sapiens. Next base: position 49,996,153 of record NC_000015.10, on the reverse strand, counting down.
GTTGACTTTTATTTTAGACCATGGTTTTAGTATTTCCATCTTCATACCATTCAGCTGGTCCCCGATCTTCAGTATAATCTCTCTTGCCTTTCCTTTTCTACCTATATCTCGTTCTATTCTGTTAAAGTTATTCTTAAGTAGTCATGGAACAACCTCTAGATGTTGTCCATTCTAAGGATATCTGCATGTATGATTAAGATACCACAGAGAAACACAGTACTTCAAGAGTCAAAGGAAAGAGACACTGATTGTAGGATTTTAGGCACCATAATAGGCTGCAGAGAGAATCTCTGGAGTCTCCCTTTCACTCCTCAGTGGTCTCCTGCTTTACCCACTTGACAGTCTGGCCCAGAATATTAGTATATCCATACAGATTGGCTTTATTTACTAATGGATTTTCATGAGTTTGAGACAATCTTTCAAAATGTGTTTTTGGGGGATCCACTTAGGGAAAACATGGACAAGGGTATTAGCATAATCACATGAGTTAAAGCACAGGCAAGTTTATATTGTAAAGTTTCTCCAGTGCAGAGCTTAGAGCTCCTATTGCCTGTGCTTTGCAATTGCTTGTAAACTCTGGATTCTGTTAATATTTTAATCTCTCTTAAATGAGTGCTTTTATAACAGATGTTTATAGAAAAAAAAATTCCTCCGAATTGAGATTGAAGTCAGAGAGTAGCCAGGAAACTGAATGGTCCAAGAAATATTTTGATTAGAATAAAACAAATTACACATTTTCTACTAAGTAATTTTTTCAATGAAATTTTACTGTTATGTGAATCCAAGAAAAGTAAATTGTGTTCATGAATCAAAATACTTGCTTAAAATACCTCATTGAATATTCATGGAGGCCCAAAAAGGCCATCTAAATATAATTTACTATTACTCATTTCTTTCCCGGCAGAATTTACCTTTATACCTCTATTGATCTACGAGGAGGTAGAAATTCATGATTTTTAGTGTTGCTAATCATCAAAAAGCAGAACATGATTGTTAGCAATTATTTAGGTCCCATTCTTTCCTAGATGCTTGCTCAGATAGGCTACACTATGATGCAGTTATAAACAGCCCTGCAATCTTAGTGGCATAAACACAGTAAAGGCTTATTCTTGCTCATGTCACATTCTTAGTGGGTTGGGTGGCCTTCTCCATCATGGAGCCACAGTATCTGGACTAATGGCATCTGAGATCACTGCACTGGGCTAAGGGTAAGATGAAAGAGACACAATGGTTTTTAAATTCTTCTTCCTCTTATAGTTCATTGGCTAACATTGTCACCTGGCCCTGACTTAACTGCAAGGGAGGCTAGGAAATAACAAGTATGAATACTTGTTGAGCATTAACTGTCTCTACCACACCCTTCAAGAATCGTGGCCATGTAAGTTGATGCCAGGATAATGCATAAGGAGCCAGGCTGGATTAGGTGGATTTCTTACATGGAACTGCAGGACTGGGGTTAAGCATCCCCCTCTTCAGCATGACTCCTTACACTCTCAATCCACCATACCCTGCTTGGCTTTTTCTTCTTCTTATAGCACTTAGCACTGTCTGGCATACTGGATAATTCATTTATTTTTTAAGTTAATTATTTATTGTCCATCTTTATCTGCTTCAGTGTAAGCTACACAGGGATCTTTGTTTTATTCACTGATGTACGCCAAGCTTCTAGAACAACGTCTAGCACATAGTAGGTACTCAGTAAATCCCTGCTGGATGAATAAATAAATAGTTACAAATCCCATTGGGGGGCCGAGAGGAAGACTAGCGTCAGGGCCCAAAAAGACATGGGAGGGCAAAGGAAAGTCCTAACGTAAAGAGACTGGGAAGAGAGTGTGAAACGATGGGGTGAGGAGGAAGCTTTAGCTTCCTGAAGTGGCCTTGTAGGACCAGGAAGGAGTGCTGGATCCTCTCCTCCTGGAAGGCAGGTGTCTGGGAGAGGGATCAGCTGGCATGGTAGTTTTTAAATGTCTTTACTTCACATCCTTTCTGAAGTAAGAAAATGGAACACAGTAGCTCCAAATTTAAACCAATACAAGTGATGTTGCTCAGGCTGAAAACATTTTCCTCTCAGATGAGGTAACAGGTCTTGAGAAGTTAAAGGACTTGCTTATATATAAAAATAGCCATTTAAAAATACTTCACAAAATTTACTTTTAAGGTGTGTTAATAATTATTACTTACTAGATATGACTTGAATTTGCTTCATACAGAATGGGCAACTCACCAAATCCCCAATGAATAATTGTTTTCACAAATAAAGACAACACAGACCTCTCTTTTTTATGATTATATATACTTAAACTGTGGTCAGCTTTTCAGAAAACATGTAATGCCAGATTCATGAGGCTGGTACACTTCTGGGCTAAAATCCAGGTTTCTGTTAAGTTACTTTTTCATTTTAAAATCTTGGGCTGCATTTCAATCTACCTTAAAGTTCAAGGCAACAGGGAGTTTTATGGGTTTATTCTAATAAGTAAAAATATAATTTCCTGTTTCTAAGAAAACATCAGAAGAATGAATAGACGAATTAAGGGAAAATAAATTAGAAACAATATACAAATTAGATTCCCCCCAGTTAGCAGCCAAATTTAAAGACCAAGAGGATGATGCAAGGTGCGGCATGGAAGTCTTTGAAAGAGTTAGGACAGTTAATAAGCCCTAAATCCTTCCCACGATTGCTCTTGCTTTCCTTGGCCTTCGATTGTTTTCTCCATCACTTCTTTCCAAGCCCTAATTTACACATTTCAATTTTAATATCTCTGACACACACACACACACTACTATCAGCACATGGTTTTCTAACTACTCCATTTCACCATTCTTCTTTCCTTTCTTTCCTTCCTGTATTCTTGCTTACTGTTCTCATCTCATCGTCTTCCTTCACTTCTTTTTGTTAGCTATTTTCTCCACCTGCAGTGTCACTTTTCTGTCATTCTTTATCTTTGTTTTTATCACTCTCTCCATATTAGTTTAAGTCTGTTTATTAAGTACCTCCTAAGTACAAGATGCAAAACAAAGTATGTAGAATTATAAATGATCTCTCCATATATTACCAAGGTTCTTTTGATCCTTTGCTCCTCGTTCTTTTTCTACTCCCTTTTTTGTGTCTTCTTTATTCAACTTTGTCCTAATGAAATATCAGTAGATTTCAGGTTTTCCTCTGGTGATTGGAAAAAGACTTTCTTGACTCATGGGAATCAAAACTAGATATTGCATCCTTTAGTTTAAATTAAAATAGGATATCAACATTGTATATGTTTGGCAATGCCCTGGCTAGCTTTGGCAAGGTATAATCGATGAGAAGATATGGGAGGCACACTCTTTACCATGTTCTGTCTGTGCTAAGTACATGTTTTAATTTGTGACTTCTGGGCAAATCTGGGTATGGCATTATTTTTGCTTCTGGTTACTGTGTGTTTTCCTCTTCTGAGACTTGCCAAAATACTTTCTCTAGCACCAAATTACAATTTTCTGTCCTTGAATCATAAAAGCACATCTTCCAAGTATCTAAAGACCTGAATTTCCCACTCCTATCCCCAGAGAAGTTCCCACTGGGGACTCCAGGTTTCGGACACATAGGGTCAGAACTGAGATGGGTTGAAATCTCAGGATGTCTCTGGTAAGTCTCTCTGCCTCCTCACTTTTGCATCTATATTCAAAGATAGTGTCTTTCTGGTGGACTTATTTCTTTCATCCATACATACAGTCACCCATTATTCATTCAGCAAATGTATATTTAACACAAGGCCAAGGGATTTGTTAAGACTGGGATACAGTGGTTAATAAGTCAGGCTCAGGCCTTACTTTTATAGAGCTTATTTCCCAGGGGAGAAGACAGACTTGAACAAGGGCTCATCCCTAAAGAAGCCTTTGATAAGGTAAAGGCCCTAAAGTTCTCAGGCCCTAAACATGATGCTGATATGTGAGCAAGAACTCACTATGTACCAGGCACCATGCTGAGTAATTGCACACATTATCTTGTTAAACCCTTACAGCTCTTGAAGGAAGAGATTATTGTTAGCTCAATTTATGGATAAAGAGACCCAGGTAAATTGATTAACTTTCCCAGTGTCATATGGCTGTTAAGTGGAGAAGCCAGACTATGAACCCTGGACTTCTGGCAAAGCCTATTTTACAAAGGACACAAAAGGACACAAAACCCCAGGTTGTAAACCAAAGTAGAAAGACAGCATTGGAGGGTTAGGGAAAATTAGCACAAGAGCTTAGCTCTTGATTAGGGAAATAAATGAAATTTTAAAATATTCTAAACCCAAAGGTACGAAATTAATTACCAGAGATCAAGTCCATCCAGCACAAGGATGAGGTCATCATATTTTTAAAACGTAGCAATGTTCTCAGTGATTTTGAATGTCAGGATCCCTGATAAGAGTTTATAGAAGACTTGGCCAAATGTAGAGACCAGTGCACACAAGAGAGTTGGGTTTTGGCAGGTAAATCCATTTATTTGAAAAGTTCTCATGAAAATATTTTTATACATTTCAAACATCAGAAAAAATGATTTATGGTCTCTTGAATTTTGTAAGAAAAGATACATAACTTGATCTAATATTATAGATCAAATATAATATAAAAAGAGATTGGGCCTTGATTTTCATGTTAAAGTCTTATGGGAATTGAAAAGCTTTTATAAACAAGTAACTGAAATACTTGTCAATTATTATTATGTAAACTGGACATTCTTATTCCTTGGGGAAAACCCCGGATGTAAATTGTCGAAATGTGTTTAAGAATCTTTTGCATATTGTTACTGACTGAACTGAGATCTGTTTTCTGCAACTCCTGACAAGTTTACATATTTTGTATGACTGTTAATGCTGAATTCTGAACCGAGGAAAGGTTGACTCTTTATTCAGGAATCCTTGTATATTTTGTGGTTCTTTCTAAAGAATAGCATGTGTGTAATTAAAACATGGAAAAATAAGCATCTCTTTTTGGTTAAAAAAAATAGCTTGGTTAGCATCTTGTGAGTTTTTTTGCTTACCAGATAGCTTTCCTATTCACCTGGACTGGAGCACAACCCAACAGCACAGCTGACTCATGAGGCATAGATTCCATGTAAAGGCGTGAAGAATAATTTCCCTCTTTACTGCTGGTGCCGACATGCCATTATGGTGGTAATGATGGATGGGTGAGCCTTGACAGTTGAAGAGTAAAGAAGCTTTAGAAAATAGGAAGGTGACATACTTCTTTCTAAGAAAATAAGTATTTGTCACAATCATCAGGGCAAACACTAGTGGGCAATCTCTAAAACGCTAAAAAAACTCTTGGCTAGAGAAATTCTTGAACAGCAATATTGATGTTTTATTTGCTGGATGATTTGTCTTATGGAAGAGTTGCAGTACAGATAATCAAGAACTATTTCTATTAATAATGTATAGGAAGAGATGAAGCCAGCTTCTCTGGAAAATCATAGACTATTGGGCACTGAGTTCCATTTTTATGATAAACTACAGACTTTCACTTTGAGGTAAATACTTAGCTCGAGAAGTCTGTCAAGTTGGTAATTAACCAACGATCCAGCTGACTAAATCTAGAATGCTTAAGAAGGTCCAGAATGAGATCCTGTAGATTTTTTTCAGTATGGGTCTAGAGCATTTCTGTGTGATTGTCAAATGGATAAATTGCAATCTGCTTTCATGTCTTCTCTTCAGAGGGGCAAACAGATATGACCAGCTAGTTTGATTGTATTTACACTTCATTATTGACGTGATTTTCTTCCAGCTTTATTATTGCCCATTAAAGATGACTTTGTGCTCCAAACATGTATTCAGTAAATGACTATGTGAGAAATGATGCGATTTTTTCCTTAACTGTTTCCTCATCGATTGTCAAACTGATCATTTACTGCCTCTTTCTCTTCTCTGATTCAACTAGCAAAAAGAAGAAGGGTCCTAAGAGAGCTTTCCCCTCATCCTTGTTATGCTTCATGGCTAGGCTCTCATTTTGGTTGCTTCTAATGCACTTTAATGCTCTCACCTTTTTTCAGTACTCTCAGATCTACTCGACTCCCTTTAGATTTAGGCCAAACTAAGCCCCGGCTGTTGTGCCTGGGCTATTTGATTTTCTAGTCCTTTATTACTATCATGGAAATATACCCACTTTTTCTGTTTTTCTTAGATCTGCTCTAATATCCATCTCATCTCTTAACCTCTCTCGAAATCATCTGAAATTTTTTCTATCCATCTCTTCGACAAAGATCCTATTATGTAGATAGTATAATAGGTTATAGGAATACAGAGGTGAATACAGTGCTCCCTTCAAAGGAATCTGTTCATCCCTTTTCGAAAGTGGTACAAAAGAAATTGGGAAGTGTGTGTTTTATGCTAATAGAGCTTAAAAAGGGGAAGCCGAGCACTTCTGATGATAAAAACAAATGTAGTTTGGCTTTGTTCCCACCATTTTGTTTTGACTGGGGCCTGTATTTAGAACTTACATCACCGAGACCACACTCTTTGAGAAAGGCTGAATTGGGGCTTAGCCTCCAAGAACCCAGGCAGTACCCCTTGGCCTTACTCCCTGTTCCTGTCTAGAACCACACCCTTGGTGTGAGGTCAGGGAGGGGCAAGCCAACATGTTTAAGGCTGTATTTGCCTCCATGTCAGTCTTTGCTTATGACAATAGAAATGATCAAATGAACCTGTTTTTTATATTCCTTTTGGCAGGGACTGCATATCATGTTGTTTTTGCCCAAAGCACATTTTTTTTTTTTAAGTGGCTAGGTTTGAAGCCTGAGAAATTGAGTCTTGGGTCAAGAATCTGGAATAAACTTCAAGCGTTGCTGTCAACCTGTTATTTTATGTAGATTTTGCTGGTGATAGCCAATTCAAGATTTTACAATTCAGAATGAAAATTATTGGTCAAGAAAAAAAGATACTGAATTCAGGGATTTAGAAAATGTCTCCTCATCTACAACATAGTTGTCCAAACAACTTGAGCCAGTTTAAATCAGTTTTAATTTACTTTTTACTATCAGTGATAGGCTATCACGGAGCTAACCAGAATTCAGCCCCTTCCCTTGGCAAGGTTGTTTGTCTTATCCAAATCCTCCTGCCAGCAGTCTCTATTTAGCAGTGGGAAATAGGGATGTCTGGGAAACTGCCAGTGAGTGCCTAAGTGGGGAGGCTTCAGGCAGTACTTTTGTTATATTGGGGAAAGACAGGTGGAGGTTGGAAAAGCAGCCCTGAGGACATAAGTCCCTCATTCCTTTCACAGTTTTATTTGCTTTTGCTTTTTTAATGCAAGGTCTGTTAGTGAAATGGTTGGTCAGGAGTGACGTGGCCATGTGGCAACTGGTTGCTGTTACCTCTGTTTAGTAGTTTTAAAGGGAGCATCCTAGGGAGAAAGGGGACCCCCCTAAGAAGCCTCTTTTAAGTTCAGAAGGCAGCTTGAAGAGTGGATGGAGTCAGTGTAATATAGAGGATCTCTAGGCTGACGTGGTCCCCTTTCTCTTTAATCAGCGCTAAAGATACAGTCCCCTTTTTATTTTCCAAATGCTATGTTTTATGTTCCAACTTGCTCTTTTGAATTCTGATTAAATGTAAATGTATTTTTGTTTGTTTGTTTTTGAGAGAGAGAACTTTGTAGGTACTAATCTCACCCCTGACTCTGGCTCAAACCCTGATTGGATCTACCCACAGCTTCCTTTTTCATATCTCCCCTCTCTTTTTTCCTTCCTCCCTCTGTCCCTCTCTCCCTCCATTCTGTTCTTTCACGTCTTTGTACTCATTATATATAAAAAATTTAACCTTACCTGTTTGCAGTGGATATGTATATTAATCTAATAGTTATGTTTTGTGGCAGGGTCCGTGAAAGATTATTTGTGGTTTCTTTTTCTATCTAGAGAACCCTCATCCTGAATGTATATTTTCATATTGAAATAATGGAACGAATTGATTCGTTGATTTGGAGTGGGCATGCCCTTGGTTTGGAATTAAAGAAACTAGAAACATCTTCTAGCCAGTTAGGGGCAAGTTATATGGTGCCTTTGAGAGTCCCCAGAACTCTGAATCTAATCAAGATAAGAAGCATAGAACAGCTGAAAGGAATCACACGCATTCTCAGACTCATGTGGCAAACAAGGCCCAGGTTTCTTTCTGGTGGAATACAGTAGGACCTCAGAAATCCTGATTGTGAGGTCAGAAAGATGGTTAACTTTTGTTGTGAGACTAGAAGTATGCTATTTTAAACTGTGTAAAAGTTCACATTTAGCTAAAAGAGATGGAATAAGAGAAACTTTTAGGACAGTCACTGCTTTATCTTTTCAAAAATTATTTGTTACAAACCGGAAGTAAAGATATGCTTTTTTTTTCTTTTTTAAGGAAAAAATATCCCATGGCTGTTAAGGTTTCTGTTATTATTTGTTTTTTCTATTTTTATTTGGACAGTACAGAAAACTGTGTTTCAAAATAGTTGATGGCTTTCCATTTTTCTACCTCCCAGCTTATTTTTTTCTAGCACAATTCTTTATATGTAACCCCAGGCTGTCTAAAGGAGAGGGAAACAGTGGTAAAACAGTGCTGTGGGCTTCTGAAGAGAATTTTGGGTGAGTCATAAAGAGGTTTGTTTTGTTTTTTTATTTTCCAGGGATTGTTGTCTGTGAGGTGCCTAACAACAAGTTAGATAAATTCATGGGAATCCTTTCTTGGAAAGACAGCAAGCATTCCCTCAACAATGAGAAGATAATCCTGAGAGGCTGCATCCTGAGAAATACCAGCTGGTGTTTTGGAATGGTTATTTTTGCAGGTACAGCATGTGACCCAAGGCCAGCTCTGTGGGAACCTTTCCTGCAACGTACACCAGCACAGTCTATGATTCTCTGTGTTCTGATGAGCGCAGTGCTTTCATTCCATGCAAAGTCGTGCTCTGGAGTTGACTTAAGATTGTAGGATGCCAGGAGAAAACACTATTGCTCTGAAAATAGTCCAGGTGGCCCCTGCTGTATGAGGAACTACTGACATCTTATTCTTAAGGATGCTGGAGCTTTAACTAGACAGTGGGTGCTAGATACCTACTGCTTAATTTTTCTTCATTAACCCCATCTTAATCACCTTTGTCATTTTATGTATGAATCTGCCTTTAAAGTGGGTAAGAGTATGAAAGAAAGCTCCTGGCTGTGCAGTTAATTTTGTAGTTTGCAAAGGTCAAGCAGACCATTTGGAAAAGGCTTCTTGATCCTGTAATCATTTCTGTTTATACTCCATAGCTTTTTCCACTGTTTGTAAATAGGAGAGTGGGTTCTGGAAAGACTGTGCATGATGGGGGTGGGTGGGGTGGGAGGAGGTGCCTCTTACTCTTCTTGCCCACCAAATTTCTTTTCTCTGCTTTATTTCTGTAGGCCCGAGGTGGCCCTCTCTTGCTAAGAAAGCTTACAGTAGCATCATTTCATAAAGCCACTCAAATTGTACTCATGGCTTCAATTGCCAGCCCTTGATTTTAAAAGTCCTGTTTATTGTGACACCAAATTAAGATGTGTTTTGGGCCTCTTGACTATGTGCAATCAAAATTGGAATGTTTTTCTTAACTGACCTTCCTCAACAACAACAAAGTGTTCATTAAAGTCTTAAAAGTGTTCCAAACCTAGAAACGTTCTCCCAATTCCTCTAAATACTGTCAGCTGTTGGTGTTAGCAGTGCTCTTGCCGCTTGGGGCATTGCCATTGTAAAGACTTGGGAAATCCCTAGAAATGAGCCAGTATATGCGCTTTTACATTTTAGTTGGAGAAATAAACATATGATCATATATTTCATTACACAGAGAAAAAGAGAGCTAGGCTTGACCATGAACATTCCTTTATCTTCCTACTTAATGATAGGGAAATTTCATGGTCTTCTGATGGGAAATACCCTCCTGATTTGCTTCCTGTCATCATAGAGATGGAGGTGCTTCATCCTATGGATGGGATATAGTCCCAAACTTTGCATTTCCGTGACCTTGTTTGGAATGGCTAATTCAGGACTCTAGTTCAGCTACAACGTTTCATGCTAGGGCAGTTGTTGTGAACCGCTGAGAGGCCAAGTTCTTCTTTGTAAGGTTTCTTTGTGGGAAAATGTTCTGAAAAACAAGGAAGTTGGTTGGTAAGTTGAATAGGTCTCCCTCCAAGGAAGTGTAACAGAAAGTTCACAGAATTTGGATTGGGCAGACCTGAGTTTGGATTTATTATTATTTTTTATTTATTGTTATTATTATTTTACCAGCTGTAGGACTGTAAGCTTTGGTTACTTAAACTTCGGAAGCTTTACTTTTTTTCTGCTGTAACATGGGGATAATAATGAGTACATTAGGGTCATTTTAAAGGCTCAGTGAGATAATGCATACGGAAAAGGATGCTTGACAAATGCTATTTTCCTTCCTTTTCTGCTTCCCTTCTTTCAAATTTAATTCAGAGCACCCAGCCTGCTCTCTAGGCTGAGAGTTGGAAAAACTTACTGCTCTCTGGACCTTGGCAGCAGGCAGCAGGGAGAGAGGAACACCTTCTTCTTTTGTGATTTGGCCACAGTGTTCACTTGCAGGAGACCTTATCAACTGGATGTTTGTAAAGCAGAGCATGCCTGCATTGACTTTAGTCTGGTCACAAATGTTAGCAGAAAGCTTAATTAGAATGCTGGCAAACAGAAGAATTAGTGGTTGGCTTCGTCCGTGTCGGAGATGAACAAATGGATGTCACAAAACCTCTAAGTCTTAAGACATTTAGTTGGGGAACTAGTTCCAGGTGAACACCTAGGTCTAATGAAAAATATCTGCTGGGCGCGGTGGCTCACGCCTGTAATCCCAGCACTTTGGGAGGCTGAGGCGGGTGGATCACGAGGTCAGGAGATTGAGACCATCCTGGCTAACATGGTGAAACCCCATCTCTACTAAAAATACAAAAAATTAGCCAGGCGTGTTGGCAGGCGCCTGTAGTCCCAGCTACTCGGGAGGCTGAGGTAGGAGAATGGCATGAACCTGGGAGGTGGAGCTTGTAGTGAGCTGCGATTGCACCACTGCACTCCAGCCTGGGTGACAGAACGAGACTCCATCTCAAAAAAAAAAAAAATCCAAAATGAATTATTAAGTATTCTTTCTGTGTTATTACTCTAGTTATACCTACCACTAGGAATTGTGCAATGAATATAGATGACACAGATATGATTTGCTTTACAAACCTATAATTTATGAAGTTCTAATATATATTAACAGCTAGGCTACACCTCCCTGGTAATGCCTTCTTTATGCTCAAGAGAGGAGAAAATCTTGTTTCTGAGGGCAGGAATTATATTCATTTAAACAGTCTCTAGGAGTCTGTACCATCTTGAGTGCACACTGCATTTTTGTCCTAGATGTCTTCTGTTTGCTCTCCAGATTTCCTCTCACCTTTTTCTACCATTCTTTCTGCCCTAGGAGGCTTATTTGTATGGTTTATACTAATAGGTTACCTTGTACTTCTGCTTCTGGTTGGGCTTTGTCTCGGGGATCCCTAGGAAGAGATCAAAAGGAAGAAGGAGATTACGATCAAGGTATTTACTCCTCCAGGCTGCATTCTTGTGTGCTAACTTCAGGCTGGCCAGATCTATCAACAGAAGGCCACTCTTACTCTAAGGGCTGCAAATTCCTGTCACCTCTTTCCCTTAGGGTCCAGTAGCCATTCCTTCCCTTCATCCCTTCTGGCTCAGGTGGAGAAACAGCTTGCTTGCTACATGCCCTTGGTTAATGCACTAACCTTTTGTTTCCCCTATAATCCCACCTATGCTTTTTGTAAAGAGTTCTTTTATAAATAAAACTTCCTCCAATTCTCTTTGTTCAATGTGTCATCTATTTCCTTTTAGGATCCTGAATGAGACACAGTCTTAAATATTGGTTGACTATTTCATATAGTTTTAGAAAATAGTAAAGACCAAGAACTTTAGAATTACTTATGTCGAGGTTCAAATTCTCGCTCTGACACTTACTAGGTGAGAAATCTCAGGCAAGTTCAATTATTTAAACTCAGTTTCATTATTAGTGAACTGAGGATAATAGTACCTAATTTGTTAGTTTGTTGTAAGCATTAGCTGAGATTATAGGTGAAATGTAGATGTTCAAAAAATTAATTTGCTTAAAATACTTACAAATTATTTATTGAATGTCTACTATATGCTGGGCATTATGCTACTTACTCATTGGGGATTAAAAATGTGAACAAAAACAAATGCAGTACCTTCACTCATATGATTTTCAGTATGGTAGGAGAGAGAAAGAGGCATTAATCTCAAGCCAAAATCATATCAATGGCCAAGGCCCTGTGGCAGGAGTAAGGAAAGTGAGGTCAAAAAAGAAGGCCAGTATGGGGTATGGAGAGCACAGAGGATAGGGATGGATATGGGACTGGAGACATGGATAGGGGCTAGACCATGCTGGTAGACCTTGTGGTCAGTATCCAGAAGTTTGGTCTTTATCCTAAGAGCTTAGGGACGCCATTGTAAGTTTTCAAACAGGTGGGGTGTATATGTGTTAATTGTGAAAAGCTTAATCTTGCCAACACTGTTTGTAATGTTTGTAAATAGACAGCAGGTCCTGGGGTTGGGAAGGAGGAAAAATATTGGTTAGTTTTGGGGGCAGAGTGGATACAGGGAGACAAAGTTTCTAGGTTTTCACAGTTGAGAGGTGATGGTCCCTCAGATTAGGAAAGGAGAGGGAAGTAGATAAATTCAGAAGGCTTTTAGAAAGTTTAGAAAGTTGAATTGACAAGCTTTGATGACCAGGCTTGAAGGTGAGGATGATAAAGTTATCAACTATGACTGAGGTTTCTTCCAACCTTCGCAACTGGATGGATGGTGATGATGCTCACTGAGATAAGAAGCTTGGAGGAAGATTGTAAGCCAGATTGGACAAGGGCCACTTGAGAGGCCTTAGAAGAATCCAGGTGGAAATATACAGGCAACAAAATACGTAGGTTTAAATATATAGATTTAAAGCTCAGAGGAACAGCATGAGCTGGGGATACACATCTTGTCTATATTATTAAAACTGTTGGTCTCAAAGCTACGGTCTTAGGTGAGATTGCTCAGGGAAGGTAGATTGAGTAAGAAGATAAGGTGACCTATGCCTGAGTCTTAAGGATTCTCAGTCTTTAGTAGCTGGGTAAAGGGAAGGGAGAGTAAGTATCATGGAAGACAGGAAGGGAGCTACCAAAGAGGTAGGAAGGAAAGCAGGAGAATATTATAACACAGAAGCTAAAGGAAGAGTATGTTTCAAAAGGATGGAATAGTCAACAGTGTCAAAGGTTGCTGAATAGTCAAGAAGTTATGGAGGATATTGATGATAACACCAGATCTGTTTTGGCGTTGTGATTGGCCCAGAGACTGGGTTGAGTAACGAGTGGGAGATAAGAAAACGGAGGCTGTTGAGTGTAGAAAATTCTTTCAGGATGTGCATATAAACATTTGTGGTTATATTTACATAAATGCTTAATAATCCATAAAAAGGATTCCTTATTAGTCTGTGTGCATTTGTGTGCCTAATGGAATGTACATTTTCAGCACCTAACTGGTCTTTTCATATTTCAGTTTTTAGCAACCACAAACTTTATGTGTGTATGTGTGTGTGTGTTTTTTTTAAGCCTACAGCACCAAATATCCCCAGTCTCCCATCTAAGTACTAACCAGGCCTGACCTGCTTAGCTTAGCTTCTGAGATCAGATGAGATCAAGTATGTTCAGGGTGCTATGGCTACAGACTATTTGGCCTTTGTGATCTTTACCATAAAAGAAATATTTCCCACCCTCAATGTTCATATGATTTTAATAAATGATTCTGAGAAAATGTGGGTGGTCTATACACAGCAGTAGCTAGGAATAGGATACTGCAGTACAATTTCCAACTTAAGACAATGAATTGTTATGAAACCTCAATTATTGCTTCTTTTTTTCTTTTACATAAAGAAAAGTCTTTTAAGGATGTGCCTGTCCTTCCCTGACTTCTGGAGTGGTATATAATTTTGGGTGTGCCTCCCTTTTCTCCTTTCTTTAATTTCCCCCTTTCTCCTATATTAAATGGCTCTATGGATTGAAAATCATGAGGAGAATATGTGAAGAGGAAACACTGGAGAAATTAGCTTTAATTAAAACTTAATTGCTTCTATTTAGCATTTTCTCTGTCCACAAGGAATTTCTTTAACAATATTTTTCAATATTCTTATTTGTTTATCATCTAATAACCCACTTCTAAAGCAGTTGATTATATTCTTAGAATTCCTGGAACAAGGCACTTATCATGGGATAATGTAATTACCTGAAATAAATCTAACACAACATTTAAGACAGTTCTTGTCTTTACAAAAATTACATATTACATACGTGCAGTATACAATACACAATAAAGGTTTAAATTACTTGCTGATGTATTTTGGGGGGCTATTCTAGTTTCTCCTTCAAAGGGACCTCAAATCTTTTTGGGAAACAGATCTAGAATTTGATTTATTTTTCCATTTTTTACCTTAGTGTTCTGAATTGTGTTTGTTGCTGCATTATTTTTAATATTTCCAAATTATTCCTCACTTTTGTTGACTTTGTTATCTTTAACTATGTCAAACTAGAAGCATATTCATGTATAGACATTGAAAAAATAGCTTCACTTAAACCTTTCAACTACAAGTTCTGACTGTATTTATCCTAGTCTAAGAAGATCACATCTCTTGCAGCTTCCAGGATTGTTGTTAACCTAATTGTTGAGAATCATGTACAACTTAATGGCCCTTGCTCTTAATAAAAGTTAAATTATTGTGAAAAATATATATTTTTTTCTTTCAGAGACATTTGATATGAGCATTAATAAGAATACATAATCATATCATTTCAAAGTTATTTACTTTTTTTTGTTTTTGCAGGTCCTGACACTAAACTAATGCAGAATAGTGGTAAGACAAAGTTTAAAAGGACAAGCATTGATAGATTGATGAATACTCTAGTACTATGGGTAAGTTACAAAACTAGGCAATATCACTAGTCATTGTTATCTTAGTACATTTACTGAATCTTGCTGGGAATTCTTTAAGAAGCCTACATTCTCCTTGTGGAGTTTGTTTTTGGGGATTTTGCATTTGAGGCTCAGTTATACTGCCTTCTATTTTCTAGATTATGCTAATTTCTCAACCAGTGGTAGAATTTATCATGAGAGGTAGGTTAGTGTTTATGGAGGTATTCATGGTCTTACAAATTCCCCATATCCCAGGGATTTGTTTTTGGAAAACCAAACATAGTTTTTAAGGCAGTTTGGTGTTTTTGTTTTCTTACTTTTTTTCAGATCCTGTATACATAGCTTATGGTGGGCAGGGCTGGCTTCACGGGTGTGTGATCTGTGTAACCACACAGGGCCCCACACTCAGAGGGCCTTATGTTTGGTTTATTCAACTTCTGTTGCCATCTAGAAATTCTTAATACTTTTAGGACAGAAGGTCCCACGTTTTCATTTTGCACTGAACCCTGCAAATTATGTAGGTGGTTCTGGTTATAAATCCTTTGAGCCCCACCTCACAGTTCTCCTCCCTCACAGAGGCTTCTAACATCCTTAGCTCATGACTATCTTTCTCTTATGAATTTTTTTTTTACTTCTGATTCTTTTGAAATGATATTCTCTACTACTCGTTTACCAAAAACATTCAGATATTCCTTACATTCCATCCTTTTGTCAGTTAATCCTGTGCTACCTCATACTATTGATATACTATCTAGTCTTTGTGTAATACTGCTTTGTCTGCTTATATAGGGGTAAAGTTCGAAGACAGCCACTTTAAAATATAAAGACTGTGACTTCAAACCATGTTTTCCCATGTACCCTATCACAGGCTCACAATCATAAAGAATCTGAGCTCAATATGTATTTGCTTACCTGATATGTAACAATTGGACTCTGAATAAGGAAAGAAGGTAATTAGCAATTGCTGTGCACAAAATATTGGCCAGGCTCTGTGTTTTACTTTCAGTATCACCTGCAGACCTGGGGTTTTCTCCAGCAATACCAGTCACCTTCATACAGAGCCTATGAGGCCAAGAAGACATGCCCATGTCTATGAACATAGACAAGTTACATAGTCTTTCTTGTGCTTCCATTTTACTTTGTTTTTAAACTGTAAAGTGGGGATAATGACTGTTCCCATCTTAGAGAGTCAATGGGCAAATTCAGTGAGAAAATGTATGTAAAATATTTAGCTGAGTTCCTGACGTAATTCATATGATTAATGGTAAGAAGAGGTTTGCATACTTGCTTTTCAAATGACTATTTCTTGGAGTTAGATGCGTAATTAGATCATGTTGATATGACTAATTTTGAGTTCAAGTTAACCTTAACCACACTTCTATCTTATTTCAGATTTTTGGGTTTCTGATATGCTTGGGAATTATTCTTGCAATAGGAAATTCAATCTGGGAGAGTCAAACTGGGGACCAATTCAGAACTTTCCTCTTTTGGAATGAAGGAGAGAAGAGCTCTGTGTTCTCCGGATTCTTAACATTCTGGTCATATATTATTATTCTCAATACAGTTGTACCCATTTCCTTATATGTGAGGTAAGATGAGAGTTTATATTTTAATGAAATAATTTCATCAAAACCTTTGTTTCCAATATTATTTGTTTTAAAGTTTCAGCAGTGCAATAGATGTCTTGCTCTTAACTGCTTATGATCTGCAACATCTGTTACAAATGGGACAGCTTAGCTGTTTAATCTGTTAACTTTTATGTTTTCAAATTACAATAAATGCGGTTAATTTTCTTCTTGATTTGATTTGGTTTCTTAGAAATGTTTTTCTTTGTAAGACATGCACTACAATATAATCTCATGTAACCTGATCAATTAGAATTGGGTTAATTTTGAGTAAGAAAAGGAAGAACATTGGGGAGATCTATAGAGAGGGTGCCTCTTTGCCACTAGACTGGCTCTATAGATACATGGATTCAGGTCCTATTCTACCACTTACTAGCTCCATAACCTTGGGCAAGTAGCTTCATCTTCTAGTGCCTCAGTTCCCTCATTTTAAAAATGAAGAAAATAATAGTTCTACCTCATACGATTGTATGAGGAGTGAATACATGTCTATAAAGCTCTAAGAATTCCTGACACATTATAAAAGCTTAATGAATATTAGCTTTTCCTATTATTAGTAACTATAAGTATGTACATAAAGGAGTTAAAATATAGTAGGTGGTGCTAGTCCATTGTAAGATAAGAAGTATGATTTATAACTTCTACTACAATTTGATCTGTCAGGATTAGATTCGGTCCCATAAATTAGAGCTAAGGTGGTCTCTCTTTTTGCCTCTCTGTCTATGCACACAAACAGAACACATACACACACACACACACACACACCCCTCTTTATTTATATACATATGTATGCATGTGTGTGTGTGTGTGTGTGTGTGTGTGTGTGTGTGTGTGTGTGTGTATTTGATAAAGCTTAGAAATTGGCCCTAGAATCTGTACCTGGGACATTTTTGATCCTAATCCTAACAAGGCTGAGCCAGACTGTCCCCAAAACATTGGAGCTAAGATGGGACTTGGTTGGTTGACAGTTCTCATCATCAGTACTTTAACAGTACACAAAATCATCAGCTCCAAATCCCCACTTATTTTTATGAACCTCTTTTTATCTCTCTTCAAAAACCTAGCTATGATGAAGCAAGGGAAGTTTAATGCACAAAATCCACCCTTGTTTTGGGTAGTGGTCAGGAAACTGAAATGCCAAGTTGTGGGAAATTCACTTGAAGTAGTGGCATGTGGCCACAATACCACATATTGCTTCGGGCCCTCTGGAGCTGTGGTCAGAGAGGGCTCTATTTAAACTATATCCTACTGGCTCATCTTTGATTCTGAGGACCTCTCATGCTTGTATCCAATTATAAAGTCTGTAGTAAATCCTGCTCTTTGCCGGAAGAGCTACAGTCAGCTTTTATAGCATTCCTTTATGTCCTAAATGAATAATAAATGTGCATAGTGGCTTTCCATCTGCACATGTGCAGTTTCATATGTCCTCACAAAGGAAGTATATTATGTATACATTCTTTCTTTGAAGTACATTGGCATTTTCATTTAATGATTTGAAAGATTGATTTTTTTTTAAGAGACCAAAGGTAGATTCTCAGGTTGGCATTCCTTATACTTCTAATGTGCCATGGTACAATTGACAGAAAACGTATTTATAATTGTCCAAACCCAGTTTCTGGTCTTGGTACTGCCACTAATAGCTGTGTGACCTTGGAGAAAGTGCTTGGCTTCTCTGTGCCTTAGTTTGCTTGTCAAATATGTACTTCCCCATAAAATAAGGGGATTAAAAGAATTAATTTCTGAGTTACTTTATTCTCCAAATAATATCACCTTACCTTTAGATAACATTATAAATATATATTTGATATCAGTATAACACTTTATCACTTAAAAACTACTTTCTTATGCATTCTTTCTTATAATGTTCAAAATTACTGATGTTCTATAATATACCATAAAATATGATACCTTAAAACTCTGAATACTTTTCTCTTTTTTTAGCCTTTTATATTTTACACTTCCACATACTTTATCTCATTTATGTTTCCCAACAATCTTATGAAGTAGGATTTGCTGAGCTGCTTTCAAAATGGGATGAGAGGATTTGCTCAGGATCATGAGCTAAAGAGGGGCAGAAGTCTTCTGAGAGTTGGGACAGTGTTTTCCTATATCCCTAAGCTATGTATGATTTATTACTCAGTGAAGAAATCAAAAGAAAAAAAAGAGTCTAGAGTTCTGTCCTTGTTGTTAGGCATATTGATGAAGACAAATGAGAGCTTTTCTCTTACCAAATAAGTACAGTGATTCTGATCTTAACTCGAGGGAAAAAGCATTCCAAGGAATTTCAGGTTTCTCGGTCCTAAAGATTGAGACATAGGAAAAGAGAACACCCAGGTATTTCTGTCCGGAATGATGAAGACCTTCTGCCAAAGCTTCTATTAGGCTTTAGAATATGTACAAAGAGTAAATTAGTGCCATATATCACTTGAGGATAGAAGTTCAGTATTTGCTTTGAATGGTTAACAATTCCAGGTGAGCAAAGGACACTTACTTTGGTAGGATATTTCTATGTTGTCAGTTTGTTTATCTGTTGTGTTAAGGCGTACCCAGCTACAGTTTTTTTTAAATACATAATCTTAAGAAATGCAGCCATTGTTTTCCCAAGGAATTAGCTTTTGAGTGTTCTTTCCAAAGCAATAGGAATTCATTTCTATGTTGCTTGTTTTGCCTGAGACTGGGTGAAATTATAAGCTCTGTTCTGTGAGTATTCAGGCAGAAAACACTAAGTGGCTGGATTATGTTAACTCTGAATATTTTTCTCCTTTTCTCTGCTATTGTAAAAGAAAGCGCTGAATGTTCCACTGTGAGTCTTCTGAATCCTCTTTTCCCAAACAAAAACGATGCCCATTTTCTCTTCAGACTTTTAAGTTCTAGGAATTTGAATAAATTTTGAATACTTCCATTGGATTATACTATAACACAACAATCAAATTGTTTCATTCACTTTGGTTTAAGATTACAGGGAGCTACTAGACTTTCAGATAAATAAAGAACTTCATGATTTGTGTTGTGACCCTCATAATGCCATTCTTAAGGCCTGTTCTGCACTGGCTTTCCCAAATCCCTGAGTTCTAGTCTTGGCTCTGTGGCTAATTATTGATGTGACCTTGGGTTAGTCACTTTATCTCTCTAAGTCTTAATGTCCCTGTTGGTAAAATTAGAGTCTAAAGAGTTAAAATTCATACACTCAAGACTGATTGACTGCCTCTGATGGGCAAGACACTACCCCAGCCCATTGTAAGTGCTAATGCTTTTTGAGTGAAAAGAGTAAGGAAAATAAAGCTGAATCAGACCAGCTAGCAAGGAATTTACATGGAGGGTGGGGGTGGGGTGGGATGCAGAAGAGTAAACCATATATGAAAATATATAAATAAATAAACAAAGAGTGTCAGTTATGTATCTTAATACCATATCATACTCTACATAGTCACAGTGTAATTTCAGGGAGAAAAAAACTGCTACCATCCAAATAGTTAAAAAATGAATTGGCGCCATACCTCTTTTGGGGAGGGAAACATAGGTATGTCATGTACTTTTAGAACTTGAAGCATATAATTTATAACCAGAAAGGATTTGAGTGTCATCTAGCCCAACTTTCTCACTTTACAGATGAGAAAAACCAAGGATTAATTTCCACTAAGATCAGAAATAAGCTATGGTTCCTGCTATTACCGTAACTATTTTCTACTGTTCTGGATATCCTTGTAAATTACAAAGACGTGAAACTGAAATATCCATGAATAAAATAAGACATGAAACTGAAATAAACCTATTAGAAAGGAAGAACACAGACAATAATATGATTATAAATCTAGTCAATCCATAAGAATAATCTGTAAAACTTTCAGTAGGACAATTTGGTTGTGTCTGATTATGAAAGTAACATTAAAAAAATTAAAAGCTTTCTTTTAGACAACAACAATTTAAAAACTTATCCTATCAGTAAAAAGTTTTATATTCTGCCCTTTGTATACGTGGGTTTTGTATCTATGGACTCTACCAAACATAGATGGAAAATATTTGGATAAAAAAAGGATGGTTGTGTCTGTACTGAACATGTACAGAGTTTTTTCTTGTCATTATTCCCTAAACAATACAGTATAACAACTATTTACATAGCATTTACATTGTATTAGGTATTATAAGTAATCTAGAGATGACTTAAGGTATACAAAAAAGTTATGGATAGGCTATATGCAAATACTCTGCCATTTTATGTAAGGGATCCCCCACAGATTCAAGGGACAACTGTGATGTTCAAGAACAAATCTATAAGACTATGGTATGAATCTATATGAAAAAGCAAAACTAAACTAAACTAAAATTCCTTACTAATTGAGGTACTTTAAAAAATGGAATTCCTAAAAAGATTTGACCTTCTTGAAGTTGTATTTAAGTTTATAAAATATCAGTTCTTTTCAAATAATTAAGAGTTTAACATAGACCTAATAAAAATCTCAAATAAATTTTGTAGAAAAATTAATACATTGATTCAAATGTTTACTTAGATGGATACATTGATTCTATCAGGAAAAATAAATGGGTGATTATAGTTAAGAATTTTTGAAGAGGAAGAGAATAAAGGTGATTTTGTTTCTTGTACGTATTGCCAGTTATTATAAAGCTACAATAATGAAAACAACAGATGTAGTAGCTGTCATATCAATGAATAAAATTGAAATCCATAAATCAGATGCTAGTGAGTAAAATGATTTATTTGTGACACAGAAAGCATCCCAGCTTAATGGAGAAAGGATTGATTGTTCAACAAATGGTGATGTAAAATCTTCTTATTTGGAAAACTTGAAATTTGCTCCTCATATGTATATCAAACTTTCAATTTCAATCAAAAATTTCAATTGGGATAAGGAATTAAATAAGGAAAATATCAATAAAAACAAAGAAAAATGTAGATGTCTGTATATATAATCTTGGCATAGAGAAGACATATCTAAACAAAACTACAAAAACAGAAAGTATAAACTTTTGATAAATTTGATCCTTTAGAAAGAGAAAACTCATATTGAAAAACTGGAAACAAAATGAAAAGACAATCAGCCAGCTGTGGTGGTGCATGCAGTCCCAGCTACTCTAGAGGCAGAGGTGGGAGGATCGCTTGAGCTCAGGAATTTGAGGCCAACCTGGGCAACATAGCAAGACCCTGTCTCTAAAAAAAAAAAAAAGGACAAGTGGCTGGGTGCGGTGGCTCACACCTATAATCCCAGGACTTTGGGAGGCCGAGGTGGGTGGATCACCTGAGGGCAGTAGTTCGAGTACTCAAGTAGTTCGAGTAGTAGTAGTGAAACCCCGTCTCTACTAAAAATACAAAAATTAGCTGGGCATAGTGGAGCATGCCTGTAATCCCAGCTACTCGGGAGGCTGAGGCAGGAGAATTGCTTGAACCAGGGAGGCGGAAGTTGCAGTGAGCCGAGATTGCGCCGTTGCACTCCAGCTTAGGCAACAAGAGCGGAACTCCGTCTCAAAAAAAAAAAAAAAAAAGACAAATGATAAATTGGATAAAATATTTGCATTGTTTTTTGACAGAATTAATAGACTTAATAACTATAGAATTCTTACAAATCATTAATAAATACACTGATATCAGAATAGGAAAAATAAAATAGGCAGATACAATTAGATAGTTCCAAGAAGAAATGTCACTGGCCAATAAAATTTGAAAAAAGTGTTAAACTCATTGATAAGAAATGCAGTGAACAGTGGTGACATACCTTTTGAATTTGCATGTGGTGAAAGATAATTCTTAATAATCTGATGGTAGAAACTTATGTTGCTATGACGTTTTTGGAAATTAGTTTGGCATTATGTATGACGTTGAGCATTGAGAGAGTTCATACACTTTGCCATAAAAATTCTGCTTCTGGAGCTGGAAGTCATAAATGATTACTAGAATGTAATCAGAATTATATTAATCATAATTATTGTAATAATTAATGTAATTATGTAATTAGAATGTGATGCAACACTTTTCATGGTAAATGGGAAGAGTGGTATGACAACACATCCTGTTTTCACTCAGTATTTGTTATGGTTTGGTTCTGCTTCATGGAAATACTGTTTTCTATCTCTTTTGGCAAAGTGAAGCCACATCAAACAATGTATTGGAGAGAATGTTCTCAATAGCACATTTCTTTAGATCAGACATAAGACAAACATCTTCAATAATCATTAGTTTCCCCTACCACAGAGTTCCCTAACTCCCAGGCCACAGACCTGAGCTCTGCCTCCTGTCAGATCAGTGGCAGCAGCATTAGATTCTCAAAGGAGTGCAAACCCTATTGTGAACTGCACAGCAGTTTATATATTGCAGTATTATAATAGAAATAAAGTGCACATTAATTGTAATGTGCTTGAATCATCCTGAAACCATCCCCCTTCCCCTGATCTGTGGAAAAGCGTCCTCCACAAAACTGGTCCCCGGTGACCAAAAGGTTGGGGACCACTGCCGTATCTTATAGGAGGAGACACAAAATAATACACTACACACAAAGTCTCCACCGGGCCTGTTTAATGTAGAAAACCAGGAAACATTCCCTAAAGCTTTATTCTAAGCTGACTTATTGTTTTATGGTGTTGTAGAAAATGACTTGGAAATGTTTATAAACAGACTCTGTTGAGAAGCTTCTGAAGATCCCTGGGACCTAGGGACAGAGCATCCACATTTTCCTCTAACCCCTGGAGACTTTGGCAGACTTCTTATTTTGGCAAAATATTGTATGTTCTGAAATTAATGGAGCATTTCTTTCTTTTTTTCCATTTTAATGGATGATAGTGTGGAAGTAATTCGTCTAGGACACAGTTATTTTATAAACTGGGACCGGAAGATGTATTATTCTCGAAAAGCAATACCTGCAGTGGCTCGAACGACCACGCTCAATGAGGAACTGGGGCAGATTGAGTACATTTTCTCCGACAAAACGGGTACCCTCACTCAAAACATCATGACCTTTAAAAGATGTTCCATTAATGGGAGAATCTATGGTAAGAGAAACAGTTCCTTTCTCTTAACGATATTGTTAACAATTTCTTGAATAACTGACCCCATTAAAAAAAAATTTAAAAATCCAAAACAGTCGCTGGCTTTCTTATTAATATGGGCACCGTCAGCATCTACCATATAGATGCTGATATGCTTGGCAGATGATAAATTCTCACTAAATATGTATTGGATAAATGTTGAGTAATTTAGATGAAACTTTGGATTTATTGCCATTCATGGATAGAGAAAAGGGTTAGATATGATACTCTCTGAAGTTCGTTTCAGTGCTCTGTGTGATTCTTTATTATTATTATTATACTTTAAGTTTTGGGATACATGTGCAGAACGTGCAAGTTTGTTACATAGGTATACATGTACCATGGTGGTTTGCTGTACCCATCAACCCGTCGTCTACATTAGGTATTTCTCCTAATGCCATCCCTCCCCTAGCCTCCCACGTCCCAACACTCCCTGGTGTGTGATGTTCCCCTCCCTGTGTTCATGTGTTCTCATTGTTCAGTTCCCACTTACGAGTGAGAATATGCGGTGTTTGGTTTTCTGTTCCTGTGTTAGTTTGCTGAGAATGATGGTTTCCAGCCTCACCCATGTCTCTGCAAAGGACATGAATTCATCCTTTTTTATGGCTGCAATAGTATTTCATGGTGTATATGTGCCATATTTTCTTTATCCAGTCTATCACTGATGGGCATTTGGGTAGGTTCCAAGTCTTTGGTATTGTGAATAGTGCTGCAGTAAACATATGTGTGCATGTGTCTTTACAGTAGAATGATTTGTAATCCTTTGGGTATATACCCAGTAATGGAATTGCTGGGTCAAATGGTATTTCTGGTTTAGATCCTTGAGGAATTGCCACACTGTCTTCCACAATGGTTGAACTAATTCACATTCCCACCAACAGTGTAAAAGTGTTCCTATTTCTCTACATCCTCTCCAGCATGTGTTTTTTTCCTGACTTTTTAATGATTGCCATTCTAACTGGCCTGAGATGATGTCTCACTGTGGTTTTGATTTGCATTTCTCTAATGACCAGTGATGATGAGCTTTTTTTCATATGTTTGCTGGCCACATAAATGTCTTCTTTTGAGAAGTGTCTGTTCATATCCTTTGCCCACTTTTTGATGGGGTTGTTTGTTTTTATCTTGTAAATTTGTTTAAGTTCTTTGTAGATTCTGGATATTAGTCCTTTGTCAGATGGATAGATTGAAAATATTTTCTCCCATTCTGTAGGTTGCCTGTTCACTCTGATGATAGTTTCTTTTGCTGTGCAGAAGCTCTTTAGTTTAATTAGGTCCCATTTGTCAATTTTGGCTTTCGTTGCCATTGCTTTTGGTGTTTTAGTCATGAAGTCTTTGCCCATGCCTATGTCCTGAATGGCATTGCCTAGGTTTTCTTCTAGGTTTTTATGGTTTTAGGTCTTATGTTTAACTTTTTAGTCCATCTTGAGTTAATTTTTGTATAAGGTGTAAGGAAGGGGTCCAGTTACAGTTTTCTGCATATGGCTAGCCAGTTTTCCCAATACCATTTATTAAACAGGGAATCCTTTCTCCATTGCTTGTTTTTGAAGGTTTGTCAAGGATCAGATGGGTTGTAGGTGTGTGGCGTTATTTCTGAGGCCTCTGTTCTGTTCAGTTGGTCTATATATCTCTTTTGGTAGCAGTACATGCTGTTTTGGTTGCTGTAGCCTTGTAGTATAGTTTGAAGTCAGGTAGTGTAATGCCTCCAGCTTTGTTCTTTTTGCTTAGGATTGTCTTGGCTATATGGGCTCTTTTTTGGTTCCATATGAAATTTAAAGTAGTTTTTTCTAATTCTGTGAAGAAAGTCAATGGTAGCTTGATGGGGATAGCACTGAATCTATAAATTACTTTGGGAAGTATGGCCATTTTCACAATATTGATTCT
This sequence comes from Homo sapiens, assembly GCF_000001405.40. Classification (NCBI taxonomy): domain Eukaryota; kingdom Metazoa; phylum Chordata; class Mammalia; order Primates; family Hominidae; genus Homo; species Homo sapiens. The sequence goes on along the minus strand of NC_000015.10, from coordinate 49,970,664 downwards.
TCCTATCCATGAGCATGGGATGTTTTCCCATTGTTTGTGTCCTCTCTCATGTTCTAGAACAGTGGTTTGTAGCTCTCCTTGAAAAGGTCCTTCGCATTCCTTGTTCGCTGTATTTCTAGGTATTTTATTCTCTTTGTAGCTATTGTGAATGGGAGTTCACTCATCATTTGGCTCTCTGTTTGTCTATTATTGGTGTATAGGAATGCTTTTGATTTTTGCACACTGATTTTGTATCCTGAGACTTTGCTGAAGTTGCTTATCAGCTTAAGGGGATTTGAGGCTGAGACGATGGGGTTTTCTAAATATGCAATCATGTCATCTGCAAACAGAGACAATTTGATTTCCTCTCTTCCTATCTGAATACCCTTTATTTCGTTCTCTTGCCTGATTGCCCTGGTCAGAACTTCCAATACTATGTTGAACAGAAGTGGCGAGAGAGAGCATCCTTGTCTTGTGCTGGTTTTCAAAGGGAATGCTTCCAGCTTTTGCCCATTCAGTATGATATTGGCTGTGGGTTTGTCATAAATAGCTCTTATTATTTTGAGATACATTCCCTCAATACCTAGTTTATTGAGAGTTTTTAGCATGAAGGGGTGCTGAATTTTATCAAAGGCCTTTTCTGCATCTATTGAGATAATCATGTGGTTTTTATCATTGGTTCTGTTTATGTGATGGATTATATTTATTGGTTTGCATATGTTGAACCACCTTACATCCCAGGGATGAAGCCAACTTGATCGTGGTGGATAAGCTTTTTGAAGTGCTGCTGGATTTGGTTTGCCAGTATTTTATTGAGGATTTTCGCACTGATGTTCATCAGGGATATTGGTCTGAAATTTTCTTTTTTTGTTGTGTCTCTTCCCAGTTTTGGTATCAGGATGAGGCTGGCCTGATAAAATGAGTTAGGGAGGAGTTTCTCCATTTCTATTGTTTGGAATAGTTTCAGAAGGAATGGTACCAGCTCCTCTTTGTATTTCTGGTACATTTCAGCTGTGAATCTCTCTGGTCTTGGGCTTTTTTTGTTGGTAGGCTATTAATTACTGCCTCAATTTCAGAACTTGTTATTGGTCTATTCAGGCATTTGACTTCTTCCTGGTTTAGTCTTGGGAGGTTGATGTGTCCAGGAATGTATCCATTTCTTCTAGATTTTCTAGTTTATTTGCATAGAGGTGTTTATAGTATTATCTCATGGTAGTTTTATTTCTGTGTGATCAGTGGTGATATCCCCTTCATAATTTTTTATTGTGTCTATTTGATTCTTCTCTCTTTCCTTCTTTATTATTCTGGCTAGTGGTCTGTCTATTTTGTTAATCTTTTCAAAAAACCAGCTCCTGGACTCATTGATTTTTTGAAGGGTTTTTCGTGTCTCTATCTCCTTCCATTCTGTTCTGATGTTAGTTATTTCTTGTCTTCTGCTAGCTTTTGAATTTGTTTGCTCTTTATTCTCTAGTTATTTTAATTGTGATGTTAGGATGTCAATTTTAGATCTTTCCATCTTTCTCCTGTAGGCATTTGTTGCTATAAATTTCCCTCTAAACACTGCTTTATCTGTGTCCCAGAGATTCTGGTACATCGTTTCTTTGTTCTCATTGGTTTCAAAGAACTTACTTATTTCTGCCTTTATTTCGTTATTTACCTAGTAGTCATTCAGGAGCAAGTTGTTCAGTTTCCATGTAGTTGTGTGGTTTTGAGTGAATTTCTTAACCCTGAGTTCTACTTTGATTACACTGTGGTCTGAGAGACTGTTTGTTGTGATTTCCATTCTTTTGCATTTGCTGAGGAGTGTTTTACTTCCAATTATGTGGTCAGGTTTAGAATAAATGCAATGTGGTGCTGAGAAGAATGTATATTCTGTTGATTTGGGGTGGAGAGTTCTGTAGATGTCTATTAGGTCCGCTTGGTCCAGAGTTGAGTTCAAGTGCTGAATATCCTTGTTAATTTTCTGTCTCGTTGATCTGTCTAATATTGACAATGAGGTGTTAAAGTCTCCCACTATAATTGTGTGGGAGTCTAAGTCTGTTTGTACGTCTCTAAGAACTTGCTTTATGAATCTGGGTGCTCCTGTATTGGATGCATATATATTTAGGATAGTTAACTCTTCTTGTTGCATTGATCCCTTTACCATTATGTAATGCCCTTCTTTGTCTCTTTTGGTCTTTGTTGGTTTAAAGTCTGTTTTTTCAGAGACTAGGATTGCAACCCCTGCTTTTTTTTGCTTTCCATTTGTTTGGTAAATATTCCTCCATCCCTTTATTTTGAGCCTATGTGTGTCTTTGCACATGAGATGGCTCTCCTGAATACAGCACACCAGTGGGTCTTGACTCTTTATGCAGTTTGCCAGTGTGTCTTTTAATTGGGGCATTTAGCCCATTTACATTTAAGGTTAATATTGTTATGTGTGAATTTGATCCTGTCATTATGATGCTAGCTGGTCATTTTGCCCATTAGTTGATGCAGTTTCTTCATAGTGTCAATGGTCTTTACAATTTGGTATGTTTTTGCAGTGGCTGGTATGGGTTTTTCCTTTCCATATTTAGTGCTTCTTTCAGGAGCTCTTGTAAGGCAGGCCTGGTGGTGACAAAAATCTCTCAACATTTCCTTGTCTGTAAAGGCGTTTATTTCTCCTTCACTTATGAAGCTTAGTTTGGCTGGATATGAAATTCTGGGTTGAAAATTCTTTACTTTAAGACTGTTGAATATTGACCCTCACTCTCTTCTGGCTTGTAGAGTTTCTGCAGAGAGATCCACTGTTAGTCTGATGGGCTTCCCTTTGTGGGTAACCTGACCTTTTTCTCTGGCTGTGCTTAACATTTTTTCCTTCATTTCAACCTTGATGAATCTGATGAGTATGTGTCTTGGAGTTGCTCTTCTCAAGGAGTATCTTTGTGGTGTTCTCTGTATTTTCTGAATTTGAATGTTGGCCTGCCTCACTAGGTTGGGGAAGTTCTCCTGGATAATATCCTGAAGGGTGTTTTCCAACTTGGTTCCATTCTCCCCATCACTTTCAGGTACACCAATGAAACGTAGGTTTGGTCTTTTCACATAGTCGCATATTTCTTGGAGGCTTTATTCGTTCCTTTTCATTCTTTTTTCTCTAATCTTTTCTTCATGCTTTATTTCATTAAGTTGATCTTCAATCTCTCTGATATCCTTTCTTCCACTTGATCGATTCAGCTATTGATTCCTGTGTATGCTTCACGAAGTTCTTGTGCTGTGTTTTTCAGCTCCATCAGGTCACTTATGTTCTTCTCCCAACTGGTTATTCTAGCTAGCAATTTGTCTAACCTTTTTACAAAGTTCTTAGCTTCCTTGCATTGGGTTAGAACATGTTCCTTTAGCTGGGAGGAGTTTGTTTTTACCCACCTTCTGAAGCCTACTTCTGTCAGTTTGTCAAACTCATTCTCTGTCCAGTTTTGTTCCCTTGCTGGTGAGCAGTTGTGATCCTTTGCAGGAGAAGAGGCGTTCTGGTTTTTGGCATTTTCAGCTTTTTTGCACTGGTTTTTCCTCATCTTCATGGATTTATCTACCTTTGGTCTTTGTTGTGGGTGACCTTCAGATGGCGTTTTGTGTGGATGTCCTTTTTGTTGATGTTGATGCTATTCACTTCTGTTTGTTAGTTTTCCTTCTAACAGTCAGGCCCCTCAGCTGCAGGTCTGCTGGAGTTTGCTGGAGGTCCACTCCAGACCCTGTTTGCCTGAGTATCACCAGCGGAGGCTGCAGAACAGCAAAAATTGCTGCCTGTTCTTTCCTCTGGAAGCTTTGTCCCAGAGGGGCACTTGCCAGATGTCAGCCAGGACTCTCCTATATAAGGTGTCTGTCGACCTCCGCTGGGAGATGTCTCCCAGTCAGGATACACAGGGGTCAGGGACCCACTTGAGGAAGCAGTCTGTCCCTTAGCAGAGCTGGAGTGCTGTGCTGGGAGATCTGCTGCTCTCTTCAGAGCCGGCAGGCAGGAACATATAATTCTGCTGACGCTGCGCGCACAGCCACCCCTTCCCCCAGGTGCGCTGTCCCAGGGAGATGGGAGTTTTATCTATAAGCCCCTGACTGGGGCCGCTGCCTTTCTTTCAGAGATTTCCTGCCCAGAGAGGAGGAATCTAGAAAGGCAGTCTGGCTACAGAGGCTTTGCTGAGCTGCAGTGGGCTCCGCCTGGTTTGAACATCCTGGCTTTGTTTACACCGTGAGGGGAAAACTGCCTACTCAAGCCTCCGTAATGGTGGATGCCCCTCCCACCACCAAGTTCGAGCGTCCCAGGTCAACTTCAGACTGCTGTGCTGGCAGTGAGAATTTCAAGCCAGTGGATCTTAGCTTGCTGGGCTCCATGGGGGTGGGATCTGCTGAGTTAGACCACTTGGCTCCCTGACTTCAGTCCCCTTTCCAGGGGTGTGAATGGTTCTGTCTCACTGGCATTCCAGGTGCCACTGGGGTATGAAAAAAAACTCCTGCAGCTAGCTTGGGGCCTGCCCAAATGGCTGCCCAGTTTTGTGCTTGAAACCCAGGGCCCTGGTGGTGTAGGCACCTGCGGGAATCTCCTGCTCTGCGGGTTGTGAAGACCATGGGAAAAGCGTAGTATCTGGGCTGGAATGCACCGTTCTTCATGGCACAGTCCCTCAAGGCTTCCCTTTGCTAGGGGAGGGAGTTCCCTGACTCCTTGCACTTCCCCGGTGAGGTGACACCCCACCCTATTTCTGCTTGCCCTTCATGGGCTGCACCCACTGTCTAACCAGTCCCAATGAGATTAGCCAGTTACCTTAGTTGGAAATGCAGAATTGCCTCCCTTCTGTGTTGATCTCATTGGGAGCTACGGACCAGAGCTGTTCCTATTTGTCCATCTTGCCCAGGTCCCCCCAGCTGTGTGATTCTGTTTTGTAGTGCTGAATAGAACCATATCCTAGGGAGGGCAAGTTCTTGGTAGCCTGAGTTATGTCAGTAAGGGCAGCATTTTATACTTGATTCCTATCAGCTCTGGGGTTTATGTAAGTGCACATGGTTTTGGGAATCTACTATTCATTTACGGGGCTGCCTTGAATGGCCAGATAAGCTGTTTCATTAATACCCACTTCTTGTTTGCGTGCTTTTATCAGAATACATGCTCTACATTTGGCTTTTCAAGCATTCTGTTTATATGTGACCCTTGTCACCCCAACGCTGGCCGTTTTGCAGATTGTTCCTTCTGCTGAGAGCACAGAGGCTCTGCGGAACTTTCTGTGGATTCCTCTGGTCTCCCAATGTCCCTTCATGGGATTCTGAGTGTCCACTTTCTCAATACAGAAATCTCAGGAGGTAAAGGAAATCCAAGAAAAAGGGGAAACTTTTCCTTTGTCCCCTGATGGGAAACTTCACACATTGCCAAGTATTTTAAAGCAAGATTTGACCCTGAACAAAACTAAGAAGAAGTTGATGTTTGCAATCTCCTACTTTTTGACCTCCTTTGGTTACCCACACCCCTATAACCCATGGGCATTATGGTTTCCTCAGCTGTCTTCCACTCCCAGCTTCCCCTCCTGCCTTCTCTGGCAGTAGACAAGATGATTTCCAACCTGGACTTCCACAAGCCCACAGTTGCATTGTTATATCAATGTATTAATCTTATATCAGTATCATAATGACTGGTAAATAACATAGAACCTTTCCTTAAAAAGTTCCCATTGGACATTATTTTCAGAGGCTTTCTAAAAATATTGCTTTAACCCAAAACATAGTTTAAATGGGAAACTTTTAATCAGAATATTGAAAATATTTTGAGTTTTGGGGACCTTTTGGATTTTTTTTGCCACATATTGATCTAATAATACAATCACTTCTAGGAAGCAATCTTAAAGGACTTATCAGACATGTGGACCAGGATTCATTTGTTGAAATGTTTATCACATTTTGTGATAAATGTCCTATTTTTGGAGAAGGCTCTTGACTTTCACAAGATTTTTGCAAATCTCCAAATTCACAAATCCCATGATAGCTTGTAATTCCTCTCGTGAAATGCAGGAAAGTAACTTAAAGGTTTAAGTAATCCCTTTAGACTCTTAATTTATATGCTGTTATAATTTATAATGCATTTATAACATCATTAAAATAAATTCTTAGTAAAGCACTCAATGTTTCAGAATCATTTTTCCTTGTTTTCATACAAGTTGGGGGTATTAATATCACAGATGTAGGCCTTGGGAAAATTTAACATTTGACTTTAATTTATCTAAATCTTCTATTTCCTGGCTAAGAAATATTATCTTCTTAGGCAATTTTTCTTCACTTTCATCAACAGCCCTGTAAATGGGCTTTTACTGTAGGGAGGAGGCAGACCATTTAACACAAAGACACAGTTTTTTTTTTCTTTTTCTCTTTTCCATCATTTTATTACAGTGACTGCATACAGGGTAACCACTAGAGCATAACACAGTGAATTTGAGATTTAAATTCCAGGTGCTAGGCCAGATTCACTCACTAGCTCAGGGACTCCTCCCACACAGCAGCCATACAGCATTCCAGATTCAGACCAGCACCCCAGAGAAACAACAAATAGAACTGCTTGTCAAGTGGTTGGTGCTCATAGCATTGTATAAAGAAGAGAGAGAGAACTTAGATTTAAAAACCCACTATGCTTACTTTAGTTTTCATTTAGTCATGTCATTTTGAACCATTCTTTGGTTCCCTTATCCATAAAACAGAAATGAAAATCTTCACTTTGCAAGTTTATTATAAGGATCAGTGATAATTTAAGAGCCTGGCACAGGTTGATTCAAGTAACTTTTTTTTTTTCAACTTTTAAGTTCAGGGGTACATGTTCAGGATGTACAGGTTTGTTACATAGGTAAACGTGTGCCATGGTGGTTTCCTAGACAGATCATCCCATCACCTAGGTATTAAGCCCAGCATCCTTTAGCTATTCTTGATGCTCTCCCTTCCCACATCAACAGGCCCCAGTGTGTGCTGTATCCCGCATGTGTCCATGTGTTCTCATCATTCAGCTCCCACTTATAAGTGAGAACATGCAGTGTTTGGTTTCCTGTTCCTGTGTTAGTTTGCTGAGGATGATGGATTCCAGCTCTATCCATGTCCCGGCAAAGGACATGACCTCATTCCTTTTCACGGCTGCATAGTATTCCATAGTGTATATGTACCACATTTTCTTTACCCAGTCTATCACTGATGGGCATTAGGCTAATTCCGTGTCTTTTCTATTGTGATTAGTGTTGCAATGAACGTATGTGTGTGTATCTTTATAATAGAATGATTTATATTCCTTTGATATATACCCAGTAATTGGAATGCTGGATCTAATGTTATTTCTGCCTTTAGGTCCTTGAGGAATCGCCACACTGTCTTCCACAATGGTTGAACTAATTTCCAGTCCCACTGTAAGAGTTTCTTTCTCTCCACAACCTTGCCAGCACCTGTTATTTTTTGACCTTTTAGTAATAGCCATTCTGACTGGCGTGAGGTGGTTTCTCATTGTGGTTTTGATTTGCATTTCTCTACAATGATCAGTAATGTTAAGCTTTTTTTCATATTTTTGTTGTCCCCATTTATTCTTCTTTTGAGAAGTGTCTGTTCATGTCCTTTGCCCACATTTTAATGGCGGTTGTCGGGTTTTTTCTCTTGTAAATTTGTTTAAGTTCCTTGTAGATTCTGGATATTAGACCTTTGTCAGATGGATAGATTGCAAAAATTTTCTCTCATTCTGTAGGTTGTCTGTTCACTCTGATGGTAGTTTCTTTAAGTAACTCATTATTATTATAAGAAATTTAATCCTGGCAAATAGTATGAAACCTTCCAATGCCAAGTAAAAATTTAAAAAATTAATGACTCACAATAGGGAAAGGGAAAATAAATTATGCTACATCTATAATCATGGGCTACTATACAACGATTCAAAATAAGATTCACAACAATTTGATAGGAGAAATTCTCATACTTTACATGGTTAAAAACTGTAAAAACAAGAAGATTATGAACAATATGGTGAATATATGTGTATATAAAAATACACAATAAAATCATTCTACAAATACTAGTTATTTCTGGATGAAGGGAAGTGATTTTTATTTTCTATTGTAAATGTCCCTTATTTTCTATTAGATCTATAATAAGTACATATTAGCTTTGTACTAAGAAAAAAGTTATTTTAAATTTCTGGCATATGGGTGGCTATGTTTTCTGACTGCAGAAAGTACTGGCATTGTTTAAGGCTTACATGCTAATTTGATCTTGATATTACACAGATGTGTCTGGCCCAAACCAAGATAGGCAAAGTTCTGCATTGGGAAGAATTGGCCTGGCAAGGATATCATTTTGGATTTCTCAACAGTGGGAATGATGTGGAAGATAGAAATTTGCCTCTTGCAAATATCATAGATAATGTAATAACAGAATGATAACATTTACAGAAAAACATAATTGCTTCATTTTTTGTTTTAATGCCTACTGCACTTTAGTCCTATCTTGGGCAAACACGAATGTCTCACTGCATAATTGCCATGTTTATGGTTACAATTTGAAAGCACTCCTAAAACCATTCGCCTGTTTAAATTCATAATGCCATTTAGTAATGGTGATGTAATAAATAATAAGTGTATTCCTTAAAACTAAATGTCTAATTCTAATTTCGGTTTCACTTACTTTTAATTCTCAATTTTTGTTTTGTCAGGTGAAGTACATGATGACCTGGATCAGAAGACAGAAATAACTCAGGTGTGGAAGTGATAAAATTTTATTCTTAGTTTTAATTTCAAATTATATGTACTTTTAAGAAAATGATAAACTTTTAGTGTCCTGATTTCCACCAAGACCAGATGAGATACTTAATGCATAGCATTAAAAAATAGATTAATATGATTCAAAATTCCTTCTCATATTACTGAACCAACCACAGAGTTCCTTCTATTTTTTATTCTTGAGATATTTATGCAGATACAAGGAATTATATTTCCACACCTTTTACATAGTGAGAAAAATAATTATATAGGTGGTAGCATAATTTACATAATGTTCTTCAGCGTTCTCAACAATATATCTTGGAGATCTTTCTAGATTAGTTTTAAAAAAGTACTTTCTCGTTCTTTTTAATGGCTGAATGGTATTTTGTTATATTGATGTTCCAAAATTTATATGAAGAGACTCTAATGGACATTTAGGATTTTCAATATTTTTCTAGTAAAGAAAATGCAGCAAAAAAACTGTGTACATATGTTATTTCACATGTTAGAGAATATAGAATCTGTTTCTAGAAATAGAATTGCTAAATCAAAAGGTATCTGCATTTGTAATTTGATAAATATTGCAAATTGCCTTCTTTAGAATTTATAACAATTTACCCTGACACAAACAAGTGTAAGAGTGTCTGATTTCCCCCACTGTCACCAACACAATGTTTTATCAAAGTTTATGATCTTTGATGAGATTATATGAAAAATGGGTACATCAATATTGGTTCTAATTTTAACTTCTCTTGTTATAAGTAGGGTCAACATATTTTCATGTTTAAGAGCTTATGATATTTCTGTAAGTTTCTGGTTCATAATTTTTTTTTTTTTTTGAGATGGAGTCTTGCTCTTTCGCCCAGGCTGGAGCGCAGTGGCGCAATCTCGGCTCACTGCAAGCTCTGCCTCCTGGGTTCACGCCATTCTCCTGCCTCAGCCTCCCGAGTAGCTGGGACTACAGGCGCCCGCCACCATGCCTGGCTAATTTTTTGTATTTTTTAGTAGAGACCAGGTTTCACCATGTTAGCCAGGATGGTCTTGATCTCCTGACCTCGTGATCCACCCGCCTCAGCCTCCCAAAGTGCTGGGATTACAGGCGTGAGCCACTGCGCCCGGCCTCTGGTTCATAATTTTTTTACCCATTTTCTTCTATTGGGTTGTCTATTACAAAAATTAACTTGTATATTTCTATATTAGGGAAAATAAGTATTTGTCTGTGAAATGAGTTTTATGTATTCTTTTCCCAATTTGTCCTTTGTCCCATGATTATTTTTCTGGTATTTTTGCCATGAAAAATATTTTATTTTCATGTAATTGAGTTTATCACTTTTTCCTCCATCACTGAGGTTTATGCCTTAGATATAAAGCACACCATCATTATAGAGTTAATGTTTTACATTTAAATCTTAGATTCATTTGGATTTTATCCTGGTGTGGGATGTAAAATATAAGTCCAAATATATTTTTCTCTAGATGATTACTGACTTTACCCATTTATTTAAAAGCCTGTCCTCTTTTTCACTGATTTGGGATATTACTTTTATAGCATGCCTAACTCTTGTGTACTAGGTCTATTACTGAATTTTTGATGTGTTTTCTTTCTGGCATATGTTAGCATCATACTGTTTTAATTATTGACAAAGGCTGGGCGTGGTGGCTCATGCCTGTAATCCCAGCACTTTGGGAGGCTGAGGCAGGAGGATCACATGAGGTCAAGAGTTCAAGGCCAGCCTGGCCAACATGGTGAAACCCCGTCTGTACTAAAAACATAAAAATTAGCCAAGCGTGGTGGTGGTGCCTATAGTCCCAGCTACTTGGGAGCCTGAGGCAGGAGATTTGCTTGAACCTGGGAGGCAGAGGTTGCAGTGAGCTGAGATCTCGCCACTGCACTCCAGACTGGGTGACAGAGACTCCGTCTCCAAAAAAAAAAAAAAACCAAAAAAATTATTGACAAGGCTCAAGGCTCTAACATTTGGTAAGACTGGTTGTTTTTCAGTGCTCTTTTTTTCCCCTAGATTTCTCTTAACTGTTTTGCTTATTTAGCTTTCCTCATGATATTTTTGTTAGAATGATGTTAAATTTATTGATTATCTTAGGAAGTGTTAATATCCTTATGATGTTGAATCTTCTTATCCAAGAACACAGTATGTATTTCAAGCTACTTAATTCATATTTTGTGCCTCTCAGAAGCATTTTCAGGTTTTCTGCATAAATACCTTGCTCATTAAAAAAAATTATTCCTAGGTATGCAATTAATTTTTGGGGTTATTGTTTCCACCTAGTGTCTTTCTCTCCATTATGCCTCTTAATATGAAAGCAATAAATTTGATTGTTAATTTTGTATAACACTGTCTTACTATATTTTCTTTTGTTTATAGTAACTTCTAGTCTTTTTTGTGGGGTTTCCAAGTATATAACCATACTATCTGGAAATAGAGACAATTTTATCCCTGTCATTCTAACTTTTTTACTTTTAATTTATTTTTCTTATCTAATTGCATTGGTTAGTACTCTTAGAATAATACAAAGTAATATGGTCTTTTTTTAAATATCTTCATTTCTGACATTAGTGCATATGCTTCTAGTATTATCCCACTAAACAGAATGAAAAATTTGGATTAGAATAGATATATTTTTGGAATATTCATCTATTCCATAAATATAAATTTATTTTCACACATAAAAATTTATTTTTCTAAAGTACAAGTTGGATACTGAATTTAGCAATAGCCCTTTGTCACCCATGAGGATAATAAAATGTTTTTTCTTCCGTGGATATATTAATATGATGAATCATATTAACAGATTCAATTTCATCCATATTTTCCTGGAATAAATGCCACTTGTCATGTTAAACTGTTTTTTAATATGCTACTAGATTCTATTTACTAATGCTTTATTTAGATATGCACATTGATCTTTGTAAGAGACATGGTTCTGCAGTGTTCTTTTTTGGGATAATATTTGTTTTGCTACCAATGTTATATTTGCTTTAGAAACATAAATAAGGGATCCTTCCTTCTTTTTGTATTCTGTGGGACAGTTTATATAAAATCAAAATAATATATGCCTTAAAGTTTTCATAAAATTCCCCTATAAAATTATGTGGACCTGGTGCTATTTCAGGTGGTAGCTCTTAGATAATGTTCTTACAGTCTTGTCTACAGTAGTTATCTGTTTAGAATTTCTATCTCTTTTGGAGTGATTTGGAAAATTATATTTTTTTAGAATATTGTCAAATTCAATCAGATTTTCACATTTATTTGCAAGCTCTCATAAGTCTTTTAAATTCACATTTATTTTCACATTTATTTACAAAGACTCATAAGTCTTTTAAATTCATATTTCTTTTCGCATTTATTTGAAAAGACTCATAGGTCTTTTAATTTCCTCTTTATCTGTGGTTCTTTTTATTATTTCTTATGTGTTGTTTTTGTCCTTTCCTGTCTTAATTATGTTAGTAAATAGTTTAGTTGCCCCTTCTTCCATGAAAAAGTATAGCTGTTGGATTTACTTATTTTTTTCCTGCATTTTAATCAATAACTTCTGCTTCTTTATTAATGCCTTCTTCGTTCCTTACAGTTTTTTGTTTTGCTTTTCCCTACTTCATACTTGGATGCTTTATTTATTTATTTTTATTCTTTCCTGTTTTTTAAGAATACAAATATTTAAGGTTAACAATTTCCCCCTGAACACTGCTTTAGTTTTATTACATATATTTTGGCATGTAGTTTATTAAAGTATTTTAATTTTATTTTTATATGATTATTTTATCTTTATTTTTCTAATATCAGTGAGTTCAAATTGAACCACTGAGTTTGAACCATAAGCTTTTAAGGAAGAATTTAAAATTTGCAGATGGTAAGGGTTTTTTTCTCCCTAATTTTATTGCACTGTTAATAAAAGAATATATTTTTATTGTTTCTACCTTTTAGAATTTATTGAGATTTTCTTTGTGGCTTAATAAGGTTAATTGTTATTAATGTTTCAGGACCCTTAAGAAGAAAGTACTTGTATTCTCTGTTCTTAAGGTAGGAATTAGCTATGTATAATTTAGCTCTATCTTGTTAATTATATTTTTTTAGGTCTTCTATATAATTATTTATCTTTTATTTATGTTATCTGTTTGAGTTGAAGAAGCTAATTAAAGTGTTCTGATCATAGGTCATATATATTCCAAAGTCTGTTTTATTGAGTATTGATGCTAGTTTTTGGTTACATTGATGGTCATAATGGTTTAACTTTTATTATGAATTACACAATTTAACATTAAAAGTACTCTTTTTTGACTCATTCAATTCTTCTTGGCCTGATTTAAACGTCATTTGATATTAAGATCATTATTCTTGAGTATTTTTCGTTTATATTTGCCCACCTTTTATTTTCAAAGTTTCTGAATTACTTTGATTTAGGTATATCTTTTGTGTAGAACACAGGGCTATAGTTTGCTTTTGCTTTAAGTTCCAATCTTTTAATGAGTTTGGCCCATTTACATGGGGCTATATCTTGTCTTGGTTCTGTTATAATATTTTAGGTTATTACTTTTTGTCTTTATAATTCTTAATAATTATTTCCTTATATGGTCTCTTTCTTTTACTCTGTGTGTGTGTGTTTGTGTGCGTTTCTTGTAATATTTAAGGAAGTATTTTATTGTTTCTGTACTGTATACTCTCAAGTGTTTACATAATACTTTAAATTTTTTCTTAAGGCAGCATTGATCAATTTCCTAATATGAACAATGATGAGATTATTATTTCTCTTTCGTTTCCTCATATTTTCCTAATATTTTTCTTAATAGTACTCTTAATCTGAAATGTATATAAATTTCTATGAGTCGATTTGCAGCTTTAAAAGATATTTTTTGGTTTTCAAATACCAAAATGAGGAAATCAACATGTTCTCCCAATTTTTTTTTTGCAATCTTTTCACATAGTCAAGTGTGTAATATTTGCATTTTGTTTTGTCATCCTAATCTATTGGTTTTAGACCTATTCCTTCAGCTAAAGATATTTTGTGTCCACCACTAACTAGTCCCTTTCTCATTTATTTTTTTCAGTTATTTTTCTATTTGGCTGAAGTTCACCCTCTAATTTCAAGAATACTTCATAAGAAATATCTATTCAGGCCAAGTGTGGTGGCTCACACCTATAGTCACAGCACTTTGAGAGGTGAGGTGGGAGGATTGTTTGAGGCTAGGAGTTTGAGACCAGCCTGGGCAACATAGTGAGACCCTGTCTCTACAAACAACAAAAAAAACCAATTAGCTAGGCATGCTGGGGCACACCTGTAGTCCTAGACACTTGAGAGGCTGAGATAGGAGGATCACTTGAGTCCATCAGTTCCAGGCTGCAATGAGCCATGATCTCGCCACTGCATTCCAGCCCGGGTGAGAGTGATACTCTGTCTCAAGAAAAATCTGTTGAGAACTATTTGTTAACTTTATATTTGAATGACAGTTTGTCTATAAACTCTTTGGGCCAGTTTCTTCTCTGGATGGTTTTAGGGAAGTCCAAGGCCAGTGTTTATTTTAGAACTTACTAGTCATATAATAATATATACACTTATTTTAAATATTTTAAAATATAAAAACTTATAATGCAACTGTGTTCAAAATTTATTACATGAACAAAACAGTCTGTGATTAAATAAGTTTCTATGATTCTGTGACCAACATAAGTAACTGAGTGTCTTGTGTATAAGTCATCTCATATACTTGGATAAAGTGTAAAATAATATTATTCTACAATCTCTAAGACAAATCATCTGTCAAACTTATTTCCCATCAAATGTTTTTGAAAAGACATTATTACAGGGATAATACTTGAGTCATAAACTTTTAAAAGTATATATTGTACATTCCAGAAGTCAGTAATCCCTTAATAGGGATCATATTTACTATTGAATCTTTTCCCACTATTTTTTTCTGTTCTTTATTGAATTCCATTTTATTCATTTTGTTTCTATTTTTTACTCTTAACAACTTTTTTAGTGTTGAGTATGGTAGTGTTAACTGTAAGCTCATAGCAAATCTGTAGAATTTTTTTTAATGTTGCATGACTGAAACTCTATACTAATTTCACAGCAAATCACCATATTCTCATTTCCCCAGTCTCTAGCAAGAACCATTTTATTTCATGTTTCAATGAGTTTGACTACTTTAGAGATCTCATAAAAGTGGAATAATTCTGTATTTGTCATTCTGTGACCAGCGCTTTTCATTTATAATAATGCCAAGAGTCATCCATATTGTAGCATGACAGGATTTCCTCCTTTTTTATGGCTGAATAATATTCCATTGTATGTATCTATCACATTTCCCTTATCTGTTTGTCTATTCATGGACATTTAGGTTGCTTCCACCTCTTGGCTATTGTGATAATGCTGCAATGAACATGGGAATGCAAATATCTTTTCAAGATCCTGATTTCCATTCTTTTGGACATATAAGAGATTGCAGGATAGTATGGTAGTTTTATTTTTAATTTTTTGAGGAACTTTCATACTGTTTTCTATAGTGACTACACCATTTTACATTTCTATGAACAGTGCACCAGGATTCCAGTCTTTCTACATCCTCAACAATACTTGGGATTTTCTGTCTTGTTTGTGTGTTTTTTGTTTGTTTGTTTTCTTTCTCCCATTTTTGTTTTAGAATCGGGGTACATGTGCAGGTTTGTTACAAAGGCATATTGCAGAATGCTGAGGTTTGGGATACAGTTGAACCCATCACCCAGGTAGTAAGCACAGTACCCAAGAGGTAGTTTTTCAGCTCCTGTTCTCCTCTCTCTATGCTACCTCTAGTAATTCCCACTGGCTATTGTTCCCATCTTTGTGTCCATGTGTGCCCAATGTTTAGCTTCCACTTATAAGTGAGAACATGTGGTATTTGGTTTTCTGTTTCTACGTTTGCTTAAGATAATGGCCTCCAGCTGCATCTGTGTAGCTGCAAAGAATATAATTTTGTTCATTTTTTAATGGCTGCATAGTACTGCATAGTGTATATTTACCACATTTTCTTAATCCTATCCACCGCTGATGGGCATCTGGGTTTATTCTATGTTTTTTGCTGTTATGAATAGCAATGTGATAGGCATATGGGTGTAGGTGTCCTTTTGGTAGAATGATTTATTTTCTTTTGGGAATTACCCAGTAATAGGGTTGCTGAGTCAAATGGTAGTTCAACTGTTAGTTTTCTGAGAAATCTCCAAATGGCTCTCCACAGTGGCTGGACTCATTTCATTTGCACCAAGAGCGTGTAAGTATCCCCTTTTCTCCGCAGCCTCACCAATGGCTGTTGTTTTTTGATTTTTTAACAAAAATTTTTCTGACTGGTGTGAGATGGTATCTCGTTATGATTTTGATTTGCATTTCTCTGATGATTAATGATCATGAGCATTTTTTCATGTTTGCCGCCTGTATGTCTTCTTTTGAGAAGTGTCTGTTCATGTCCTTTGCTGACTTTTTAGTAGGAATATTCATTTTTTGCTTGATGATTTAAGTTCCTTATCAATTCTCGATATTAAGTCTTTGTTGAATGCATAGTTTGTGAGTATTTTCTCCCAATCTGTGGGTTGTCTGTTTACTCTCTTGATGGTTCTCTTGCTGTGCAGAAGCTCTTTAGTGTAATTAGGTCCTACTTATCAATTGTTTTGTTGCTGTATTAGTCAGGGTTCTCTAGAGGGACAGAACTAATAGGATATATGTATACACGAAGGGGAGTTTATTAAGGAGAATTGACTCACACAGTCACAAGATGAAGTCCCACAATAGGCCATCTGCAAGCTGAGGAGCAAGAAAGCCAGTCTGAGACCCAAACCCTCAAAAGTAGGGAAGCCAGGGCAGGGCCAAAATGGCTGACTAGTAGCAGTGACATTCAGAGGCTCCCATAAAAAAAGCCATAATAAGCATGTGAATCCTTCACCGGCAACCAAGGTATCCAGGTTCTCTCTTCAAAATTGACTAGAAGGCTGGCATGACCCACGGAGAGAAGGAAGAGCAGTGTGGTGGGCGGCCTACCTGAGAGACATACAGAGAAGGGGAACCCCCTGCCTCCAGCCAAGGGAGGCAGTGAGTGAGCACGCTACCCAGCCGGGGAAACTGTGCTTTTTCCACAGAACTGTGCAACCCACTGATCAGAAGATCCCACTTGCAAACCCACCAAAGTCTAGCATCCCAACTCCGGAATGTGCACATTCTCAGCTGGAATCTGCTTAAGCCCTGCTGAACTCCCCGAGGGAGGGGTGACCACCACTGGCTGCTGCTGCCTGCTGTCTAAGCCTTTTGAGCTCCTTGAGGAAGGAGCAGCAATCAGCAATGGGACTCACAACTGCCTAACATGCTAAGCTCCTTGGGTGGGGGAAGGGCAGCACCAATTTCTGTAGCTCCAGGATGCACTTTTCCCCTGCTGGAGCCAGGGAGGCTGAACAGCTTGGTCCCAAGACTTGTCCCCACAGCTCAACACACTGGCTGTGGTAGTCTGCGGCCAGAGGGCCTCTTCAGGTCTAACCCTGACCCATCCTTCTCAGTGAGCTGGGCTTCCCTGTAGGATCTCCAGTAACTCCAGCCAGAGACTTAGGGATAGAATTTGGCTTTCCCTGGACCTGAGCCCCTAGGGGGAGGGGTGGCCGCAGTCTCTGCGCACCAGCAGACTTAGCCTCTCCTCCTGGTTGTTCTGAGGAATCTAGGCAGCCCAGATTAAATGGGTTTCCACCCAGTGAAACACAGCCCTTCCACCAAGAGACAAAGTGCTTCGTTAAATGGGTCCTGCTCCCCATGCCACCCAGCTGGGCGAGACCCTTCAACAGGGGTTGTCAGACACCCTATACAAGAGTGATCCTACTGGCATCAGGTTGGTGCCCCTCGAGGTCAGAGGTCCCAGAAGAAGGAGAAGGCACCCATTTTTGCTGCTCTCCAGCCTCCTTGAGTGACATCTCCAGGCATGGGAGTGAATCAGATGAATAAGGCCTGAAGTGAACCCCCAGCAAACTGCAGCAGCCCTGCAGAAGAGGAACCTGACTATTGAAAGAAAAACAAGCAGAAAGCAACAACAGTATTGACAACAACAACAACAACAAAAGGCCCCCACAAAAACCCCATCCAAGGGTCAGCAGCCTCAAAGACCAAAATGAGACAAACTCATGAAGATGAGAAAGAATTAACAAAAAAAAGTGCTGAAAACCCAAAAGGCTAGAGCACCTCTTCACCTCCAAATGATTGCAACATCTCTCCATCAAGGGTGCAGAACTGGACAGAGGATCAGATGGGTGAATTGGTAGATGTAGGCTTCAGAAAATGGGTAATAAAAAACTATGATGAGCTAAAGGAGTGTGTTCTAACCCAATGCAAAGAACCTAAGAATCTTGATAAAAGGTTAGAGGAATTGCTAACTGGAATAATCAGTTTAGAGAGGAACATAAATGACCTGATGGAGCTGAAAAACACAGTATGAGAAGTTCGTGAAATATACACAAGTATCAACAGCCGAATTGACTAAACAGAAGAAAGGATATCAGAGTTCAAAGACTACCTTACTGAAATAAGACAAGCAGACAAGAATAGAGAAAAAAAGAACGAAAAGTAAGGAACAAAGCTCCAAGAAATATGGGACTTCATAAAAACACCAAACCTATGATTGATTGGAGGACCAGAAGGAGAAGGGGAAAATGGAAACAATCTGAAAAGAAACACTTTAGGATATTATCCAGGAGAACTTCCCTAACCTAGCAAGACAGTCCAACATGAAAATTCAAGAAATACAGAGAACGTCATTAAGATACTCCACGAGAAGATCAACCCCAAGGCATATAATCTTCAGATTCTCCAAGGTCCAAATGAAGGAAAAACTGCTAAGGGCAGCCAGAGAGTAAGGCCATGTTGCCCACAGAGGGAAGCCCATCAGACTATCAGCAGATCTCTCAGCAGAAACTCTACAAGCCAGAAGAGATTGGGGGTCAATATTCAACATTCTTAAAGAAAAGAATTTTCAACCCAGGATTTCGTATCCAGCCAAACTAAGATTCATAAGTGAAGGAGAAATAAAATCCTTTCCAGATAAGCAAATGCTGAGGGATTTTGTTACCACCAAGCCTGCTGTGCAAGAGCTCCTGAAAGAAACACTGAATATGGAAAGGAAAAACCCGTACCAGCCACTGAAAAAATACATTAAATTATAAAGACCAATGACACTATGAAGAAACCGCATCAACTAGTGTGCAAAATAACCAAATAGCATCATGATGACAGGATCAAATTCACATATAACAATACTAACCTTAAATATAAATGAGCTAAATGCCCCAATGAAAAGGCACAGACTGGGAAATTGGATAGGGAATCAAGACCCATTAGTGTGCTGTATTCAGGAGACTCATCTTATGTGCAAAGAAACAGGCTCCAAATACAGGGATGGAGGAAAATTTATCAAGAAAATGGAAAGCAAAAAAAAGCAGGGTTTGCAATCCTAGTCTCTGACAAATCGGACTTTAAACCAAGAAAGATAAAAAAAAGACTAAGAAGGGCATTACATAATGGTAAAGGGAACAATTCAACAAGAAGAGTTAACTATTCTGAATATATATGCACCCAGTACAGGAGCAACCAGATTCATAAAACAAGTTCTTAGAGATCTACAGAGACTTAGACTCCCACACAATAATAGTGGGAGACTTTAACATCCCACTGTCAGTATTAGACACATCAATGAGACTGCAAATTACCAAGGATATTCAGCACTTGAACTCAGCTCTGGATCAAGTGGAACTAGTAGATGTCTACAGTACTGTCTACCCCAGATCAACAGAATATACATTCTTCTTAGTGCCACATGGCACTTATTCTAAAATTGAACACATAATTGGATGTAAAACACTCCTCAGCAAATGCAAAAGAACTGAAATCACAAAAAAACAGTCTCTCAGACCACAGTGCAATTAAATTAGAACTCAGGATTAAGAAACTCACTCAAAATGACACAATTTCATGGAAATTAAACAACCTGCTTCTGAATGACTCCTGGGTAATGAAATTAAGGCAGAAATCAAGAAGTTCTTTGAAACCAATGAGAACAAAGAGACAGTGTACCAGAATCTCTGAGACACAGCTAAAGCAGCATTAAGAGGGAAATTTATAGCACTAAATGCCCACATCAGAAAGCTAGAAAGTTCTCAAATCAACACCCTAACATTACAATTAAAAGAGCTAGAGAGGCAAGAGCAAACTAATCCAAAAGCTAGCAGAAGACAAGAAATAACTAACAGCATGGAAGAATTGAAGGAGCTAGAGACACAAAAAACCCTCCAAAAAATCAACGAATCCAGGAGCTGGTTTTTTGTTGTTGTTGTTGTTTTTTTTGTTTGTTTGTTTGTTTGTTTTTTTTTTTTAGTTAATACATAGATGGCTAGCTAGACTAAAAAAGAAGAAGAGAGAGAAGAATCAAACAGACACAATAAAAAATGATAAAGGGAATATCACCACTGACCTCGCAGAAACACAAACTACCATCAGAGAATACTATAAACACCTCTACACTAATAAACTAGAAAACCTAGAAGAAATGGATAAATTCCTGGATGCATACACCTTATCAAGACTAAACCAGGAAGAAGTTGAATCCTTGAGTAGACCAATAACAAGCTCTGAAATTGAGGCAGTAATTAATAGCCTACCAACCAAAAAAAGCCCAGGACCAGACAGATTCACAGCTGAATTGTACCAGAAATACAAGGAGGAGCTGGTACCATTCCTTCTGAAACTATTTCAAACAATTGAAAAGGAGGGACTCCTCCATACTCATTTTATGAAGCCAGCATCATCCTGATACCAAAACCAGGAAGAGACACAACAAAAAAAGAAAACTTCAGGCCAATATCCCTGATGAATATCGATGCAAAAATCTTCAATAAAATACTGGCAAACTGAATCCACCAGCACATCAAAAAACTTATCCACCATGATCAAGTCAGCTTCATCCCTGGGATGCAAGGCTGGTTCAACATATGCAAATCAATAAACATAATCCATCACATAAACAGAACCAAAGACAAAAATCACATGATTTTCTCAATAGATGCAGAAAAGGCCTTTGATAAACTTTAACATCCCTTAATGTTAAAAACTCTCGATAAGCTAGGTATTGATGGGACATATCTCAAAATAATAGCTATTTATGACAAACCCACAACCAATATCATATTGAATGGGCAAAAGCTGGAAGCATTCCCTTTGAAAACCAGTGCAAGATGCCCTCTCTCACCATTCCCATTCAACATAATATTGAAAGTTCTGGCCAGGGTAGTCAGGCAAGAGAAAGAAATAAAGGGTATTCAAATAGGAAGAGAGGAAGTCAAATTGTCTTTGTTGGCATACGATATGATTTTATATTTAGAAAACCCCATCGTCTCAGCACAAAAACTTCTTGAACTGATAAGCAACTTCAGCAAAGTCTCAGGATACAAAATCAATGTGCAGAAATCACAAACATTCCTTTACACCAACAATAGGCAAGCAGAGAGCCAAATCATGAATGAACTCGCATTCACAATCACTACGAAGAGAATAAAATACCAAGGAATACAGCAAACAAAGGATGTGAAGGACTTCTTCAAGGAGAACTACAAACCACTGCTCAAGGACATAAGAGAGAACACAAACAAATGGGAAAACATTCCATGCTCATGGATAGGAAGAATCAATATCATGAAAATGGCCATACTGCCCAAAGTAATTTATAGATTCAATGCTATTCCCATCAAACTACCATTGTCATTCTTCACAGAATTAGAAAAAGCTATGTTAAATTTCATATGGAATCGAAGAAGACCCTGTATAGCCAAGACAATCCTAAGCAAAAATAACAAGGCTGGAGGCATCATGCTACCTGACTTCAAACTATACTACCAGGCTACCATAACCAAAACAGCACAATACCAGTACCAAAACAAACATATAGACTAATGGGGCAGAACAGACACCTCACAAATAAGACCACACATTTACAACCATCTGATCTTCGACGAACCTGACAAAAACAAGCAATAGGGAAAGGATCTTCTATTCAGCAGAAGAAAACCTAGGCAATACCATTCAAGACATAGACATGGGCAAAGACTTCATTACAAAAATGCCAAAAGGAATTGCAACAAAATCCAAAATTGACTGATGGGATGTAATTAAACTAAAGAGCTTCTGCACAGCAAAAGAAACTATCATCAGAGTGAACAGGCTACCTACAGAATGGGAGAAAAATTTTGCAATCTACCCATCTGACAAAGGTCTAATATCCATAATTTACAAGGAACGTAAACATATTTGCAAGAAAAAGACAACTCCATCAAAAAGTCGGCAAAGTATATGAACAGACACTTCTCAAAAGAAGACATTTACATGGCTAACAAACATATGAAAAAAAGCTCAACAGGCTAGTAACCCCTTATCAGATATATGATCTGCACATATTTCCTCCTATTCCATAAGTTGCCTTTTCACTCTGTTGATTATTTCCTTTGCTGAGCAGTCTTTTTTTTGAGACAGAGTCTCACTCTGTCACCCAGGCTGGAGTGCAGTGGCACAATCTTGGCTCACTGCAACCTCCATCTGCCAGGTTCAAACAATTCTCCTGCCTCAGCCTCCCAAGTAGCTGGGACTACAGGCGAGTGCCACCATGCCTGGCTGATTTTTTTTTTTTTTTTTTGTATTTTTAGTAGAGACAGGGTTTCACCATGCTGGCCAGGCTGGTCTCGAACTCCTGACCTCCTGATCTGCCGCCTCGACCTCCCAAAGTGCTGGGATTACAGGCATAAGCCATTGCGCCCAGTCCTGAGCAGAGACTTTTACATTTGATATAGTTCCACTTATTTGTTTTTGCTTTCATTGTCTGTGCTTTTGTTGTCATGTCTATGCAAGAAGTCATTGTCGAGACCATTGTTATGAAGCTTTTCTTCCATATTTTCTTCTAGGAGTTTTATAGTTGCAGGGATTATGTTTCAATTTTCAATGTATTTTAATTTGATTTTTGTGTTAGATGTAAGATAATGGTCCATTTTTTTCTTTTGCCTGTGCATATCTAGTTTTCCTCACTCTGTTGAAAAGACTATCCTTTCCCTGCTGTATAGTCTTGGAACCCTTGTTGAAATTCATTCATCTGTTTATGTGTGGGTTTATTTCTGTGTTCTCTATTCTATTCCACTGGTCTGTGTCTGTCTTTACTGGGGATACCAGTACCCCACTGCTTTGATGACTGTAGCTTGTAACATGTTTGAAATCAGGAATTGTGAGGACCCCAGCTTGGTCCTTCTTCCTCAAGATAGTTTTGGCTATCTGGGGTCATTTGTGGTTCCATATCAATTTTAGAATTTTTTTTATACTTCTGTAAAAAAATACCATTGAAATTTTGATGGGGATTTCTATGGTTCACTTTGGGCAATATGGAGATTTTAACAATATTAAGTCTTCTACTCCATGACCATTGGATACATATTCATTTATTTGTGTCTTTAATTGCTTTCATCAATGTTTTCTTTTTTTTTTTTTTTTTTGAGACAGAGTCTCACTCTGTCGCCAGTCGCCAGGCTGGAGTGCAGTGGTGAGATCTCAGCTCACTTGCAACCTCTGCCTCCCAGGTTCAAGTGATTGCTCTGCCTCAGCCTCCCAAGTAGCTGGGACTACAGGCACGTGTCACCACGCCCGGCTAATGTTTTGTATTTTAGTAGAGACAGGGTTTCACCATGTTGGCCAGGATGGTCTCAATCTCCTGACTTCGTGATCCGCCTACCTTGGCTTCTCAAAATGCTGGGATTACAAGCATGAGCCACCGCACCCGGCCTCATCAATGTTTTCTAATTTTCAGTGTGCAAGGGTTTTGAGAGCCCCCAGCTCAAACTGGGGCTCCAGCGCCAGAGCAGCTAGCAACAACCCTACCGTGATAGAAATGAAGGAGAGCTGGACATAGATGTTTACAGTGTGCCTTTCAGGGGATATTTCTTTTACCTGGCAGGTGACCTAATGCTTAGTTGTCTGATCATTTGCCAAGGAGTCCTTCACATGGGAAACTTGTTTATATTGGCAGACACTCCTGTGGCTCTTGTCTGACCAGTGTTCAGTTTATGCCTGGCTGACCATTGTCCCGGTGCTGGGAGCTAGGCCTTGTGTTCTTCCCAGTGTTCCAGGAACAACCCAGTCTGGGGCAGCCCCTGCTTCTTCAGATGGAAGATGTAAATTCAATACACCACCATGATAAGAAATAAGTTCAAATATTTTTACTTAGAGATCCTGGGCAAGGAGGGTATAATAAGTTAGGAGGGCAGTCCTTCATCCCTGGGTTGCAAGAAACAGGAAGGAAGAGTCAGGCAGAGAGATTTAAAAAAAAAAAAAGGATTAATTAGCAGGATATGTAAGGAAATAGAGTTTGGGTCACTTTAAGCTCACAGGAAAATGCTTGAATGATCTGTTTAAAGGAAGCAACAGGAAATTGGGGAACCCAGTCTGCTAGGCAAGAGAAGATGCTTCTAAGTTCTAATCTGTGGCTACTGGCTTAGTCCGTTTGTGTGTGGTATAGAACTGGGAAGTGTGTTAAGGATGACTGAGCCCTGCTTCTGGACTGAGAAAGTTGAATTATATTCAAAATGAATGCAAAGGCAACATATAATCATAAGAATTTACTACAAGTCTTTCATCTCCTTCGTTAATGTTATTCCTTAGTGTTGTATTCTTTTTGATGTTACTTTAGATGAGATCGTTTTCTTCATTTTTGGGGGTTGCTTGTTGTTACTATATAGAAATGTAACTGATTTTTGTACTGCAACTTTACTTTTTAAAATTTTTTGTCTTGTAACTTTACAGAATTCATTTATTTTAATATTTTTAAAAAATGGTGCACCTAGGATATGTAAGATAGCATCATCTTCACATAGGGACATTTTTATTTCTTCCTTTCCAATTGATGTGCCTTTTCTTTCTTTTTCTTGTCTAACTGCACTGGCTAGGACTACTAGTATTACATCTAGTAGAAGTGATGAGAATGGGCATCCCTGCCATGTTCTTGATTTTACAGAAAAAGCTTTCAGTTTTTTGACATTGAGTATGATGTTATCTGTGGGTTTTTCATATATGGACTTTATTATGATAAGGTATTTTTCTGCTGTTTCTTTTTTGTTGAGAGTTTCTTTTTAAATCATGAATGGATGTTTAATTTTGTCAAATGCTTTTTCTGCATATTTTGAGATGATCATGTGATTTTATTCTTTGTTCTGTTAATGTGGTGTTTCATATTGATTTTTGTATGTTGAATCATCCTTCAATCCCAGGAATAAATCCCACTTTGTTGTAGCATATGATCCTTTTAATGTGATTCAATTTACTAGTCTTTTGTTGGGGATTTTTGCATGTTAATTGGGGTAATCAGCTTATATATACTTTTCTTGTGTTGTCTTTGTCTGGTTTTGTTGTCAGAATAATACTGGCCTTCAAAATGAGTTTGGAAGTGTTCCCTCTTGATCAATTTTTTTGGAAGAGTTTGAGTAGGATTGGCATTAATTATACTCTACATGTTTGGTAGAATTCACCAGTGAAACCATCTGGTCTTGGGCTTTTCTTTGTCAGGAGGTTTCAGATTACTGATTCACTCTCTATACTAGCTATGGGTATGCTTAGACTTTCTATTTTTCATGATTTAGTTTTGGTAGGTTTTATGTTTCTAGGAGTTTGTCTGTTTTTCTAGTGTTTCCACTTTGTTGGTCTATAACTTTTCGTAAGTCTCTTAAGATTCTCTTAATTTCTGTCATCATGTTTTTTCTTTCCCTCATGGTTTTATTTATTTTAGCTTTTTGTTACATGACTCTAGCTCTTTGAGGTATAAAATTAAATTGTCTGAGATCGTTCTTCTTTTAATTATATGCATTTATTGCTATGAACTTCCTCCTTAGTACTGCTTTTGCTATATGCCATGAGGTTTGGCATGTTGTATTTCACTTTCATTTGTCTTGAAATATTTTCAAATTTCTTTTTTGAGCCAGTGGCTATTCAAGAATACTATTTAATTTCCACATTTTGGTGAGGATTCCACTTTTCCTTTTGCTATTGATTTCTAGTTTCATCACATTGTGGTCAGAAAATATATTTGACATAATCTTAATCTTAAATTTGTTGAGATTTCTTTTGTGCTCTAACATGTGATCTATTCTTGGCAATAGTCTGTGCTACCTTGACACAGAATGTGCATTCTGCTGTTGTTGGGCAGAATGTTTTGTTGTATATATGTTGGGTCCATTTGGTCTATAGGGTTGTTCAAGTCCTCTGTTTCCTTATTGATCTGTCTGGATTTCCTATCTAGTGTTGAAAGTGAAATATTGACACCTCTTACTATTATTGTAATGCTGTCTAAGTCTCCCTTCAGTTCTGTCAATGGTTGCTTCATATATTTCGATGATCTGATGTTGGGGGCATGTAGACTTATAATTGCTACATCATCCTGGTGGATTGACCCTTTTATGAAATGTCCATATTTGTCTCTTGTAATGGTTTTTGACTTAAAGTCTGCTGTGTCTCTTTTAAATATGACCACCTCTTCTCTCTTTTGTTTGCCATTTTCATGGAATATTTTTTTCCATCCCTTCACTTTTAGACTATGTGTGTCCTTAAATCTCAAGTGAGTTTCTTGCAGGCAGCATATAGTTGGGTGATGATTTTTTAAAAATCCATTTAATCACTTTATATCTTTTAATTGGTGAACTTAATCCATTCACATTTAAAGTAATTGTTACAGGAAAGGATTTACTATTACCATTTTGTTACTCATTTTCTGTTATATAGTAGTTCTTTTGTCTTTTTGTCTCTTGCTGTCTTCCTTTGTGTTTTGTCAGTCTTTCGTATTAAGATGCTTTGATTCCTTTCTGTTTTTCTTTTATGTAAGTTCTATAGGTACTTTTTCTGTTTGCCTTGGAGATTACATAAGATGTCTTATAGTTATGATAGTTTAAGTTGATAACAAGTTAAATCACATACAAAAATGCTATACTTTTAAATGTCACAATTTGCATCTGTTCATTTTATGTACCTTTAAGCTATTGTGGTTACAGTTATTTTAAATAGTTTGGTCTGTCAGCTTTTATATTTGAATGAAAAGTGATTTAACTACCACCATTACAGTAATACAGTATTCTGTATTCATCCATATATTTACCTTTACCAATGACTTTCATATTTTTTCACGCTATCATGTTGCTGTTTTGCATCCTTTCATTTCAATCTGAAAGACTCCCTTTGGCATTTCTTGTAAGGCAGGTCTAGTGGTGATTCACTCCCTAAGAGTTTCTCTCTGAGAAAGTCTTTATCTCTCTTTCGTTTTTGAAGGAGAGTTTAGCTGGGTCTGTTATTCTTTGTTGGCAGATGTTTTTTTCAGTCCTTTGAAAATATTGTCCCACTCCCTCCTGGACTGCAAGGTTTCTGCTGGAAAATCTACTGATGATCTTGTGGAGGTTCCCTTGTACATGATGAGTTGCTTTTCTCTTCCTGTTTTTAAAATTCTCTTTGACTTTTGACAATTTGATTATATTTTAGTGTGGTTTTTTTTTTGTTTGTTTGTTTCATTTAATTTGGTGATCTTTGGGCTTCTTGAAAATGGATCTCCATTTCCTTCTCTAGAGTTGGGAAGTTATCAGGCATTATTTATTTAAATAAGCTTTCTGGTCCTTTCCATCTCTCTTGTCCTCAAACTCTCATAATGCATAAGCTGTTCTGTTTAATGGTGGCCTATGAGTCCATAAAGATTTTTTCACCTTTTTCATTCTTTTTCTCTTTTTTCCCCTTAACTGGATAATTACAAATGACTTGTCTTTGTTTGGTGAATTTTTTTTCCTGTTTGATCAAGTCTGCTGTTGAACCCTTGTAGTGAATTTTTCAATTCATTTATTGTATTCTTCAGCTCCAAAATTTGTTTTTAAAAATTTTTTTAAAGTCTTTTTGTTGATATTTGTAAAGATAAAAAAAAAATTTTGTTAATTTTGCTTATGCGTCATTTTCTTGAGCTTGTAGAGCATCTTTACAACAGCTATTTTGAATTATTTGCCAGGTAATTCATATACCTCTGTTTCTTTAGACTAATTTCTGGAATTTTATTTTGTTCATTTCTTTTTATTTTATTTTTTATTTTTTTGAGATGGAGTCTTGCTCTGTCACCCAGGCTGGAGTGCAGTGGCGCGATCTCGGCTCACTGCAAGCTCTGCCTCCCAGGTTCATGCCATTCTCCTGCCTCAGCCTCCCGAGTAGCTGGGACTACAGGCACCTGCCACCTCGTCCAGCTAATTTTTTGTATTTTTTAGTAGAGACCGGGTTTCACCATGTTTTTTTAATGACTTTTTTTTTAAATGACTTTTCTTACTTCTATTCCTCTTTAAATCACTAGGATGTGGGGAGATATGGGACTACTGTGTTTTCTGTAGTTTCTTTTTTACCCCAGTGCTCTCTCCAATTTCACTTTAGTTTCTGCAGTAGCCCTATTTTTTTCTTCTTTTTTGAAGACTGCCATGTTATTTTATTTTCTGCTGATTTTCTAAATACCTCCTCCCCAAGTTTCTGTCTTGTGTTATTGCTTTATAGATTGTTGGCTTCATCCAATTTTCCTTTTTTAAATTAAGGAGGAAATGTTTGGTCACAGTTTTCTTCTGCTTTATTACTAGTGAATGTACTTCATCTTTTATTATTTTTTTCTGTACATTACTTTTTTTTGTAGTATCATTGTATGATTCCTATAGAGGTTTCTTTTTATTTTATTTTTAATATAGTTTTATTTCAATAGCATTTGGGGTACAAGTGGTTTTTGGTTACATGGATGAATTGCAGTCGTGAAGTCTGAGATTACAGTGCACTCATCACCTGAGTAGTGTGCATTGTATCTCATATGTAGATTTTTATCGCTTACCCTCTTCCCACCCTCCTCACTTCTGAATCTGCAATGTCTGTTACACCACTCTATATACCTTTGCATACCCATAGCTTAGCTTCCACTTATAAGTGAGGACATATGGTATTTGGTTTTCCATTTCTTAGTTATTTCACTTGGAAGAGTGGGCTCCAACCTCATCCAAGTTGCTGCAAAAAAACATTTTATTCTTTTTTTATGGCTGAGTAGTATTCCACGGTGTATATATACCACATTTTCTTTATTTACTCATCAGTTGATGCCCGTTTTAAATTGGTTTTGTATCTTTGCAATTGTGCATTGTGCTTTGATAAAAATATGTGTGCAGGTGTCTTTTTATATGATGACTTATTTTCCTTTGGGTAGATACCTAGTAGTGGGTTTGCTGGATTCAATGGTAGATCTACTTTCATTTCTTGGAGAAATATCCATATTGTTTTCCATAGAGGGTGTACTAATTTATATTCCTACCAGCAGTGTACAAGCCTTCCCTTTTCAATAAAGGTTTTTTTTAAATTATTCATTATTGTAGGAACTGAATTTTTCTTTGATCAGTTAATTGCAGAAGGTTCATTTTGGAATAAGGGTAAGGGTGATTTCTTTGTTCTGGTTCAGGATTTTGTATTAAATGTGATTAGGTGTTACCTTGCACCAGCCTATGGCAATAGGTCAAACTTTTTCTCTCTGCTAACCCAGAGTCAGCATGTTTCCTGGAAATTTTTATTGTCTCTGGAATTCCTTGTTTAGTTTTGCCTTCTTTGTCTCTGGGATCAAACCAAGTCCAGGAACCTCCTCTTGACAGTTGATTCACACCCTTTACTATTATAGTAAATAAAGGTTATGTTCCTTCCCTCTAAGCATTGTGTGTTAGTGGGCTTTTTTTCCTGTGAGATTTTAACCACTGTGAGTGCTCTCTTTGTATTATCTTGACTCTTCTCCCTTTATTACCCCTCCCCTATAAATGTCTACTCCCTATCCCCCACCATAATTCTTTCTTTTCCCAGTTTGGTTGCAATCACACCTAATTCAAAAAGGTGTGGCTTGGGTTCTATTAATTTCCCTAAAAATATAGTTTGCTTTCTCTTTCTCATTCTCTGTCTTGCTCTCTCTGTCTTTCTCTCTATGTCTCTCGAGGGTGAATTCTAGCAAGACAAGGAGGGACTCTGTTTTTATGCTGTGATGAACAAGTCAAAAATCTAAATGTTATTGACCAATTGGTGCTCTGCCTGAAAATTCCTCCTTTTTTGATTTCAGATACTTTTAGAGTGCAATAGGCAAATCATCCAGAAGTGAGGAAAGAAGCCTTAGTAATTGTCTAGAAGAGTTTGGCCTTTTGTAGACTAAGTCATTGAGGACCTAGCCCCTTATTCTCTTTCCAGATTCATTTTCGGCCACATGAACCAGATACTTCAGCCATATGGTACTCCTTAGAGTCTTTCCAAATAAACCACCCTCATTTTTCTTTGTCTATTTTGTTTGTTGATTAAAATTTTTTTTATAATTTCAACTTCAATTTAGATTCAAGGGATACTTGTGCAGGTTTGTTACATGGGTATATTGCATGATGCGGAGATTTGAGGTATGATTGATTCCATCACCCAGGGAGTGAACATAGTACTGAATAGGTAGTTCTTCAACCCTTACCCCACTCCCTACCTCCCTGCTGTAGCAGTCCCTGGTGTCTATTGTTGCACCTTTATGACTATGTGTACCCAATGTTTAGCTCCCACTTATAAATGAGAACATATAGTGTTTGATTTTGTGCTCTTACATTAGTTTGCTTAAGGTAATGGCCTCCAGCTGCATCCATGTGGCTACAAAGGGCATGATTTCATTCTTTTTTATGGCTGTATAGTATTCCATGGTGTGTATGTACCACATTTTCTTTATCCAGTCCATTGTTGATGGCACCTGGGTTGATTCCATGTCTTTGCTATTGTGAATAATACCATGATGAACATACAAGTGCATGTGTATTTTCGGCAGAACAATTTATTTTCTTTTGGGTAGATACCCAGTAATGGGCTGTTGGCTTAAATGGTAGTTCTGTTTTAGATTATTTGAGAAATCTCCAGACTGCTTTCCACAGTGGCTGAACTAATTTACACTCCCACCAACAGTGTATAAGCATTCCCTTTACTCCACATCCTCACCAGCATCTGTTGTTTTTGGCTTTCTAATGCCATTCTGACTGGTGTGAGATGGTATCTCATTGTGGTTTTGATTTGAATTTCTCTGATATTGGCCTGTAGTTTTCTTTTATCATTGTGTCTTTGGCATATTTTCTATCAGGGAATGCTGGCTTTGTAGAATGAGTTAGAGAAGAGTCCATCCTGCTCAATTTTTTGTAGTAGTTTCAATAGAATTGGTACCAGCTTTTCTGTATACATCTGGTAGAATTTGGCTGTGAATCCATCTGGTCTGAACGTATTTTTGGTTTGTGGGTTTTTAAATTACTAATTCAATTTCAGAACTCAATATTGGTCTGTTCAAGGTTTCAATTTCTTCTTGTTTCAATCTTGGGATATTGTGTGTTTCCAGGAATTTATCCACTTCCTCTAGGTTTTCCAGTTTGTGTGCATAGAGGTATTCATAATAGCCTCTGAGGATCTTTTGTGTTTCTGTGAGATTGATTATAATGTCACATTTGTGTTTTTTATTATGTTTTTTGGATCTTTTCTCTTTTTTTTCTTTGTTAATCTTGCTAGTGGTCTATCAATCTTGTTTATTCTTTCAAAAAAACCAACTTTTGGTTTTATTGATTGTATAGACTTTTGGGTCTCAATTGCATTCAGTTCTGCTGTGACATTTGTTAGCTTTGGTGTTAGTTTGTTCTGCTAGCTTTGGGGTTAATTTTTTCTTGTTCTTTTTTTTGTAGGTATGCGTTAAGTCATTAATTGAGATCTTTCTAACTTTTTAAGGAAATTGTTTAGCATTATAAACTTTCCCCTTATTACTGCTTTTGCCTCATCCCAGAGATTTTGATATGTTGTGTCTCTGTTTTCATTTATTTCAAATAATTTTTGACTTCTGCCTTAATTTCATACTTTACCCAAAAGTCATTCAGGAGTGTTTAATTTACATGTAATTGTGTGGTTTTCTGAGATCTTCTTGGTATTGATTTCTATTTTTGTCCTACTTTGGTCTGAGAATATGATTCATATAATTTTGATTTTTTTGACTTTGTTGAGATTTGCTTTATGGCTGAGTATGTGGTTGATCTTGGAGTATGTGTCACGTGCAGAAGAGAAGTATGTATATTCTGTGGTTGATGGGTAGAGTATTATGTAGATGTCTATTAGGTCCAATTGGTCAAGTATTGAATTCAAGTCCAGAATTTCTTTGCTAGTTTTCTGCCTTGATGATCTGTCTAAAGCTGTCAGTGGGGTGTTGGAGTCTCCCTCTATTATTGTGTGGCTCTCTAAGTCTTTTTGTAGGTCTAGAAGTACTTGTTTTATGAATATGGGTGTTCCAATATTGACTGCATATATAATTTGGATAGGTAAGTCTTCTGGTTGAGTTATATCCCTTATCATTAGGTAATGCCCTTCTTTGTTTTTTTACTGTTATTGGTTTACAGTGTGTTTCATCTGTTAGAAGAATAGTGATCCTTGGTCTTTTCTGTTTTCCATTTGTGTGACAGAACTTTCTCCAACTTTTTGCTTTGAGCCTGTGGGTGTTGCTACATGTGAGATGGGTCTCTTGTTTTATCCAGTTTGCCTCTGTGTGCCTTTTAAGTGGGGCATGTAGACCATTTGCATTCAAAGTTAATATTGATATGGGCAGTTTTGACCCTACCATGAAACTGTCAGCTGGTTGCTTTATAGTTTCTATTGTGTGGTAGTTCTACACGGCCTGTAAACTATGTACTTAATTGCCACACTCACTTTCTCACATAGGCCTTTGCAAATTATACCCTTGGCTTGAAACAATATTTGCCTACCTTTCTATCTGGGTAACTCCTGCTCATCTCTTCAGCTTTGGCTTAGATGTTACTTGTTTGGGAATATTTCCTGACACCTCTCTTCCTTCCCCCGGGTCCAACGTGCTTGCCTTATCATGGCACTTACCATATATGGCCTGTTTTTCAGTGTCCCAAAATAGACTGGATTTCATTGAGGGCAGGAATAGCATTTGGTTTACCATTCTATCCCCAGCACTCAAAACATTGCCTGGCCCACAGTAGGTGCATGATAAATATTTGATGAATAAATGTTCACTGCCTATTTCAAAGCATACTGTATTGTGTATTAATCAATGAATGGCTGATATATCCTGAAATTCTGGACAATATGTGTGTTCAGTACTGGAATTACTATTAAAATATTCTTTTTAATATTTTTGTCTTTTCATAAGAGTTAAAGTACTCATATTTTGTGTTTCAAATATCTTAATAGTTGGCTGAAAAATGTCAAACCATAGATAGTCTAAGATCCATGAGGCTAGAGATTTTTGTTTTGTTCATTTCTGAATCCCTATCACCTAGAAAAGTGCTTGGTACGTACTGGGCACTCAATACATGTTTTCTGAATGCACAAATGAAAACACGGAGTTTGCCTCCTTAAATATTGTGAACTATACCTGTCTCTTGTCTTACCTAGTCCTGGCCCTGTGAGGCTTAATTGAATATGTGAAGGTCTATTGAATTCCTCCCTGCAAAAAGAGGTCTTCAGTATAAACATAGCACATATTTTCTGGGTAGAATTGGGGCAGCTAATGAGGGTTTTTGTGCCCTAGTGAAAAGTCTGCTACATCCTTGATCTTAGGGGCTTGAAATCACAAGGACCACCTTCTCTCTCATTCACCCTAAAGTGAAACGTGATAGCCAATAAGTCCTGCCTTTGTAGAGTTCGCTCAGTCTTGGTGTTAAAGATGCCTGAGCAGTAACAAGTCACTGTACATTAGGAACATTTCTGTGATAAATGTGAGAGATAAAAACCAAAATGCAGTAAAAAATATGACCTAAGATAATTAAGAAAATAGAACAGAACCCACCAACAGTTATAAACTATAAATTGGAAAACTCGAACATCAGCACAGAGATTTGGGAAGTTATAACATCCATGAAACAAGAACAAGATGCTCTGGAGAGAACACAGGAAAAAAAGAAAAGAGTTCCTGGAAATTAAAAAAAAAAATCTTGACAAACCAAAACATTCAATAGAAGGGCTGGAAGATTAAGTCAAGAGACTCTCCCAGAAAGTAGAATGAAAAGAAAGACTCAGAACATCAGAGAATAAAGACAAAATAAAGGGTCAACTGGCAGATCCAAAATTTAACTAAGACTGTTTTCTAGATGAAAGAATGGAAAAACAAACAAACAAACAACCAAAAAATAATGAAGAGGAGAAAATTATAAAGAAATATCAGAAGAGAACTTCCCCAAATCTTCCAATTGAAAGAGTCTCCTGAATACTCAGAAACAATGAATGAAATAAGATCAATACCTCTAAAATTACAAACCAGAAAGGATAAAGAGAGGAACTTAAAGCTTTTAAAGGAGAGAAGTGGGGCACTTACCAAAAGATGAAAGTCAGACTAACATCAGATTTACCATCAGCAACACAAGATGCCAGAGGACAGTGGAGTGATCCCTTCAAATGGCTCTCAACCTAAAATTCGATATTGTGTCAAACCATGAGACAAGTGTGAGGCAGGATAAAGACATTTTCAAGCAGAAAGCCTCATAACTTTTGCCTCCCATGATCTTTTTCTTATGAAATATGTTTAAGATATGCTACAACAAAGCAAGAGAATCAATTAAGAAAGGGGGTGGCATGGGGTGAGGAAACAGTGACTCCAGCCCAAGAGAGTAATCCCAGGATGCAGCTGAGCAGCAGACCTGACAAACAATCAGCCTTGAGTGGGTGACACCACGAAGGCCCATATAACAAAGTGCACATTTTCCTCTGCTGTGAACCATAGTTCAAAGACAGACTTATGTACATATCTTTTATTCATTTTCAACTTTTAGAATCAATCTTTAGACCAATAAAAAGTATTTAAGTTTGGCTACAGGAAAGAACACAAATGTTTTAAACCTCTATAGTGAAATAGAAAAAAAAATAAATAGGTTGGAGGGAGAAGTGAAGAGGAGATGAGGAGTGGGTAATAACGTCATCTTACCAGTTAGGGAGTGTTTATAATTGATGAACTGAAACAAAACAAAACAGCCTTCTGTATGTTACTTAGAGTTGCAGAAATAATCATTAAGGAAATTAAACTGGATATGCCTATATTTTTGGAAAAAGAAAGTGGAGAAGTAAAGTAAATGACTTAAATCTTCGTCTGATTTTGGAAAAGGTCTAATATTTATAAATCCAGAAATGGTAATATATGTACATAATTTACAGTTTTTGGGATAACCGTTTGATGTACCTTCTGAAGTTTGAGAGTAATTTTCTCTGGGGAGTGGGACTGGGGCTGTGGTGATGGAGGTGGGGGCATGAAGAGTCTCTTGCTTTACTAGATATGCCTTAATGTAGTATTTGATTTTGTAACTCTTTGCATGTATTGCTTTGATTGAAAACATTAAAAGTACTTAAAAAAGAAACTAGTATACTGTAAACACTTGATATATGGCAGCCGTTATTATATTAGTAAGGGGGCAGGGAAATAATCCAGAATTATATTAAGGAGTTGTTATGGCAAAGTATTTGAAGCATGGATTTTTGGCTAAGTTTGAGTCCTGGCTGATGGATGTATATGGTTGGCCTTGGCAATGCTCAGGTTCTCATCTGTAAAACGGGGATAATAGTAGTATCCACTACACATCATTGTTCGGAAGATTATACGTAATATTCCATATAAAACTGTTAGCATAAAGTCGGGCCTATTATAAAGATAATAATAAATATTTCTTATTTTATTCAGTATTATTAATTTTAGAATAAATTTGATTTAAAGGAACAAAGGACCTACATGTGGCTCCAATTTTACTGTAGGTATTAACAAGCTTTGTGACACAGAATAGATAATTGCAATTGCCCACAGCATTGTTTCTCTTTAAAAAAGTAGTTATAATCCTATCTGCTTTTGTAACTTTAGAATCAATTGCAAAAGTTAATGCAGTTTCTCTTTAAAAGAGTAGTTACAATCCTATCTGCTCTTGTAACTTTAGAATCAATTGCAAAAGTTAATGGAGTCTTTAAGAATAAAAACTTTAGCAATAATCCTGGGGGAGGAAATGTGGACTCTGCAGCTGATAAAGCTCTTATATGTAAGTGTTCAGAGTGGAACCTTCTGTAGGCTTGCTCCTGAAATAGATACAGGCTCACAGTTCCTTATCGAAAACTTTGGAGCCAGATATATTTAGAAATTTAGGATTTTCTGGTTGTAGAAAGACAATATGGTGTTGTCTGCCATTTTATTGTGCAATAACTCCAGTGACATCTGAGAAAGTACCTGTAATCAAACACATTAATGTTTTTATATTAGAAAATATTAATTCACAAGTATTAGGTAGGCTTTAAGAAGCCATCATTAAATACATAACATTCCAGGTCAGATATTGCTGCACAAATGGGTTCAAGTCAGATCAGGTTTTGCCGTAAAGTAGGTTTTGAAAAAACTTTGCATTTTCTGTGGTTTTTTGTATTTTGAAGTTGTATTGAGCATTTGAGGATCTGTACAGCCATCCCATATAGTTTTGTGATTTTTCTTTCCCATATACTTTTGGAAAGTTCACTTCTTTGGTACATGGTTCTGAAATGAGAAGATTATATTTAACAGTAATGATGAAACAGCCATTTTAGTGCCAGACATTTGAGGCTGCAAAATAATACACTAAAAATACTTGGGGGAACTATTTTTGAATTTTAAAAGATAATTATTGGAATGAGGTTTTGGTTATTTTTGTTGTTGTTGTTCTCCTACAGGAAAAAGAGCCTGTGGATTTCTCAGTCAAATCTCAAGCGGATAGAGAATTTCAGTTCTTTGACCACCATCTGATGGAATCCATTAAAATGGGTGATCCCAAAGTTCATGAATTCCTTAGGTTACTTGCTCTCTGCCACACTGTAATGTCAGAAGAGAATAGCGCAGGTAAGTGAAAAGTTATGTCTGAGTGGTGAACCTTGTTTTTGTTTTTTAAAATTGAAACTGACACTAAATTTGAAGGATTTACAAATTAAGCATTTGAGCAGTGAGCCTTGTTTTTTGTTTTTGTTTTTTAACACAGAAACTGATGTTAAATTTGAAGGATTTTCAAGTTAAAGATAGAACATAGTTTATATCCCATATGTTTTGAAAAAATGTGGAGAGATTTAAGTGAAAAAGAAAAGAAACAAGGACAATGGAAAAGTGAGGACCCAAATATGCTAGTCAAGGGATGACATCGTTCTTACAATTGAGCACCACATTTGACTGTAAGCTTCTGGGTAGCCAGGACAAATACTGAAATACAGTTGAGTCACACATCTCTCATTATTAGTATGCATATCTAATAGATGCAGATGACCTTCAGACATATGCTTAGAATGAATTTTCCCAGTAACAGAGATAAATTGACCTTGATATTAGAATAGTCTTATTTAGGCTCCATTATGAGAAGGTCCTCACACTTGTGAGATGGTTGTTTGGAACTCAGGGTTCATAGGATAGAACAAAACCGCTTGGGCCACTTAACATTTTGAAGCTGTGAGACAGGTAGATAATGGTATAGTGAACTGGCTTCTTGCCCTAGTTGAACCTAATCTATTCCATTTATATGTTTTCCTCAGCCCACTAATTCTTCCTACAAGGTCTTTGGTTCTTTCTCAAATCTGTTTAATTTTATATCTCAATTTTATTTCTTGAAATCTGTTAAATATATTGCATGTGCTGTTTCTGATACTTCCAATATCTAATTTTTTTTTCAGATCTTATTCTGCATTGTTTCTGTTGGTTCTTAGGTTTTACTTGTTGTTGTTGTATACTTTTCACTGTGAGCTGACCATTTTACTTTGAACTTAATTTATATAAATTTTTTGGGTCCAGTTGGTTCCTCCAGAAAGGATTTACATTTGCTTCAATGTTCTAATGTAGAAACATTTTAAACTAAAGTTTCAACTTGATTTCTTTCAGGCCACCTAGATATTGTGAATTCAGAATGCAAGTTTACATGAGAGTCAGTGATTGGTTATAAATTCTTGGCAGATATTTTTTTCCCTTCCAATTATAAGGAGGGTTCTATTTAGGCAAGTTTTATTCCAAGCCCTCTTCAAGGGGGCATGGGTGTCCAGTTTACCCTTATATTGAGAGTAGTCTTTGGGGGACCCAGTTTTGAGAGGCCATCTTTCACTGGACTCTCACCTTAGACAGGTACTGGGCTATGGCTTTTTAAATTAAAGCCCAGAGACATTGAAAACCAATGATCAAGTTCTCCTGGTTCAGAAAACACCCTCAAGGCAAATGCTGGCTAATGTGCTTCTTTAATCCCTTAAGTGTTCTTTTTCTCAGTCTCTGACCTGAACAGTTCTTACTTTCTTGCAAGTTCATGAATGTATTTAAGAATATTAAAATGCTTTTATAGTTGTTTGTAGCAGTTGAGATTGGTCCTGACACCCATTCCACCATGTTACCAGAAGTAGAACTTATGTTATTTCGTGGGTAGATCAAGTAATTGCTTTAAGTTTTTTCCTTTTGTGAATTTCAAAAATTCATTCATGTCTATTGTATTAAGTGGAACAATACAATACAAAAATTTATAAAGATGAAGCTAATGGTAGCTTCCCTGAACTCCAGTCTCACCCCTACAGAGGTAACCACTGGTAACATCTAGTGTTTATCATTTCACCCTTTCCTCTGGCTCATAAATATATACATATATTCAAGAATATTTCTAGATATTTAGGTGATTTGTTTCTTTTTAACAAAAAGAACTCATAGTATAGCCATTAATATGCAACTTGTTTACTTAACAATTATCTTGGACATGACTATAAATCAGGAAATATGGGTCTAGCTATGCCTAATTAATAGTCTTTAAACATTAATTAATTTTCAAATTAATTTTTACATATAAATATAATATAATTTTATATAAGGGCTTACTTTATATATGCTGTTTTATAAACTCTCTCTCTCTATATGTATATATACATATAACTTATTTTATTCTTTTTGTCTCCTCTCCCCTCTTACCCCCACTCCAACTACACATAATATCAGGTAACAAGTATTAATATCCTGGTTTGATTTCTTACATTTCAAGGGATTTCTTGTATGCATTCTCATAAAATGGTCATTAGTGGCAGACTGAAGTAGAATTTGGAGTATCTCTCCATCACTCTTTAGCTGTGTGATCTCATCAAACTCATGTAACCTCTTTCAGTCATAGGTTCCACCAGTATAAAATGGAAATAATAATTTTAATAATCTCTACCTCA
Organism: Homo sapiens; assembly: GCF_000001405.40. NCBI lineage: Eukaryota > Metazoa > Chordata > Mammalia > Primates > Hominidae > Homo > Homo sapiens. The sequence goes on along the minus strand of NC_000015.10, from coordinate 49,931,692 downwards.
AAGGCTGCCCTGAGGATTATTTGGGTTAATATATATTAAAATGTTTTAGTTTACAAAACATTCATGGCACATCTCTAGTCACAGAAAATACAAAGGTTTGATCTCTAACCTAAGAAACTGAGCACAGTGAAGAGGCAGACTCAGAAATGGATGTTTTCCTATAAGATGACAAGGGCTATAGCAGTGATATGCATAGAGTCCTATGGTATCCCAGAGGACAGATACCAGATTGAGCTGTTGGTGAGTAGAAAAGATCTGAGGACAGGAAAGATTTTTAGACCTGATGCTTGAGTTGGGTGTTAAATACTGAGTTGGAGTTGGCATTGGAACTCTATGAATGTTAGCTGTTAGTCAGTATTGATACACTTGTTTCTTTACCTTTTAGGAGAGCTGATTTACCAAGTTCAGTCACCTGATGAAGGGGCTCTAGTGACTGCCGCTAGAAATTTTGGGTTCATTTTTAAATCCCGGACCCCAGAGACCATAACAATAGAAGAATTGGGAACACTAGTTACTTATCAATTACTTGCCTTTTTGGATTTCAACAACACCAGAAAAAGGATGTCTGTCATAGGTATGGTTGGTAGCTAAGACTATTTTTGATCTTTTCATACTGTTGTGGTTATGCTTTTCAAGGATTAATTTCACTTTTGGCTATGTGCTGAGGGTTGTGATAGTTTTGAAACTTTATGTATAAACTCTTGTGTTGCTCAACCTAGCCTCAATACTGCAGTGATATATAACTAACATTTATCAAGTGCTCATTATGTGCCCAGCACTGTTCTAAATGCCTTATATGAGTATGTACAATGTATCAATAAAAATATAAAAAAATTTTAAAAATAAACCACAAAAATGCTCTCCATGAATTAATTTATTCAATTGTCCCAACAATCCTAATAAGGTAGGAACTATTATATTTATACCCATTAACAGATAATGAAACTAAGACACAGAAAGGTTGAGTAACTTGCCCAGGTTCGCATAGTTTGAAGTAGAATAGCTGGGATTCAGACCTAGGAAGTGTGACTGCATAGCCCATTCACTTGTTCACTATACAGTACTGGCTCCGGATGAGTTTCTAAATTGCTTGGCACATGACAGTTGTTGTGAACATCGTCCTCAGCCTCCTCATTATCATTCATTTTCTCTGTCCACCTCCATTGCTGGAGAGGACCACCTAATATTATATTTAGCACCACAACAAATCTGTGCTTTCCTGACTCAATGCTAACTCTTAGTGCTGTGTCAATGTCACTCTCATTCATATTTAGTGCCTTTTTCCATTTTCACAATAGATATTCTAAACCTTGGCTGTTTCCTCAAGTTCTCAACACTGCTACAATCTTCTTTACTCTTGAAAGCTAAATTCATCTCCTATTTCTCTAAGAAAATAAAGGCCCTCAGGAATGCACACCATTAAGTCTTTTCCCCATCCTCCCTCTTCATCCCTAAGCTGTATCTTTAATAATTTACTCTCCTGCATCAGAAAACAATTGCTCTTTTTCCTTTTCAAAGCTGAAGGTTTTTCCAGTCCCATTCCTTATCCCTCCTTGCTTGCTCACTTCTTGCTTTTGCCTTCAATTTCTCAATTACTGGCTCCTTCCTTCAGCCCACAACTATATTATCCTCCTGTTTCCTTAAAAATATTCTTCATATGCTGGTGTCCACTGACTTTGCCACTATATTTTTCTGCTTTCCATCCCAGATTAGTTTCTCAGGTCAGTTTTTGCTTCTTGCCTTTCTTACTCTTTTCATCCCATTAGGGTTAAGTTTCTTCTTCCTCTACTCAAGAAGAAATGCTTTCTCAGAGGTTTCCATTAACCTTGTAACTTCCCAGTCCAATGGCTTTTCCTTATTAATCTGTTCATCTATCTATTTTTTTAAACTTAGTAGTATTTGAGACTGTTGGCCCTGTTTTCTTGACACTCCTGTTTTGGTCTCTGTAAACTTTCTGGCTCCTGTTTCTCTTCTTGTCCCATTGTTTTCTTTCTCAAGCTCCTTTGCTGACTATTCTCCTTCATCCCATTCTTCAATATTGATGTCCTTTTCTCTTTTTAGCTCCTGTGTTCTTCTTGGATGATCTTGACCACATACATGGTGGTAGCTATTGCTTATATTCTGTGACCTTCTTATACAGCTGTTTAGCTTCGATCTCTTTCTAGAGTCCAAACACACATTTTCAGCTTCCGTTATGTCCTGTCACTGGATTGTTACCTAAAGTTTTATGTCAAATATGGAACTTTCTTTCTCACAACTATAGTTCTTTCTATAATCTGTATTAAAATTCACAGTTACCTCTCTCATTGTATGCTTGTCCATGAACTTTATAATGAATTCTTTTATTGAATCGTTGCAACTGCATGTAACATGCATGTCCCATTTAAGACAAGAGGAGACTAAATGCAAAGATTTTAAGTAACTTGCCAAAGATTGTCACACAGCTGTAACACAACTTGTGGCGCAGTTGGGTAAGAGGCAGATCAGATATGTGAACCCAGGTTTTCCAAAATCTGGTCTTTTAAGGCCTATTATAGCTCACTCACTTTTTTCCATAGCTTTTGTGCCCCTTGGCTGATGGTTCTCAAACTTTACCTCCCATCAGCGTCACCAGGAGGGCTTGTTACAATACAGATTGCTGGGCCTCAGCCTCTAGTCTTATTTAGCTGGTCTGAGGTGGGGCCCACCAATTTGCATTTCTAACAAGCTTGTGGGTGATGCTGATGCCACTGGTCAGGGAATCACAGTTTGGGGACCACTTCTCTAGACTAATAGATCCTCAAATACTATCCATTATTTTCCCCAGAGATGTTTGAGACATTTCTCTAATCCATCTCCTTCTCTTCCAGTCTCAGGCCTTAACATCTCTAGAATATTCTATTGTCACCCTGTTTGTAAGTCTCTCCTCAGAGGCATCAGAATAATATTTATTAAAATGGCCTCATAAACCCCTTTTTAATCATGAAAGCTTTTTGTCCTTTTTTCCTAATTCCCAGTACCCTGCCTTAGTTAAGTTTCTTGTCACTGCTTGCTTGTATTATTGTAATATCTTCAAAATTATTCGCTTTTAAAATAATCCTCTATGCTGTCACCAGGATATTCTTTCTAAAACATAGGCCTGATTTTACTACCCCCTACTTAAAAAGCATAGGTGGCTTCCCAAACCTTAAAAGAAAAAGTCATTAGTATGACGTGCAAAATTATTTGCAATCTGATCTCAATCTACTTTTCTTCTACTTTCCAAAACTTTGAGCTCAACTAGACCTCACCATCCCTGGATGCATTGTTGCTGTTATACCCTTTGGACATGCTGTTCTCCTGTCTTGAATACTCCTTTCCCCCACTTCTCTTCTTGGAAATGTTCCCTACTACTCATCTGGTAATGTCCAATTCAAATGTTACCCATTTTTCAATTCTTTTTCTATTCTCCAAATAACCACATTCTTCTGTGTTCCCCAGAATGCCTTGTTCATAACACCAGTGTGGTATTAATTCCATGACACTCACAACTATCCTAGTCATTAAACTGTGTGCTACCTCAGGCAAGTGCTGTACCTTAGTCTTCCTAAACTGCCCAAGGCAAAGCACAGAGCTTGGCACATGATAAGTTTTCTATAAATGTTTATGAAATACTACTCAACCCAGCACTTTGTAAATTATGAATATCCTACTCATGGTATTTAATCAATTTCTTACTATTTAAAAAGTGTTTATACGTAACAGTAGGGTTTTTGGTCTCTAACTACTAGAAACTAGCCTTGAAAGATGGCTCTCAGCAGGTAAAAACCAAATAACATCTGAGAATGTTTATTTTTATTTTTATGTTTTGACAACAGGGAAGTCATCACCAGTGCCACTGATGAGCACACATGCCGTTCTAGGTGTTGGCTTAATGTTGTATCAGCAGGAGCTATCTTCTATTTACAGCCTCAGGGAAGGTGTTATTGATGTTGGTTTGGCCCAGAGTTGGTTTCTTTTTGCTCTGAGGGTGTTGACAAAAACCTAAAATTGCTACACAGGGAGATGTTTGGCTTTTCCTCAGCATTGGTCACCATTACAGGCTGTGGAGAAATTGCAGCCTAACCACAAACATCAGATGTTTGCCTTAATGGATCCCATATGAGGAAAGGTAGTGCTCTACCACAGAATGCATGAAGGTTTGCTGGATTTATTTTTATTCTGCTTGGTTTTTAATCAGGAGGATTTTTAGAGGGACTCTACCAGGGCAGAAAAGTCTTTGCATGATAACAAGGCAGAAAACAATCCTGGTCTCATGATCGTCACATGGGTTGGTCTGTAGGAACAACACCCTGATGCAAAGGCTCAGGCATTGCTTCTGTTGCTGCTGATCCTCCCCTTTCTCCTCCTCCCTCTTCTGCTTCCTTGTTTTTGGGTGGCAGCCATTATTCACTAAATCATCAATGTATAATTTCAATACCAGTAGTACTTTCATTCTGAAGAAAGAGCCCTGATTTAAGTCAGAAGTATCTACATAAAAATTGATTTCTATAAAGGATTTTTTTCCAGAGGGAACAGAATATACTATATTAGTAAAAAATATAAATGACATTATATAGTTTTGGAAGGACCAATTCTACTAATTCTGTAAATAGAAATACAGAGATAAAATTCAGAGGTGGCTATTAACAGGGGCAAGTGGCAGATAACCATTAAAGAAGAAGAAATTACAAGAAGCTTCTTGGAAGGCTCTTACGAGATCTTTAGATAAAAGTTGCTCAACTCTAAACTTTTTCAAGATTATCAAAGTACAAATCACACTGTCATGTGACAGGCATTTCTCTGTGTAGATGTATGAACAGCGGCGATATGGCAAAATAGAATTATTTACCACCCTTCACAGTGCTGCTGTTGCATCTAACTGGAAGCCATTTGTGACATTTTTTCTTTCCTTTATGTCACAAAGGCATAGCTTCTGCTTTCAATAAATTGTGCACAATTTTGGTTCATCTTAATTAAGTAAATATTGATTTAAGTTCCCCATATGTTCCAGGGCCTTCAAGCTAAGGGAGAATGTGAAAAGTTGAAAGGTAGTTCTATGTGGCTGCCTCCAAGAGAACATGGTAAAACAGACTGGATAGTGCAGCTGTTAATAAGCTCTATATGTCATGTCAAGGAGTCCAAACTTAATAGAAGGGAGAGGGAAGCTATTGCAGGATTCTAAGCAGCAGCATGAAGATGACTGTAACTGGAATATACAGAAGAGTCTGGAAGGAAGCAGTACTGGAATGGGTAAAACCAGTTAGGTTAAAGTGATTTTCTAGGCAAGAGAGAAGTGGCAAGAGAAATCCGTAGCTTCCCTTAGATGTATGGTTGGTGAAGGGAGAACTGTGAGTGATGCCTAGATTTCTGATTTGGGAGACTGAATGGATGGTGAAGCTGATTACTAAGACTGGGGATATAAGAGGAGTAGCTAATTATTGGAGGAGGGTAATATGTCCAGTATGAGTTTGGTGTGCTTGAGCATATCCAAGAGATTTTCAACTGGTAGTCGGATGTGCAGGTCAGAATGGAGTGCTAGAGATGGATTGGACAGGAGATACACATTTGAAAACAGCCTGGTGTTGGAACCTGAAGCCATAGAAATGATGCAGTTGCCCAGGGACAGTATGAAGGATGGGAAGATAAAAAAAAGACCCCAAGTAAATCTCTGAAGAACACTAATATTTAAATGGAAAGCATTGGGAGAAGATTTTATAACCTAAAAACTGTAACCTTTGTCCAAGTTCTGGCCATATGTTATCGTGACCATTTAAAACTATGTCCTTTTTAGTTTATTTAAGAAATACTAACTTCTGAAATGACTTAGATTTTATTAACTTTGAACAGAAACGACCAGAAGGCTTGGAAGAAAAGAGATATAAAACTTGCTGCTAAAGCAAATGTTTAATGAGTAAACATAAGCAGGATTCCATGAAATTGGATTTCCACAAAATCAAATTTAAAGGGACAAATACTAGGTTAAGGGAAAGTATCAGGGATGGAAAGTATTTATTGAATCAGAAAATTGTACTGCTGCAAAGGACCTTTGAAGTTAGATTGTTTAAACATCTCCTTTTTACATGTAGAAACTAAGATACAGTGATGGTAAGGGATTTACACAAATCACAATCAGTTTGTGATTCTTCCAGACCAGTGATTCTAAATGTGTGGTCCAGGGAACCTTAGGGAACTTTGTGAGTTTTTCAGAGGATGCACAAGGACAAAAGTATTTTCATTATAATATCACTATTATTTATCTTTTTCATTCTTTTTCTCATGAGTATACCATGGAGTTTTGCAGAAGCCACGTGACATGTGATGTCACAACAGAATGAATGCAGAAACAGATATGGGAATCCAACCCTCTTTTATTAAACTAGATGTTACAAAGATCTGTAATCATGTAAAATAATGCCAATCTCCAAACTAATATTTTTTGGAAAATATAGTTTTTTTATAGAAATGTTATTTATGCTTATATGTTAGATTTACAATAATAATAATTATAGTAACTAGTGTTATAAAACTGATATAATAAAATTTCTCATTTTTAATTTCTAATATGGATATTGATAGATAACATTCACTTAAAAAAACTTTTTAGAATCCTCACTCAGCATTGAAAAATTATAAAGAAGGTCCTGAGACCATAAGTTAGAGAACTAATGTCCTAGTCTAGAATACAAAATACAGGCAAATGTAGGTTATTCATCGTTTGCCTTTATACCTCTGGTGTTGGAAGGGAGAAAATATAAGGGAAATTATTCAATTGGATTATTGTACAAGAAAATCAAGAGAGAGTCTTTCCTAGGATTAAGTTTCCCCCCCTGGTTTAACAATTAGATAAATTGCATATGTTTTTCTCTTTCTTTTTCCCCAATGTAGGGGTTAGAGCTAGAGTACAAGAAAACCCACATGAGTTCTGGCAATTAGGCAAGCTAACCAAGGGTCTTAAAACAGAAGACAAGACCTAGACAAGGCCCAGTCCTAAAAAGCTTCCAGGGTATGTTATTAGATCTATGTAAGCCAGGAGGAAACTAGAATAGATAAGTGTAGACTGGGGTAGAGGGGAGGGTAACATTGTATTTTGGTTTTTATATTTTTTTAAATTAAGCACTAAATTTTGTACGCCATTTTCTTTGGCATTACATTAACAGTAAATAATAGTAAACATTTATGTTAACCTTTTTTTGAGGCATTCTCTTTGTAGATAAATGGGATAATTGAGTAGAAAGCATGTAATGATCTTTGACTGAACTGATGAAGCCTATGAGGGCAAGAGTATTCAGATTATGAAGTTGTGACAAAGGCAGTTGTCTTAAGTTGTAGGCAGTTCTGGGAAGAAATACCCAGCCATGTCATTCATTCATTCAACAAATAATTATTAATTGCCTACTATGTGTCAAGCTGTACAACTAAACCTAAAAAGTTAGGCCAAGTGTTCTGTGGTTTGAAAGAAAGCTTTGTCTAACAGCAATATGCTGGGGGTTGTCGGTGGGAATGGAGTTGAGGGTAGCCTAGGAAGGGCTGTCAGTCTCAAACCTGTGGGGCAGGTTAAAAACACAGTACTACCGATATAGACTTCCAGTGGGAATGAGGTGGAAACTTTATTTTTAAAAGCCCCTCTGTGAAGTGTGTTTTCAGCCAGAATTGTTACCCAGGAACGAACCACCAAGAATTAATGGACTTTTCCGGAGTAAAAGGGATGAAGAAATATGTCAGCAAGGGCCAAGAAAAAATGCATAAACCATGACTTTGAATGGCTAGAATTGCATATGGAGATGATTTAGCATAGCACTGATACTGATTTGAACAGCAGGTCTTGAATTTCACACCAGGAGACAGGCAAATAAAGCTCTCAATTCTGCTTAATATGGAGATGAAGACTTAATTTAAATGTATCAACCCTTCAGAAATAGTAAGCAAGGAAAACAGGAAGGTCATGTGCTTCAGAATAAAAACACTTGTTTCTGAATTTGGGAAATCAAAGATTCCAGTAGATGGAGCATTTCTTAAGTTAATAAATGAGAATAAAGCCAAGTGACTTAGGTAATGACCTAACCAAAGGCACTGAGTGTCTTACTACTGGCTAAAACATTATGCCCATTTCCAAATTGCCAGGCTGGAGCTCTGGGAGAATCTAATTTTGATGTATGACGTTGATTATATTCTGCTTTTCCAAACTTTTTTCTTTTCAGTTCGAAACCCAGAAGGACAGATAAAGCTTTATTCCAAAGGAGCAGATACTATTCTGTTTGAAAAACTTCATCCTTCCAATGAAGTCCTTTTGTCTTTGACGTCAGACCACCTCAGTGTAAGTGCCTCCGTCTTAAGGTTAGCACAATGGCCCTTTTGCCATCTCCTATGGTTAGGTCTTGTTTAAAAAAAATAGCAGCTAGATGATTTGACTACTGAAATAGAAAGCATCTGGAGAATGGTTCCACAGGAAGCTGTGCCAATGATTGTCTGGGAATTGGCACAAGGACCACCCCCCTTTCTGCCCCGTTGGAAGTCCAGTCAGTCTCTACAGGTGGAGGAACACACAGCAACTGAGTAGTAGCCACAGAATGTGGGCGTCTAGGGAACCTGCTGTAACTCCCCTGCAGCTTCATGTTGCTCCTCTTGGAAGACTGGACTAGTTTTGGAAAGAGGAGACAGAGAGCTCCTTTTCCTTGGGTTCTGATGTGTTTGGCACCAGTGGAATATCTTATGATTACCTCTAGGGAAAGTTTAGAGTTGTGTTTAGATTGTGAGAGGAAAATAGTCTCTGGTGCACACTTTCTCCTCTAAGGGTCTTTTTATTCAGGTCATAAATCATGATGAGTCACTTGTGTGCCCTCAGACACCAAACTTGTATATTCTGAGACCAGCATAATTTCTTTCCAAAAGCTTTCTGAAAGAAGTAAGAGTGATTTTTGGCACTTTTTTGTTAAATGCCAAAAAGTAAGGGAATGGGAATTAATATGAGCTTTACTTGTTTTAAACCTGAGATTCAAGTGTGTCTCAAATATTTGCCTATGGTTCCATTTAAGGGCATCTGGTCAAAACTGTCATTTTCTCATTGGTTTCTTTCCTTTAAGATATTATTGAGTATTCATGTTCTTTGTCAGACCCTATATTTAATGCAAAACATTCCCTGAATCTTTAAAAAGCAAATAAACAAATAAAAAAAATCCTCTGTCTCACTTTAAATTTAAAAAATGATGGTTTGGTAATATTGGTTACAAACATAGCTATTGTTTTTTGTCTTTCCAATAGAGAATTGATTTTCTTTTAATCTTTTCCAGGAGGCCAGCATGGTCTTTTAAATTTTTTTTAATGAACACAACACTGGAATCATAAGTGTCTGACTTATTGCCGTTACTCAAACACCAAGGCCCTGGTTTTTCATACATTCTCCTTTAATACTAAACTATAGGAAACCTAATTTGGTCTTTTTACATTTCTCTGCAAAATAATTTTTTTTCAGGTAATATAAATTTAACTTGCTCTTTGCTTCATTCACTTTATTCATTTTGACTTCTAGATTCTGAGGTCTTAAATGTTTATTTAATTACTGATTTCGAATTGTTTAATGATAGGAAAAGACCTTAATAAAATGCTCATTTAGGATTGAACTTGTGTTTCATGTACTAATTAAATAATTTAAATCATCCGTTTCCTTTTGTAATGTCATCTTATTGTTCATTCACTGTTGTGCAGAACAGAGAGGAAGGCAGTGGTAATGCCCAGTGGGGATGCAAGTTAAAGGCAAAAAAGTGCTTGTGTGAATTAAGAGGACAAAAGATCATTACAAGACAGTAGCTAGATTTTCAGATCCGTAGGGGATCCAGTTGTGGTCTTGAAAGGCAGGGCTTGCAAAATGTGATTCCAATATCCGAAGTGCTACCAACTGCCTACTATAGAAATTTGGATACTTTTTCTCAATATCTGTCTGGGGTAAACCATCTCATTGCAGTACGCATTGACTTTTCTATTTACCTAATTACAGTATCTCACAGTTTAACCTACGCCTGATTATAAACCTCTATGTGTACCATACGCCAAAACACCACAGAGGAGACATACTCAATGGCAATACCCAAAGGAGCAGAAATGGCCATAAAAATGCTTTACTTGCAGTGTAGAGGCCCATAAAATGACCACTGGAAGCACAAGCGGAATGGGAGTTTTTGAGCATTTCCCCCAAAGCAATCTACGTATGTTTCTAGTTACTATGGCTGTGTGAGACACTTAGCAAATACCAGTCTCCTCTTTTTCTTTTCCCCTACTATTAGGATAAAGCACCAAAGGTGTTTGAGATTGTCACGATACAGGAAAAAGGAAGAGTATGCTTCCCCAATCAGTTTGACTAATTTAGTACTAACTTCATAGAATATAGCTTCTAAAAAATAATACCTTTTTTGCACTAAGCTGACTTGATAATGGTATCTTTAAAATTCCCAACAATTTGTTATTATTAAGATAAAACTTTAATACAGCAAAAAATAAAAAGTTTCACGGAGGAGTCTATAATGAAAAGTGAAGGTCAGCCTCCACATTTAGTCCTGCTTCCCAGAAGCAACCACCTATATTAGCTTTTCTTCCTTTCTCTCCCCTTTTGCCCTAGAGGTTATTGTTATAACCTTAAGTAATATGCTTAAACTTCTAATATCTGACTATTTAACATCTATTTATTCATTTATTATTTACTTTTAGCTTTTTATCATGAAAATTTTCAAGCATATGCAAAAGTAGGACTCAATTTTAGGCATAGGCATATCACTAGGGGGAATGTGACAAGACTTGGGTGTGATGTCATGTTGTGGTTCCTGGGGAGAGCCTCCTGCCTTTGATTTGAGGACTATGGCTTCTCTAAGGGTCCTTTCCTCTTCACTGAAAGCTGAGGTCCATAAAACACACTGGGTCCCTCTCATGGCCAGAAATGCTTCCTTCCGTCAAGGACAGATTGGAAACAAATATATGTTGCCATAAATGAATATCTCAAGTCATGGGTGTCACTGATCACCTCTCAACTAGGACACTTCAGCAGGCTTTTCAGCTGTGTTTAGGGGGAAGACTTGCTCCCCTGCATGTTTTAACCTCATAGAAATAAAACGGAAAACACACACATTATCTCCCATTTCTGAGGAGATTAAAAAGTTGAGAGTAAGGATAGCCAAGCAGTGCTCTTGGTACAAAATGAATTTGAGTGAAAAATTTCTCACCAATTATTTTTGTTGTTGTTATTTCTGTGCTTATTGTTTCTTTGATGGTTCATGAGTCTATGTCATCTCTGGCAGGAATTTGCAGGGGAAGGCCTTCGGACCTTGGCCATCGCATACAGAGACCTGGATGACAAGTACTTTAAAGAGTGGCATAAGATGCTTGAAGATGCGAATGCTGCCACAGAAGAGAGGGATGAACGAATAGCTGGGCTATATGAAGAAATTGAAAGAGATTTGATGGTATGAGTTTAGAAGCATGATGGTTTGTGTTTACAGGAAAGATAGTATGTGTTTAGAGATTTAGCACAGGAATAAGCCATTGGCTAAGTCATCTTGCACACAGCAGATGTTTCTCTTTCAATCACTGAATCATGCTTTATATGTTGGCTTTGAGTTTTCCATGTATGGTCCTAGAGAGCCTAGAATTGTATTTCTATTAGCAGTAGCTTATGCAATTGGAAGCTTCCCAAGAGTAGAAGATAGTAGGCTACCTATTCTTTGTCAACCTCTGATGGTCCTTGATGTTATGGGATTTTTACTTTTCTCCTTGTTTTATTACCCACCTTTTTAGAGCAGAGAAATTTGCTGTGAAGAATGGGGCTACAGTTCTAAACCATCCTAAGCCATGAGATTCTGATGATATCTGTGCTATCCAGAGCATGGTCTATTCTAAAAACCACTCTTACCTGAAGCCCCAGTGGCCAGGAATACCTCACCCACTGTGAGGTACTAGAGAGTATGCTTTGCTCAACTTTTGATGAAAAATCGTGGCCGGGCGCGGTGGCTCACACCTGTAATCCCAGCACTTCAGGAGGCCGAGGTGGGCGGATCACGAGGTCCGGAGATGGAGACCATCCTGGCTAGCATGGTGAAACCCCGTCTCTACTAAAATTACAAAAAATTAGCCGGGTGCGGTGGCGGGCGCCTGTAGTCCCAACTACTTGGGAGGCTGAGGCAGGAGAATGGTGTGAACCCGGGAGGCGGAGCTTGCAGTGAGCCGAGATCGCGCCACTGCACTCCAGCCTGGGCGACAGAGCAAGACTCCGTCTCAAAAGAAAAAAGAAAGAAAGGAAAAGGAAAAATCATGCAGGATCTTTCACTTTAGTTTATGGCGTCTGCTGGTTTGTTAATGTAGAAGAATGACTAGACTTTTTGTGATCAGCTTCCTGACTATGGGATGAAGGCTATTCTTTGGACTCCTCCACTGTTGATATAAGTGGGGAAGCAGCTGGGGAGTTCTTAAGTCCAAATGGCTTCCTACTGCTCACGCTAACATGTTATCTGAGCATATCAGCCCCTTCAAGTAAATAATAAGTCCCAAGATCTCTGCTAAGTTGGCTTGATTTGGGAACTTCCTTCTGGAGTCCTTCCCAATCCACTTTCACACAAAATAGGATGCCTGCTATATCAATGTATCATAATTTCTGTCTTCAATTAATATTCTTTGGCCTCCAGAATCTGTGAGTGAAATCCATAGATGTTATAGATATTGTTTGCATGCATTAACATAAACTTTTCTCTCTTTTTCAATAAAGCTACTAGGTGCCACTGCTGTAGAAGATAAGTTACAGGAGGGTGTTATTGAAACAGTTACAAGTTTATCACTAGCCAATATTAAGATCTGGGTCCTAACAGGAGACAAACAAGGTAACTTGAAAATGGATGTTGATGATATTTTGAAAATGGGGAGATGACTTATATCACAAAATTTTAATTAACCAGAAAGGTTAATTAATTAAATATTCACCCAATCTTCCACATAGGAAAGACTTGAAATAGAGAAGAGGAAGTTAATGTATTGCAAGAATCTATTTTAAAACAAACCAAACTAACAAAATGCCTTCCATAGTATAAGCTGGAGTCAGTTAAGTTTCGGTCCAATTGCCTCTTGAATATAATCATTACACCTAGAGGCAAAAATGGTATTTAAAATGTTTAACAATTGGTTTATATGAACACTGTCCCCAGTCAGGACAGATATTGGCACAGAACTAAAGCAGGATATTGGAGACCTTGGGTTACTCCTTTAGTTTCTTGATGGTGGGGAATTTGAAGGATCTTAGGGGAAGTGTCAGGGTGATGGGAACACTTTGAAGAAGCTCAGGGAAACAGCTGTTTATCAACCATTTATAGAAATATTTTGGTATTTTAATAACTACTACAGCTGTAACAGTGCAACCTGGCTGAATTCCAGGACTGTCTATACAAGGTACAGTGAGAATTCATTGACCTTCAGGCTTGACAAAATGCCAAATCATTAGTGAATCATCGTGTTCTACTATGTTTCCTATGAAAGAAAAGGGGACCAACATATTTTTGATCTACTGCTAGCAGTAATGGTTAAAACAAAAATGATTTTATGCTTGGCTATTTGTAAATGAAAAATATTCAACTAACTGGCATACACCTATGTTAAAATTCTATCTACTTATTAGGTATTTTTTATAGCATTAGGGGATCTGCACATGTGATGCATCAATTCTCTACATCTTTATCCAAATCATTGATCACAAAAAATAAACAGTAGAAAGTTGAGCACTCCGGTGTGTTACTAGGTAGAAACTCTCTAGAGTTTGATTTTGGTCAGTTACAGCCGTTCTATTATTACTAATATCCATGAGTTTACTATTATTTAGCTTTAATTTCTGTGGTTTATACAAGGTATATGCTGAGATTTTATCAATTACCTTCCTTAATTTAGGACAAAACTAATGATTCCATAGAATTAGCTAGAGTCTAATTATTCTATACAGTTAGAGACAATCAAATAACTCTATTAGATAGAAGGAGTTATCTGATTATCTTAGGTTCCATTTCTATAAAATTAGAGGAAGAATTACCCAACACCATCTGATTCTCCAGTTCTCTAGGAGAACAGTGCTGGGTGGTTTTTGAGATGATAGTCAAATTCCAAATTTCCATATATTTAATGGGAAAATGGCAATGTTGTGTGTGAGAGAACTATAAAAATTTCATAAGAGCATTTTTTTTTGTCATTCAACTGAACATTTTGTGAGTTTTTTCTTCAAATTGTCTTCCATTTCAGAATTAAATATTGGCTAAGTTTAGTAGTTTATCTCTCCCAAGACAGTATTCAGACTTCTGGTCAAAGGTTTTATATTTGTACATATTATGTCACAAGATCTTATTTTCATGAGTGCTAATTTGGGAATGAAAAGGTTTTTCTGAAAACTAGATGAGAAGGCTGCACATTCGTTAGTGTTGCTACTTGTGCATGGGTTTAGCAAGTAGGGAATTTGATCCTGAAACCCAGGTCTTTGAATTTCCCTCTGCACTGCTTGTATTTTATCACCTGTTGTGCTCTCTCTGACATCAGCCCCCTGTAGGCTTTAAGAAAATACAGCTAAGCCCTCAAAACTTTCATTAAAAATGGACTTAGGTTATTAAGTAACATTTTAACTGAATTGGGCTTTATTTTGTGTTAGAAACTGCCATCAACATCGGTTATGCCTGCAACATGCTGACTGACGACATGAATGATGTGTTTGTGATAGCAGGGAATAATGCTGTGGAAGTGAGAGAAGAACTCAGGTAGGTGTTGAAGGAAGGAGGAAAGGATGGAAGGACGAGAGGGAGGGAGGGAAAAAAGATCAGAGAGTTGAGAAAGTGAAAAGCTATGCTATAGTTTCCTGTGGTCTTAACTTAGTATAAAGTTCTTTGTGCATGTTTCCTAAACTTCCTTTCATTTTGGTGACAAACTGAGATGAAGCTGATATCAGTAATGAATTATTGTCTTCAGGCCTCCAACATTTCTCAACTATTTTTAGAAAAGAATTTCAAATCAGCTATGTTGAGTTGTCCTTTAAAATTGTGCTTTGGTTAGTACCTGCTCACTCTTGCGTGGTGATGAGTGATCAGTATCATGAGATACTTCTTAAAAATACCAATGCCCTAGCTTCATTCTGACCTACAAATTAAGAATCTACACGGAATGGGATATGGGACTTTGTATTTAATAAGCACCTAGATGAAGCTTATGATCAGATAAGTTTGGGAAACAGCTGTAAACAGCATATAAAGATGGAATAGAGTCTTTCAGCATTAAAGAAAGTAGATATTTTGATGTAGTTACTATTGAACCCAGATATATACTGTTTATGTGAAATAAAATACTGTGAGATTTGTGTAACTACTGCACAGTACCAGAAAATACGTAAGTGCTGAAATTGGAGGTAGCAGTGGACAGACATTAAAGTTTGAGAGATAATATTTCTTAAGATGTACCAATTTATTTCATTTCCTTATTTCTTGTTACTTTATTTGGAGAAGAACGTTTAAAAATCTACAAAAATATTTTCCTAGAACTTAAAAAATACTGTCTTATAACAATTTTTGCTTGCTTGCTGCTTGTAGTAGCTTCTCTAAGCTCAGCTCACTTAGACACTGGCCAAGCAGAATGATGACACAGATGCAAATTACTTATCGCTTGCTCCATTCTAGATGGGGAGCTAACCTTCCTTCAATATAATAGTAGAGCTCTGTGGCTTCCCAAATATGTCTCTGTCATTAAACTATTCTTCCTGAACTTTAAAAAAAGGAAGTCTTAAAAGTCAGCACCACTACTTGATGGTACTTGTACACGAATCTCCCAGCCTCTCGGTTTTACCTGCAGTTAAAAAAAAAAAAAAAACCTGCTATATCGTGCTGGTTAGAAACTATGACTAAATACTGCACATGTCTTTGCCAAATAAAAATTGGGAAATTTAATTAGCTACTACTAATATAATTTAAATATTATTATTGGTATAATTTTAATGATAGACCCCATAGAGTCAGTTGGGGAAATATTAGTAACTTATTTAATAATCAATTAAAATTTTAAAAGTAGATTCTTTACCTTTTGATTTTTGGATTGACTCTTTAAATTGATATACAATATTTATACATATTTTGGGGGCACATGTGATATTTTATTATATGGATAGAATGTATAATGTTCAAGTCAGTGTATTTAGGATATCCATCACTTTGAGTCTTTATCATTTCTTTGTGTTGGGAAAGAAAGTCCTCTCTTCTGGCTAACTTGAAATATACAATACATGGTTGCTAACTATACCCACCATATTCTGCTGTTGAACTTTATAATTTATTCCTTCCATCTAACTATACGTTTGTACTAATTAACCAACCTCTCTTCATCCCCCGCATTCCCACCCATACAACCTTCCTAGTGTCTGGTATCTATCATTCTACTCTCTATGAGATCAACTTTTTTAGTTTTCGCATAGGAGTGAGAACATGTGAAACTTGTCATTCTGTGCCTTATTTGACTTAACATGGAACCCGTGGTTCCATTCATGTTGCTTAAAATGGTAGGATTTCATTCTTTTTTGATGGTTGAATAGTATTCCATTGTATGTGTATACACCACATTTTCTTTATTGATTCATCCATTTATGGACACTTGGGTTGATTTCATATATATTTGATATTATGAGTAGTGCTACAGTAAACATGGGGTGCAGATATCCCTTTGATATAGTAATTTCATTTCCTTTGAATAAATACCCAGTACTGGGATTGTTAGATTATATGGTAGTTCTATTTTTAGTTTTTGGAGAAATCTCCATAGTGTTTTCTCTAGTGGCTGTACTAATTTACATTCTCACCAACAAAGTGTAATAGCTCCCTTTACCAGCATCTGTTATTTATTAATTTATTTATTTAATAGTAGCTATTCTAGCTGAAATAAAATCACATCTCATTGTAGTTTTGATTTGCATGTCTCTGATAATTAATGATGTTGAGCATTTTTCATATATAAGTTGGCTATTTGTGTGTCTTATTTTGAGAAATGTCTATTCATGTTCTTTGCTTTTTAATGGGATTGTTTTCTTACTGTTTTAATTGAGTTCCTTGTATATTCCAGATATTACTCCCTTGTTAGATGAATACTTTGCAAATGCTTTCTTCCTTTCAACAGACTGTCTCTTCAGTCTGTTGATTGTTTCCTTTGCTGTGCAGAAGCTTTTTCATTTCATGTAGTCTCACTTGCCTATGTTTTTGTTGCCTGTGCTTTTGAGGTCTTAGCCGTAAAATCATTGCCTAGAGACCAGTGTCTGGAAGTTGTTTTCCCTATGTTATCTTCTAGTAGTTATATCATTTTGGGGATTATATTTAAGTCTTTAATTCATATTGAGTTAATTTTTGTGTATGGTGAGAGTTAGGGGTCCAGTTTCATTCTTCTGCATATGGATATTCAGTTTTCCCATCACTACTTATTGAAGAGGATGTCTGTTCTCTAGTGTGTGTACTTAGTGTCTTTGTCAAAAATCCATTGACTGTAAATGTTTGGATTTATTTCTGGGTTCTGTATTCTGTTCCATTGGCCTATGTGTCTGTTTTACACCAATACCATGCTGTTTTGGTTACTTTAGTCTTGTGATATATTTTGTAGTCAGGTAGTGTGATGCCTCCAGCTTTGTTCTTTTTGGTCAGGATTGCTTTGGCTATTTGGGCTCTTTTTTGGTTCCATATGAATGTTAGGAATTTTTTTTCCATTTCTGTGAAAAATAACATAGTATGATAATTTTAACAATATTAATTCTTCCAATCCATGAGCATGGAATGTCTTTTCATTTGTTTGTGCCCTCTCCAATTTCTTTCACTGGTGTTTTGTAGTTTTCCTTGTGGAGGTTTTTCACCTCCTTGGTTAAATTTATCCTTAAGTATTTTATTTTTTTACAGCTATTGTAAATGGGATTGCTTTCTTTCTCAGGTACTTTCTCAGGTACTTCATTATTGGTGTATAGAAACACTACTGATTTTGTATCTTGATTTTGTATCCTGAAACTTTACTGAATTTGGTTATCAGTTCTAAGAGTTTTTGATGGAATCACTTGAATTTTTTCTGAATGTAAGATCATGTTGCTTGCAAACAGGAACAATTTGACTTCTATTTTTCAATTTGGATGGCTTCTATTTTTTTCTCTTGCCTGATTGCTCTGACTAGGAATTTCAGTTATGTTGAATAGGAGTGGAAAAAGTGAGCATCCTTGTCTTGTTCCAGTTCTTAGAAAAAAGGGTTTCAACTCTTCCTCATTCAGTATGATGTTAGCTGTGGGTGTCATATATGGATTGTATTATGTTGAGTTGTGTTCCATCTACACCTAGTTTGTTGAGAGTTTTTATGAAGGGATGTTGAATTTTATCAAATGATTTTTCTGCATCGATTGAGATAACTATATGGTTTTTGTCCTTCATTTTGTTGACGTGATGTATCATATTTATTACGTATGTTGAACCATGCTTGCATTCCTGGGATAAATTTCACTTGATCGTGGTGTATTATATTTTTGATCTGTTGTAGGAATTTTTTTCTTTGAGACACAAAAAAAAAAGCCAGGTGCTCTGTCACCTGGCTTTCACTGCAGTGGTGCAATCGTAGCTCACTGCAGCATCGACCTCCGGGGCTCAAGTGATCCTCCCACTTCAGCGTCCTGAGTAGTGGGGACTACAGGTATAAGCCACCACCACACCCAACTAATTTTTGTATTTTTTGTAGAGAGAGAGTTTTGCCATGTTTCCTAGGCTGGTTTCATATTCCTGTGCTCAAATGATCTGCCTGCCTCCGCTTCCCACAGGAGGATCATTTGAGCCCAGGAGTTTGAGACTAGCCTGGGAAACACGGCAAAACAAGGCATGGAGCCACCACACTCAAGCCTGCTGTTGGACTTAGTTTGTTACTTTTTTGTTCAGAATATTTATGTCTATGTTCATCAGAGATATTGATCTGTAGTTTTCTTTTTTTGTTGTGTTCTTCTCTGATTTTGGTATGAGGGTAATGCTGGCCTTGTAGAACAAGTTAGGGAGAATTCCCTTCTCTTCAGTTTTTTTGGTATACTTAAGGATAATTTATAGTAATTCTTCTTTACATGTTTGGTAGAATCTGGTAGTGAAGTCATCCAATTCTGGGTTTTTCTTTGTTGGGAGACTTTTTATTGCAGACTCAATCTCATTATTGGCTTTTGGTATGTTCAGATTTTCCGTTTCTTCCTGATTCAATCTTAGAAGTTTGCATGTGTCCAGAAATTTATCCATTTCCTCTAGGTTTTCCTGTTAGTTAGCATATAGTTGTTCTTAAAGTCTTGATCTTGTATATTTCTGTGGCGTAAGTTGTAATGTCTTTGTTTTCATTCCTGATTTTGTTTATTTGGATCCTCTCTCTTTTTTTCTTGGTTAGTCTAGCTAAAAGTTTATTAACTTTGTTCATCTTTTCAAAAAAACCAAGTTTTCATTTCATTGATCCTTTGTATTTTTTAGTCTATTTTATTTACATATGCTCTGATCTTTATTATCTTTTACCTTCTACTAATTTTGGGTTTTGTTCTTGCTTTTCGGGTTCTTTCAGTCATTTCATTATATTGCTTATTTAAAATCTTTTTACTTTTTTGATGTAGGCATTTATTGCTATAAAATTCTCTCTTAGCAGTGCTTTTGCTGTATTCCATAGGTTTTGGTATGTTTTGTTTCCATTTTCATATGTTTGAGGAAATCTTTTCATTTTCATCTTACTTTTTTCATTGGCCCAGTATTCATTCAGGAACATGTTTAATTTTCATGTAGTGTATTGTTTCTAAGTTCCTTTTGGTATTGATTTCTAGTTTCATTCCATTGTGGTCTGAGAAGATACTTGATATGACTTCAGTTTTCAAAAATTTGTTGAGACTGATTTTGAGGCCTAACTTATGATCTATACTGGAGAATGTTTCATGTGCTGGTGAGAAGAATGTGTATTCTGCAAGTGTTGGATAAAATGTCCTGTGGATGTCTGTTCAGTCCATTTGATCTAAAGTCCAGTTTAAATCTAATGTTCTTCATTGATTATCTGTCTAAATGATTTATTTAATGCTGAGAATGTACTGTTGAAGTCCCTCATTATTATTGTATTGGAGTCTACTTCTCCCTTTAGATCTAATGATATCTGCTTTATATATCTGGGTACTTCAGTGTTGGGTGAATATATATTTAGAATTGTAATATCCTCTTATTGTAATATCCTCTTACTGAACTGATCCCTTTATCATTATAAAATGATAATTTTGGCTCTTTTTACTATTTTTGGCTTAAAGTGTCTTGTATCTGATATAAGTATAGCTACTCCTGTTTGCTTTTGGTTTCTGTTTGTGAGGAATATCTTTTTCTATACCTTTACTTTCAGTCTATAGGTGTCTTTACAGGTTAAGGAGTTTCTTGTAGGCAGCATATAGATCACATTTTTATAGATCCAGATCCAGGCCATCTGGATCACATTTTTAAAAAACCCATTCCGCCATTCTGTATTTTTCAAGCGGAAAATTTAATTCATTTCCATTGAAAGTTGCTATTGATATGTGAGGTTTTGTTCCTGTCACATTGTTAATTGTTTTCTGGATGTTGTATATATCTTCTGTTCCTTTATTTCTTTTTTATTATATATTTTTGTGTCAGTAGTTTTCTTTAGTTGTAACTTTGAGTCCTTTCTCTTCCTCATTGGTGTGTTTGCTTTACCAGTGAGTTTTGCACTTTTATGTGTTGTTCTTAATAGTAGATATTGTCCTTTTGCTTCCAGGTTTAGGATTCCCTCAATTATTTTGTAGGGCTTTTCTAGTAGTGTTGAATTCCCTTAGTTTTTGCTTGTCTGGGAAAGACTTTATTTCCCCAAAGAGGGTAATTTTATTTCTCCACAATAAAGTAACTTTATTTAGAAATAAACTTATTTCTCCAAAAAGGATAACTTTGCTGGGTATAGTATTTCTTGACTTCCAGATACTGTCTTTCAGCACTTTGAATGTATTATCCTGTTATCTTCTGGCTTGTAAGGTTTTTACTGATAAGTCTACGGTAAGTCTGATGGAGACTCCTTTATAGGTGACTAGATGCTTTTCTCTTGCTATTTTTAGAATTTTATCATTGTCATTGACTTTAGACAGTTTGACTATAATGTATCACAGAGAAAACCTTTTTGCATTGTACCTGTTTGGGGATTGCTGGGCCTCCTGTATTTCAATGTCTAAATCTCTTGCTAGAGTTGGGAAGATTTTATCTATTATTTCATCAATAGGCTTTTGAATGCTTTTGTTCTCTCTTCACCTTTGGGAATGCTGATAATTCAGATATGTGGTTGCTTTATGTTGTCTCGCACGTTATGTAGGCTTTGTCTACTCTTGCTAATTCTTTTGTTTTACTTTTGTTTGGGTTATTTCAAGAGACCTGTCTTCTTCTGAAATTCTCTCTTCTTCTTGATCTAGTCTATTGTCAAAACTCTCAAATATATTTTTTTATTTCATTCAGTGAATTCTTCAGTTGCAGGATTTCTGTTTGGTTCTTCGTTATGATATCTACCTCTTTGGTAAATTTCTCAATCATATCCTGAATTGTTTTTTTCATTTCTTTGTATTGTTTATCTTTGTTCTCTTGTATCTCACTAAACTTCCTTAATATCATTATTTTGAATTATTTTTATGGGAATTTCATAAATTTCCTATTCATTGGAATCTGTTACTGGAGAATTATGGTGTTCCTTTGGAGTTGTATTTCCTAGCTTTTTCACGTTTCTTGTGTCCTTACGTTGCTATCTGCACATCTGGTATAACAGTCGCTTCTTCCAATTTTGTGGATTTACTTTCATAGGAGAGGACTTCCTCAATATGTATCTTGGTATTGGTTGGGTAGGGCACTTTGGCTTTGATTCTGGATGTGTGCAGTAGTATAGTCTCCATATAATTTATTTGGCTTTCTTTTTTTTTTTTTTTTTTTTTTTTGGTAAACAAAGCCAATGGTGTCTGTGACTTCCTCAGTGGCTTAGGGTGTGGTTGTTAATGGAGACTGTAGTGAAGTTTTATTGGGCATGGGGACAGCAGGTGGGACAGTCCTTGGGCCCCAGTGGGAGCAGTGGTAGGCTGAGCCTGCCTGTCTTTGGGTCCAAGGGTAGCACATTTGGCACTGGCATTAGTGTGTCCTGGTGGGATGATTCTTGGGCCACCAGGAGGCTTGCTCAGGTGACAGCAGTAGAAACAGTGGGCTGGACCTTGGGCCCCTGGGCTGCAGGCATGGCATAGGCAATGGCAGTAGCAGTGGTTGGACAACTCTCTGGCTCCCAAATAGCCTATGCTGGTGTTGGCAGTGGCTGTGACAGGCTGGTCAGGCCATTCCCCAGGTCCACGGGTGGTAAGTGCAGGTGGGTGCTAGCTGTGGTGGTAGTGGCAGGCTGGGTTAGTCTGTCTTCCAGTCTCTGGGAGGAGTGGTCATGATGGTGGATGGAGCCACGGCAGTGGATGGTGGATGGAGCAGGGTGATCCCCAGGCCCCTAGGTGGTATGCTCAAGTACTGGGGTGGGGGGTATGGAGTGCGGTCAAAGCCAGACTGGACAGACCTGTCTGTATGTTCCCCTTCTCCCCGCTGTCCAGTGGTATGTATGGGTGCTGGCTGTGGTGGCAGGGACAGGGTTATCCCAAGGCCTCTGGTGGAATGCTCAGGTGGGGGTGGCAGTAGCTGCACTCTGGCCGTGCTGGCTGCTGGGGTGAGTGGGATTGCTTTTAGTAGTAGCAGCCTTAGGCAGGTGGCTGGGAAGTGTGTGCTTTGGCTGTAGGTGGCAGCTATATGTAAGGTAGCCTATCCTTAGGGCATGTGGAAATGTGAGGAAGTCCTGTTGCTGGAAGGGTAGTGGGGTTGCTGTCAGCGTCTTGCACTTTGGCCATGGTGGCAGTGGTGGCAGTGGTGGTGGCTGCAGGTGGGGAATGTCAGTGGAGCTCCAGGAATGTGGAAAGCCAAGTACTGTTGGGCCCTCAGGCAGGATGCAGTCTGGTGGGGCTGGGCTCTCAAAATGACACTTTGCTGTCATTTTGTGGTATGTGGGACCCAGTGTGAGCTCCCTCTCTGGGGCAATGGCACTGCCTTGTCTTCAGGCAGCTCCCTATGTTAATTTCAGGGTCTGAAAGGGTTGAGAGGCTCTCCTATGGCTAGGAGTGGAGTCTGTGGTGAGATTGTGGACCACTGGGCATCCCTCACTTATACTTTCCCTACACAGGAGAGCCTTTCTGGGCTCCCAGCCAGACAGGATGCCTTGTTTCCCTCTTCTTCTTTTAGGTGTTTCCTGTCACTTCTCTCTTGAACTCCAATATTTTCTCTTAGATGACATATTTGAAGTATGATTATCTACTCTCTATCTTGGTGCTTCTTTGTGGAGGAGGCAACTGCCAGATGCCTTTAGTCGTACATCTTGAAGGACCACTCTCATTCAGAACTTGACTCTTGCTGAAGGAAGATAGATGCAAACAGATCTAGATTTTAATAAGCCTGTTGCTAAATGTTTTGAGACAGTGCCTGGAAGAGTATTGTAGGCAGTACACATGTATTACCTCATTTTGTTCTTAAGAAACTCAATCGTAGGCATTACTGTTTTCCCTGTTGGACATATGAGGAAGTCGAAGTATATAGAGGGTAAGTAACTTGCCCAAAGTAGTCCGTGGTTCAGGTGGGATGTGAATCTAGGCAGCTTGGTCCCAGAGGCTGTGCACTTGCCATGTGTTTCCCTAAACATACCTCAGATTTATTTTTATTCCCTTTAATAATTAACCTAAAAATATAGTTGTTAAGGTATCTTACTGCTTCACTTGAGTAAATGGTCAGACACCAGATTAGCAAGTAGAGTCAGCAGAAATTTCCAGGGGAAATAGCAGATGTAGGAGAAAGAGTATGGGCTTCATGTCAGCTGGATTCAAGTTGGAATCTCAGCTTCATGCTTAGGCTGAGTGGGAAACTTTTGATATGGGAATAACCTCTGTTTGCTTGGTTTCCTTATTTGTAAAATGGGGATACAAATATCTACTCTATATCTTATTTTATTTGGGGGATTAGATAAGAACTTAAAGCTTTATGACTGTTCCATGCGCATCTTTCTTGCCTTCCTCATTCCTTGTCTATTTCCTCCCTTCTCCCTTCCTTCATTCTTTCAGCCACTGATCCCAATCTTTCCACCAACAAGGACTACTTTTGTAACTATTTCCCCAATAAGGGCAGCAGGCCTGAAACAGTGGGGAAGGAAAGGGTAGAATAAAATAGACAGCTTTTTGGAGGTAGAATGAATAGGTCTTGTAATTTGATTGGATGTGAAGAGAAATAGTAGGAGGCTTTGTCACTGCTAGGTTTCACAGCCCAGAGTGTGCTCAGGCATGCAAGAATAGAAACTCATTAAATTTTCTAAAACTGAACTTGAACCTCTTTCTGTCTGAGGACAGAACAATTAAACTAGGCATTTTCAGTTAAATTTAGTTCAAGTCTGGGATGTACAATTGCCTCACCTGTTACTGTTCATCAGTGTCTACCCTGCTGGCATCCAGCACTTCCCACGTCTGTGTTCCTGTCTGGTCTCTGCTCTCTTAGGGTTGTTGTTGGCTTTCCCTCTTGGCTGACTTCCACACTCTGCTGGGGAACCATGGAAAGTGTGGCTGCTCTTCCTCACCTCTCTATGCCCAAGATGACTTGTGTTCTTATATGGCCACTTCAGTTTCTAAAATCCCTTTACTCTGCTGATTCCCCTAAATTTATCTGAGGATTCCATTAGCCACATGGTTCCTTCATCCACTACCAATCCAGGGGCGGGTCAGGACCCCGGCTTTTTTTAGCCATCACTTATCAGTTTCTAAACTCCTCAAAGTCCCCTTTCCCTAGGCTGGGATGGGAAATGAAGGAAAGTAATTTCTTCCTACTCTGCTCCTTTTGTCATCATTTTAATGCCTTGACTCATTTAAAGTTTATTCTTTTGATACTTAAAGAAATCCCCCCCTTCTTTTTCCAAAAGTCCAATTAGTGAAATTCCAGATTGCTGAAATTCAGACTAATGATGCTGCTATGAGTTTCAAAGCCCTATTTTGGTGCTCAAAAACAAAAGTTTCGTTGTATTTTTCTCCTTCTATATTTGGCTCTGCAGATCCTCCTGAAGCAAAGTATGTTTCTAGTTAAATGGAGAGGATCACTTGTGGTCCTAGTAGTAGTGGGAAAAGGAGCGATTGAGTTAATATCTCAAGATTTTATCCAACTACATTTGGTTGGCTAGATGACACAACTGTCATTACGTGGAAAGAATATGGAGAAATGTGAACTACTTGTATGCTGTTGTTGGGACTGTAAGTTGATAGAAACTCCCTAGAGGACAAACTAGCGATATGTTTCAAAATTACACATACGCATAGTTTTTACCCAGTGATTCTTCTAGAAATTTCCCTTAAGAAAATAAGTGAACAAATGTATGAATTTGTATAAAAAGGAATATTTATTGCTCTATTGATTTATGATAATAGAGATGAGAAATAGCTCAAATAACCAGCCATGAAGGATTTTGTTAAATGCTATGATATATACATGCAATGGAACACTCTTCAGTCATTCAAAGTGATTTTGTATTTTTCGACATTGGAAAATGCCCATGATATTTTTGTTAAATGATAAATGAGACTACAAAACATCATGCGTAATGTGATCTCTCTTTTTGCAAAAAAGTGTGTGTGCATGTGTGTGTGTGTGTGTATATATATGTAGGTACATATATGTATAAAACACTATACATCTACCCACCTCCTTACCTCCTTGCCTATCAAGATCTGGAGGATATAAACAGTGGTTCTCTCTGGGTGATAGAATTATGGATCATGTTTACTTCCTTCTTTATGGCTGTTTGTATTATCTGATGTTGTAATAGTGTTTGTGTAATGCTTTTACAATTAGAAAAAAGCTAAAAAAATTATCTTTTTTAATGAGAAGAAAAAATATTCAAAAGAAAAAAAATAAAGAATTTCCAGCTAGACTCAATATTTCAGGAGCCTTGGGGCCACCTTGCTCAGCTGACTGGAAAATAATGTTATTTCTACTCAGACTTGTAGGTAACCCCATTCTTAGAGTATAAGACAGAGAGGCAACATATGATAGAAAATTCTATGTAAGAGAAATCATTATAGTTATAGTGTGCATTTTCTTAATACTAGGACTGAGGGTAAAATGGCATCCAAAAAAGCTATTGCTCAAAGTTGTTCTCTATACTCCTAATCTCAGCTACTTATATCTAAGCCTACAGCTTTGGGATGAAATATTGAAATCATAAATTTGCACCATCTCTTTTTCTTGTGTTATGCTTTTGAGTTCAGTGGGAGTTCATTTAAAAAGAAAGTGTAACCAAAGAACAGGATCTGAACAATAGTAGCTATTGAAAAGAAATGACCAAAATGCTTATATTTAAACCTGTCAAATGTGCTTAGATTATTTCATAAACATGGATATATAATTTTTATACATATCATACATACGGCTTGTTTCAAATTTAGTGTCGTGAAACCATTTTAGACACTTTGAGTCCTGGGTTAATTTTGCTGCTGTAGCTGCCTTATTATTAAAGGCATGCCTAGAAAGCTACAGTTAAACCCTGCTATGGTTTCTCAGAAAATTACTACATTGAATACATTTCACCAATTCATATGTCTTCTGCTGAAAGGAAAACAGACTGAGAATTTAATTTTGATTGATCTGAGAGGAAAACTCATTCCGTATTTCATTTTTGTAGCATTGATCACGTGTTTTGTTATTAGAAAAACTCATGTTCTTTAACTAAATCATAAAGTGACTCCACTGCTTCTAAGAAGTATCCCAGTGATATAACTAGGAATTGATATTTCTTCTTTAATCAGCAAAATATGCATCAGTATTTTTTGAACATCTACTTGGTGGAAAATTATTTATTTGAATGTGCAGGGTTCTCAAATGCAAATGGCTTCAGGAACAGGCATATAGCATTAATCATGTGATCTGGGCTATCTATTATACATCAGGGAGTGATGGGGCCTTTGGTGAGTGGGAACATCATGTTGGCCATAAAGCCATAGAGATTCTTTAAGACACTGTGCAGGCCAAACAAAATGCATTTTGGTCCTAATTCCTAACCCCTAGTCACCCAGGAAAAATGTTTTAGTACATTAAATTTCTCTCATGAATCATAAAATTTTAGAGCACTTACTTAGGTAATCTTGTAGATCTTCTGGCACACACTGGTGCAGCAGCCCAAGTTTTCATGATCTATTTTGACTGCTTGGGGCACTAGCCAAACTGACTGGCTGGTCCCATTTCATGAACTCTAATAATGAAACTGGTTCAGTGGTTGAACATCTTAAAGGTCTCTCAGGTAGGGTAGTAAGGAATGGAACTGGGAATTCAAATCAAAATTTCATGTACTTTCTCCCTTTCTCTACTGTTGGCAGGGTAGTGCTGTCCCTTAAAACTGTCCCTCCAGCACTGTGTCTTAGTCCAACCTAGAGGCAGTCTGTGGCTGACTCTATGTGTAAACCAGCTTGGTGCAGTAGACCAAGAACTGTGAATATGAAGACGTAGGTTCCAGCCATGGATCTGTCGCTGGCTAATCAAGTGGCTAGAGGTCAGATAACTCAACTGTGGAAACAAACATAAGATGTCAGAGGCAGTCTGAACCCAGGTTTCCAGGTTCCAAGCTCAAAGCTCCAGCTTTCATATCAAAGTCCAGATTTTCTTCTTTTAAACAGGATGTCATGGTTTCAATCCATTTCCAACAGATCGATTTTTTTTTTTTTTTGAGACGGAGTTTTGCTCTTGTTGCCCAGGCTGGAGTGCAATGGCGCCATCTTGGCTCACTGCAACCTCCGCCTCCCAGGTTCAAGTGATTCTCCTGCCTCAGCCTCCCGAGTAGCTAGGATTACAGGCATGTGCCACCAAGCCTAGCTAATTTTGTATTTTTGGTAGAGATGGGGGTTTCTCTATGTTGTTCAGGCTGGTCTTGAACTCCTGACCTCAGGTGATCTGCCCGCCTCAGCCTCCCCAAATGCTGGGATTACAGGCATGAACCACTGTGCCTGGCCACAACAGATCAATTTAACCTTTCAATATAGAGTGCCTTAAGAGGACTGACTAAACGACTCTTTTTTCCAACCATCCTCTTTTCTTCTTTATAGGTTGTATGCAAGCCAGTATGTGCCTAACTATGCTTTGCTGTGCTTGTAGTGACATGGGGCTGTGAATGCCACAGTTGCCTCAACTGTTAATGCGATTCTGCATGCCAAGAATTGTAATAAACTGCCCTTCATTACGCAGCTTGGAAAAAACAGGCACTCTTTTGTTTTAGCATTTGTTATTTGTATTATGTGGTTAAGCATTGTGTGTACGCTTCAAAAATGTATAGCTCATAGTCATTGAAGGGAGTTATGTGTAGCTTTTTCCCTTCCTAATAAATCGTTTTTGTGAGAACCAGCTGGTGTTTGAAGAGCTAAATTCCAGGAAGAAAAAGAAATGACAGCTACAGAGCGTGGGCAAAGGTCTAAAAATATGAAAGCCCAATCTGGCCAAGAGACGTTGGCCTGTACAGAGAAAGTGCAGTGACAATTTCAGCAGAGCCAGAAAAACTGTCCCTTTTCTGCCTGGAAAAGGGTTCATGTGAGATGTTAGGAAGACAGTTTAAGGAGAAAAAAATCCTAAGTAAATAGAATTTCAGCCAATACTTTCATGAACTTCACCCTTCTTTGGAATGTTTTTACTCTCTAAGGGGAAAACAGATTGAGTCATTTATACAGCGAGTGAGAACTTTACTCAAAAGGAGTACTCAGGAGATGTTTTCCCTGTGGTGCTTTCTGAAGTCACAATTTATGAGCTCTGCAACATTGTCAGAGAAATGTTCATTTCCAAGGAACTTGTCTCCCTTGCTTTCTTTATTATTTGGCACTGTACATTTTCATGACTGTGAGGAGGATTCCCTGACATAGTTATCTGATGGGAAAGTCTGATCCTCTCACTTACAACAATGATTTTTCATGTCTGTTCTACTTCCCTCTCCCCTTTGTAACTCCCTAAATTTCACACATAGCACTCTGACTTTATACATCTTTTTCTTTGATTCTGCAAACTGATTGTTAAATGTGTGATATGATTCTTGGAACCATGTGACCTCTGGGTTCCTAAATGCAGATGTGATTTTGGTCTTGGACAGCAGAAGGAGATATTGAGCTAGAAGTTAATGTATCTTTTTGTATCATTTTTATTTTTAAACTTAGTATGTAAACAATTGGTGTTACATTTTCAAATAATTAGACAGCTGAGGGCTAAAACAGTTGTTTTGGTAAGTGGACATTCTCTTCTTTCAGAGGAGCCTCAGCATAAAACCATTTTAATAAATATTTTCTACACAGGATGAGTAATTTCATTTCGCCAAAAGACACAATATTCACTTTCTGGTCTTCTCTCACTCTCCATGTTCTCCTGAGTGCTCATTTTGTAAATGCCAGTTATGACCCATGCTGGATAGTTCTCTGGTCGTGGTTGAAGCTTCTGTAGGTTTGTCAGCTTGCCTTATGTTACTTCAAAGCCTGCACTCAACTGTTCTTGAAGAGGAATTTCCCTTCCTTTAAGGGCATCATCTTTCCATTTTGGAGAGAACAGTAGAATGCCACTTCTAAGTGTGCTATGTCACCATACAATCTTCCTCTTAGATGGCAGAGATGCATGGGATGTGAGCAGGATTGCTTTATAGCTACTGCTAATTAGATCTAGAGCATTTGGAGGGCGTTTCCATTTGGAACAACCCTCTATATTTTGGTGTCTAGTTTTTTTCCTAGAAGATTTATTCTATTTTTTAAGCTGAATACAATTTTTGCTTAAAATGTTCTATCCTATTATAATGGCTATGCCAATTCAGTAAGTACCATCATTTTTCTTCTTGTTAAATTTTTTTTAAAAAATATGTTTCTCAGAGGACTATTTTAAGCTGGATCGTATTACATTGTACCTCAAATTGATGAATTTATTTTATATATAGATGTCCTGGAATTCCTAGAAGATTTCATCAATTGTCTTTAGTCTTGTGCTTTCCATTATTTAACAGCATGCCTGCCAGATAGTGGTTCTTAAGCCCTTGAAGCTCAGACAGTCTTAAGTACCAAATCTATCAAGATCCCCTAGTTCAAACACAGCTCAAGATGGTGATTTAGCTTTTAGGTCATTTTAAACATTCAAGATATTGTATTTTCATTATGTTTACTCTCCTACATCCTGGAATTTGGAAATTTGCTAAGATATTCCCATCACAAAGAATTATCCAGCTTGCTTACTGAAACTGGGTCTTATGCCATATTCTCTCTGAATAGTGGTGAAATAAATTTACCTCTAGGCAAGTTTCTTGTTAGAATTAGTAGGCATGCTCTGTATGCTTTGTTATGTTTCACTTTTCACCCTCTCCTTTAAGGAAAGCAAAACAAAATTTGTTTGGACAAAACAGAAATTTTTCCAATGGCCATGTAGTTTGTGAAAAAAAGCAGCAGCTGGAGTTGGATTCTATTGTAGAAGAAACCATAACAGGAGATTATGCCTTAATCATAAATGGCCACAGTTTGGTGAGTTTGCCTAAGGTTTTTGTCCTTTCTTTTTCTTCACTGCAATAATCATCTCTTTTGTGCTATCATAATGAGACCTCCTTTGTCTTTTCCAGACAAATGTCACTACTAGATACAGGGCATATGCGATGATTTCCTGTTTGCAAAGGGAAAGGAAACTTCTAATATATATCTCATACATTATTATTTGGATCACCACAGTAAAGGGGAGGCTCCAAAGAAATGCTAAATTCACAGAATATCAATCTTGTCTAAATGACTATAGACCACTTAGCAGTATTATTTAAGTGCCTTTCTAGAGGGGAGTGTTACGGCTCACTGTTACTTAATTAAAATAATGCAACTGGGTGGATGTATTATAATTATTGCTCTTACTAATGTTTGTGATTTGTGGAGCACAACCTGACCTTCATGTAATTACTATACGAAATTATTGCCATTAAGATACCTCTAGTGGTTTTTCTAAATAGCAGCATTTTACAGCAATGCCAAACAATTTGCTTTGATTAGGAAATCTGGTTCTTGTCCTAATAGAATGAACTTGCATTGTACTTTTAATGTAGTTCAGATTCTGAATCTTGAACAAACATGAAAATACTCTTCTGAGTTTCTAATTTAAAATACAAAAGCTCCAATTACGCTCCAGTGAAATTATAATTTATATGCACAAGGAATTAATCTCACATCTTTCTCTGGCTTTGATGATCATTTTTCACTTTAGGGTTTGGACAATAAATGTATCTTCTTGTAGACAGTTTCTTAGAGGACAAAAGAAGTTGGGTATGAGGATATTGTGTTTTCTCCCTTGCGATCAGCTGTCTGTTGTTAGCTCTTAGTGCTTAGAGCATTATCCAGCTGGATTCCAGACATAATGATGTGTTGCCTTCTACACCATGGAAAGTTACAGAGCTCAGCTGCAGGCCAAACTCAGTTGAAAGTTTGTCCACATGACACAAAATTCCTTTATGCACAGAAGAACAGTAACTGAAAATTACGACTGTCATCTGGGTCTTAAAGCTGGTGGCCCCCAAGCTGAATTCCCCAGAGACCACAATATGGAAAGGGAATCTTATGAGTTATACTTTGACTTTCTCTCAGGCTCAAAGAATCCAATGTGTGGTGACATTAAGAGTACTCAGGTGATAATTTATACCATTCTCTCTCTCTGTCTCTAAGTGCATTGAAAGAAGGAGGTAAGATAGATGCTCTTCAAGAACACCATCATATTCAAAGCCTGAAACTCATGGAACCATGAAATGCCATTTTTAATTTAAGGAGACTTGACTATGTTTTTGCTAGTATGGTCAGAAAGCTTTTTCTTTCTTTCTTTTTTTTTTAATCATGATTCTAATTTGCTCAAATCCTGATGCTTTGCAGAATGTAATTTGGCCTTTGTTTTTTCTCAGAGTCTTAGCATAGTTTTTCACTTGCTGATAATAAAAAAGAGAGAGAGAGAGAAAGAGACCATTCTAGGCAAGACAGACAATTATCTGTTTTCTCTTTCAGAAAGAGTGGTAATATTTGAAAATGCCAACTCACAATTTCACCTAGGAATTATAGGTTTGAACATGAGAATTTTCTGTACTGAGTTATGTTTTTATATTCATTTACCCATCCAGCCATTCATCCATTGACATTTTTATTAAGCGTGCCCCGGTCACAGTGCTAAAGTCTGAGGATAAGACTGTGAATAGAACATGGCTCTCGTTTTAGGGATTGCTGTCTAGTGGGTGAGATAATCACACAGTGGTATGACAAATACTGTAAAAGAGGAATGAACACAATGCTTTGAGAGCACAGAGGGAGACAAATTTACTTCTTTGTGGGAGAATCAGGGAAGACTTCCTGGAGAGAGTGATATTTTCAAGTAGAGGTAATGGCAAGTACAAAGGCACAGAGGCAAGAAAGAGCCCATTCAATCATGAGGAACAAGCAATTTGGCATGATGGGAAAAAAAGTGTAGACTTAAAAGTGGTGATAGAAGATGAAACTCAAAAGGAATGCAGGGGCCAGATTGATATGGGCTGTGAATGTCTTGCTAAAGATTCACTCAAAGATACTGATGACTCAAAGTGTAAGTGGATTTGTTTCCTCTTAATGTGTTTATTAAATAATTTACAGTAAAACATTTTCTAGGAAAAAAAAATTGCACAGTTAATTGGAAGGGATTGTGCTATCTTTTTTAGTGATTTCTTGGTATAGCTAAAGGCTCTTATGCATTTGGATAGGAGCAAGATTAGAAATGGTTGAGGAACCCTGTCTGTGACGCAGCTTGCGTGCCCCCCTTTTGCACAGGCCTCTCTGGGTTTCAGTCACTATGTTCTTCAAGGGACAATCCCCAGATCATCTGCTTTTCATTTTGCCTGCACATTAACAATCACAACAAACTAAATATACAAAACAACAGTGCAAAGAAACAAAAAGCCCATCAGATAGAATAAACAAAACATCATCATTTGTAGTTCATTCTAAACTTGGTGAGCTGGTAGATAGGTTCTGTCTTTTGTTTTCATCAATTTTAATGGTTTCTAGAACTTCTCCAGCATTTAACTCTCTCTCTCCAGTGCAGCATGATATCAAGGAAGACATATAAATGGCAGTTTTGTTTATTTTTATTTTAAAATTCCTTAGTAGTATTTTAAAATTTGCTTAGGAGTTCAATACTCATTTCTTTGGTTCTTGTTGCTTGTGTGATTCTGAATCAACAATGACTTTTTGGAGTGAATGAAATGGTTTAGCAAACAAATGAAATGGTTTTAGCAAACAAAACATTTGTCTTGTTTCTCAACCCTCATTTATTGTTTCCTGTTCTTGTTTGAATTTTATTTTTAATCATACAGGCTCATGCCCTAGAAAGTGATGTCAAGAATGATCTCCTAGAACTTGCTTGCATGTGTAAGACTGTAATTTGCTGCAGGGTCACTCCACTCCAGAAAGCCCAAGTGGTAGAGCTGGTGAAGAAGTACAGAAATGCTGTTACTTTGGCCATTGGTGATGGAGCCAATGATGTCAGCATGATTAAAAGTAAGAGGATATTTGCTCAATGGGGTATGCTGCATACATGGGGTCCTCAGTTTCAGCATTTGGCAATATATAATCACTAGATTGCATTAAAATTTAATTTTGCCAGTGATTCTAAAATGAATGATACTTCTGGGTCCAATGCTACCACCATTATTAGTATTCGTAACAAAATTTCTTTGTCTTTAAATAAACCATTTGTGTATTTTTAGGCTAGAAAAAGACGTCGTTCACCTTTTACTATTTGAGGAAGTAAGTAGCTACGGTGTAGAGGAAAGAACACCAGACCCACATTTGTAACATGTGACTTTAACCCCATCTTTGCCACTTACAAATTGTAAAAACTTCTGTAAGTCACTGAACTTTTCTGAGGCTGATTTTCTCTTTTGTAAAACTAAGAGAAATATCTATCATAAGTGTTTCATCAGATAATATATGTGAAAAATTATAATTGCAATGGCTGTAAGTTTTCCGTAAATAAAAGAGGAATGACAAGTTTCCAAAAGAGATCGTGGCTTTGTTTTGGGAGTGACAGTGTTCCTCTTTCCTTTGTAGGTGCTCACATTGGTGTTGGCATCAGCGGCCAGGAAGGATTGCAAGCAGTCTTAGCCAGCGACTATTCATTTGCACAGTTTAGATATCTCCAAAGGCTTCTCCTTGTTCATGGAAGGTGGTCTTATTTCCGAATGTGCAAATTCTTATGCTATTTCTTCTATAAGAATTTTGCATTTACACTTGTGCATTTCTGGTTTGGTTTCTTCTGTGGTTTCTCAGCCCAGGTTGGTAAAAGCATGTTTTTTTTTGTTTGTTTGTTTGTTTGTTTTTGTATGATATTACAAATGACTCTTCTTCATAGCTCTTTACTAATAAATTCAGAGCATTTTTTAATGGCTGATTCAAGTAATAGTATTACAATTATGTAATTGATAGTTGACTTGAGCTTTGTACCCAAGAAGAATATGTATCTAGCTGGAATTTTATTTATTTATTTTCTTATTTAGATAGTCAACCAGTGAGTACTCCTTCCATGCATACTTTAGTTTTTGTTGAAATGTTTTTGGTATGATGACAGGTAAGCTTGTTGTAGAGTTTTAATTTAGAACAGAAGTCTGCAAATCACTAATAAGAAATGTTGAGGTATCTTTACTGGGAAGATGGTTTCTTATCCAACACACTAAATGTATCTGGACTGATTGGTACTCTGACATCAAAGCTGTTTAGACAGCAATTCATCAGCTAAAAGTTGATCTATAGATAATGCTGGTAGGAAGAAAGAAAATTAGCAAATGTATAAATTAGGATTCTATTTTTATATCGCTTCTTATACATTAAAGGATAGTTATTTAACCACACATCTTCAATATCAGAAAAGTTTTGACCCAATGAATCAACTGTAAAATGTAATGTCTATATCATTTAAATATACTTATAAATTTAAAAAATTTGTTACCAAAAACTTAAATGTAGATATGGCATTGACATTTTGAACAACAATACAAGAAAAAGATTGTCCTTGAAAAGGAAATGGTAACCATAACACTCAGAGATTTATTCAATTGTTCTTCCCTTCTTTGGGTTTAATCAATGACATGGATTCAACGATATGCATGAAGGTGATTTTTAAAAAATCATTTTATTCAAAAAGACTGAGGATAAATGAAATCTTGGCATCTTCTTCTTACATGTGCTAAGGGAGATTAGTGAATTCCTTTTTACAATGAAAATACATTTTCAACATTTTTTCCTTCTTCTGGGAAGTTAAGATTTCTTAAAGTGAGGCATACCTGTTCCCATTCCTAATTTTCTCTTTTTAGGATAACATGCCCTAAACTAAGAGTAGATTATGTTGATATTTTTGCCTTTTTTTTGTTAATCTCTTGACAGTTGAAGTAAAGCAGAGTCTTGATTTTAGCTACTCAGAAGTAGAAGTTATCTTAGTGCTACTTCAGAGTAGGCGTGGGGCTGGGGTTATTTGCATGCTCATAATTCCTCCTTTGTCCAACAAAGACAAGCATTGGAATGTGGCCTGTGGCTTCCTAGTCTGTTGATTTTCCTTCCACATAAGAACAAAGCAAGACCATCTGCTAACGGGTGTTTCTAAGAGATCTAATTTTCATATTCCAAAGGCTTAAGGCTGAAGAATCTCAAGACTATGAAGGGACAAACCCCATTTAAAAACTCTTAGAACACAGAAGAGTAGTCAGTGATTTGTATTTGCAGACGCACAAAGCTTGAATAGGCAACTGTTCCACTAAGTTGTCTGTTAAAACTGTGAAGTTGAAACTAACGTTCAATGACTTCTAACCTCTACATTTAGGTCATTTTCTGGGTTCTGATAAAAATCGGTCAGAGCCAGATATTAAGCAACTAGAATTTTTATTCTTTCACTGGTATTTGCATTTTAAAAGAGAACAACAAGGGAGAACAATAATTGCCCCAAAGACATGAGCAGCTTGATGGTTGAACCCAGCTGTAAGGCACACCACCTGTCTGTGATTAGGTTTCTGAAATGTTTGATTTAACTAACATGTTTCTTTTCTGTGTCCCTTCCTTTCCCTTTTGTTTTTTTACACTGAAATCTCTAGTTAATTGCACAATCTTCATTTTGAATCTATTGTTAGTCCCAGTTGACCATCTGTGTTCTTTCTTAAGCCAGTGAATTGGGTTGGACCAGTGGTTCTCAAGCTTTAGCGTGCATAGGAATCACCTGGAGGGCTGGTTAAAGCACTGCCCACTGGGCTCTAGCCCCTAGAACTGTACTTTGAGAACCACTGGGCTAGAAAACCTAGAAGAGTATCCCAAGTTCTGCTTCCTTGAACCCAGACCAGAGTAAAGTCCAATCTGCTGACTTTTTGTTTTGTCAACAACATTAGACCGTATTCATCTTTTCTAAAGCAGAGGGGCCAGTTAAGCCAACAGCTGATCTCCCCCAGTTGAATTTTTCCAGAGGATTTAAAATCCTTTCAGCCCTCTTGTCAGACCACTGTCCCTGAGGCATATTTTACCTGCGCTAAGACAGGGCCAGGTGGAAAAGGGATGTCTGTTCATGGTACAGGATTTCTTTCCCCAGTTTAGCCAGTCTATTATATCTTACCTAGCTTAACCATTAGCTCCTTGAGGAAAAGAAGTACATCTAACTCATCGATACATCTGTAATAAAATCTTGAATGTTACCTGCCATATAGAAGGCCTTCTAGTCATTTCATGTTGGTGGGTGTTTCTATAGTCCTTTCCCATGCTTGAGGCAGGTGCAGCAAAGAGAGCCATTCCGACGTGCCTCCAGTCACTCACACAGTTGCCACTTACTCTACCCACCCCAGGGGCCATCCCTGCAGGCTCTGGATCTGGTCTGTTTAAACGTGTGCAGCCTGATCACCACTGTGGCAAAGGGGCTCAGGGTCTTAAGATCTAAATGCGGTTATGGAACTGATTTCAGAATATGGAATGCTGTTTTTCTCAGTTGTGTTAATATTAATATGATACAATAGTTAATTGGGCTACAGGTGATACATTTCTTAGTTATTTATACATCCTTTCATTCTAGGAAAGACATAGAGTGGATTTTCCAGGTGTTTTGGCTGGTTCTTGTCTGATTTAAATAGGGCAGGATACCTTTTTTTACGCAGAGGAGCAATCACCATATAAAAATAATTGGGCCTCTGAATAGGAGTCCTGGACTGCTCTCTACTTTGCCCCGATTTGTACGATGACCTTATCACATTGGGACCAAAGCTTATACTGGAAAGGGTACTTTGGTCCCACTATTTAAGGATTTCACTCATTTAATAAATATTCACTAAGCCTTTGCTCTGTGTCAGGCCGTGGTGCCTCCTGGACCTTATGTCCTGGGTATGTTAAGAAGTGTGCTCTTGATGGGCATGGCAAAGTGTGATCTGACAAATTTTATTAGCTGTTCATGTTGTGGAAGGTTTAAGGTTTTATATCCAGACTTGTCAGAGAAGTAGATAGGCTTTCCAGGAGAGTGACAAGTAGTAATTGCTTATCACCTGTTGGAGAGGAGAGGACAGCCAGTCAGTGACAGTACCCATGTAGTGGCATCAATGCTGTGGGGTCAGCTTCTTTGTAGAATCATGATATTGTTGACACTAACAAGCAGGGATACAAACAAGTTATAATTATACCTAACATTTAAATAGTACTTACTATGTTTCAGGCATTGTCTAAATGTTTTACTTTTATTAGCTCAGTAGTTACAATAACCATATGAAGTAGGTTTTACAATCATGGTCTATATTAGCTTAATTATGGTAAAAAACACATAAAATTTACCAACTTAACTACTTTTAAGTGTAGAGTTCGGTAGTGCTAACTATGTACACATTGTTATGTAACAGATCTCTAAAACTTTTTCTTTCTGCAAAACTGAAACTTTATATCCACTCAATAACAACTCTGCATTTCCCCTAGTCCCTGGCAACCACCACTCTACTTTCTTTTTCTATGAGTTTTCCTACTTTAGATACCTCATATAAATGGAATCATATAGTGTTTGTCTTTTTGTGACATGCTTATTTCACTTAGCATAGTGTCCTCAAGATCCATCCATGTTGTAGCATGTGGCAGTATTTTTCCTCTTTTTAAGGCTGAATTGTGTTACATTGTATGTATATACTACATTTTGTTTATCCATGTATCCATCTATGGACATTTGGGTTGTTTCCACCTCTTAGTCTATATCAGCTCTTTGTTCGATATTTTCTAAATAA
Organism: Homo sapiens; assembly: GCF_000001405.40. Classification (NCBI taxonomy): domain Eukaryota; kingdom Metazoa; phylum Chordata; class Mammalia; order Primates; family Hominidae; genus Homo; species Homo sapiens. The sequence continues at coordinate 49,893,343 of NC_000015.10, read as the reverse complement.
TAATATTTGGGAGTTCTACTGTCCAGTAAATTCTATTTCTTCCCACTCTCACCTCCCCATCTTCTCTCTTCAGGCTTAAAAATTTACAGTTCACATTAGTCTGTGAATTGTAGGCTCTGACAAGTCCAAATGTAAAGAAACACTACTATATTTGACTCCAAGATGCATATACATGTATTCTCACATCTGACATCTCTAAGACTTGGATATGTCTTTACAATCAAAAGTATATTACAATATCCTTTGATCTGAATTGAAGTCAGGTTTTCCAGAGAGCATTTGTGTGACTTCATCCAGTTCCCTGTGGGCACTGCTGCCAACCTAAGATCTTTCTCTTTCCAAAGATTTTTTGAATTCAGATTGCAGATTCTAGTGAATACCAGCTTGTGGTCCAAGTTTTCAAGAGAGATTTTGTCTCTCCCTTTAGTTAGTGCAAAGTTGACGTAGGCTAGTTTCCTTGCAGTCCCTTTCTGCATGAAGATTTCTCTTTTACACTGAGGATGTAGCTCTTTGTTGCCCTAGCTTTATGGGAATGTTAGAGTCCCCATTTGGTTGAATTTTGGCATTGATAATGGTATTTCTTACAATCAATTGTGCTTTAGAGTCAATGAGATTTGGTATTATTACCCAAACTCATTTTGCATGGAACGCTGCTTTTTCTAAGCAACACATATAATGTCCTGTAGAACAGGTGCCATATGGAGCTCACTTTGGGACATTGTGGAATGGATGCTTCTATAGCAACAATTTCAAAACTTGACATTGCCTCACTATTTATCCCAGTTCTAGTGTTTTGAAAACAATAAGATGTACAAAGAGCAAAATGATAACAAGAATATTGTCCCCATAGGAACAGGCTCTTTATGTTTCTCCCTTTACAAAAACTTCCATTTTAATAATTAACTCTAGTCCAAGGGACAAAATACCCATTTTATATATCAAAATAAGGGTTTACGTTTAAACTTCTGCAAAGTCTTTTCCATTATTCTCAAAGTTTTTTTCATCTTATAAAAATATTTGTATGTGAATATATCTCAACTTTTATACTACTACAATCGTATTCTTTTATAGCTTTCTTATTAAAAACACAACTTGTCACACTTTAAGAAAGTTCTCTTGATTTACATTCTTCAAACATGTTATTTTTCTTAATGACATTCTGAAACCCAGATTATAAATTATTTAACTATTCTGAGTCTATAGACTTTTAAGATTTTTTTTTTTTTTTTTTAGGTGAGTCTTGCTCTGTTGCCAAGCTGGAGTGCGGTGGTGTGATCTCGGCTCACTGCAAGCTCCACCTCCCAGGTTCACACGATTCTCCTGCCTCAGCCTCCCAAGTACCTGGGACTACAGGCACGTGCCATCATGCCCAACTAATTTTTGTGTTTTTTTAGTAGAGACAGGGTTTCACCATGTTAGCCAGGATGGTCTCAATCTCCTGACCTCGTGATCCCCCTGCCTCGACCCCTCAAAATGCTGGGATTACAGGCATGAGCCACTGTGCCCGGCCCAAGATGTTGTTTTTAATTTAATAATTTCTGTCTTCCTCATCTGTGAGTCACATGACATTGTCAACTTGCTAATAGAAAGACTTGCTTGCTATCTTGGGAAGAGAAAACAAAATAATGAAAAGGACAAACTCTTGCCCACCTAGAACTGGTTTTTCTCATTGGGAAATAAATAAGTGCATAAATCAGTCTAATACAAATATTGTATTTAGTTGGGTGCAGTGGCTCGCACCTGCAATCCTAGCACTTTGGGAGGCCAAGGTGGGCAGATCGCTTGAGGTCAGGAGTTTGAGACCAGCCTGGCCAACGTAGTAAAACTTCGTCTCTACTAAAAATACAAAAAATAGCTGGACGGGGTGGAGCGTGCCTGTAATCCCAGCTACTTAGGAGGCTGAGGTAGGAGAATCGCTTGAACCTGGGAGGTGGAGGTTGCAGTGAGCTGAGATCACACCACTGCATTCCAGCCTGGGTGATGGAGCGAGACTCCATCTCAAAGCAAACAAACAACAAACAAACAAACTTGTATTTAAAGGTAATTTGAAAGCATGGGGAAAGGAGAAATGTGTGAGGATCTAGGATGACTTAGGAGGATCTGGGATGACTTAGGCACAATTAGTCTGCAAGCAAGTGTATGAATATTTTAAAAATTAAGTGGAGATCTGAAGGCCTGAAATTCTAGCTCCCTTCAGGGATTTGGGGCTTGATTTGCAGAAGGGTATGAGACTTTGGAGTAAAAGGAGGACATCCCTCCCCTCATACACTTTCCAACTGACCTGTAATTAGCTAAAATCTTGTAATTTCTAAAATTCTGTTTAACACCAACTCATTGAGAAATACCTTTCAAAAACTTCATGGCATTGAATGGGGAGCTTACTTAGCAGTATTGTCTATAGCAAGAAGCCTGTTCTAGAGCAGGTGTTCTACCACTGTAAAGCTGGAAACTCTGGTGTTCCCCAGCCACACCCCACATGGGAGTGGCCTGGCATGTTCGCGGTATTGAAGACTGGCTGTGAAGGTGGCTCGGATTTGGAATTGGGATTGGCAGGGATCATTGTCTCTTTTCCATTCCCTGTTTTTCACTGGAAGGGCCTGATTAGCAACAGGTTTAACTGAAAAATGTTTTGGCTTTTTTTTAGTCCTGTTTTTCTAAGGACAATATGCTGTAAATGAGGCAAGTGAAAAGAAAACAACATATTTGTAAGAACTACAGAGAATGAGAATTTTTGAATGGGGGACAGTTTCACTGTCATACTCTCTCACTTCCCCGTTAAGATCACCCAACATGTGGCTTTGGCCTCCAACACCATGTGTTGGGTGATGAGACTTTCTTAGCCCCTAAAGCCCCTTAGATAGCCACTTACTTCCAGTCTTTTAAAGAAAGTCAGCTGTCTGAGGTCTTCCCACTCCCTGCCACCCCTCTCCTAAACTGCTTTAACAGGATTGAAAGCTCCATAGTGAAATGGAGCCAGTAGTAATAACTCCAAGGCCTGGCAGATTTGGTAATAGCCAGCATCTCTTTAGAGGCCATTCCTGGGTAGGCCTAATCTTCCATCACTTTCTCTGTCCAGTCCTGACAGCAGTGAGACTCTCACACATATTGTCCAATGCAGAACCTGTGGTCTGAATGCTTGCTCATTTACCAACAATAAACTGGGTGCCAATTTAGGGCCAGGTGCTCTGATGGCCCCCCAGGAACAACAGAGTGAATCAAAGGGATGCTGTTCCTACCCTCAAGGAACCTACAGTCTGGGAAAGATTTTATTTTCATAAATGCATAACAAATGTTGAAAAATCCCATAATCTCCTTTCTTTTATTTCTCTACCAAAAATTTCTTTTGGAATAAATTTACTATGGATAAGCCATGTCTTGGGGCCAACCCTGTCAAATCACAGCATGATTCATAAGCGCCTAAATATTCTTCCGTGTACCTCTCAACAGATTGTTTGGAAGTAATCCTTTCTTCAGCTGAAAACATCTGACCAAATGTAAACAGATTGTGTTTTTTAAGACACAATGTTGACTTTCTAAAACACCAGCTTAATTATTTAATGAAGTGACATGTGCTGTTTCTTTACTACATCAGTCTGCCTTTGGGGCCTGGTGGATTTTATCCAGGCAATTATTATCTGATGAGAGCTCCAGCAGATTCCAGCCAATGCCCCATCCTGGTAGGTGGGCTGGGGCACATGTGTAGGCAAATCCAGCTGTGGTGTGCAAGGCTTCAAGAAGGCCAATGGGTGGAAGCATTACTGCCTGTGGGATGGTGGCACTTAGGACATCTGTGATGGATGGTGATGTGATGTAGTCTGGGTTGTCGTTGGTTTATGGACTTTCCTCTGGTTAACTTCAGTACGTTGCTTATGTTGTGATTGGCTTGAGATGTACAGTGAAAAGAACCCGCGGACCAGACTCCCTTTTGTTTCCTATGTTGGGTGGAATTTCCTGGGAGAAGCAGCGGGAACAAAGAACAAAAAGTATGTATCTTGTTGAACCTAGAATCTTTACTCTGGCAGAGAATTTCAGGGACATTGAGTCCAGTCCCTCGTTTTACAGAGGAGGATCCTGATCCTGCAGGAGCTGAGGATCAGCGGTAGGCAAGGCTAGGACCGGAACCAAGTCTCCTGGCTCCCACTTCAGCGCTCTGCCTACTCTACCTGATGATAAGTGACCTCTTGGGTTGTCATAAATTTGGAAAAGCTAATGGCCATATCCTTTTTTTTTTTAAAAATACTGTCTTCCCTCAACCCCTAATCAGAAAATGTTTGCTTTATTTGGAATCTAAAGGAGAAATATCCAGAAACACTCAGTTCAATATGACTATGTGGAGGAAATGAGCTCTCTATTGAAAGAGACCTCATGACTTGCGGGGTGTGTCATAGCTTAGAGCTGTGGGAGGGACAGGCCTGTCCCTAGGCGAACTGTTTGTAGAATCATCTGGAAGCTTGAGGACACCTTCTGCTGGCAAACGCTCCAACTCAACTGCCACTGAGAAACAAATTAAATATAATTTGTTCTAATGAGATTTCCAGCCAGATTTCTGGAACAGAGAGGTTTGGATAAAGGAGACTAGGTCTCTAAACTGAATCATGGATTCTTTTTAAGGACATGCCTTATCCCAATCTATTATTGAAACCCACATGAGTTTTGTGGCATCCACTGTGGGTTTGGATTCACAATTTATACCTGTAACTTATTTTAAAAGCACCCTATGCCTTCAGGACTTTTCGTAAAGAGGAACTGTCCCCTACCAAGGATACAGCCAAATAAAAAAAATTGGTTGAAGTCCTATTTAGAAAATTCATGCTTAAAATTATGCAACTACTGGTACTGTGTACTTGTGAGATGATATTATCTGATGACAATTTATCATTGTCAGTGAGATACAGGGCTGTGTATTTTTTTTTTCTTCAATTCTACTGTGATATGGAAGCAATTATCTTGTCAAGGCTGGAAAAACTTTAGTTCTGTCAAACAGTATAATAAAGCAACAAAAAGTTTGGAAAGTGACGTGAAAGACTGCGACTAATCTTAAGGCTTTGATGACTTCATGGATTTGGTTACCTGTGAGCCCGTCTCCACCTGGCATGGTAGCTCTGCTCCCCCTCACCTTCCAGATGTGCTCTGGGGAAAGTCCAGGACTGGACGAGTGCTCAGGCCTGGGTCACTCCTCCTGGATGCTGCGAGCGGGTTTTTACTAATTACACAAATCAATAACAGATGTGCTGAGGCTGAGCACCTCATATTTATTCCACAATGTGTTTTCTTTAAATGACAAATGTTTTTTAAGGCCCCCAAAAGGTCATTAGATAGGTTTCCTCTGCAACACATAGGAAAAGGGGGATACACATCTCCAAAGAGGTAGTAAGTTCATCCTGTTATTTGAACAAGGAGCTCAGCCAGTGGTCGAGCAGAAAGAGCAGAGAAAGCCCTTTGCAGCTGTTTAAGAACTTTATTAAGGTTTATTTAAATGTGTCATTCTATAAATCATAGGTTTTGTGTTCTCCAAGCTGTTTTTAGATTGTAATTTGTAGCTGGAGTATTTTTAACTCTATGTAAAATGGTTGATAAGGCTGATAAATTGCTCCCATAAAGAAGGGAGCGAGGAGCTTTCCTTAAATAGAAAAAACAGTGAAGTTGGAAAAATGAACTCTCCTCCCTGTTTTTTTTTTTTCTGATCTGTGAAGAGACACTTATAGGATTTTAAACAGACTTGTGACATCTTGTAGTAGCATGGCTTTTCTCTCTTGTTCAGAGTATTGGAGATAGGGAACAAATATTTTGGAGGCAGAGGTGCCATGGCTTCCCCTGTGAGTATGGGTGCCCTAGGGAAAATGGTTTTTTGTGGGACTCCTTTTATATAAACAATTTGAGTCACCCAAAATCAGAGTGTCGACCTAGAAATCTGAAAAGAGTCATCATCCCTCAACCTCCACCCTGCCCCTCTCTTCAGGGCATCTGGTCAACCTGTGTTGGGTGGGTTGGGAGGGAAGAAGAGGTGGTAGAGTGCCCGAGCATGCTTGGAAGGGGAGAAACAGGGAGGTTGATCTGGGCTCATGTGCCCCTCTCAGCTAGTCCTAGTCACCAGAAGGGGGCCTTAAAATTTTTCCAAGGGGATCTAAGGACCACAAGTAGAAGTGGGGCATTTACTAGAATAACTATTTGAGTAGCTGGAGATCTCTTGCAAGGATTCTTCAACAGAAACCTGTTGTAGAAGAAACATTGCTTGGCCAGGAACGGTGGTTTATGCTTGTAATCCCAGCACTTTGGGAGGTCAAGGCAGGTGGATCACCTGAGGCCAGGAGTTCAAGACCAGCCTGGCCAACGTGGCAAAACCCCGTCTATACTAAAAATACAAAAATTAGCCAGGCATGGTGGCAGGCACCTGTAATCCCAGCTACTCGGGAGGCTGAGGCAGGAGAATCGCTTGAACCCAGGGGGCAGAGGCTGCAGTGAGCCGAGATTGTGCCACTGCACTCCAGTCTGGGCAAAAGAGTGAAACTCTGTCTCAAAAAAAAAAAAAAAATTGCTTGTGGCCTTAATTTCTGTGAAAGACCCTGAAGTCTAAACTGTGCTAAGCCAATGCCCATATGGCAAAGTTGGTTTCTAAGGTAAAGGACTCAGGTTAACACATTTTGGTAGAGCCTGAGATAAAAACCAGAATTAGAGTGAACAGTGATTGAAATAATTAAGTATTCATGAAGAAAGTAATTGTACCAAGGTACTCATTTTTCTTTAAATCTTGTTCTGATGTTATATTGATCTCATGGCTACCATAGTTTATTATAGAAATAAATATCTATGGTTAATTGTCTCAATAAAGAATTCTATTTTTATAAAAATATGATTAGCATGAAAATGTACCTTTTTATTTACCCATTAAACACATCTCTTGAAGCTTGGATCCCTGCATGCTCCCCCCATCCTCCCTCCTTTCTTCCTTCCATAATATGGTGCTCACTTATTGAGCAGTGTCTTTCAGGTGCTGTCGTGGCATTTACCTCATTTCATTGAATGCTCACAGCCTCCCTGTAATCCTCATTTTATAGCCTAGGAAACCAAGACACAGAGAGATTGAGTATCCTACTCAAATTCACACAGTTCTGTCTGCCGACTCCCTTACCCTTAAGACACCAGCTTCCTTTTATTGAGCAGGTTCTGAGTTTGGTTCTTGGGCCCCACGGGTGAGTTAGATTACCCGCTCTCAAGTAGCTCACAGTCTAGTGAGACAGGGCTAGGAACCAGCATATAAATAATTGTAAGTCAGTAGTTAAGAAGCAGTGAGGTATAGGGGCATCATGGAACTACCGATGAGTGGTCCAGAAGCCACTCATGGAGGCACGGAGTGGCCAGGACTCAGAAAGGCTTCCTGGAAGACCTGCCCACTCCCCCTCCCATGCTGACCCTTCCAGGATCAAACATATTGAAGCAGATGAGAAGTAAGAGGATGGACATCCCAGCAGAGGAGACAACAGGAGGAAAGTTCCAGAAGTGAAGAATAGCTTGGGCAGGAACACAAGCCATCAGGTATCTGGGGAGTGATTTGATATGGGGTGTTGGGGAGAGGGACAAATCTCAGATTTCTGATTTGGATGCTGGGGTGGATGTGATGGTATCAGATACTGGTATAGGGAACCCAGGAGGGGCGTCTGGTTAAGGTAATATGAGGATGAGCTCTGGTCTTGATATATTAAGTTTGAATCTATGGTGCATCTATGGGAAAATGCCTAGTAGAAAGTTAAATATGTAGCATTTACTAAAAAGTTGTAAAATAATTAATTCAACAAGTATTTATAGAGTACCTACAGTCAACAAATATTTGTAGAGTATCTACCAATGGCTAGATCCTGCTCTGGGCATTAAAATTATAGTTGTGAGTAAATTTCTGTTTTCATGGAGATTATATTCTAGTGGGATGAAGACAGATAATAAAGACATAAATCAGTAAGATAATATCAGAATTGTTAAGAAAGAACTTGGTAATGTAAAAGGTCTCACTGAGAGGGTGAGGTGACACTGGAGTTGTGACCTGAGTGTTCAGAGGAAACTTCCATATGAATACCTTGGGATTAAAGTGTTCCAGGCAGAGGGTACAGCCAGTGCAAATGTCCTGAGGCAGGAATGAGCCAGATAAGTTGGAGAAAGCCCATCAGCGAAGCCTCAGCTAGGTGAGGGAGGGTGAGAATGTTGTGAGGTGAAGTTGAAGAGTCTGGCAGGCAGGGGACCAGGAAGGGCTCTTAGGACATGACGAATAGGGAGTCTGGATTCATTCCAAGTAAAATGGAAAACCATTAGAGGGTTTTAACCCAGGTCAATGCTAATGTTGTTATTTTAAATCAGTGGTCCCCAATCTTTTTGGTACCAGGGATGTTTCATGGAAGACAATTTTCCACAGACCAGTGGGGGTGGTTTTGGGATGAGACTGTTCCACCTCAGATCATCAGGCATAGAACTGGCATATGCACAGTTCACAACAGGGTTCATGCTCCTATGATAATCTTATGCGGCTGCTCATCTGACAGGAGGTGGAGCTCAGGCTCGCTTGCCTGCCACTCACCTGCTGTGAGGCCTGGTTCATAACAGGCTATGGACTGTTATAGGCTGTTGGGGACCCCTGTTTTAAATGCCAAAAAATAGCATATAAAATTGTGTATGCTCTCAATTACATTAAACAAGGTGAGGGAAAAAGCCTTCAAGGAAACTTTCTTTTTTTTTTTTTTTTTTCTTTTTTTTTGGAGACAGGATTTCACTTCTGTCTCCCAGGCTGGAGTGCAGTGGTATGATCTCGGCTCACTGCAGCCTCTGCCTCCCACGTTCAAGTGATTCTCCTGCCTCAGCCTCTCAAGTAGCTGGGATCACAAGATGCACACCATCATGACCAGCCAATTTTTTGTATTTTTGGTAGAGACAAGTTTCACCATGTTGCCAAGGCTGGTCTTGAACTCCTGAGCTCAAGTGATCCACTAGCCTCGACCCCCAAAGTGTTGGGATTACAGGTGTGAGCCACTGTACCAGGCCAAGGAAGCTTTCCAAATGACACCACTGATTGAGAGAGGTGGTTTCATGTAGTGGTCAGTGTTGTGGGCACTAAGGTTCATAGGCTTGGAGTTAGCTCTGACACTTGCTTGGCTGGCGTTCTCAAACTTTGTGATCTCAGGACCCCACTATCAATATTTATTATCTTAGGAATGAAAATGAAGAAAAAAATCTAAATACTTTTATTAATTTGTTAAAAAATAGTGAACCCATGATGTGTTTACAAAATGATTGTATTTTCCAAAACAAAAACAAGTTAATGAGAAGAATGCCATTGTTTTACACTTTTGTAAAACTAGTTAACATAATAGAAGACACCTGGGTTCTATATCATCTGCATTCAACCAGCTGTGATGTCACATATCATACAGACTCATGAGAGAATGGGGTGAAAGGGTAAATACATAACTTTTTGTATTATTGTGAAAATAGTTTTGACATTATGGATCCCCTAAAAGGTTCTGAACTATACTTGGAAAACCTTTTTTTCCCCTTTGGGTTTTTTTTTAATATAATTTAAAAAAATTGTGGGTACATAGTAGGTATATGTATTTATTGGGTACATGAGATGTTTTGATACAGGCATGCAATGTGAAATAAGCACATCATGGAGAAAACCTTTGCATTTAAGGTATGACATTGAGCAATCTCCTAACCTTGATAGGCCTCGGTTTTCCCATGTATAAACTGGGAACTATCAATAGTACCTACCTTATGTGGTTGTTAAAATTTAATGAGCCGATATATGTAAAGCACTTAAAATGGCACAGAGTAGATGTTTAGTAAATATCAGCTATTTTTATTTCTTTTTGTTATTGTGACACTGAGTGGCAGCAAAACTTCTGAGAATTTGCAGAAACTCATTGAAACCTTACTCTGATTTTTCCTTCCTGTCTTCTCTTGCTCCAGCTGTGAAATGAGTCTTCAAATCTGAGTGCCGGTTGACAAATGCTGATAGTTGTCAAATAAGTGTAGCTTGTAATGCGAGCCCATTTGTGATGATGAGGGCACGCTATGCCAGACTTTCAGCTGTCCACAGTTGAGTACGCCATAATTTCTCAGATTCTTTCTCTCTTCTTAATACCTGGAACAGTCAGATGCCATCATCAATGAGTTGAAGATTTGTGTCAGCTGCTCTGCTTTAAAAAAAAAAAAATGGAAGTGAGTGTAATTCCCAATCTTGGCTTCACATTGGAACTACCTGGGAAAAATTTAAAATGACCAAAACTTAGATCCTTCTCCCAGAGATACTGATTTAATTGGCCTGGGGTGTGGCCTGGGCATCAGGATTTTTGGAATCTTCCTACTCTCTGAAATCTCACTGGGCTATAACTATAAAAGAAGGTCACGTGTTTAATTTTTAAATTTTTTATCATTGGTAAAGTTTAACAAATATATTAAAAAGTATATAAATATCAGCTTAAATTGTTGTGAAATGAACACCCATGTACCATGATCCAGTGCAAGAAATATAACATTTCCAAACACCCAACAGCTCTCCTGCTTTTCCTCGAGACCTCTTTCCAATCCTCTAGAGGTGACCATTACCCTGCCATCTTATAGTCACATTTCTTCTGTTTTATAACTTTACCATATGATTAGGAGTTCCGAAACAACATAGGAATAGATTTTCATACTTTTGCACTGTATTTAAATGCAATTATGCCTTTGCATCTGGCTTCTTTTGCTCAATATTATATGTAGTTTTTATTCATTTGTTTTGGGATATAGTTATAATTCTTTGCTTTTCATTATTCTATAGTATTCTGTTATATCGATACATGATAATGTCTTTATCCCACACTTGAAGGATGTTTTGGTTGTTTTTGTTTGGGGACTATTATGACCAATGCTGCTATGAGTATTTTTATATGTATCCCACTGCACGAAGATAGACATTTGTGAACATATGTATCTAGAAGTAGAGTTGGACACATTCACTCATCAGAAGGAAGATAAAGAGGCTTAGCTGCAGTTTTGGTGGACTCTTGAGGGTAGATAGGAGTTGGATACTGGGACCCTGTCACAACTGCTGCTCTGGGCTGGGACCCTGTGGGGTCGCACTGCTCTGAACCATGTACCTTGGGAATGTTGATAATCTACAGGAGGCAACTGACAGATTGAGCTGTGCCTTCAGTAGTTTCCTGGGCTGAAGGGAGAAGGTTCAGTGCCTATCGAGGGTAGAGATCATGATGAAACCCTTCCTACTCTGGGCTGGGACCCAAAGGCAGCCTCCCAGCAGTGAGGTCACAGACTCTGCCATAGCAGGACAGTTGGCTAGCCCAGAAAATATCAGGCCTTCGTTCTGTCCTCGACAGCTGATAGAAGGAAATAAACATAGAGTCTGGAGAAGGATCGCATTATCCTAGGCCTTGAGATAGTTATTAAGTTCTAATTCTCTTCTTGATCTTGACAAGTCATTCCCCACTGTCTTGTTAGTTCATTGGTACTTTGATGAAGATGCATTTGTTTTTTTCTCAACTTTTTTCGTTATCTTCAGCAGGAGGTTTGGTATGAATCAATTATTATGGCACGTGCCCCCTATCCTGTGTGATAAATTCAGGCTTCTTTCAGATACCTCTGCTAAATACCCAGGGGGGTTCCAGGGAGTGCCAGCCAGCTTTTCCAGTCTGTTCTCATGGTTGCCTGACTAGTGGACTACTGCCCTGCCCTTCTGCAGGTTCTCTCATGCCACATTGAGTGCATTATCCTTCAGGTAGCTGCTGCAGGTTCTCTCATGCCACATTGAGTGCATTATCCTTCACGTGGCTGCAGCTGTCTTGTATCACTTTGCTCCCAGCATGGACCTAGGCTGTGGTATCTTGGAACTGGCCCATACTGATTCACAAGAGCTGATTGTTAAATTTTCATGAATTTTGTGAGCCAGTGGTTAAATACAGCCATTATTAAACGTTATATAAATTTACAATTTAAGTTATATTAAAAATAAAAGACAGTTAATATACTCAAAATGAATCCCTTGCTAATTATTTTCCCATGTTTTACTATTTATGCTCTTGAGATTATATTGGGTCTGTATAGTAGAAATACTATATAATGGTGAGTATGTCTCAACTCCACATTCAGTGGCATCATTGCTTGAAATCAGTCATGGAGGAATATTTATACCATGGAAATTGGCAAATGCTACAAATCAAGGCTTTTTTTTGTTTGTTTGTTTGTTTGTTTTGAGACGGAGTCTTGCTTTGTCACCCAGGCTGGAGTGCAGTGGCGTGATCTTGGCTTACTGCAACCTCAGCCTCTCGGGTTCATGCCACTCTCCTGCCTCAGCCTCCCGAGTAGCTGGGACTACAGGCGCCCGCCACCATGCCTGGCTAATTTTTTGTATTTTTAGTAGAGACGGGGTTTCACCATGTTAGCCAGGATGGTCTTGATCTCCTGACCTCATGATCCACCCGCCTAGGCCTCCCAAAGTGCTGGGATTACAGGTGTGAGCCACCACACCTGGCCGGCTTTTTTTTTTTTTTAGCCTGTTGTTAAACATTTATCAGCATGTCATTGGATATAGTCCCCCTTTCTAAATCCTTACAGCTGGGTTTAGACCACATAATGAAAATAGGAATCAGAGAGTAACAAAGGAGAGTTACCATGAAGAGAACTTAAAATTTGTTATTAGAAATAGTTATTCTGAGTCATAAGCTTTCCCACTTCCACCATTGTCTTCAGTTTCTTCTCAGCATAGCATCCAGAGTAATCCTGTTAAAATATAAATAAGACCAGGTTGCTCCTTTGCTTAAAGTCCTCTAATGTCTTCTACTTTCACTTAGGTAATAAGCCATGTTTAGTTACATAGGATTGTTCTTCTTACCTCCTGACATCCATTATTCTTCCTACAGGTCACTCTGCTCTACCCAACTGGGCCACCTTGCTGTTCTCTGAGCATAGTGGATGCTTTCTTGCCTTAGGGTTGTTTCATGGGGCCTACTTGCAGTATAGAATGCTGCACGTCCCAGCATTTCCAGCTGTTTCAGAAAGCTGCATGTTAGATCCATTTCCTTCAGGTCTTATCTCAAATTCACTTCTCAGTGAGACTTTCTTCAATCTGCTGTATTACAATTACAGCCCTCCCACATTCCCTATCCCCTTTCCTCTCTAGCACTTACTACCTTCTAACTAATTAAGTTGATTTTAATTTTTGCTTTTGCCCATAATAAGCTCTGTAACCGAAAGGTTCTGTTTCCACAACTGTGTGTACTCATAGGCAAAATGGGGATATATGCCTGCTTCACATGCCTCATTGACTTTTAGTGAGGCCCATGCAGGGAATTCTTGTGTAATTAGTCTACAAAGGTGTGAGGGGATATTTTTGTTGTTTTGCTATTTATGCCCATCTTGCTTTAAACCACTCCCCCGCAAAAACCTCTCCATTTTAACACAGGATAGAAATAACAGGCTTATTACTATATTTATCTCTGAAGATTTTAGTGAATCCTTTGTTTACCACTTGGATCAGATAATTGGACTCATTATAAGCCACTGAAAACCTGGAGAATAAAATGGCAACCCACCACAAGGTCAGGGGCTCATACGTGTCCCGCACTATGTTAGGGGTACTGCTGCATGTATTATTTTGTCCTCACTGCCACACTGCAGGAAGGGTATACATCACTTTAGAGATAAAGAAACTGCCGTTTAGAGAGATCTAGTATCCCATTAAGGCACCAGAGCTGATAAGAGGCAGGTCTAGGAAAGAATTCATATTTGTCTGATTCCAAAAGTCAACTCCCACCCACCTCAGAAAACCTGGTTATTTAACCTAAATGTGAATATTCTCACTACTATGGATGATGTTTCTCACTTATATGTTATATTTCTTTTCAGACTGTTTATGACCAGTGGTTCATCACCCTTTTTAACATTGTTTACACATCACTGCCTGTTTTAGCCATGGGGATTTTTGACCAGGTATGTTTTTTTTCCATCTTTATAACTTAGTTTCTCTTTTATGCCTTTTAGTTTTTTGTGGGTTCTAAGTAGAAAACACAATTCTAAGTAGCAGCCCTAGGAATGCAGTTGTTTTAGTTGCTTTTGCATGGATCACACATGCTTCCAGGTCCACTGTGCCTCCCTTACCCCTATACCCTAGCTTCCCCAAAAGCATTATTTGATAAAAGTTGGTTACTCTTCTCTTAGAGGTTCACACCCCATAGATTGCTCTAAAGGCTCTAGAAGTCCTGTACGAAGTAATCTCTTTAACTTCATTTTAACCCAGCATTTCCCAAACTTCTATGACTGTATATGTTTTCATATAGCACCTATTAATTAATATGTCTCAGAACTAGTGTCTGTGGTTCACACACGGGGAAATGCTGCCTTAGCCTCTGAGAGCTTATAAAGAACCATGCAATGATAGAAAATCATGGGGCTAGGTTGGAACACAGGGGGCTAACACCTGCAGTGAGACTCCCTTGTTGCGAACATCTGCAGTGAGACTTCCTTGTTACACACAGCCCAGAACAGGAGCCACAGACCAGTAGAGCAGTCTGCCAGTGGGAGAGGAGGATGAGAAGCTCCATGGCCAAGGAAAGAAAGAGCATGGATTTCTTTTGTCCCAGCATCAATGTGCTTGAGTGGGGAGAAAGGAGAGGATCAATCACAAAAATGGTAGATCCTTGGCATACTCAGAGCCTTGGAAGGGACTTCCTGGAAAGGGGAAAAAGTCTGGCTGCCTGTGGGGAAGTGAAAGACTAGCCAGTGGAATTTCCGTGGCACAATTAGAGTGTCTTATTTTTAAAAAGACTTTTTGTTTTTTAAAAAAGTATTTTTAAGGAGACCACATTTTCTCCAGGCTGTTGTTAGACCTATTTGCTAGGCCTCATTTTCTGGGCCAAAGCCGTCTATTGCAAAATATAAATCTTCACATTATGAGCTCACTCCAGTCTCCCATTTGGCTGGCTTTGTAGTCAGTTGTTAAGTCTCCCTTCTCATATGTAAAAAGGGCAGTTTGCGAAAGGCATATTTTCTGGAATTATACAAAAAAGTAATGAACTTCTGAAGACCTTAGATGTAAAGGATTAAGCACATTCATTTCTCAGCGCCCATGTTTACAAGTGTTTCTTTTCTTGGAGCTTTGTAGCTGCCCAGAATGTGGAATAAAATAATAAAAATAAAGCAGTTTCTGGGAAAAGATGGTTATTGTGCAATTCAAAAAAAATATAATAAGGCTTCCTATTACCATCAAGTTGAGTGTCTGCTCCTCTCTCCTTTCCTGCTTTGTCAACCTTGGCCCTTAAACTGATCACAGGATCGTGGAATGCTATGCTGGACAGGCCTCAGCAATCATCAACAGATCTGCTCATTTTTTAAGGCAGAAACCAAGCCTTGGAGAGTCATTTCCCTAAAGCCACACAGCCAATAAGTGACACGGCTAAGACTAGAACCAGGCCTCTTAACTTTGAGGTTGCTACATTATTGCTATTGTTGTTATTATCATTATTTTATTAATTGTTATTTATAGAAGCATCTGGCATATTTATTACTTACGATGTGGCAAGAACTCTACTAAATACTTTACATACTGGTTTAATCATGGCGATAGTTCCATGTGGGAGGTGTTATTGTTTGCATTTCTGGGCATGAGGAAACCAAGGCTCAGGCGGATTAAGTAACAGGTTTAAGATAACACACCAGCTAAACCCGTTACCAGGGATTGAGCTCATGACTGTCTTGTTTCAAAGCCTGCGCACATAACCCTCAGTCACTGAACTAGGGGAACAAGCATCCAAAAGCATCTAAAAACAGGACTTTCTAAAGAGAATATGCCTGTGTTTTTCCATGGGACTCTGTTTGGAGAGACCTGGGCCATCCCACAAGCAGGAAGGGGAATGTTCCTCTCCCACAATAGTTCACCACCTGTGTTGCTTCCACTTTCGCCTCTTCTCCTCCACCTGTGGTCCTCTGATGTCCCCTGTGGTTGATTCTTGCCATCCTTTTTGGTTTTTGGCATTTGGCTTTGGTGCTCACTGTGGTTATCAGCATTACTTTGGAGCTGGCTGGAAATGCAGTCTTGGGCCCTCAGCCCTATTGAATCACAATCTGTTTCCCAGGCGATTTGTGTGCACATTAGGTTTGATAAGCATTTAGTTTCTCTTGGGACCTGGTTGGTGTCAAATGTGCCACCTTCTCATTCTGTCTATATTCTTTCTTTGTCCTGAACACCTGGTAACTGCTGTTAAAATTCTCACTGGGTAGGATCCTCATCCCAGCCTCCTTCTCACCTGGAATCCCAAATGCAGTTTCCCCTTTTCCCTGCTCTCTTCTTCCTGCTCACTTCCCTCCAAAGTCATGAGCTCTGATTTGACAATTCTGACTCCACAGCTCTCTGCTGTCATCTCCTGGTCACTACCACTCACTACCTTGACAATTAACTTCTGGGGCCCATTGGCTGCACATGATGTGCTGGAATTCTGGGAGCACGAATGCTTCTGACAGCCTGCAGGAGAGTGTAGGAAAGAAACTTCAATTTGAAGCCAAATAGCTAGGCTCAAACCAAGCCCTGGTTCTGCTACTTACGAGCTGTGTGACCTCTCATGAATCTCTCTTGGAGACTCAAGCTCCTTCTCTGTAAAGTAGAGATCATTTTATTATCTTCTGGTTTATTGTGGGAATACAAACAAGATAATGTCCTGTTCTGGCCCAGTGAGTAGTGCATTTTAGGACATGTTTAAACAGGCATTTGCTATTTCTGAAGATAGGGAATACAAGGCCTCTCTGACTCTTTTTAATCCTTCTCCACTGAAATTACACTCTGTTTACAGGATGTGAGTGACCAGAACAGCGTGGACTGTCCCCAGCTCTACAAACCAGGACAGCTGAATCTGCTTTTTAACAAGCGTAAATTTTTCATTTGCGTGTTGCATGGAATCTACACCTCATTAGTCCTTTTCTTCATCCCCTATGGGGCCTTTTACAACGTGGCTGGAGAAGATGGGCAACATATTGCTGACTACCAGTCCTTTGCAGTTACCATGGCCACATCTTTGGTCATTGTGGTCAGTGTGCAGGTAACGCTGTCGGTGTAAGCACCTTAACTTGATGGGTTTACAACTTTTACTATTTCATTGTTGATTGATTTTGTCTACTTGTTGGGGGGAAATAATCCTAAAGGAATACTGGGGCTGTCCTTTTAAGTACACATTTTGAGATGAAAGCAGGAAGCTTTAACATAAATTACTGGGGAGAATTAGCATTAGGCGTCTGTAACATTCATGTTAGTAGAAACCTCACAATGTATCACTTCTTTGGGTTGTGCATTGTATGTAAAGAGAAATGATTATACTATTATTTCCTTCTTGTATTTGAAGAAAAAAAAAATTCCAATAACAGAAGGAGAAACTTTCCCATGATTTCTTTAAGACTTAATAACTGCCAGGTTTTAAAGTGAGATCTAAAGTTTGCTTGGCAATACATTTCTATGGAGTTATTCAAGAGGTTCAATGCTATATCTGTGGCATATCCGAATCTCACACTCAGAGGAGCTCTTCTGGTGGGGATGATTTTTTGAGGTTCCATTGACCTTCTTCCATCTTGAGTTGTGTCTCTATTTCCTTTTTACTGTGAATGTGGTCAATGCCATTAGATACTGAGTTAGAGTTCACAAAAACTTTTATTTCTTGAGAGGAGGCCTTGCTATGTTGCCCAAGCTTGTCTAGAGCTCCTGGGCTTAAGTAATTGCTCACCTTGGCCTCCAGGTGGCTGAGATTATAGGCATGCATCACCGCACATAGTTAGAAAAACTTTTCCTCTATTACTATCTGTAGCTCCGAGTAGGTACAGCAAGCTATGTGACCTCTGTTTTATTTTGTTGTCTTTTGATTACTGAGCAAACTGTTAATAATTAGGTGATCTTCTCTGTCATGAGGGTACATTTCCAATTCTCTGGATTCTCCTTCCATAGAGAAGACAGTGGTGGGGTGTACAGGGACATCTTTTTAGTGGTAACAGCTGATTCACCTCTGGCTCAGACCTGTTCCTCGGTACTCCAAGAGATTATTTGAAAGGTAGTAACTGAAATAAAAGGCCACTATCTGAAGAAGCAGCAAATAGAAAACATTCTTCATACTGTCCTGTTAACATGATCTGTTTATAAGTAAGGGTAATAAATTACCTGGAAGAGTCATTGTAGGTGTGACATGTAACAAGCATTAAATGTTTGTGTGTATGTGTGTGTGCATGTGTACATGGATAGATGTGTGTGTGTGAAACTGGTGTTCACAATTAACCCTACAATTTTTGGTTAACTTAATCTTTATAATTTTAGAAAAAGCCTGCTGTTATGCCCATGCATCTTTTTCTCTTTTTTTTTGCTTGCCCATAATTTGTTTTATGTGCTATTACAATAGTGCCAGTGCCATGTTTTTATATTAACTTTATGTTTAGAAGCTGTTTTTCTCATAAAACATACAGTTCTTATTCCAGTTGAATGTTGAAATCACATTTCTACTTTCTCACAAGTTGAGAGCCCACAGAAACTATCACATTTTAAAAACATTGTTTAGTCACGAAAAAATTACAGAACTTCAAAAGTTTATTTTAAAAGCTTCAAGTGACTTCTTGTCGCTTGAAGTTTTTAAAATAAACTTTTGAAATTTCTAACCCTTGATTATCCAAGTTTTATAAGAATGATATAGAATGATATCCATGTTTTTTCAGAGAGGATTCACACCTTAGGCTCAAAGTAACCATTAGCCCCTCATTCAGGATGTTTTGCAAGAGGAAATCCAAATCCATTTGCTTCAGACCTTAATGGCCATTTGTCTCTTCAAAATCTATTCTCTGCCTTCCATCTCCTCAAGGACAATAGTGGTCCTAGCCATCCCTCCAATCCCATTACTCACACGCCCCAGCCACACTGGCTTTTGTTCTGCTCCTGGAATTCACCAGTCTCTTGCTTGCCTTATGGCTTTGCTCTTTCCTGCCTGGAACATTCTTCTCTCAGTTTCCCTCACATGTCATTTCTTCAGAGGGGCCTCCCTGGATCCATTTAAACTAAGGCCCCTTTATTTTCTCTAGTGGAATAGAAATCAATTATTTTATCTCATAGTTGTCATCTCCCCTTGTAAGTACAAATTTAGTGGTGTGTTCTCTCGTTTAATGTCTTTCTACCTCCTAGAGTGTAACCTTCACGAAGGCAGTGGAAATGTCTGTTAATCGCTGTATACCCAGAGCTGAGCACATCACCTGTTAGTGTGACACACAATGGATATTTCTTGAGTATTGAATAAATGAGGGAGATGTTGAGAGGAAATTCTCCTGCTACTGATCCTGTCATAACAAGAGAGTTCATCTGGGTGTGTCAAGTTCCTAGGAAAGAATCATTATAACTGATGTGTTTACAGATTGTGTTGACAGTTTTCAAATGTGCCCAAAGTTTCCAACCAGTCTGAGAGAGGGTCCTCCTGTGCTGAGTCCAGCAGAATGACCCAGCTGTGAAATGTGGTATGGGGAAAAGTGAGAGATTTTAGATGCCTTCAAAAGCAAGGCAGTGCAGGGAGAGTCAAGTACTGCATGGCCTCAGAAGGTGGGATGTGCTGCGGTCGCCACACCTCCTGCAGCCAGGCAGAAACTTAGGCCATGTATGTACCTGTGGAGCCTCTGCCCTAAAAACACAAAATCCTTTTAGTCTTATTATAAAAGGAATACATTGCAGGAAATTCAAGAAAAGCATAAAAATGCAGGGAAAAATTAAAATTCACATGTAATCACAAATCAGGGTTAGCATGAAAAAAATGGAAATCGGATTATATATATATAATTTTATGTCTTATTTTTTCACTTAACTTTGTGTCACAAGCATTTATCTTATTTATAAAATATTCTTTGAAATATCCCTTTTAATGGCTGTAGTATTCCACCGTATGAATATGCCATAATTTATTCAACCATGTTGCTGTTAGATTGCGTCTACATTTCACTATGGCAAATGATACAATGGCAAAGTTTCATGTAGTACATAATTCTCAGCATGATCCTCTAGTTATTTTCTAAGGTTATCTCCTTAAAGGTGGGAATTCTGGGCTAGAAGACATAAGGAAGTTTAAGGCACTTGACACATATTGCCAAATGGCTTTCCAAATAGATTGTATCATTTTCAGCTGAAGGGTGCAAATTACCCTTCTCAGCAGCCCTTCACTGATTTAGAGTATTACTTTGAATTATTTTATAATTAAAAAATGGATAACCTTTTGTTGCTTGGGAAATAATGAATACATCTTGTTCAAACAGGAATAATTTCTTTAAAAAACTTTTAATTTCGGAATAATTTTAAATTTGTAGAAGAGTTGCAGATACTGCAAAGACAGTTCCTGCATACCCTCACCTAGCTTTTCTCTGATGTTAATATTAACATCTTACCTCACCATGGTGCATTTGTTAAAACTATGAAATTAGCATTGGTATAATACTATTAACTGAGCCACAGATTTGATTCAGATTTCTCCAGTTTTTCCATTAATTACCCTTTTCTCTTCTAGGATCCAATCCAGGATCCAATCCAGGATCCCACATTGAATTTAGTGGTCATGTTCCTTAGTCTCCTCCCATCTCTGACAGTTCTATAGTCTTTGCTTGTCTTTCATGACCTTGACACTTTTGAAGACTGGTCACCAGGTATTTTGTAGAATGTTTTTCAGTTTGGGTTTTCTGATGTTTTTTCTTAGAAATAGACTGAGGTTGTGGATTTGGGGAAAGAATCACAAAGAGTGATGTGTTCTTGTCTCATCTATCAGGGAGCACATGATAGCAACATGATTTATACAGGTGATGCTAATCTTGACTACTTGCTTACAATGATGTTTTTCAGGTTTCTCCACTGTAAGCTGACTATATTTCCCTTTCCATACTCTAGTGCCTAAAAGTAAGTCGCTGAGTCCAACCTACATTCAAGAGAAGGAGAATTAACTTTTACCTCCTAGAGGAAGGAGTATCAAAGAATTAGTGGTTATATGTTAAAACTGTAGCAGGTGTAATTTTAAATAAAATTGCTATAATAGGGGCCCCAAAGGTATAAGGGATTTGCCCAAGATCACACAGTGACAACATTGCAGGTTTAGCACTAAGATCCAACAGTCTGATTTCCCAAGTCGATGTTCTTTAATAAAGGCATCTGTGATTATTCTGTTAAAGATTTGAGGCAAGCATTTCCTACAGCACAATTATTACTGGGCTTTGGGTAGTTAGGCATAGTTGGGAAGCAGTGGAATGTAATCCTCATCATTGCAATGCAGACAGAAAGTCGTGTACTTTAAAAGAGGTGGTGCTGCTTGTCACCCCTCTGTGGCTGGGATCACTTTGCCACGTTACAGGGTTGAAGTTCCCTATACCTTATCCATATACTCCCAGCCCATTGTTTTCTCCCCTACCTAATTTCTCCCTGCCCTCACTCCCAGTCCCACTCCCACCATTAATTCTGAGTGCTTGAGGGCCTAAAACAGCTAGGAGATTGAGGATAACTTTCTGGAGAGGAGGATGAGGTTAGAAAAGATCCAGGCTAGAAATGGTGGCCTAGAAGCAGAATGAGTAGAGGCTTCCAGTGTCTGGCATGCTTTGGTTGCCACTGCATTCCTAACGGAAACCACAGGGCTAAAGAATACAGGGGCAAAGGGATATGAGGAGAGAGGTTGAAATTGAGCAAAGGAAGTGAAAATAATTTGGTTGTGTTATCCACCTATCCTTCAACTCTGTCTGTCTTAACCTAGATGACCAAAGCAGGCCTGTCCTTGATGGCAGCTGTAAGAGACCTGTATCATCATCACCACCATGAGTGATACCATGCATTATACTTGCTCCTCATGATGCCATTATGCAGTAAATATTATGGGCTGCTTTTATAGATAAAGTTCAGAGAGGTTAAATGACTTGCCTGAGGTCACACAGTAAGTCCCAGAGCCAGGAGAATCCAGTTCTGTCTAATTCCAGTGTTATCTGGAACAAAGTCTACAGTGAGACTGGTTAAAACACAAAATTTTCAAGAAATATGAGAACAAACCTTATACTGAGCGTAAAGGAAACACTGGATACTGTGCCATATACTGGGATAATCCCATTATCTCATTTAATTATCTTTATGGTCCTATGAAATGTAAGTACTATTACCACCATTGAGAAAACAGACTTAACAAGAAGATTAAGTTATATTCCAAGTCATACAAAAAGTGGTAGGCCAGGATTTGAACAGAGGTCTTCTAACTCCAGATGCCCAGCTCCAAAGCTACGTGAACCTCCCTTCTTTGTAAAGATAAGTAGAAGCTGTGGGCCTCCCCAGTCACATAGTAAGTACAGGGAATTCGTGGTCCCCACCTCTCTCACTCATGTGGGAATACCTAGGATACCAGTATCACCCTTGGCTAACATGGGAGACAAACGGTTAATAGATGACAAGCACATAGGTGTTTCTTTCAATGGCAGAGTTTCAACTTGAGGAATATATAGACTCCCAGCTTCTGTCATTTCAGTCTAATTCTTTGGCAAATATTACCACTTGTTTTTATTTCTAGGAAGCCCTGAAAATGTCTGTTTTACCATACCAGAGTTCTTAGACCCAAGTATGTAAATGTTTGTAACCATGGATGCTAGGCAATTTTGGCTTCAATCAATCAAAAACTGTGGTCTTTAATATATAGAATAATAACTTTAAGGAATTCTGTGAATAAGCTCACTTTGACAGCAGCATTAATATCCTTTCCTCACTGTTTAAGCTTGACTTTTCATTGTGGTAACAACCCCATGAAATTTCCATGGTCTGTAATTACAGTTATAAATCTTATGTCCTGCTGATGCTACAGGCCAAATTTAAGTAGTCTCTATTGTTTTTTTAAAAAAGTATTTTTCAATTATTTGAATTATAAAATGCTCTTTTAAACATTTCAAAGAGTACAAAAGTGTTTAAAATAAAATGAACCATCTTCCTTTCCTTCCCTTCTTTAACTACTATGATGATGACCATAGCTTAAATCCTCCCATACATTTTCTGTACTTTGAGACGACGCATACACACATATTTAACAAAAGGGGATAATAATTATGTATACTGTTCTGTAATATGCTTTTCTTGCTTAACTAGATATTCTGGTCAGCTTTCCAAATCAACACATTCAGATCTATCTTAATTGTTTTAATAGCTGCACAGAAATTCATAATATGAATGTATAAGTATTTATCATCTATTGATAAACATACAAGATGTTTCTATATGTTTTTTGCTATTAAGGCAATGCTACAATGCATATATTAGTACATATATTTTATATACTGTCAGATAAGTTCCTAGAAATGAGACTTCTGGGGTTAGAACTCCTAATTTTTACCAATCTGCTGGATAAAGAATGGTATTTTGCTGTTTTCATTACTGGGTCAGAGAGTATGTACATTTAAAATTTTCATAAATATTGCCATAATACGTTCTCAAAAAGATAGTAGTTCCAAATGACAGACACTTTAAAAATTTAAGCTAAAAAAAGAGCTTTATTAAAACATATTAGGTAGCTTCAGTGGAAACACTGCTGTTATTACACCTTACAGCTTGGTTGTCATCACCCTGGGGACGGGTTGCCAAAAGGTTCGCCATAGACTTCCAGAAGAACCATCACCTTTGCCATCATGTCTGTCAAATGCTGAGAAAAGCATATTAAAGTTTGCCATTGTGATTATGATTCCTATTAAGTTTTCCGTGTGTTTCAAAGAGATTTTTACCTCATATAATTTAAGCTATATCTTTGCCACATAATGGTTTCTGATTGTTAATTTTTCTTTGTAGTTTTTATCTTTTTTCATAATAAAAGATTCTTAAGTTTTGTATTTTTATATTAGTTTTCTTCTCTTGCTTTTTTTTAGTTTACATTTGCCTGATACATAATCTGGGCCAATTTCTTAATTTCCATTTATTTCTTGTCTCATTCTATTAGTCTTCCTTGATAAGAATGTTTAAGCTACTCATTTTTATTATAATAACTTGTATTTTATCATGCTATATTAATATTATTTTCTGATTACTTTTAATTCTGCTTTTCAATTTTTTTTTTAACTTTTTCATACTTGTATGCATTAATTATGGTTTTAAAATATCCCATTTCTGGCCAGGCTCAGTGGCTCACGCCTGTAATCCTAGCACTTTGTGAGGCCGAGGCGGGCGGATTACCTGAGGTCAGGAGGTTCAAGACCAGCCTGGCCAACATGGCGAAACCCTGTCTCTACTAAAAATACAAAAAAATTAGCCAGGCATGGTGGCGCCTGCCTGTAGTCCCAGCTACTCAGGAGGCTGAGGCAGGAGAATCGCTTGAACCCAGGAGGCAGAGGTCGCCATGAGCCAAGATCACACCATTGGCGACAAGAGCAAGACTCCATCTCAACAACAACAAAAAAATCCCATTTCTAATGAATAACTTACAAGTTTTACTATTATATTCTTATTTTACTAGTGATTTCTCTTTATTTTCATAGTTATTTAAATATATATATTTCCATATTGGCAGAATGGAACTCCACAGATAATATGAAATTCTATCCTTCATCAAATGTTTCACTATCTTGTTCTAAACCTTTCCTTATGCTTCTTCAATTAAACAGTTTTGGCAATGTTTTTATCTTACTTACCCTTCTTTGTCCTTACTCCCATCCCCAACTCTTACATGTTAATTATTTAGAATTTAATTCCAGGATGTTATTAAATGCTCCTCCTGTAACATATTTGCTGACTATTCCCATTTTTTTCCAAATTAATACTGCCCTCATACATTATTACTCATCTAGAACTAACTATTTACAAGAATCATTGCTCACCACTATTTTTATGACCTGTCTTCTGTTATTTTGAGGTCTTTGTACAGTTTTAATTTTTATTTCAGTGCAGAAATATCCTTGAGTAATTTCTTCAGAAAGGATATTGAGATGTTATACTTTTTAGCTTAATGTTTTCTGTCTTTGCCTTTACATTTACATGATATATTGGACGAGCATAAGATCCTTGAGTCAGTCTTTTTCTTTAGGAACTTTGTTGTTGCTTCACTATATAGTTGTTGTTTCAACAATTTTGTGTTGTTTCACAGTTTCACTGTGACAGTTTGATGTTAGGTTGATTCTTTTTCCTCCTCTGTATAAAAGATTATGTCACCAGAATCTTCTTTCATTACTTTGGATAGGACCTAAAGGACCCTCTCAATCTGAAAATCTATGCTATTTGTTATCACAGAGCAGTTTTCTGCTGTCATTTCTTTGATTGTTACTTTTCTATTTATTCCTTTTTCTCTTTCTAAAATGCCATTATTTGTATATTGGAGTCATAGATCTGAGATCTGTGAATTTGCTATTCATGTCTCATATCTTTTTGCAAATGGTTTCCATGTCTCCAAGTCTTTGTTCTCTATTGTGAGATATTATTTGTATTGTTTTGTCCAGAATATTAATTTAGTTCTATTCATTGACTATTCTTTGGTTTTGCTGTTGAATTTTTAAATTCAGGAATAGTGTGTTTTTCTTTCAGATTATTTTTTTCTGTGACCTAATTGCATCTTCTTACGGGGTCTTATTATATTTTGTTGTTGTTATCGTGCTTGTCTGTCTCTTCTATTAGTTCTGCTTCAATAGGAGCCACCTATTCTTGCTTTTTCAGCTGAATCCTTTTAAATGGGTTGTAATTTTTCTTTGCCTACTCTTACCCACACAGATCAGGCTATCGTTGACTCTTGAGAGTGTTAAACTAACAGGTGGTGGAAGGTAAAGTTGGAGATTTTGGTGAGATGTCTTGGCAGCCAAATGAACTGGAAAGCGGGCATGTCTTTGCTGAGGCATGGATGGCAGGGCTGTTTTCAGACCTCCTGAGGGGAGAAAAGGCTGTACTTTTATAAACCCTGTAGTTCACATCAAAGGCTGCCAGCATCATTTTAATGGGGAAACATTTTAAGGGACAGTAAATTACAAGTGGGAAGAGAAAGTATGTCTCAGCATGTTGAGAGGGATCTATTTACTAAGCAGGTAGGGCCCCCTCAGACAGATGAGAAATCTTTAGTCTTGCAACAAACTACTAGAAATACAAACCTTCACTTGGACGTGGATCACTTGGGAACTATGAGATGCAAATAATGATACCAGAACCTACTTTTTTATTCTCTGAAGAACTCAAGTGTTCATATTTACCAGTGGTGTCCTTGATTCTCCAGTAGCAGACCACTCTTCTAGCTGAGCTGCCGCAACAAGTTACTAGAAGGAAGAAGAGCTCGTGACCATGCTTCCAGGCCATTGTGAATCCCAGTTTCTGAATTTTATGCCAAAATAAGGCTGAAGAATTTTCTTTGTTATAAGTTGAGTAATTGAAGAGAAAGGATCATCAAAATGAGTTGGGATATTGGTGTAAAAAAGATCATGCATGTGTAAAAATGGTATTGTGAAAATTTACTTACAGAGTATAAAATGTTGCACTTGCCCATTACAGAAAGAATTTTTTTCCAATAGAAAAGTTTTGAGAGACATTTGTAAAGTAACTTAAAAATTATAAGCCCTTGTGCTTTCATATTTCTCACTTAAAAGAAGTTTAACATGTTTAACATCTTACCTCCTGATTCTGACTCGACCTTGGCAGATATAATGGCTTGCGTATAGAAGTTCTAAAGTCAATTTTCTACCAGAAATATGAAGTCAGATCAGTCCCCTGTGTGTGTTCAGAAAGTGGGGATGCCCGCGGTTGGCTTGGCAACTAGGCAGGTGCAAACTTCCTGCCACAGGGCAGTTCTCGCGAAACATCACGAGGTAAAATGATGCTGTTTTAATCCTCAAAGACCTCCCG
This sequence comes from Homo sapiens, assembly GCF_000001405.40. Lineage (NCBI taxonomy): Eukaryota > Metazoa > Chordata > Mammalia > Primates > Hominidae > Homo > Homo sapiens. The sequence continues at coordinate 49,866,507 of NC_000015.10, read as the reverse complement.
TTTGCATTTGATTTTATTTACAGATAGCCTTGGATACCAGTTACTGGACTTTCATTAATCACGTCTTCATCTGGGGGAGCATTGCCATTTATTTCTCCATTTTATTTACAATGCACAGTAATGGCATCTTTGGCATCTTCCCAAACCAGTTTCCATTTGTTGGTAAGTGAGTCATGTTGACTAGTGGAACCTAGTGTCTGCTGCTGTTTACTTGTCTTATAATTTATTTTTTGTGTTAGGTAGAGCTGGGGATGATTAGTGATCCTTTGTCCAGAAATTGTTTGAGCCAGGCATCTGAAGGCTTCCGAGTTTAAAAGTGGCTCTAAAAGCTCAGTTTCTGCTGTCTCTACTGGATGCAGAAGAATCACTCACAGTAGCTTACAGGTTCTCAACAGCTTACATGTAGTAGGCTGTCTCTTTGCAAATGAGAGGCATAGCACATACATTAGGGCTACCTGAAGACCTGTCAAATGCTCATATATGGTAGAGAGAAGAAAAAGAAATACTAGACTCTCCTTTTATGCCACATTATCACCAACATCTGCCAAAATTCACCCATAGAACTTATTTGCATTTAGATAAGAATGAAACAATGTATAATTTAGAGCCTTCTAAAAATTCCTGGACATTAATCCATAAGTGGCATGAGGAGTAGGCTTTGTAGTTAGTCAGTCAGGGTTCAAGCGCCAGCTGTGCCACTTAACAAGCTGTGTGACTTTGGGCAAGTTTCTTCTTTCCATGCGAGAATATATAGGAATAAACAAAACTCAGTTTCTCCTATACTCTCATTCAGCAAGCAACACAGAAGACTTCTGTGACCTCTGGTCATCGAGAAGTAGGGATTTCTTCCCACCAACAACCAATGAGGTGTTTCTGCAGAGGACCCCAGCTGGATGTTCTCCAATTCAATTCCGGCAATATCTCCTTGGAGGGAGTGTCAGATCCTACAAGTTGAGGGCTAAGTTCCGCATGACTGCCCCCACACTTCCAATGCTAGTAGCAAGCCACAGGATGTTTTACCTCTACTTTTGGCCAGCTGGCTATAAATTGGGGTTTCCCCCCAACCCCCTCCCTGGGTTTGATTAATTTCTAGAGTGGCTCAAAGAACTCAGGGAGACCCATTTACTGGTTTACTATAAAGGATATTACAAAGGATACAGATAAAGAGATGCATAGAGCAATGTGTGGAGGAAGGGGCGTGGAACTTCCATGCCCTTTCCAGGCATGCTGCCCTCCAGGAACCTCTACATGTTCAGCTATCTAGGAACTCTTTGAACCCTGTTCTTTAAGGCTGTTATGGAGGCATTTTTTATATAGGCATGACTGATAAAGTCATTGGCCATTGGTGATCAATTTAACCTTCAGTCCCTCTTCCCTTCCAGGAGATTAGAGGCTGGGGCTGAAACTCCCAACCCTCTAATCCTACCTTAGTCTTTCTGATGAGCAGCCCCCATCCTGAAGCTACCTAGGGACTTCCAGCCATCAGTCAACTCATTAACAAATAAAAAGACACATATCACTGAGGATTTCAAGGAGTTTTAAATCTATGCCAGAAAACAGAGAAGAAGACCAAACATACAGCTCACAATATTATACTATGCATTAATGTCTTCACTTATAAACTGAGGATATTAATAAGCCTATTTTCATGGAAAATTTATGAGGATTAAATGAAATAATACATATAAAGCACTTAGCATGTATCCTGGTACATAGTACTTTTTAAATGTTAACCATGGTGATGGTGATTATTATTATTCATGCAAATGTGGCTCGATTACTGGTGGGAAGATTGCAGAGGAATTTGAACATCAGATGAGTAGCAAAGGACCCTCTAAAATCCCTTAAAAAAGATTCTATTATTCTACAAAGAGTATACCTCTGGTCTATGTATAGGGTATACCATCATTGCACTCCACATTTCAAAATGATTCCCAGCAAAGGCCACTGAGCTTTATAAAAGAGGGATATTAATATACTTTCTCAGAGGTTTTGAAATCTCTAGTGTGTGTGAAATAAGCTGCTAACCGAGTTCATCTAAACAAACTGGAAAAGAGAGATGCGCAGTGACCAACATTCTTGAACTTAATCAGGCAAGAGTGAGATTTGTATCCACTAATTGAGGAAGTAAATTCTTGGACTAATTTATGTAGAAAGCAAAATAAGACCACAAGGACTAAAATAGGATTATAAGGTTAGTAAGGTTACAAATCCACATTGATGCAAAGGCACCTGAAATTGTAATTCAATTTAAATTCACGCATACACTTAAAAATGTTCTTCACCTTTTGCCTTTTCCTACATGTAAATGGAAATCTTTAAGTTGCACCACTCTTACTTAATATGTACTGGTAATACGTTGTTTACCAAAAGATTCCAACTATGTAGAGACATGTTGGTCATGAGTAAGAATGAGCATATTGGGAAACAAAGACACCAAAACTATTTTTGTTTTATTTTTTTAAGATCGTTTGCCAAAATGAAAAGTTCAGTGTATTGACTAGAAGATTTCCAGTCCTAAGAGAGCACTGTGATGCATAATGAGACTAGAATGCCTCAACTGGAGAAAGTAATTTGTGCAGGGACCACTCTTTTCCAGCTAAGCACAAGCCATTTCAGTAATTAATTACTGAGCTCCAGTGAAATTTTTTAAAAGTTAGATCAACATTGGGGTTTCAGGAAAATTTTTTTTTTCCTTAGTAGCTAGCAGCAAACAGGAGTGTGGTTTCAAAGTGAAGCTTGTTTTCCCAGCCATGCCTGAGGGTACCAAGCTTCAAGGAGCTCAAAGAGACATTTAATTGATTAAGTCAAGTTTGTTTCTGCCCATGGCTGAAGGCAACTGGAATCAGCTGCTCTTGGGTAGGCAGATTCCTGTCTCTAAAGCCAGAAAAAGCAGACATACCATTCAGTAGCCAAGCCCTCATACCCAAAGCGCATTTGAATGGTGGTAAGCTTTGAATACTGGGATAGGGGACCTGGATAACTGGGGGTATGATGATAAATCTCTAGAAAATGAACAGGGACAAAAGTTTATTTTGGTGATATAAGCAGGGTTGGCATCTTCCCATGGAGCTTGTCTGCCTGCCTTACTGACCCGTATTGCCTTGTTTAAACCCACAATGGGGTATGTGAGGTGTGAGTAAAAAGTAAGGAAACTGGCTTCAGGCTTGGAAATGAGTTTCACTGTCCTATTGCCCTAGCATGTTGGATGGCTGCATCAACAGTCTCCTGGTGAGGGAATGTTCTTTTCACAAACCCAGGAGCCTTCTTGATCTTGGAACTTTGAGGACTTCATAACCAAGTGAACAATAGAGAAATAACAAGTTCCTCTGAGGCAGGTTTTCTCGGGCCATTGCCTGAAATTAAAAAGTTGGTCCTGCAATAGATAAAGCTCCCCTTTTATGACAAGCCAATCAATGCGATCATTACTTGAGATTGTACCTGCATCTGGAACATTTTTTGTGTAGCTTTGATGTGATAGTTTTAATTCAAGAGTCCACAAGGGTAAAGGGTAAATGTGCCTTTTAAAAATAATGGCTGCTTTGTAACCACAAGATCTTGATGCTGGAAGAGAGAATTGTGCTCCGTGAGTGATATTAGACTGAGCCTGGGTGAGAGAATGCTTGGCTCAGGCTGGTAATCTCTAAGTGATCAGGCCACTAAGCCGTTCCTGAGGGTGATCTTAGCACTTCTGCCTTCTTATCATCATGGTGACATTAGGTGATCCAAATCTCACCATTGAAAAAAGATCTTGGCCAGGCGTGGTGGCTCACGCCTGTAATCCTAGCACTTTGGGAGGCCGAGGCAGGAGGATCATGAGGTCAGATCGAGACCATCCTGGCTAACATGGTGAAACCCTGCCTCTACCAAAAATACAAAAAAAATTAGCCGGGCGTGGTGGCGGGCACCTGTAGTCCCAGCTACTCAGGAGGCTGAGGCAGGAGAATGGCATGAACGCAGGAGGCAGAGCTTGCAGTGAGCTGAGATCGCACCACTGCATTCCACCAGCCTGGAAGACAGAGCAAGACTCCATCTCAAAAAAAAAAAAGATCTTGTAGGAACAAAGAACCTATTAATTAATAATTCAGTCCTACTTGTAACCACAGTGTATATTTTCTTTAATGATTGATAGGTAATGCACGACATTCCCTGACCCAGAAGTGCATCTGGCTTGTAATTCTCTTAACAACAGTGGCTTCAGTTATGCCAGTGGTGGCATTCAGATTTTTGAAGGTGGATTTATACCCAACCCTGAGTGATCAGGTATGTCACAGTGCTGATGAATACTTGAAGGCTGGTTTTTGGCTCTTGAAATGGTGTCCTTTTCTGCCTTATTGGAAGCTCAGAGATGGGCTAATGAAATTGTCACAAGCAAACACCTACTGGTGCATGAGATCACATCAGAATAGATGGGACTTCCCACATCTTGAATGTACTAGTCCTTAGTGCCATGAAGAGAGGCATCTATACTAAATGTGGATGGGGAGTCATAAATTACAAGTTGAACTGGGTATTTTAAAAAGCTGACTTTTAAAAAGAAGATCACAGGCATCATTTTGGACAATTTTTCCAAGGGAAAGGCAAGCTATAGGAAAAGATACTGATTTGAGGGCAAGTACAAGCACAATAAAAGAGAGACAAGCATGGTATGAGTCAAAGGGGCTTAACATTTTTGTAGAAATCCAGTAGCAGATTCAGAAACATGGGTGAGATGTTACCTTCTGAACAGATTAAGAAGGGGAAGAGCAGCATGCTGGGTAGATTAGTACACTTGGAAGGAAAATAGGAAGAACAGGTTATAGAAATTCCTTAACTGGAGAATTAACAGAACATATTTCAGAATTTCATGGGAAGAGGAGTAAGTAGGACAATATCAACTTAGGTCAGGACTCAGATAAAGCGTGAAAAGGAGAAAGGGAGACAAACATTCATAGCCATGTCATGAGAAGGGGGAACATGCTGCTGTGGTGAGTGGGACCAGGCCAGTGATGCTGAGAGAGACTGAGGTAGGTAGGTAGGTAGGTAGGTAGGTAGATAGATAGATAGATAGATAGACAGACAGACAGACAGACAGACAGACAGACACACACACACACACACACACATTTTTTTTTAATCATGATGTCTCTGACATTTTGGGACCAAAGTGTAAAAAGATTCCTTCCGGAAAAATTCGGAGTCCCTTGTCATATCTGTCCTCTCTCTTTGGTTCTCCAAGCTCATTCTGACATAAACCCAGAAAATGGCGGATGAGTTAAGGAAGGAAGGATGTGCTTGTTTGTCCGATAAGTTTGATCGTGATGTTCTGCTTGATGGTTTTCTCCTGACACAAAAGTCAGGATCCAAGTGATTTGCCAAACCAGAGAACAAGGTTGCTTACAACAAACCTCAGGTCTTTTTCTCCTTAGCTTTACAGGGAAATGAAAGAGTACAGCAAACCTCAGGTCTTTTTCTCCTTAGCTTTACAGGGGAATGAAAGAGTTGTGGGAAACCTACTCACATAATAGGGAACATTTAGAAAGGCCATACAAACCTAAGAAATCAAAACCCTGGAAGTCTCATGATACGTTGAGCTACCACAAGAATTGAATATTTCTGACTCATTTTCTGAATTTTCTTCTAGTCCAGTTACTGACAACTGTTGGATCCAGAGAATCTCTAAAAGAGAGGAAAAAGGCTGTTTTGGGAGAATGAAATTATAAATTATTATGCTGACTTTGGGCGGTGCATGTTAGAAAATCTTTCTATACAAATGTATGCTCATATGCATTGAAGATACATGAGAGACAATAATGAAATTTGTCTGATATTTCTTAATTACTTAATAGTGTCTCGATAGAGATAAAAATGGACCAGTGCCCCCCCAGTGTTATCTTTTGGGTGGAAAATTTCTTAGTTTTTAGATTTAAAACTTCCTTTTGCAATGTTGTTTTTACTTATAAAAAAAAAAGGCTTTCACTTTACAAAGTGGGCCACTGCCTGGAGTCTATCATTTGGATGCATCATCTCACTTTGGGTCTGTTTCTCTCCAGATCCGCCGGTGGCAGAAGGCTCAAAAGAAGGCAAGGCCTCCAAGTAGCCGAAGGCCTCGGACCCGCAGGTCAAGCTCAAGAAGGTCTGGATATGCTTTTGCTCACCAAGAAGGCTATGGAGAGCTTATCACATCTGGAAAAAATATGCGAGCTAAAAATCCACCCCCAACATCAGGGCTGGAAAAGACACATTATAATAGCACTAGCTGGATTGAAAATTTATGTAAGAAAACCACAGACACCGTGAGCAGCTTTAGCCAGGATAAAACAGTGAAACTGTGAGTCAATATGAATTTAAACCACGTAGTTATCTTTTCACTTCAGGTGGAGCTGAAATTCTGCTGGCTCCAGAGTTTGAGATTTGAGGCAAGAGGTGGGGCAGGCAGATTGCCTCACTTAACTTAAATCTGCGGCAGACAACTGCCAGTGCCCATCAAACAGGAGTGTGCGCTATGGAAAACCAGGCCAGAGGGTCACTGTCTGGTTTGTGATTTGGTGGACAAAACACTCGCTGTTACAAGTACAGATTTTTTTTTTTTTTAAATCAACCTAGATACCAATTGACCTGAACTTTAGAATCTTATTTATGGAGAAAAACTTGTAAAGCTGCATATTCACTGAATGGATCCTCAGGCGGATAAAAGGGTGCATTTTAAAGGTATATATCCAAGCTGAAAAGCATGCCTATTGACAGATAAACATGTATCTGTAAGATCAGCCTTTCCCAAGGTATACTTTTAAAATTTAAAGCGTGTACTGTGTTGCTTTCAGACTGAGTTGCATGTCACTCTTTAGTCTTGATATCTACCTGTCTGTTCAGCCAGGACAACAAATGGCTTCCAAGCCTGAAGAATACAAAAGTGTGCTTGTGTTTCTCATTTTTATACCAGTCTAGGGACAAAGGAGACTGAACATCTTTGCAGCAGGATAGGCTGGTAATTTGATCAAATTTATTCAAAAAGCTCTCAGTCTGTGTCATGTAAGGACATGCTTATGAAATGTGAGAGAGGCTCGCCACTAAGTATTCTAAATACTTTTCAATGGCTTTTCTAACAACCTCAGTAGTAATTTGCTGAGCATCATCCAGACCATTAATAGAATCAGCAAAGCACTGGAATTTCACACTTTAATGATAATATTCCACATAGTCTATGGGCAAATATTTTCAACATTTCCAATTTTTAAAGCTTCAGAATTGAAGCCAAACAAATTAATAAATAATTGTTTTAATTACTATTTAAAAACTCAGGTTTAGATTGTTTAAAATTAGTTGCTTTTGATACTCAGCTGTCATGTTTATAATTCAAACATGTAGTAAACATATGTAGGTAAGGTTGTTTTTTTGGAGATGTTGCAGCTCAAATTTCAGTCCACATATGAATCATCAGTGTATTTTCCATAAAGTGATTCGGGCATATTTGTGTGAAAACCTCAGTTCTGTCACTTCTTACCTCTATAAACTTGGACGATAATGTGCCTTCTCTGAGACTCAGTTTCTTCCTCTGTAAAATGAGGACATACTACCTACCTCATGTGGTTGGTTGATGATTGTCTGTCAAAGCACAAACTCTGAAATTATTAAAAACATAATTATTTCATAAACAGATGAGTTAAGTTCCAGTTAACTCAACATCAGTATAACAGAGCAATTGGAAGAGAATATGAAAAAACTGGAATCTAAATAGTCAGTGAGGAAGGCTTTGATAAAATGAAATTGCCAGAAAGATATAAAACTGGTTAGGGTCCTACAGGGAAATAAAATTATAACCGTGGAGGTACATTTCTCTACCAGAAAGCAAAAATAAAGCATCATGTCTTAATGGTTTTCTACAAATCAACTTCTAATTCTACAGAGTCCTTAATCTGGTCCCTATTAAATTCTTGGTCAGACAAAGTTACATTTCCCAAGAGAGTCAGGTGACACTTGAGTGAGTTTGATGGATAATGAGCTAATGTGATATCTATAGGTCACAATTTTTTAAAACCAAAATTTTCAAGTCTGGGATAATCTTTCCTAAATGGGATCAAATGAAATAATATGTGTAAAAGAGTCAAATGCAGTCCTTTACCATAGTAACTGCCTATGGACGTTGTCTTTCCCTTACATGCCTGCCTACACTTAACCAGATGTTGGTTTTCAATGTCTAATTTGTCATTAGTTTCACCACATTTGCTCACTTTTTGTAACATTTTTGCAAGATTTGAAAACTTTCAGTAAATGTTTTGGCACTATTGGTACTTGATGTTTTATCTCTTCTTTATGGGAAATTCATTGGGGAGATTTTTGTTACATTAGTCCACGGGTATTTTTTTCTCTCCTTTACATGCTGGGGAAAATGTACTCATTCTTAGAATCAGAGTCAAGAATAAAATGAAACAATTGGACCTATGTGTAAGGGATAGGAAAGATTAGAAGTGGTCCAATTTTGCAAGTCCAGTTTAAATTAAATAAGGCTGTTTATAAACAAATAGTGTGGATGATTGTGAGAGAAACATATTATCAGCTTACTTTGGCCCCATGAGATCCAAGTAAACTCACACACCCATTGCGAGATCATTCAATTACAAGCGCCAGGGATTATTTTGAACCTGAAGATGAAAAGTGATGAGAGGTGGGTAGTGATGGTGGGGGCACTGGGGAATAATAACATTTTAATTTTACATAAATGTTATCAAATTATTTGGAAAGAAAAACTATTTTTTCTAGATTTAAGCTGATAATCTTGTGTTTTTAAAATCTCAGCCCAAGTTTTGAGCTATTATAGGTAATTGCAAATTGTGTTTCCCTGACTTAGCTCTGCTATCTTTGGCTCTCTCCTCTGCCTCCAGATGTATATACTTATGAAGGAAAGAAAGAGAGAGAGGAAGGAAGAAAGTAAGACAGATAAAGCAAGAGAGGAAAAAGTAATGGAGGAAAGGATGGTGGGAGGGAGAAAAGAGTTTTCCAGTTATATGTTTTTTTGAGATAATCTGACTCTCTGAAAAATAAATGTAATCCCTCAAAGAAAAAAAAAGTGGATTATATTTGACTCTTGAATAGTAAAATTTCCTTCACATCTTGTGTGAGAACAAGAAAATCTTACCAGAATGGGGGCCGGGAGCCCTGGCTTCCTGTCACAGTGATGGTGCTGATCTGTGTGAGCTGGGGCATGCCACCTGACTTCTCCAGGCCTTGGTGTCCTTGTCCATTGATAGAGAAATTGGGACAGGATGGTCTTAAAGCCCTTTTCTCATTTACCCAATCTGTGAGCTGTTCTTGTCAGTGTTGTCTGTTGTGTATTTGCAATTGCCTTTGTTAGAGAGACAGATTTTCTATATATATATATATATAGAGAGAGAGAGAGAGAGAGAGAGAAGAAACTGACTTGGATGTTCTCTTGAGGGCAGGGCCTGGCTCTTCAGGCTGTTGTACTGGTTTGTATTTCTCTAGACTAGCCCCTGATGCACTGCTGTCTCTGGCTTTTCTCTCAGCTCACCACAGAGCTGCTAAACCCTGTGGTGGCATTTTACCTGGGTCAGTTGAATGCTGTTTCTTGTTAATGATTCATGAAGGTATCTCCACACCCTCCTTTCCTCTCTCATCATTTTGAGTAACAAAAGTATCCAGATGTGAAGGTAAGATACTCATGTCCTGTTAAGAAGAGCTCATTTAAAAGTCCTCCCTACCTTGAATCTGGGCTTAGAGGAGATTCTTTGAGCCTTTGTTCCCTTGGGACCGAAGTTGAAGCAACAGAGCTTGAACAATTTTCTTCATAGTTATAGAGCACTTTGCAGTTTGTGTATCATTCTTACATAAACTGTATTGTGTCTGTGTAGATGTAAAGTGTGCAGATTTAGGGAAAAGTGTAAATAAATGTAAAAATGTTCAGAAATATATGTTTCAAATGTTCTTTTACCTTTCAGTGCAAATAAGAAAAATCTCCCTTCCTTCCTTCCTTTCCTACAGCATTTAGTGACGTCAGGTAGGTGTGGAAGGCAAAGGAAATAAAAATGTCTCAAACTATTTCTAAAAAGTCACTAGGAAATCCAACTAATGAGAAAAGCTCTACTTCTGATTTTTATGGTAAGAAATTGAATTACTCTGTTAGTGTGTGCACAAAATGCCTCAAGATTGATATAATCTAATTATCTCAGTTATATGACTCAGAATTATTATTTTACACTACAAAGAGTAGGCACAAAGTTAATAGTGTAGGAATCCAGGAATAATGATGACTTACAGACTTTGTGATGGAATTCTGCAGGCCATGGGTCAGATAACCGTGTGGGGGGGGGGGGTCACAATTTTCCAATTTTTACATTAACATCTGGTATTAAATGTCTGCAGTTTGCTCTACTGCGTCACATTTCATTCCTTGGTGAGAAATCATAAGCTTTTGCAATTCTCTAGCCTAAGCCTTTAGCTGAACTGCCTGGAAGCCAGAACTAAATGACCCACGTATTACCAAATGTGTATTGCAAAAGATTTGGAGGACCTTGCTGGGCTAATCTGTAGTTTGGGGCTATGACTTAACCCTATCTGTCCTTGAATTTCAAAACTTCCTGGCAGATCTATTCCTGTAACTGGTGCAGAATACAAATCAGCTTGGAGCTGCATACATAAACATCCAGATTTCAAGAAATAATAATGATTAGTTGGCCAGATATCTCTGGCTATCTCAATTCAGATTCCCATAAGGTTTATAAGGGCAAGTTAAAATTTTTAATAAACTGCAGCCCTAGACTTACACAGAAAATTCTTACTGGAGCAGGATGCATGGAGAGATGATAGTTAACTTGGAAGTAAAGTAATGATCAAGAAGAAATCTAGTTGTTTCACCCCTTGTAATAAATGTTTCTATACTCCCTGCCTTCTTCTAGGTAAATGTGAGCAATGATTAGGATGCTTCTTTAACAGCTGATGATTTTCCTTCTCATCCCCTTTCTGTCTCTGCTCCAGTATGTGACACTATAGAGATACAGGGAAGTATGAGATAATGCACCAAGATTGGACAGAAATAATAATATTGACCCCAAAACATCCTCAGAAAAGGTTTTGAATAAAATTCCTGTTACTGAATTTCTTGAGATAATGTCACTTTCATTAAATGACTACTGAAAAAGAATAAATTAATTTGGGATTATGATTAGTGACTGGGGGAGATATTAAGCTTATTTAACAAACAGTTGGACAGGGACACTGACCAATAAGAATGAACATGGGCCATCAATGGCTAGTCTTGCCCCACTGCTAATGGCAGCTGGCACTCTGACCTATTTGGACCACGTGATAAGTCACATTTGAAACTATACCTATTTTTCTTTATGAGGTGCCTATTTGGTCTAAACCAGATAAAAACAGCAAGATTTTTTTTTAAACCAAGTAACACCAAAAACACTATAGGGCAGGTCAAAATATTTTCCTGGTATCGTTTTGTGTGGTAGCTAATAGTTTTCTGAAGGTACGAGATGATGTGTTTTGAACAACAGGAATAGTTTCTAACTGCATATTATTGACAAAATATGTTTAGGTATTGTGTATGGTTTTTTGTCTCAATGAATACTAACATTTTTAATTGAAATATTTTTAAAAATATATATTTTACAATTATAATATAAATAATTGTGGTTCATAGTTTGGGAGCTTAGTTAAATACTTAGGGGTAGACAAGATGACCAGAATTATCTTTTTGATTGACAGGCAAGACTTTGTTTTACGGTTCCATTTCTTCCTCAAAGTTCTCATGTATGGTTCACACATAGCTTACATCTAGTAGACCTCTCAGATGAAATGTACTAACAAATTTAGTTCTACTGGACTAAATTTAAAATTAATAAGTGAATCAATCACTTAATAGAACACTGAGTGTGGAGAGGCCACGGTACAAGATAAATAAGAAATGGTTTCTTTTTCTTGCCTTCGGAGAGGTTCTAACCCAGTATCTTTCAACCATGCATTATACATACCACAGTTGATGGAATCTAAAATGCCCCCTTGTAAATGATGCACCATTCATTTACATACCACGGGAAAACAAGAAGAATATTGCCGCTTAGAGTTGTAAAGATGCCATTGGATGTAAGATTTACTTCTAATTTCAGAGATGTTAAATTATGAAATCTGGTAAGTATTGGATTGCAGGAGGTTTAAAAATATAGTTCATGTCAACTACTTTTTTATTGTATTGCTGTACAGGAAGCATGTCAGCATCTGCTTCTGGGGAGGCCTCAGGAAGCTTCCAATCATGGCAGAGGTGAAGGGGGAGCAGGCACATCACATGATGAAAGCAGGAGTAAGGAAAAGGGAGTGGGGAAGATGCCACACACTTTGAACAACCAGATCTCCTGTGAATTTATCACCAAGGGGATGGCCCAAGCCATTCATGAGAGATCCACCTCCATGATCCAAACATCTTCCACCAGGCCCCACCTCCAACATTGGGGATCACATTTCAACATGAGATTTTGGCAGGGACAAATATCCAAACTGTATCAGGACTAAGGACCAAGCCCTTCTCTGTCTCTTGGGACTAGGTAAGACCTGAAATTCTTATACGCTCCAAGGAGATGGAATGGACAGACTAGAGGTTCAGAGCCAGTCTAATTTGATATGAAAAGGTAAAAAAATTTGATACTTCTTACATCTCAGTTCTGTAGAAGAAACTCAAACCCATTGTGTAATTCTTTCACTTGATATTTGGTATAATAGTCATGGTCATCAGCTCATTCTGAGCAGGAGTGCTAATGAAGGATGTGTGTCTGTCAAGTCCAGGCTGCTTCATACAACTCTTGTGCACTCCACCCTCTATCCCCCCATCATCCTCACCCCCAGTTCTTCCTCCTATTCCCCACACTGTGGTGGTGTTGTTAATTCATCCACCCATTAGGCTGAAATGCAGGATATCAGGCCCAGGCCCCTAATTGCTGTTGTAGACTGGATACACATTCTTATCAACTCCCTTTACCATGGGCTTTTTTCTCTGACCCTCTGGTAAGTGGCCTGGGACCTTCTCTAAAATAGCATCATAAATCAGCCAGAGCTGGAGTGGTATCACCACAAAATGAAGAAGGAGATGAGTAGAGTACCTTCTACACATCCTCACCCTGGGTGGCTCAAAGAGGAACTATGCTTGTCTGAGTACCATTGATGATTGAGATAGAATTGTAAGGTGGGTGATCTGTCTTGCGTAGCCTCCTTCACTCTAATCTAATCTTACCACCTAACATGCCCTTCCCCATCTAGGTTACTCTTCTAAGTCTGCCTCAGTTACCTGCTGTAACCCCTTTAAAAGTGTTCCAGGTGATTCTCCTGCATTCGCCCAGGAGACTATGTACATACTTTCAACTTGATGCAGGAACTTCCTTCAGAATAAGCCTGCAGATGGCATTCAGTCTCTGCTCAGATGTTCCCAATGATGCAGTGCTCATGAGCTCAACGAAGCCAGCTCCCTTCGAACAGCTCCATTGGTGAGGAATCTCCTTCTTCTTTTGACCTGAGGTCTGTTTCCCCATCATTACCCTGCATTGTTTGCCTCTGCCCTTGCAAAAGAGACTGAATAAGTATCTCTCATGTGACAGCTCCTCAAATATTTGAAAATAGTTGTTCTGTCCTTTGAGTTAAATAGCAGCTTTTGTTGATTGTCTGTAGTCTTTAAATTAGTCTGTAGTCTAGATAGTGTGAGTTGGAATAGTTCCTGACCTCAAAAATGTTTTGATCTTCCTTGGGGACCTTGTCTAGATCTGGGAAGGAGTACCTTGAGGCTGAAAAAATATGAAAAAATAAAAACTGAGGAAAAGGTGGTGGTGGGAGAATAATTTCCAAAGAATGGCAAACTGATACCCAAATAGTCAAGGGGATTTCTCTAACACCACTTCTTAGTATGGGATAGTCCCGAATGTCCTTGGCATAAAAGAATTGATGAGAACAAAATCCAGCAACAAAGAAAAAATGTTTTCATAGTAAAAGAAAGGACTTGAGCATCATGGGGAGCTGGGAAAGGGGAATATTTGAGAGAAAGTCATGGGACAGATTGAGTCGTAGGAAAAAAGTGAAAGAACATTTATACTCTGTATAGTTTGACCACCTAGGAGAAGGAGGGGAAGGAGAAGCCAGGGGAATGGCTGACACTTTAGAAAGTCCATCGGTTACCTGTGGGACTGTTAGCAAAGATGCCTTCTCTAAGTGCATTTACCCACCTGGAAAATGGGGATCATGAGATGTTCCTTGAAGGATTGTGAGGATTACTAAGTGCTGGGTATTGTGCTAAGCCTCATAATAATTAGCTCATTCAATGCAATCTTCACAGCAACCCAGTGAGGTAGGCACCATTATTTTCCCCATTTTAAAGGGAAAGAATCAAACCCCAGAGAGGTTAAGTAACTTTCTCAGAGACGTATAATGGAAGAGCTGGGATTCAAACCCCAGGAGTGGCTTGTGCTCTTAACCCAATGCTATCTCTAGTTGACACTTAGGTCATAGATTTGGTCTTTTTTTTTTTTTAATTTTAACTTTTATTTTAGATTCAGGGGGTAGATGTGCAGGTTATATAGGTATATTGCACAATGCTGAGGTTTGGGATATGAATGATCCTGTCACCCAGGAAGTGAGCATAGTACCCAATAGTTTTTCAACACTTGCTCCCTTCCCCTAGTAGTCCCTGGTGTCTATTCTTGGCCATTTTTATATCCATGAGTACCCAATGTCTAGCTCCCACATATAAAGGAGAACATGAGGAATTTGGTTTTCTGTTCCTGCATTAATTTGCTTAGGATAATGGCCTCCATCTGTATCCATGTTGCTGCAAAGGACATGATTTTCTTCTTTTTTATGGCTATGTAATATTCCATGGTGTATATGTACCACATTTTCTTCATCTAATCCACCCTTGATTGGCATGTAGGTTGATTCCATGTCTTTGCTACTGTGCATAGTGCTGTGATAAACATACAAGTGCATGTATCTTTTTTGTAGAATGATTTGTGTATATACCCAATAATGGGGTTGCTGAGTTGAATGATAATTCTGTTTTAAGTTATTTGAGAAACTTCCAAAGTATGTCCACAGCGGCCGAACTAATTTATATTGCTACCAACAGTGTATAAGTCTTCCCTTTTCTCCACGGCCCTGCCAGCATTTGTTTTTTGACTTTTTAATAATAGCTGTTCTGACTGGTGTGTGATGGTATCTCATTGTGGTTTTGATTTGCATTTCTCTTATAAATACTGATGTTGAGAATTTTCTCATGTTTGTTGGTCACTTGTCTGTCTTCTTTTGAGAAGTGTCTGTTCATGTCTTTTGCCTACTTTTTAATGAAGTTATTTGTTTTTTGCTTGTTCTGCTGTTTAAGCTCCTTATAGATTCTGGATATTAGACCTTTGTCAGATGCATAGTTGGCAAATATTTTCTTCCATTCTGTAGGCTGTCTGTTTACTCTGTTGATAGTTTCTTTTGCTGTGCAGAAGCTCTCTAGTTTAATTAGGTCACACTTGTCAATTTTGGTTTTGTTGCAATTGCTTTTGAGGACCTAGTTGTGAATTCTTTCCCAAGGCCAATGTCCAGAATGGTGTTTTCTAGGTTTTCTTCTAGGATTCTTATAGTTTGAGGTTTTACTTTTAAATCCTTAATCAATCTTGAGTTAATTTTTGTTTACGGTGAAAGGTAGGGGTCCAGTTTTATTCTTCTGCATATGGCTAGCCATATAAACAAAAATTAAATCCACCATAAACAAAAATTAAAAATAAAAATTGACAAGTGGGACCTAATTAAACTAAAGAGCTTCTGCACAGCAAAAGCTTCTATCTCAGCACTGTTGATTGAATAGGGGGTCCTTTTCCCATTGCATATTTTTGTTGTCTTTGTCAAAGATCATATGGCTACAAGTGTGTAGCTTTATTTCTGGGTTCTCTATTCTCTTCCATTGGTCTATGTGTCTGTTTCTGTAGCAGAACCATGCTGTTTTGATTACTGTAGCCTTGTAGTATAGTTTGAAGTAACATAACGTGATACCTCTGGCTTTGTTCATGTTGCTTAGGATTGCTTTGGCTATCTAGCTTGTTCTTGGGTTCCATATGAATTTTAGAATAGCGTTTTTCCAGTTCTGTGGAAATGACATTTGTACCTTGATAGAAATAGTATTGAATCTGTAGATTGCTTTGGGCAGTATGGCCATTTTAATGAAATTGATTCTTCCAATCCATGAGCATGGAATGTTTTTCCATTTGTTTGTGTTATCTATGATTTCTCTCAGCAGTGTTTGTAGTTTTCCTTGTAGAGATCTTTCAACTCTTTGGTTAGATGTATTCCATGTATTCCTAGATATTTCATTTTTGGGGGGGCTATTGTAAATTGGATTGTGTTCTTGACTTGATTCTCAAAGCTTGAACATTTTTGGTGTATAGAAATGCTACTGATTTTTGTGTGTTGATTTTGTATCCTAAAAGTTTATTGAAGTTGTTTATCAGTTCCAGGAGCCTTTTGGCTGAGTCTTTAGGACTTTCTGTCTATGGAATCATATCATCAGCAAAGAGAGATCATTTTACTTCTTCTTTTCCTATTTGGATGCCTTTTATCTCTTTCTCTTGCATGATTTCTCTAGCTAAGACTTCTGGATTCATTCTTCATAGTTTCTGGTAGCTTAATTTTTGGTCACAAATGTGCACACTTCCTATTAAGGCTCTTCTTTTTTATCTGATTCCCTTAGACATTCAACACCCTTCAATATTTCTTAGCTGTTTCTTTATTTTCTCAACTTCTAAGCTATGAGTCAGTTTAAGGAAAAAAAAAAGAATTTTCTTTGAAAGTTACCTTATCTGCTTTTGTTTCTACAGGAGAAAGTCAGAACCTGACTTGAGCTAACACTAGGCAAGTGTCCATTTTCCATGGACCCCTGCTTTGGTGCTTCTTCAGATACATATGCTGGAATCAATCACTGTAAATTCTAAGCAAGTTGCTTTTTGCCTATAATAATTTTATAAATTATTCAGCATTCATACTATACTATATAAATATATATTTATACATATAAATAATCAATCACTGTAAATTCTAAGCAAGTTGCTTTTTGCCAATCATAATTTTATAAATTATTCAGCGTTCATACTATACTATATAAATGTAAATATATATTTATACATATAAATATGTATAATCTGAAAATGTTATATATAACTATAGTATGAATATAGTATATTAATATTATATTTTTGTATGATCACCAAAGTATTCTTTAGCTGGGTCAGCAGGAAGGGGATGCTTCAGATTTTTGAGTCAGGCATCAGAGGCCTGAAAGTTTGAAACACTTGTTCACTTTTGATTGCTGGCTTCCAGTTTTTGGTGCAGATCACTGGCAAAGAAACCTTCCATTTTAAATCTCTCTTGAGATGCTAGATTTTTGTTTTAAATGTGATCATAGGTGGTTTGAATGGATGCATAGTCAGCCAGAAAGTTGATTTGGATCCTGAAGTTCCCTTTACCATATACAGAATTGCCAAGAACAATATGCCTATACTGCCAAGAAATTCGTCTCACTAACCTGGATATGACAAAATACTTGCCACAGCATTTCTTCACACTCCTCTGTCCTATTCCTGCTGGCCGCCACTTTTTGAGATGGCACTGCTGCATTTGTCTGCCTTACTTCTCCACAAAATCAAATCAGAAATATGGAGATGTTCAGCAAGTCACAAAAGGAAGTTCTTTCTTCTATGATTCTATCAGTTCCACTCAATTAAGAATGCTCACCCCACCTCTGCCAACCCAGAAGCTCTGCATCCTTATAACTAGATGTGTTACAAGATGTTAGATTAGAAGTTAAGATGTGCTTGCTAACCTCAGTGACATGGTTGTCTCTATCCCTGCTTCTACAACTCCTTATGCATTCCTCTCTAATCATACTTGTTATGTTTTTACTTATTGTATATTTACAAGCCTCTCTGCTCCTCCAGAGAGAGAAGTCCTGTAAGAGAGGGTCTATGTCTTGTCTTTGAATTAGCAATGCATTGCACAGTTCCTGGCAGATAATTTATTGTCACAATATCTGTTAAATAAATAAATGGTCATGATTCAGACTTACTGTTGAAATAAGAGTTCCATTCCACAGAAAGCACTGACGTGGTCTTTTTGGCAACATTAGACTTGGAAAACACGTCTCTTATTTAACCAAGGAGGCATGAATATTGTGTGCTGACCACATCCTGGAGATAAATTCTATAGTTTCATTGCTTCAATTATTCTTTTGGATCAATATCCGGCAAGGAGTAAAACCCACAGTAGTGACTGAGCCCCTAAAAATACCTCATCAACTAAACCTCATGCATGGAAGATCTATTTTAAATGCAGTGCAGTCTTTTGGGCTTTAGACAGTTTCCTCTCTGACTAATAAGGCATTTTTTCTTGGACTTGACTTCTTATATTTACATGTTCCTCAGCCTTGGTAGTCTTTACTTGTTTATATTTTATCATTGCTTATTATATCTATTCATGTTGCAAGCTACTTTGAATCCTTTACGAAACGAGATGGGATATGGCTAAAGAGACATTGTTGTGTCATAGACAGATAACTGGGATTTAAATTGGAGATTTTGGGGATTTAAATTGGAAACTTTTGGGGGAGAAGGAGAAAGGAAGTTGACTTTCTTCCACTGATCCATCCTTTGGTCATGGGCAGGTCACTTCTTTCGCTTTTGCTGTTTGCTTCTGTTAGTTGATGTAGATAGTTGAGAATCATTCCTTCAAAAATGGTGACTGAAAGGTTGGAGTTTTGTTTGTTTTTTCTAGAATACAACTTATTCATGGCACTAAAAATAACCCACAGTCATGTCTTCTCAGCAGTTATTTTCAGCCCCCAAAGAATTGCTGTGGTTTCATTCTTCAAGTCCTTAGGGTCTGGCTGTGTCTTGGGGACATTCTTGCTACTTCTTGGCAAATCAATTAATGAAGCAACAGGCTGCATATCTGGCATCAGTGGGAAATACAGAAGCAGCATCAAACACAGGCTTTCTCTCAGGGGACTTCAGGTTAGCATGGAACAGAGCCCGGCACATGGATATGTGGGCAGTGAAATGGCCCTGCACTTGGAATAGAACACCTGGGTTCCTGGCCAGGCTATGGAATCTTGAGCAATTGTATCTAATTTTTCTAGACTTAATTCCCTCACAAATAGAATTGATAGTGGGGCTGTAGTAAGAATTAAACAAGTGAATGAACAGCAAAGAAGTTTACAGTTTGCAAAATAATATGTCAGGAGTACGTGCTATAATAAAGAAGTATTATTTGTATTTGATACAAAGCAACATGTCTAGAGACATGCATACCTGAATTCATGTCTTTACCAGCTGTCTGGTTGGGGGCAAGGCACTTGACATCTCTGAGTTTCAGTTTCCTAATGTGTATAATGGGTATATTAATACCAGCATCATAGAGCTCCTGGGAGCATGGGTGGCACTGTGTAGAAAACATAAAGGGTGGCTGGCACATGGTATGCACTGAACAAGTAGAAGCTTTCATTTCACTATTACTATAGTGTAACAATGAAAATAATATATAATTTGGTGCTAAATTGTTTGCCTATGGCCTGTGGGTAGTGTAGAAGTTTAGAGAAGAGGCATGCCAGCTGTTTTTGGAGTCTTGTTAAAAAGGCCCATAGAAGAGGTGTGATTTGAGATAGGCCTGGAAGGTAAGTAAGCTTTGCCTTGGTGGAACAAACAGTAGAGTTAACACAAATTAGTCCTGTGGCCATAGACAGCATAGTTCAGGCAGGATCACACTTATATTCATATTATTCTTGGACCTTCTGTAGCACCTAGCTTGGAAGTTATTTATGTATTTGTTTGCCTCCTCATGAGATCCTAGAAACATGTCATTTTTATCTTTATATTCCTATTTTATTTCTTAAGACTTTATCTTTTTTTTTTGGACGGAGTCTCACAGTGTTGCCCGGGCTGGAGTGCAGTGGTGCAATTTTGGCTCACTGCAACCTCTGTCTCCCAGGATCAAACGATTCTTCTGCCTCAGCCTCCCGAGTAGCTGGGATTACAGGCACCCGCCACCACGCCTGGCTAATTTTTTGTATTTTTAGTAGAGACAGAGTTTCACTATGTTGGCCAGGCTGGTCTCGAACTCCTTACCTTGTGATCCACCCACCTTGGCCTCCCAAAGTGCTGGAATTACAGGCGTGAGCCACCACGCCCAGGCAAGACATTATCTTTTTAGAGCAATGTGAAGTTCACAGCAAAATGGAGAGGAAAGTGCCAGTATTTCCCATATATATTCCTTAAAGTAATGGCTCTCAACTCTGTGACTATCAAGTGGAGAGCTCTTAAGAATGTCTATGCTGGGCCTCACACTAAACCTATGAAATTGAAATCTCAGGGTATGAGGCCCAAGTGTTGGTAATTTTTCAAATATCCCAGAGGTTCACAACATGACTGTAGGTTGAAAACCATTGCCTTATAGCACCAACCACACATGAACAGATTTGTTCAATTGTTGAGATGGTTGGATGAAATGGAGTACTTCAGAAAATACACTGGACTGAAATTAGAAGTTGCGGGTTGTAGCTTCAGCTCTGCCCTGACTGCTGTGTAAGGTGGTCAGATCCTTCAGCCTCCCTGGGCTCTGTGTCCTCATCAGCATTATAGGGAGGTTGCACCCTATGTCTCTTCAAGCCTTGATGGCCTATGATGTAGCTAAGCAGATGTCATCCTACCCTCTTTAGTTTGGGAAGTCAAATCTAGTGATGGAATGGTGTGGGTGCTTTTCTTGCTTTCTCATAATACACTTCTCTCCTCACCATGCCAGCCCCACCTAGATGCACATCAGAGGAGCTTACAGAGGACGTTTGAAGACTGTTTTCTTCTTTTCCCAAGAAATGCTATGATATTGTCAGTCTGTGTTTATTTCTAACGAAGGAAATATGTCCCCTTTATTGGAAACACCTTGTGGAAGGAGGCAAGGGCCTCTCTCTGCAGTCTGGCAACTGACAGCAGAGATGCCGGCTTAGCCCCACCTGTCCCCATAGCCAAGACAGACATGGCCCCAAATGCTTCTGTACGTAAACCTTTGTGAAGTTTCCTGTGGGCACAGCACAGATTGGGCCTCAGTTGCTGCTTCTGGCCAAAGTAACTCAAACCACATGACTGGAGAGGAATCAAGGTGAATGTACTTGCACTAGAGGCAAAAAATGTAAGCAAGTGGTACCTTCTCACCTTGGTCGTGAACACCTCTCTCGTGGACCAGGCATTGGCCAGACCTATAAAGTAATAGCAAATGCCAGTCCTGAAAATCACTGTGGACTTGAAGTAGGCTATCTGATGTTCCTTATAAGACAGCCATCCTTTTTCACTCAATAAACAACAGAGGGGACAGGAAATTAGAAGGAAGGTAGTAAACATGTGAGGAATTTCTTTTGGCACCCCACCTTCTCCGTCTGAGCCTAGAGCCAGGAGGTGGAGCAGACAAAGCTCTTGTGCCTGGTCCTCAAGCTCTTTCTTCATCTCTTCAACGTAGGCTGGGTTGCCCCATGTTTGTCAGAGTTTTAAGGAGGGGTCCTTGGCCTGTGAGTGTGTGGTGGCAATAGCCATTCTCAGAAAAATGCATCTTGCAGGAAGAAAATCAGCATCTTTAGAATCCTATAGAAAACAGTCCTCTATGATGCTGTCCTTCTGGTGATTTATAAACAGGATTTCCTGTTAGACCTCAACTGAGCTTCAACTCAACATTGCCAGGTCTGTCCTGCAGACCCTGGCTGAGCGACAGATGAAAGGAATACTCAGACACAGGTATCCCATGAAAGAGTGACTAGGGGACTGCCTGGCACTAGGTGGCCGAAGAGTCAGCAGCCCCAATAAGCCGGAGCTGCTTGTATTTATTCAGTACTGGTATAATGTCAAAGGCCTGGAGCCAACACAATCTATGGGTAATTAACATTGTCATTCCCCCTTGCAGGGAGCAGTCTTGCATGCGGATGATCAAAGGTCGGTCTCTGGATGACATACGTAAATAAGCTTATCTAGAGAGGCTACCTGCAACCGAGAATGTTAAGGTATTTCCTTTGCCATAATGTAGCCATAATTGTGTTTGGGCAGGTACACAGTAAGGGTTAGAACTTTTATAACTTACACACAGTGGGAGGATTGTGAAGTGATATGTAGCGTTACCTGGCACCTTAGTCCAATGTGTGTTATTAATGAGGGACCCTACCGGGGGCAACTCAATCCCTCCCAGCCAAGCAGTTATGTTATTAGAGGCTGGAAGGGCGTGTCTGCCAAGGTAACAGGGCAGAAGAAAGATGGATCTAAGAGATGAGCCCAATAGAGTGTAGCAGGTGCGGGTTGCAGGCAGAGTGAGAGAATAAGAAAGGTTAATACTCTGTGAGACTTGCAATGTACAACAGAAAGCATAGCAAGGAACAGATTATCTGGAATGAATGGTGTCTGTGTCTGGAGCAGGATTTGCTCAGCCTCCTGAGTTTTCTTCTTCAGCATTCCCCAGGTAATGTCCGGGGCCTGTGTCATCCAAGGAAGCTGCATCAACTGGGGCTGCGGGTCCTGCAGGGTCATTTCCTTCATTTCTGGTACCGGGTTGGATCCTAGCCATGCCATGGTATGGTTTGATGAGTCATGCTGGAATCCAAAGAGGGCTTGAGGGGGTGTGAACACAAGCATGTCCTCTTCCCCATGTTAGCAAATCATTTGGACCACACCATACATTACTATTTACATGTTTCCGTAAAACCGCAGGTTTTATGTTTTGAGAGCATTTTGCAAAATGCTTTTCTATGGCTGATTGAAATTTATCATCTACATTTAAAAAATTAAGGGTAAATAAGGCTTTTGCCAATAGTGTTGCAGGGTCCTTACCCATATTCCTTCTTTTCTGTTTTTTGAGCATATTTTTAAGGGTGGAGTGGACATGTTCTACTATGGCCTGTCCTTAGGGGTTTTAAGGGATGCCTGTGGAATGTTGGATGTTCCACGTGTGACAAAATTGTTGAAATTGTGAGCTGACATAAGCCGGACCATTATCAGTTTTAATTTTTGTGGGCCACTCCATAAACACAAAAGTAAAGAGAAGATGTTTAATGATATATTGGGCAGACTCTCCAGGAAGAGCATGAGCGCTTATTAAATGGGAACTGGTATCAACAGATACATGTACATATCTTAGTTTTCCAAATTCAGGGATGTGTGTAACATCTGTTTGCCATAATTGATTAGGTTCTAGTCCTCTAAGGTTAACACCTGTTGAAGGAGGGGATGTGACTGTGAGCTGGCAATCTGGGCATTGTAAAATAATTTGTTTAGCTAGTCTTTGGGTAACTTGAAATTGTTTAGATAAATTTCTCCAATTTTCGTGGAAAAATTGGTGTGATTGGGTGGCTTGGTCAAGCAATGATGTCATAACCTGCAGGTCTGCTTGATTATTGTCATAAGCTGGTGGCCTGGGGAGTGAGGTGTGGGCCCGAATGTGTGTAATAAAAATAGGATGTGTACATTGATCTAGCAATTGCTGAAGTCAAAGAAAATGTGTACACAGGGTGGGCTCAAGAGTAGACTTAATGAGGGCTGTCTCAAGGTACTGCAATAAATAAATGGAGTAAGCAGAGTCACTAACAATATTGATAGATTGAGCAGAAAAGATTTCTAGGGCCAATATTAGGGCTCCAACCTCAGCTGTCTGAGTGCTAGTAAATCCAGATGGAGTGAGGGAGTTATGCAGTTCCCACTAGATAACTGCTTTTCCATTTTTACCAGAGCCATCAGTAAAAAGCGTTAAAACATTAGGTATGGGGGAGTGAACTACTTTTGTAGGTATAACTACAGGAGTACAAGATAAGAACTTGTACTCTTATCTATCTGAAGTAGTTTGTCAGCAGGAAGGGCATCTTCTATATGGCCTGCTGCTATCTGCAGGTCTAGAGATAAGGGCAAAACTGCTTTGAATTGTTTTTTACGCAAGGGAATTTTTGTGACATCAGGGTCATAACCTAGCAATTGATTGCATCGTCTGCAGCCTGTATAGATAACTTTACTAACTAGCTGGATATAGGGAGATAGTGTTTTAGTCCCAATATGTGAGCAAAAAACCTGTTCTAGAAAATGCAGCCCAGGGGCCATCTGTCCTATTAATCCTGTTGAGGAATGTTTAGTAGGAAAAACAAATAATTGGACTGAATATCATGGGCCTATGCTATCTAGTTGCCTCTGAGAAATAGTTTGCTCTATTTCCTCAATTTCCCTTTGTGCTGCAGGGGTTAAATACCTGGGGGAGTCTAGGGCTGCATTGCCTTTTAGGATAGAAAACAGGCTTATAACCTATAAATAGTTATGCCTAAGGTGGGGCAAAACCAGTTAATATTACCTAGTGTTTTTTGATAATCATTTAAGGTGTGTAAGTTGTTAGTATTTAATTTAACCTTCTGGGGTCTTACTGACCGGGAAGTTAGTATCTATCCAGGATATTTCCAAGGAGAGGACATCTGTACTTTTTCAGGTGCTATGATTAAACCTCTTAATTGTGTATTCTTTTTGACAGAGGCATATAAACTTACAAGTATTGGCTCTGGTGGGGCTGCCAGTAATTTATCATCCATAAAATGAATAATCTTGCAATTAGGAAATTCTTTTCTACTGGGGAGCAAAGTCTGATTTACATGATACTGACACATGGTAGGACTGTCCAGCATTCCATGAGGAAGTACTTTCCAATGAAATTGGCAAACTGACCTTTCATTATTGATAGCTGGTATTGTAAACACAAATTTTTCCCTGCCCTGTTTTGCAAGAGGAATAGTATAAAAACAGTCTTTTAAGTCAATAATGACTACAAACCAATCTAGAAGAATCACCACAGGGGAAGGGAGCCCCTGTTGAAGGGGCCCCATAGGTTGCAAATTAGCATTGATAGCATGTAAGTCATGCAAAAGTCTCCATTTACCAGACTTTTTGGGAATGACAAAAATGGACAAATTCCAAGGGCTGTTTGATGGCTCTATATGGCCAGCTTTTAATTGTTCCTCAACTAATTCATGGTCCCTTTGTAATTTATCTCCCTTTAAAAGCCACTGTTCTACCCACATTGGATCTTGAGAGAGCCACATCATGGGTAGGGGAGGAATTGCAACAGTGGCCATTATTAAAAAGGGCTCTGCAGAGTGACCCCCCATTGGGCTAATAGGTCTCGTTCCCAAAGATTAACAGGGATGGGCATGACTAGAGGTTGTATAACTGCTTTTCTCCCTTCCAAATCGCAACATGTCAGGGGATGTGTGCTCTGCTTGGCTGTGTGCATGTCCCTGATGTTAACAATTTTTTGTTTCTCAGTGACCCAAGGCCAAGTTTTCAGCCAGTTTTGATCACTAATGATTGAAATGTCTGCCCCTGTGTACAATAAGCCAGTAAAATTTTTATTTCCAATTTTTAAGGTAATCATGGGTCTCTGATCAGTGATTAATTGGTTCTAATATACTCCTGTGGCTCCCATGTTTCCAAAACTTCCCTTTCCCTTTTCCTTTCCCTGAGTGTTGGGGACCCAGTATGGTAAGAGTAGTAACTGAGCTATCTTTGATCCAGGGGGAAGAATATGCAGACCTTTACATTCCATCATAACTAATATCTCACCTTGGTAATCACTATCATTTACTCCAGTGCGTACATTGATTCCTCTACTGGATAGGCTTGATCACCTTGGGACTAATCCCACTGTTCCCAGAGGCAGTGGGTCCCAGATCCCTGTTGCAACCCTTTTAGGATCTTCTCCTTCTTTTAGCACTAATTTGCTGGGGCAGAGTAAGTCCAGGCCTGTGCTCCCAGAGGTGGCTGCTCTGAGAGAGAGGACTGTGGGCTTTCCATCTGACCAAGGAAAGCCATTGGCATTGCCCCAGTTTGGAGCAGGGTCTGGGGCTGGCCCCTTATGAAGTTTCTCGCCTAGGGGTTTGCTGTTTTTATCAAATTTGGACTTGCATTGATTTTCCCAATGTTTCCCCTTTTTACATTGGCGACATACAGAAGGGGGTTCTTTTCTGAGTTAACTTGGTCTCTACTATTGGGGCATTCCCGCTTCATATGACCTGGCTCTCTACATAGAACACAATTTGGGTTTTTCTCCCTTTTCTCTTTAGGAGGCTTTAATGCCATAGGCAATATTTTGGCTTTGTGTGTTTCAGTCCCTACCAGTTGAAACGTTCATATAAATTCCCCAACTGTAGCTGCTTTTCCTCTGATTGCCTGCATTGCCTGTTGGCAATCCACATTAGCGTTTTCATAAGCCAACTGCAACAATAAGATATCAGTGGCCTGCACATGACTAATTTGTCTTTTAATTGCCTGGGTTAACAGATTGACAAATTCAACAAATGGCTCCTGAGGCTCTTGTCGGACATTTATAAAAGATCCCTGTTGAACTCCGCTTTCGGGAATTCGGTCCCAAGCCCTAAGAGCACACAAAAACACTTGGGCATAGGCTTGGGGAACAAAACTTAATTGTTGTACATTGGCATAGGGACCCCTCCCCTGCAGAATAGCAGCTGTTATGTCTTGCCCAGCCAATTGATTCTGGTTGGCTTGTTCGCACAACTTATCATATTCTGCCTTCCAGAGGAGTTATTGACTGGGCTCTAAAGTTGTTTTAGCTAGCACTAACCAGTCCCATGGGGTCATATGGAAGTTGTCTGCTATGGTTTCAGTTAGTCCTTTCGTAAATGGGCTAGTGGCTCCATTTTCTTTAATGCTTTTTCTTATATCTTTATAAGCATCAAAAGAAATGGGCTCATATACCTGATTGCCTTGTCAATCTTGCATTACCAGGCAGGCCAAGAGCTCCCCTTCTAATGCTGCCTGCCTAAGACAGGGTCCCATAGCTGTAGTGTGGGACCTTGTCTTTTTTCCAATTAATATATTCGAGGAGGGGACTTAGGAAAAATCCCCGTTTTCTCTTTTGTACTTTTATCTGGTAATGGTGGGGCTGAGGGAGGAGGAGGAGGTGGTAAGGTAGGGGATAGTTCCTCCTCCCTTCCCTTTTTAGACTCTTCCATGTAGAGTGGGTCCAAAGCAGCACTGACTAAAGCCCATAATGTTAAAGATGTTACTGGGACCTGTTGCCCTTGTGCATAATTGCGTTTAAGATTTCTCGGGGGGGGTGGAGCCAAGATGGCCGAATAGGAACAGCTCCAGTCTATAGCTCCCAGCGTGAGTGATACAGAAGACGGGTGATTTCTGCATTTCCAACTGAGGTACCGGGTTCATCTCACTGGGGAGTGTCAGAAAGTGAGTGCAGGACAGTGGGTGCAGCGCACTGAGCATGAGCCGAAGCAGGGCGAGGCATTGCCTCACCCGGGAAGCACAAGGGGTCAGGTAATTCCCTTTCCTAGTCAAAGAAAGGGGTGACAGATGGCACCTGGAAAATCGGGTTACTCCCACCCCAATACTGCGCTTTTCCAACAGTCTTAGCAAATGGCACACCAGGAGATTATATCCCGTGCATGGCTCGGAGGGTCCTACGCCCACGGAGCCTCACTCATTGCTAGCACAGCAGTGTGAGATCAAACTACAAGGCAGCAGCAAGGCTAGGGGAGGGGCGCCCGCCATTGCCAAGGCTTGAGTAGGTAAACAGAGCGGCTGGGAAGCTCGAACTGGGTGGAGCCCACTGCAGCTCAAGGAGGCCTGCCTGCCTCTGTAGACTCCACCTCTGGGGGCAGGGCACTGCCAAACAAAAGGCAGCAGAATCCTCTGCAGACTTAAATGTCCCTCTGACAGCTTTGAAGGGAGTAGTCGTTCTCCCAGCACACAGCTGGAGATCTGAGAACAGATAGACTGCCTCCTCAAGTGGGTCCCTGACCCCCGAGTAGCCTAACTGGGAGGCACCCTCCAGTAGGGGCAGACTGACATCTCACACGGCTGGGTACTCCACTGAGACAAAACTTCCAGAGGAATGATCAGGCAGCAACATTTGCTGTTCACCAATATCTGCTGTTCTGCAGCCTCCACTGCTGATACCCAGGCAAACAGGGTCTGGAGTGGACCTCCAGCAAACTCCAACAGACCTGCTGCTGAGGGTCCTGACTCTTACAAGGAAAACTAACAAACAGAAAGGACATCCACACCAAAACCCCATCTGTATATCACCATCATCAAAGACCAAAAGTAGATAAAACCACAAAGATGGGGAAAAAACAGAGCAGAAAAACTGGAAACTCTAAAAATCAGAGCACCTCTCCTCCTCCAAAGGAGCACAGCTCCTCACCAGCAATGGAACAAAGCTGGACGGAGAATGACTTTGACGAGTTGAGAGAAGAAGGCTTCAGATGATCAAACTACTCTGAGCTAAAGGAGTAAGTTCAGACCCATGGCAAAGAAGTCAAAAACCTGGAAAAAAAATTAGATGAATGGCTAACTAGAATAACCAATGCAGAGAAGTCCTTAAAGGACCTGAGGGAGCTGAAAACCAAGGTACGAGAAGTATGTGACAAATGCACAAGCCTCAGTAGCCAATTCGATCAACTGGACGAAAGGGTATCAGTGATGGAAGATCAAATGGATGAAATGAAGTGAGAAGAGAAGTTTAGAGAAAAAAGAATAAAAAGAAATAAAAGCCTCCAAGAAATATGGGACTGTGTGAAAAGACCAAACCTACATCTGATTGGTGTACCTGAAAGTGACGGGGAGAATGGAACCAAGTTGGAAAGCACTCTGCAGGATATTAGCCAGGAGAACTTCCCCAACCTAGCAAGGCAGGCCAACATTCAAATTCAAGAAATACA
Source organism: Homo sapiens (assembly GCF_000001405.40). NCBI lineage: Eukaryota > Metazoa > Chordata > Mammalia > Primates > Hominidae > Homo > Homo sapiens. The sequence continues at coordinate 49,837,742 of NC_000015.10, read as the reverse complement.
GAGAATGCCACAAAGATATTCCTCGAGAAGAGCAACTCCAGGACACATAATTGTCAGATTCACCAAAGTTGAAATGAAGGAAAAATGTTAAGGGCAGCCAGAGAGAAAGGTCGGGTTACCCACAAAGGGAAGCCCATAAAACTAACAGCGGATCTCTCGGCAGAAACTCTACAAGCCAGAAGAGAGTGGGGGCCAATATTCAACATTCTTAAAGAAAAGAATTTTCAACCAAGAATTTCATATCCAGCCAAACTAAGCTTCATAAGTGAAGGAGAAATAAAATATTTTACAGACAAGCAAATGCTGAGAGATTTTATCACCACCAGGCCTGCCCTAAAAGAGCTCCTGAAGGAAGCACTAAACATGGAAAGGAAAAACCAGTACCAGCCACTGCAAAAACATGCCAAATTGTAAAGACCATCAAGGCTAGGAAGAAACTGCATCAACTAACAAGCAAAATAACCAGCTAACATCATAATGGCAGGATCAAATTCACACATAACAATATTAACTTTAAATGTAAATGGACTAAATACTCCAATTAAAAGACACAGACTGGCAAATTGAATAAAGAGTCAAGACCCATCAGTGTGCTGTATTCAGGAAACCCATCTCACGTGCAGAGACACACATAGGCTCAAAATAAAAGGATGGAGGAAGATCTACCAAGCAAATGGAAAACAATAAAAGGCAGGGGTTGCAATCCTAGTCTCTGATAAAACAGACTTTAAACCAATAAAGATCAAAAGAGACAAAGAAGGCCATTACATAATGGTAAAGGGATCAATTCAACAAGAAGAGCTAACTATCCTAAATATATATGCACCCAATACAGGAGCACCCAGATTCATAAGGCAAGTCTTTAGAGACCTACAAAGAAACTTAGACTCCCACACAATAACAATGGGAGACTTTAACACCCCACTGTCAACATTAGACAGATCAATGAGACAGAAAGTTAAAAAGGATATCCAGGAATTGAACTCAGCTCTGCACCAAGCAGACCTAATAGACATCTACAGAATTCTCCACCCCAAATCAACAGAATATACATTTTTCTCAGCACCACACTGCACTTATTCCAAAATTGACCACATAGTTGGAAGTAAAGCACTCCTCAGCAAATGTAAAAGAACAGAAATTATAACAAACTGTCTCTCAGACCACAGCGCAATCCAACTAGGACTCAGGATTAAGAAACTCACACAAAACCGCTCAACTACATGGAAACTGAACAACTTGCTCCTGAATGACTACTGGGTACATAACGAAATGAAGGCAGAAATAAAGATGTTCTTTGCAACCAACGAGAACAAAGACACAACATACCAGAATCTTTGGGACACATTCAAAGCAGTGTGTAGAGGGAAACTTATAGCACTAAATGCCCACAAGAGAAAGCAGGAAAGGTCTAAAATTGACACCCTAACATCACAATTAAAAGAACTAGAGAAGCAAGAGAAAACACATTCAAAAGCTAGCAGAAGGCAAGAAATAACTAAGATCAGAGCAGAACTGAAGGAAATAGAGACACAAAAAACCCTTCAAAAAATCAATGAATCCAGGAGCTGGTTTTTTGGAAAGATCAACAAAATTGATAGACCTCTAGCTAGACTAACAAAGAAGATAAGAGAGAAGAATCAAATAGATGCAATAAAAAATGATAAAGGGGATATCACCACCGATTCCACAGAAATACAAAGTACCATCAGATAATACTATAAACACCTCTACACAAATAAACTAGAAAATCTAGAAGAAATGGATACATTCCTCAACACATACACCCTCCCAAGACTAAACCAGGAAGAAGTTGAATCTCTGAATAGACCAATAACAGGCTCTGAAATTGAGGCAATAATTAATAGCTTACCAACCAAAAAAAGTCCAGGACCAGATGTATTCACAGCTGAATTCTACCAGAGGTACAAGGAGGAGCTGGTCCCATTCCTTCTGAAACTATTCCAATCAATAGAAAAAGAGGGAATCCTCCCTAACTCATTTTATGAGGCCAGCATCATCCTGATACCAAAGCCTGGCAGAGACACAACGAAAAAAGAGAATTTTAGACCAATATCCCTGATGAACATCGATGCAAAAATCCTCAATAAAATACTGGCAAACCGAATCCAGCAGCACATCAAAAAGCTTATCCACCATGATCAAGTGGGCTTCATCCCTGGGATGCAGGGCTGGTTCAACATATGCAAATCAATAAATATAATCCAGCATATAAACAGAACCAATGACAAAAACCATATGATTATCTCAATAGATGCAGAAAAGGCCTTTGATAAAATTCAACAACCCTTCATGCTAAAAGCTATCAATAAATCAGGTATTGATGGGATGTATCTCAAAATAATAAGAGCTATCTATGACAAACCCACAGCCAATATCATACTGAATGGGCAAAAACTAGAAGCATTCCCTTTGAAAACCGGTACAAGACAGGGATGCTGTCTCTCACCACTCCTATTCAACATAGTGTTGGAAGTTCTGGCCAGGGCAATCAGGCAGGAGAAGGAAATAAAGGATATTCAATTAAGAAAAGAGGAAGTCAAATTGTCCCTGTTTGCAGATGACATGACTGTATATCTAGAAAAGCCCATTGTCTCAGCCTAAAATCTCCTTAAGCTGATAGGCAACTTCAGCAAAGTCTCAGGATACAAAATCAATGTGCAAAAGTCACAAGCATTCTTATACGCCAATGACAGACAAACAGAGAGCCAAATCATGAGTGAACTCCCATTCACAATTGCTTCAAAGAGAATAAAATACCTAGGAATCCAACTTACAAGGGATGTGAAGGACCTCTTCAAGGAGAACTACAAACCACTGCTCAATGAAATAAAAGAGGATACAAACAAGTGGAAGAACATTCCATGCTCATGGGTAGGAAGAATCAATATCGTGAAAATGGCCATACTGCCCAAGGTAATTTATAGATTCAATGCCATCCCCATCAAGCTACCAATGACTTTCTTCACAGAATTGGAAAAAACTACTTTGAAGTTCATATGGAACCATAAAAGAGCCCGCATTGCCAAGTCAACCCTAAGCCAAAAGAACAAAGCTGGAGGCATCACGTTACCTGACTTCAAACTATACTACAAGGCTACAGTAACCAAAACAGGATGGTACTGGCACCAAAACAGAGATATAGACCAATGGAACAGAAAAGAGCCCTCAGAAATGATGCCGCATACCTACAACTATCTGATCTTTGACAAACCTGACAAAAACAAGAAATGGGGAAAGGATTCCCTATTTAATAAATGGTGCTGGGAAAACTGGCTAGCCACATGTAGAAAGCTGAAACTGGATCCCTTCCTTACACCTTATACAAAAATTAATTCAAGATGGGTTAAAGACGTACATGTTAGACCTAAAACCATAAAAACCCTAGAAGAAAACGTAGGCAATACCATTCAGGACATAGGCATGGGCAAGGACTTCACATCTAAAACACCAAAAGCAATGGCAACAAAAGCCAAAATTGACAAATGGGATCTAATTAAACTAAAGAGCTTCTGCACAGCCAAAGAAACTACCATCAGAGTGAACAGGCAACCTACAGAATGGGCAAAAATTTTTGCAATCTACTCATCTGACAAAGGCCTAATATCCAGAATCTATGATGAACTCCAACAAATTTACAAGAAAAAAACAAACAACCCCATCAACAAGTGGGCAAAGGATATGAACAGACACTTCTCAAAAGAAGACATTTATGCAGCCAAAAGACACATGAAAAAATGCTCACCATCACTGGCCATCAGAGAAATGCAAATCAAAACCACAATGAGATACCGTCTCACACCAGTTAGAATGGCAATCATTAAAAAGTCAGGAAACAACAGGTGCTGGAGAGGATGTGGAGAAATAGGAACACTCTTACACTGTTGGTGGGACTGTAAACTAGTTCAACCATTGTGGAAGTCAGTGTGGCGATTCCTCAGGGATCTAGAACTAGAAATACCATATGACCCAGCAAACCCATTACTGGGTATATACCCAAAGGATTATAAAATCATGCTGCTATAAAGACACATTCACACTTATGTTTATTGCGGCACTATTCACAATAGCAAAGACTTGGAACCAAGCCAAATGTCCAACAATGATAGACTGAATTAAGAAAATGTGGCACATATATACCATGGAATACTATGCAGCCATAAAAAGTGATGAGTTCATGTCCTTTGTAGGGACATGGATGAAGCTGGAAACCATCATTCTCAGCAAACTATCGCAAGGACAAAAAACCAAACACCACATGTTCTCACTCATACGTGGGAATTGAACAATGAGAACACATGGACACAGGAAGGGGAACATCACACACCGGGGCCTGTTGTGGGGTAGGGGGATGGGGGAGGGATAGCATTTGGAGATATACCTAATGTTAAATGACGAGTTACTGGGTTCAGCATACTAACATGGCACATGTATACATACGTAACTAACCCGCATGTTGTGCACATGTACCCTAAAACTTAAAGTATAATTTAAAAAAAAAAGATTTCTACCCACTTGTTCCCAGACCTCTATGTCTAGCATGCCTTCTTCCAGAACTATGGGTTATGGGAAAGTTTGCTTTAGGTCCCTTAATTGAGCCTGTGAAACTGAGGCTCTGCTAGCTTTAAGCAGCTATTTCAATATTTTTATATACTGTTTCTGTTGAGCTGATAACTGTTGTCTCATGATGAAACCCTAACCTGAAAATTCCCTCAAACTTGGAAATCCTGAGTGGGCACCAATGACTTACTGACTGCACAGTCTCTTCACCTTCATTTTTGAAGGTTCCATTGTGATCTGTTGCAGCATTCCTCACATGGAGCACCAGCTGCAGGGTTTGTCCCACAGACCCTGGCTGAGCAACAGATGAAAGGAGTAGTCAGACACAGGTATCCCGTGAGAGTAGCTAGGGGACTGCCTGGCACTAGGTGGCGGAAGAGTCAGCAGCCCTGATAAGCCAGAGCTGCATGTATTTATTCAATACTGGTATAATGTCAAAGGCCTGGAACCAACACAATCTGTGAGTAATTAACACTGTTGTCCCCTCTTGCAGGGAGCAGTCTTGTGCGCGGATGATCAAAGGTTGGTCTCTGGATGACATAAGTAAATAAGCTTTTCTAGATAGATTTCTTTACACTCCCTTGTTACGGAGTCCTCGCCCTTAGCGTCAGGGTGAGAGAATTAGCTGCCTTCAGCTTTATTCTCTCCGGAAGCTTTTGCAAGACCTTCCCACCTTTCAAGAAGGTTTGCGTCTTTCCTTATAGCTTCTCCTACCACTCTGACCGATCTCCTACACAACATGATGCTATGGAAGGAGCTAAGGACCTGGGACCAGAATGAAATCACATTCTTCCTACCCCAGTTAGTTGCTTCCACATCTCACCCCAGTCATTTAACATTAGCAGAATCTCAGCTTCCTCATCTGAAAATGGGAAGGTGGTAATCACCACAGAGGACTTGTAAGAATTTGTTCATATATTTTAACAGTTAAATGAATGGATTCTCAAGCCAGGCTGTCTAAGTTCAAACCTTCTTCTATCACATTTCAGCTCTGTGGCCCTGGGAAAGTTAATTCTTCTCTCCCTACTTCAGTTTTCCTATCTGTAAAATGGTGATAATAATAGGATTCATCTCATGGGGTTGTCACAAGGATTAAATGAAATAATACTTGTAAAGCTCCTGGAATAGTGGCTGGTACAGAGTAAGCACTCAGTAACTGGAAGAGTTAACATTTACTGTGCATTATAGTCCTTAGCACAGTGGCTGGCATACCACACATGTTCAGTGACTGCTAGTTATTATGACTACTGGGACTTCCACTCAGCCGAGGGAAGGAATGTCTGTCCTCACTTTTCATTTCCTTCCTCTCGACGTCTGGTATGAATCAGATGTGAGTCCCCTGAGGTGTTATCCTGGCCCTGGGGGGAGGAGAAGGAGAGGCTGTGAAGCCAAGTGAACAGATCAGTGACATCAGGCGAGCATCCCAGGCTCCATGGGAGAGCTCAGGCCCAGGATCAACTGACCTTTCCACAGGAAGAGGAGAAACCACAGCAGCCCTCACTTTCCCTGGGTTTTCCCTGATTCGTGATAAATCATGCTTCCTAGGTCCTGCCCTGTGAAGAAAGATGTTTCTTCAGAAGACAGGAGTGTGTGGCTAGGGTCCCAGGCTCTGAGCTCAGACAAGATGTTTTGATGATGTTGCCTGGGCCATGGTGAGAGGAGGTTTTAGCTTTGAAGGGGCCTCCAAGTCCCTGTGGTAATCACTGAAGAGGATGAGTACCTATCTCAGAGATGAATGTCCTCTTCAGGGGTCAGAAGCAGAGGTGACTAAGCAGTTTCTGATTGGCTCTTTGGCATAATTGCTATTAATTTCTCTAAAATTAGTCCATGCCATATTCCTGGAATGGACAAATTACCTGTACATCAAGGTAATTTCCAGAGAAAATTTCCTGAGAAGATAATTTCTCTGGAAATTACCTTGATGCACACTCATTTTTTCTATAAATATTGGAGGGGTCACCATATGCCAGGCACAGTGCTAGAGAATACCTTCAAAGAGGATTTCACAAAATCCTAAATGATAATTAATATTATATAATATTTTGCATATTAATATAAATGGGTTCAAAGTCCAATATGGGCATAGTGAATGGGTATATCATGCAAGGCTTTACAGATAAAATAACATTAGGGTTAAGCTGTTGGTTCCCAGAAATAGACTCACCTGAGTTAAAATTCTACCTCTGCTACTTACTCTGTATCTTGGAGAAGGTTTCTTAAACTTTCTGAGCTTTGGCTTCTCCATCTGTAAAATAAAGATAATAGTACCTTTTTAAAGGGCTCTGTATGTGGATTGAGTGAGATAATACATATAGAATGGTGTGCCAGGAACACAATTAACAAATGGTGGTTATTTTTATTAGTGAAAATCTGTACACGTCTAAAAATTCCATGTGGACAGTTTCCCAATATTATGGCATATTTGGAATTTACTCTTCAAGTTTTCATTCCATGGATGGTTGTGTTTGAGCCTAAAATCCTGCAGTCAGCACTGCTGAAGACTGTCATGGTTGCTTAAGATCTATTGAAATTCTGAGTAATAAAGGCTGAGTTCAAGAGGGGGAAGGTAGGGCCAAATAGAGTTAAAGAGTAGAGAGCTTTCCCTGAGGGGCTCACACACTGCCTCTTCTGCGCATACCTCCTAGCCTAACACAGGAAGTCTTGTGAGGCCATTCTTACCGGCTGGCTGCATTCCAAAGTTAGGGGAAAGAGGAGAGAGAAACAGAACTCTAAGTCACCTTGAGTTCACAAACTATGCAATTCCTTCTGTGAAAACCTCTATCACCCCTATAGATTAAGACATCGTGTACAATATATGACCCTTCCCCAAATGGTTCAAAATGTGTCTATTATGAGCATCAATTTGTGCCGGGCACAGAGGTCATATATGCTTGCCATCCCCTATCACTTCCATGTAACATGAGCAAAATGGCTGCAGCATCCCAAAGAGAACAGTAACTTTGAGCTATTCAGTACAGACTTCTATAGAAGTATCCTTGGTTCCTTCCGCCCTTTCTGTCTTCCACCAGTTTCATGGGTCTTTGTTTCTATTTCTATTTTTTGAGATCTCTTTCTCTCTTCTCATGATCCAGACTGTGCCACAAGACATCTTTGAGAGGCCTGAGACTGGCTAGCCCAGGAGAGGCTTGAAAATGGCTTAGATGAAGCCAAGACCAAGTGGGATATACCCCTTACTCAGCTCCTTTTTCCCCCTAGGGTTATTTAAATTGGAGTTCTCTTATGGCACTTAGTTTATGACTTTGTGTGCAGCCGTGCTGTGATTCAGAGACTGTTAAGTTTTTTCCAAGGTTAGTCCCTACTAGAACAGACACCTTTGTGGTCAAGGGCTGGGTCTTTTCACATTTTCATGGTCATGATTTCTTTTAACGGTGTCATCAAAAGAAGTTTCAAAAAGCAACTTCCTAACAGGGTTCCAATGAATATTTGAGACCTGCGTGGCTGGAGTGCTACGAAGAGGATGTAGTTGGAATGGAGAAATTTCTGGATAGTCCTGAATTTCCATTATTCAAAGTTGGCCTAGAATAAGACAGGCTCAGGTCTGGCCCTCACCCACTTATCCACTCATCTCACATCATATGTCCCTAGCCCTTTATCATCAAGACTCACTGGCTCTCTTTAAGAGCTGCAAATATTCCACTTTGCACATGATGGTCCCACTGTCTTGAGTGGTTCCATCCTCATCAACCCCCCAGCTCACTTTTACCAAGTTAACTCCCTTTATGCACCTTTGAGAGCTTACTTCAGTCACCACTTTCTCAGGGAATCTCCTCTAATCTCCTTCATGTGATAAAATTCTTTTATTTCTAGTATTCTTATAGCACCTTTACCTCCCCTTCAGGAAACTTAATACTTAACACATTTGCTCATGTAATTGACTGGTATCACTGTCACCCTCCCTCTAGATGATAAGCTCCATGAAGGCAGGGCTTGTGTCTATTTTTATTCACCACTGCATCCTTAGTGCCTACCACTTAATAGGTACTCAGTAAATATTTTGAATGAATAATTTGAAATTAATGTGGACATTTAAATACATTCACAATAATTTACTGAACATCTACTATGGGGAAAATGTGTGAGGCTTATGGAGAACAAGAAGAAAGGAAAATACTAGGAGTCACAAAGGTGCCAATAACATAAATGAGGTTGCGGGGTGAGGATTGCAGAGTAGACTAAGGAGCAGGCCAAGAGAATATGGAAATTGATTGATGTCATAAAACAATGCACATAGGATAGAATTGGCTTCATTAACGAGGGTGAAGGAATGCAGGTGGGGCTGATAAGATGAATTGATTTGTTGCAATGTCAAATTTGTGGCATAGTTTAGTAAGAGTCCATTAATTATCTATTGATGTATAACAATCACTTTCAAACATAGTTTCTTAAAATAGTTATTACCTTATAATTTCAGTGAGCATGGATTCATTGGGTTCTTTGCTCTGGGTCTCTCACAAGGTTGAGTGCAATTTACTGAATACTTATGTCTCACCAAAATTCATATGTTGAAATTCTAATCCCCAACGTAATGGTATTTGGAGATACAGACTTTGGGAGGTGATTAGTTCATAAGTGCAAAGCCCTCATGAATGGGATTTGTGCCCTTATAAGAGATAACCTAGAGAGCTAGCAGTGCCTTTCACCATGTGAGGACACTGCAAAAAGGCTCTGTCTGTGAACCAGAGAGCAGGCCCTTATCAGACACTGAATCTGCCATCACCTTGCTCTTGAACTTCTCAGCCTCTAGAACTATGAGAAATAAATTTGTGTTGTTTGCAGGCTACCCAATTTCTGGTATTTGTTATAGTAGCCTGAATGGACTAAGCTGCTGGGCTTAATAGTCTCATCGGAAGACTTGACTGGAGAATTATCCATTTCTAAGCTCACATGGTTGGCAGGATTTAGTTCTCCTGAGCTTTGGATGAAGGCTTTGGTTGCCTACTGACTGATGGCCAGATGCTTCTTTCAGTTCCTTGCTGTGTGGGCCTCTTCATAGGGTAGTTCACAACATGGTAGCTGGCTTCAACAGAATGAGCAAGTGATAGGGCAAAGGAGAGTGCCAGTGAGGGAGTGAGAGCAAGACAGAAGTCACAGCTTTTAACCCTTATCTTGGAAGTGACATCCTATCATTTTTTGCCATATTCTGTTAGTTAGAAGCAACTCACTAGATCCCAACCACACTCAAGGCGAGGAGATTATACAGCAGACAGAGATCACTGGGGGTCATTTCAGATTCTGCCCACCACAGTCTATGATTGCTATTGCCAGTTAGAATTGGAAAGAAGAGCAACATTTTTATATTTCAAGGGTTATGAATTGTGTTATTTTTAAGTAGCAGGCAAAAGGGACAAGGTAAATTGAGAGAGTATTGCCCACACTCTTATATATTGTGGAAAGAAAACTGCTGTGATAAAACACTACTTTCGGCTTGAATCTTGGCTTAGGAAGTCTCTCCCAGACAGGAGAGTAAATCATGATAAAGATGGAAATTTAGAGAAGAAAGGCAGGATTTTACATATAACTCATGTTCTGAGACCAGGGATAAGATGTTAGAACAAAGTTAAAAATTTCCTTGTTCCCAGCCCTCACAAGATTCCTCCCACACTCCAACACTCAGCAACTACTTGGCCCTTTTCCAGCCTCACCTGGAAGTCAAGAACTGTGTCGCATTAATGTTCATTTGGGTATTTGTTGTTTCCCAAAGACTGCAAGACATACCTCATTTTATTATGCTGTGGTTTATTGCACTTCACAGATATTGCTTTTTTCTTCTTCTTCTTCACAAATTAAAGGTTTATGGTAATCCTGTGTTGAGCAAGTCTATTGGAGTGATTTTTCCAACAACATGGGCTCATTTTGTGTCTATGTGTCACATTTTTATAATTCTTGTAAGATTTCAAGCTTTTTCATTATTATTATATCTGTTATGGTGAATGTTATTGCTCATTGACAATGCACCTAGTCACTCAAGAACTCTTATGGGGATGAACAAGAAAATGAATGTTGTTTTCATGCCTGCTAATGCAATATGCACTCCTCAGCCCATGGATCAAGGAGCAATTTTGACTGTCAAGTCTTCTTATTTAAGAGATACATTTCAAAGTTATAGCTGCCACAGATAGTGATTCTTCTGATGGATCTGAGCAAAGTAAATTTAAAACCTCTGGAAAGGATTAAACATTGTCAATGACATTAAGAACATTCATGATTCATGGGAGGAGGTCAGAATACTAATATTAACAGGAGTTTGGAAGAAGTGGATTCACTTATGATGAGTTTAAGTGGTTCAAGATTTCAGTGGAGGCAGTAATTGCTGATGTAGTAGAAATAGCAAAAGAACTAGTGGAGCCTGAAGATGTGACTGAATTGCTGCAATCTCATGATAAAACTTGAACAGGGGAAGAGTTGCTTCTTATGAATAAGCAAAGAAAGTGGTTTCTTGAGATGGGATCTATTCCTGGTTAAGAGGCTGTGAACATTGTTGATATGGCAACAAAAGATTTAGAATATTCCATAAACTTAGTTGATAAAGCCATTGCAGAATTTGAGAGGATTGCCTCCAATTTAGAAAGACGTTCTACTGTGGGTAAAATGTTATCCAACAGCATTTCATGCTACAGATAAATCTTTCTGAAAGGAAGAGTCAATCAATATGGCGAACTTAATTGCTGTTTTATTTTAAGAAATGGACATGGATGAAGCTGGAAACCATCATCCTCAGCAAACTATCACAAAGACAGAAAACCAAACACCACATATTCTCACTCATAGGTGGGGATTGAACAATGAGAACACTTGGATACAGGGTGGGGAACATCACACACTGGGGCCTGTCGAGGAGTGGGGGGCTGGGGGAAGGATAGCATTAGGAGAAATACCTAATGTAAATGATGAGTTGATGGGTGCAGCAAACCAACATGGCACATGTATACCTAAGTACATGTGTACCTGCACGTTGTGCACATGCACCCTAGAACTTAGAGTATAATAATAATAATAATAATAATAATAATAATAATAATAATAGAAATTGCCACAGCCACCCCAACCTTCAGCGACCACCACCCTGATCTATCAGCAGCCATCAACATCAAGGTAAGACCCTGTATCAGCAAAAAAGATGACAGCTCTCTGAAGGGTCAGATAATTGTTAGCATTTTTAAGCAATAAAGTATTTTAAAATTAAAGTGTGTACATTTTTTAGACACAACGCTATTGCACACTTAATAGACTATAATATAGTGTAAACATAACTTTTATATGCACTGGGAAACCAAAAAGTTCACGTGACTTACTTTGTTGAGAAATTTATTTTATTGTGGTGGCTTCAAACTGAACCTGCAATATTTCTGAGGTATGTCTGTATTTCTGTTATCATCAAGGACCGTCTTAGTCCATTTGATCTGCTATAATAAAATACCACAAATTGGGTAGCTTGTAAACAACAGAAATTTATTTCTCAGCTTGGAAGCTTGGAAGTTCAAGATCAAGGCATTGGCAGAATTGGCGTCTGGTGATGGCCCACTCTAGTTCATAGAGCCTTCTCACTGTGTTCTCACATGGTGGAAGGGACTAGCTAGCTCTCAGGGGTCTCTTTTATGAGGGAGACCACTAATCCTATTCATGAGGGCTTTGCCCACCATGCTGCCCACCCCATGACCACCCAAAGGTCCCACCTCACCTCCTTAACATAACCTCCTTGGGGGTTAGGATTTCAACATGTAAGTTTTGGGGGCGCACAAACTCTCTACTAAACATATGTGATTAGGAACACAACATTGTGGCCGAGACTAAAAAGAACCACCTCAAAAAGACATCAGAAAACTCTTGGAAGAAAGCACAGTTGAGTTGGTGGTGATTTTTTTCTACCTTGATTTCTTCTTGCTGTGGAAAGGAATTGTGTGTATAAATCTTTCTCCTCTAGCAGTGTTGTGGCTTCCCAGGGTTATCAGAGCTTAATCTGATTCAGATGAAATTGTATGCACTGCAGCTGCAAATGAACATCAAAGAAGGAATTCACAACAGTTGTAGGAAAATTGGGTTTCCTCCATTTGTCTGCCAATGAATACATTGGCCCTATCCAAAGGACATGGATTCAACTCTGGAAGATGAGCTTGGGGATGAGAGACTGCACTCTGGCTTCTGTGATGAGTGGGTAGCCTGCAGGTTTTGGGAAGTGAACTAAGACCAAATTTATGGTTCACTTCACAAATTGTGGAGGCTCAGCCAGATCAAAGAGAAATCAACAGTCTGGAAGACCATGCCTCCTAGTTTTATAGCTTGAAGGAATTCCATTTGTTTTTTTTGTTTGTTTGTTTGTTTGTTTTTACAAGGAATTGGAACAATTCATATCCTGAATTCTGGTCCTCACCACGGACCAGGACTGTATGTCTCTCTCAGTATAGAACATACCAAACACCTGGATTTTTTAGAAGCCCTGGATTTGTCTAGACCCTTTGCCCTTCATTCTTCTCACCACAGTCCCTGAGGCTCTTAAGGACAAGAGTGTAGTATGGGGGAAGTGGCTAGGAGCTCTGAGATCTCATTTTAGCTCTACACCTATTTACATTGCAATCATGGGCAAATGATTTATCCACTTTGATTTAAGTAATTCCTCATTCTGTAAAATGGGAAAAATAATATCTACTCTGCTCACCTCACAGAATTACTATAAAGATTAAATATCAACATTATAGGTAAAAACTACTTTATAAATTATAGTATGTAAGCAATACTTCCCCTTATCTCCATAGTCATCTTCAATTCTCTGGTTTCTTAGTCATTCATTTATTTGTCCAACCATTTATTTATATTATCTCACTTGCTCTGCTATTCCTCTAACTGGCATCTTCAAAAGCATTTTACTACTTCCTTCTCTCACATTCATATTTGCTTTTGTGTTTTCACTCTTCCTTATGTATTTTCTTTATGAATGAACTCTTTGTCCTCTTTATCACTCAGCCTCTCCTATCGTCTGTTCCGATGTCGTGGTTAATTCCTGCCCTCAATTCCCTTACTCTGTCCTGCATCCATCTCACTCCTTCGCAATGCCATAGACCATCCCAAGTAGGCCAGAGGCTGATTCTTGTACTAGGAAACATCACTGAAGAGCCCTGTCCCAATGTCATGATGATGAGTTGTGCATCAGTTTCCTTGTCTGAGAAATGAGTATACTCACTAACAGATTATGATGCTATGACTTTATACCCGCTTTTTGCTGATGAAAAGACCTACCTTAACTATATCTGCTGAAAATGTGAGTTTAGTAAGTAATCATAGATAAACAATTATGGAACACTTACAATATGTAAACACAATTTAATTCACTTAATTATATAAGTCCTGCACAGTAGATATTATTTGAAGCTTAAGTACAATAAACAAACTTCCCAAGATTATGCAGACAGAATTAAAAGCCAGGTGCGTCAGATTCTAAAGTCTGCTCTGTGCACTGCATTCTGTCTATAGCCTTACCTCTAAAATTGTTATTTTTGTGATGGACAAGAAATCGTATGACAGGTGTGGGAACAGTGGCTACATAGATGAATCAATGACCCTGAGACAACTTGGGTTGCAAGAGTTCTAGGTGAAGAGGACTGATCTGTTTTTAGGAAGGTAAATGGACAACAGAGGATAAGCCCAAACTGGGATTTGTTTATCTTTCCCCGGGACTAAGGTTGTTAGATTTATAAAAATACAAGTTATCCAGTTAAATTTAAATTTGAGATAAAACAACAAATAATATTTAATGTGAGTATATTCCATACAATATTTGGGATATAATATATTAAAAAATTATTCAATACTTATTTGAAACTCAACTTTTAACTAGGCAGTCTGTGTTGAATCTGGCAACTCTACTATGTGCTCCAAAGCATTTTGCCTCTTCTGCTATTGCAGTGCTTGTTGTTCTTTGCACTACTGCTAGTTTTTCGCATATTTCCAAAGCCCTTACAAATCACATAGTAAGACTTAGGTTTTCTAACTATGACTAAAAAGACTTGATGCAATATAAGAAAATATTGATTAATTTGACTACTTAAAAGTAAAAGCATTTTAAGTGGCAAAAAAAAAAAAAAAAAAAAAACACCATAAACCAAGTCAAAAGACAAACGACAAACTAGGAGAAAATACTATAAAACGTAGCATAGATGATAGATCTAGTTCATAAAGAACTTTTAAAAATTGAGGAAAACCACAAAATACTATAGTAAAAAGGGCAAAATACATAGATGATTCATAAGAGAAGTTTAAAAATGGCCTCTTACACATGTAAGAAAATGTTCAATTTCACTCATAATAAGTAAAATGCAAATTAAAACTACACTGACATTTTTACCTATCAGATTGGCAAATATTTAAAAGCTTGACAATTCACTGTTGGCAAGGCTGCAGGGAAATAGGTTCTCTCATACATTGCTGGTGGAATGTAAAATGGCACATGTTCCTATGGAGGAGAATTTCAAAACACGTACTAAAATTACATTGTGCATTCACCCTTCAACATAATGATGCTAATTCTAGGAATTTACTCTGAATATATACTTCCAACAATATAAAAAAAACATATGCACAAGGTTATTCCATGTAGCACTGCTTATAATTGCAAAGTATAGGAGCTACCTAACTAACTAAGCATAGAGGCCTAGTTAAAAGCTCCATTCACACAATGGAGTAATATACAGCTATAAAAAAGAATGAGGAGATCTCTGTTAACTGGATAAGGAGTAATTTCCAGGAGATAATATTAAGTGAATAAAGCAAAGAGCATATAGTATGTTACTTTTTGTGTGCTAAAGCAGGAAAAATAGTTTTTACTTAGGAAAGCATGCAAATATTCTACATATTCAACAATTAAAATTAAATCGATAAGAAAAGGAAGGAGGAAAAACATAAAAGCAGAAAGAAAAGAATAAACCTAATCATATTTCAGTAAATATGGTAACCATAGTGAAAGCAAATGAAGGAGGGAGGGAGGAAAGAATAAATAAATCTAAGTAACTTAGAAACACAATTTTTGACCATATACCCTCAATTTTGGCCAAGGTTGGGCATGAGGGGTGAGGGGAGAAGGATAGAAAACAAATCCTGAACTCTTAGTACTTTTTTTTCAATTATATAAATATAGGCAAAGCAATTCTGAAACTATTTTAGATAAATTATAGGATTAAGTGAGTAAATGAGGTGGAAGGGAGTCAAAGTTCTCTCTATGGAAGAAGGAACATACAAATACAGCATGAGAAATCCCACTACTGGGATTCATACCCATTATACAAAAAAGATACTTGCACATGCATGTTTGTAGTAGCACAATTCACAATTACAAAAATGTGGAACCAACCCAAATGCCCATCAATCAACGAGTGAATAAAGAAACTGTGATATATATGATGGAATACCACTCAGCCATAAAAAAGAATGAATTAATGGCATTCACAGCAACCTAACTGAGATTGGAGACTATTGAGTGAAGTAACTCAGGAATGGAAAACCAAACATCGTATGTTCTCACTCATAAGACGCAGCTAAGCTGTGAGCATACAAAGGCATAAGAATGACACAGTATACTTTGGGGACTCAGGGAGAAAGGGTGAGAAGCGGGTGAGGGATAAAAGACTACAAACTAGGTGCAGTGTATACTGCTCAAGTGATGGGTGCACTGAAATCTCACAAATCACCACTAAAGAACTTACTCATGTAACCAAACCCCACATGTTCCCCAATAACCTATGGAAATAAAATTTAAAAAAAATTATAAATGATTATTGATGGTAGTCACACTGTTGTGCTATCAAATACTAAACAACAACAACAACAACCACACACACACACACACACACACACACAAAAACATATATAGCATGAGAGAAGGCAAGAAAGAACCCCATGGGCATGCATTGGAATTGTAGGTACCAGTGTGAACTGATAATTTCTAAATTATGTAAATGCATGTGATGTACACATGTAAGCAAACATGCATATGTTCATTTGTGTTTGTATGCATGTTCAATGTATGTTTGTATATATATTTTATATGTGTATATGTACAGGTATACATGTATGTATTTCCTAGGCCTGTTGTAAGAGTCAAGAATCAAAGACACTCCATTAGCAATGATCCCACCTAAAACCTAAATCTTGGTCTCTAATACCATTCTCCACTAAAAGGAATCAAGGGTCTTTGATATGGCTGATTCAAGGGATGAGATAGGGTAGGTAAAAGATAAGCCTGGAACATCTTGTTATGCTGGAAAGTAAGAAAGCACTTTCAAAAAAATTATGGAGTCATGTCACAATTACCAAAGTGCTAGCTGGAAAGGGTTCTCATTGGCTAAATCTGGGACAATTTGAGGACCAAAATTCTTGAATACAGTGATAAACTATAAACAATTGAAAAAATAAAAAATCATGAGTCCATACTGATAATAAAAAGATAAATAAATGAATGAATGAGGGAGGATGGAGGGCTCTTGCATACAGTAGAATGCTGATAGCCAACTTGTGAATGTTGAGAAATTATGGGAGTTGAAAAATTATTATTTGGCAAATATTACAGTAAAGATTGCATCAGGGAAGAATCATCAATAATTGCTAAATCTGAAAGTTCTGATGAAGAGAAAAATATCCACATTGTCTTAAAGTATCTTCTGTGAAGAAGAAAAAAATAATAGTAATTCCATCGTGGAGAAATTGAACAATAACTTGACAGGGTAACCAAAATTCGTCGAAGTAGATGGACATGGAGTTCCTCCACATTATGTCCTGAGGAGAACACACCATCATCTATGCAGTATTTGGGCTGAGAATACAGGACTTGAATACAGCCATAGACATGCATCAGAAAACCCAGAATAAGAAACACTCTACTGACAAAAAGGAGAGAGAGTGTATTTTTTTTTTAAATGACAAAGAAAGGCTGTGGAAGTATTTTAGGTTAAAGGAGATTACAGAGACCTACCAACTAAATGCAATACATGTCCCTAGACTGGATCCTATACTAGAGGGGAAAATGCCATAAGGACATTAATAAGTCACCTGAGAAAACTGAAATACAAATGACAGATTAGATAAAATATTGTATTAAATTTAAATTTATTGGTACTGATGACTATACTGTGATTATGTACAAGACTATATCTATATACACTATATACTTGAGAAATACACACTGAAGTATTTAAAGCTCTATGATTTATGCAGCTTACCATAAAAGTTAAGAAAAATATTATATAGATAGAACAAGTGATAAAGCAAATGGGATAAAATATTAACTACAGGTGACTCTGGGTCAAAGGCATGTGGGTATTTGTTGTACTGTTTCATAATTGCAACATTTCTGTAAATTTGAAAGTATTTTCAATTACCAGGTGATCAAAGTTAACATTGCCAGTAAGGGAAAGATGATCATCATGCCTCCAGAGCTGATACCTTGAGGATGCATCACCCATCCAGTATCGCAGTTGAGAATACACAACCTGAATCTAATCTCAAGGAAATGCAAAACACACTCTATTTTAAAAAGAAAGTTATTTTTTGTTTAGCGTAGTGAGATTTGCATTTTACATGGAGAGCTTCAGTGGCTGCATGGAGGAATGGGAGAAGTTTCACCCAGAAAAGACAGCTTTGTAACTGCTTTGACAGCACATGAGAGAAATTATGAGGAACACATTAGACAGGAATGTAGGTGTGAAAATCTTCAGATTTAGGAGGAGTTTCAAAGGTATAGCCAGCTCAGCTTGAACACCTGTTCAGTTAGGTGGCAAAGCATGGGGAAAAGTAAAAATAAGCACAAGGTTATTAGTTTGGCTTAATGTTGATAGATAGTGAGGCCATTTATTGAGATAAAGAATCTTTTAAAACAATAATTTCAACTTTTATTTTAGATTCGCGGGGGTAAATGTATGAGTTTGTTACCTGGGTATGTTGTGTGATGCTGAGGTTTGGGGTACGACTGAATCCTGTCACCCAGATACTGAGCATGGTTCCCAATAGTAAGTTGCTCCACACTTGCCCCTCTTCCTACCTCCCCACTCTAGTAGTCCCCAGTGTCTACTGTTGCCATCTTTATGTCCATGAATACCCGCTGTTTAGCCCTTACTTATAAGTGAAAACGTGCGGTCTTTGGTTTTGTGATCCTGTGTTAATTCTCTTAGGATAATGGCCTCTTTGCTGTATCTATGTTGCTGCAAAGGACATGATTTTGTTCTTTTTTATGGCTTCGTTGTATTCCACGGTGTCTGTGTACTGTATTTTCTTTATCCAATCTACCATTGAGGGGCATGTAGATTAATTCCATGTCTTTGCTATCGTGAATAGTGCTGTGATAAACATACAACTGCATGTGTCTGTATATACCCAATAATGGGGTTGCTGAGTTGAATGATAGTTCTGTTTTAAGTTCTTTAAGGAACCTCTAAATTGCTTTCCACATTCCCACCAACAGTGTATAAGTGTTCTCTTTTTTCCACAGACTTGCCAGCATTTGTTGTTTTCTGACTTTCATAGTAGCCATTCTAACTGGTGTAAGATGGTATCTCATTATGGTTTTGATTTGCCTTTATCTTATGATTACTGATGTTGAGAACTTTTTCATGTTTATTGGCCACTTGTCTGTCTTCTTTTGAGAAGTGTCTGTTCATGTCTTTTGCTTACTTTTTAATGGGGTTGTTTGATTTTTGCTTATTCAATTCTGATTTTAGCTATTTTTTTTTTTTTGCTAGCTTTGGGTTTAGTTTGTTCTTGTTTTCTAGTTCCTTGAGATAGAGAATTTTGAAGAAAGAGTAGAGCTAAAGAAAGAAAACTTTCACTCTTATTATCTGAGGTCAAAAATACTGACCAAAATAAATGTGTTCCTCACTCTATTTCAGCCATGATTTGTAGGCATTGAATACTTACTAGGTCCCAAACATTGTGACAAACTATATACTGACATTATCTCTGTGATTCTCATCATGACACATTTTATAGATGAGAAAAACACTGCTCAGAGTTGTTGGAAAATTTTACCAGTTTCATACAGCTAATAAATGGAGGAGGCATTATTTGAACCACAAATTATGCTTTTCCCACTATGTCATTCCACCTTCCAAAAGAAAAGTATAATTCTTGAATAAAAGCACCCCACAGATTTTTTTTTCTTGTTCCCCTTTCTTCCTAAGGGATATAGTAAAGGGCTGGAGTTGATATTGGATTTCCATAGTCAAGATGATAAAATTAAAACTATGATCTAATCATGATTTTAATTGGTTCTTTTTGGTTTACAAACCATGGTCCACCAACTGCTTACAGTCTCAAGGTGGAATTTCTAACTTTCCCCAGAAAGTAGTAATCATACAACAGAGAGATCCCTGAAGCTAGAAGACTGTATTCCATCCCTGACTCTGGAGTTTACTAGCTGTAAAATGGTACCTCACAGGACTATTTTAGGATTAAATGAGATGGTTACATGTAAGCACATAGAGATGTAGGTGTAAGTACTATTTTACTTGTGTTTCTGTGCTCCTCAACTCTCCTCTGCCAAATAAATCCCTTGGCTTATTAAAAACAAAACAAACTTTAAAAACCAGGTCTATGAAGAAAAAGACCAGTGAGATTCATTGACTCCCACTCCTTCCTCCATTGCCATGTCCAGAGTATTCCTTTCTCATTAGGAGTAAATGAACTGCAATTGGATCAATGATTCTAAAGTAGCACAAAGAATAAATGTGGTAGAGACTTGGTAGTCATTTTCTGTAAGGCCTACAATGCCAAACCTGGTGTGTTTAGTCTGCTTCAAGGACACAGTCTTCATCTTGTTCCTGTCACTAACCACCGCATGACCTAAGTCATCCCTCTCCCCTCCTTGACCTCAGATTCATCAAAATGAGTGGTAGGTGCTGAAATTCCTAAGTCGATGTTCATCATAGTCTTGCTTTTAAGTCACCTATAGCTGAATCAGCTGGGCTGCTTCTTAAAAGGTGCAGATTGCCCAGATCCCACTCACAGCTCCCTAATTAGAACCCTTGGGCAAAGGACCTGGGAATCTGCATTTTAACTCCTTTCCCCCAAGTAATTCTAATGCACACAAATTCGAGAATCACTAACCTAAATTCCCTTTCAGATAAAGAATTCTATGGTGTAGGCCAGTGCTTTTTAAACTTCAATGAATTCCTTGGAAATGTCATTAAAATGTAGTTTCTGATTCAGTTGGCTTGCAATGGGGTTTGATAATCTGCATTACTACCAAGCTCCTAGGTGCTGCTGCTGCTTTATGTGATACTACATGGTCACACAGTAGGTTGACTTACTTTTTGGGATGAAAATAATCTAGGCAATGGCTCAAGGGTCCATACACATGGATAAGGGAGAAGGGCACACACATGGATAGTGACCCAAAATATTTACTTGGCTTGAGTGAAGACTTAGCTGATTGATTACCTTTGGGTGACTTAGACCATTGTTATAGAGAAGACACATATTTGGAGACAGCAGACTTCATTAAGTCCCCCAGTCTGCCACTTCCTAGCCCTGTGATCTGCAGAGTGAGTTTAACTTTTAGAGCCTTAAGTTCTGAATCGGCAAAACAGAGACAATAAAATATCCACCTCACAGAGTTGCTGTGAGCATTAAATGTAATCTCATATATAAAATTCCCAGCCCAGTGCAACAATATCAGTCCCCCTAGCTTTTCTGGGGACCCTTCCAAAGCTACTACTTAATTCCCTGAGGAGGACTACTTATTGGGACCTACCCCTCTCCCACAGACATCACCATGTGGAGGGCAACAGACTCTCCACCATAAGAAAATAAAACTCTTGATTTTCCCAGGCTATGGAGTGATTTACCACACAGTTGCTCTCCCAGACTTGGAAGGCTGGCAGCAACCCTGCCAGAGACAGATGGGAGAGCTGGAGTCCAGTCACTTGTCAACGATGTTCACTGAACACATTTATAAGGCTTTTCACAGTTTCCTGGCTCCTCCTGGATTAGCCATACACCAAAGGCAACCACATGCCAGGAAGGAAAGCTGCATGCACACGTGCTGGCCGAGGCCCCCAAGTGAAGTTTCATTTTTCTTTCCTGTCTGCTTTCATTACTCATTTATATGTGGTTGTGGTCAACATACCACCCAACTTTTCATGCTAAGTTCTTTTAGTTTTTTTTTTTTTTTTTGACAGTCATTACTGTCTTTCCTTTCCCCCTAAATAGTTCACTAAATAAGAAATGAGTTGCAATAGTATGAACTTAATGTGAAGAATTTTCAACTATTTTCATGGTCATTTGTAAAGGTTATCTACAAATATTTGGTTAGCAATTTCAGTGTGCTCAGCACCATCCCAGGTGCTTGAGGGATATATAATCAAATTATTTGTTAAGTCACTTGGTCAAGCTATAGGAAGCAAACAATGAAAGTGGTTTTCTTTTTCCTTTAGGACAGTTTCCTGTATGCAGCTCTGGCTGCATGTTGTAATCGCCTTAGGGAGCTTTAAAAACATACTGATGCCTGCACCCAAACCCCAGAAATTCTGAGTTAATTGATCTGGGATGCAGCTTGGAGACTGAGAGTTTTAAAAGCAGCCAAGACTGAGGAACATTGCCTTAGAAATTAATAATGTCTACACATAATTTTTGCATATTGACTCAATTTTTAATCACTATTTATTTTCAAGACTACCCATTACAAAACCTTTTCACAGAAACAATCTATTTTAGCCTCAAAAACAACCCCAGAAAGCAGTTAGTCAGAATTTGTATATTTGTGTGTTAGCCTCAATTTGTATACAGAAAAGTGGGTCTCTGAGAGGTTGAGTAACTTGCTCTGCAACACACTGCTGGTAAAGGCAGAAATAATCTTTGAACTCATGGATCCTGGTTCCACTATTTCTTCCACCACTTTGTAACTGCCTCAATTCAGTCTATCATTGAAAAACCATTCATTGGACCATAATACATCCTACTCTAGATTGTGTGAACTTTAAAAAAATTCTCTGATTTCTGTACTGGCAGATTTAAGTAATATTCATAAGAAAAGAAGGGCAGTGATAATGAGAAGATGGGTCCTTCCTGGTTTGGTGACACTTGACAAATACAGTGTTATGTGTCAACAGACATTCAGTGCATGATGCTACTTATTAAAGAAGTTGATGTATCCTGGCCAAAGGCTGGATACTCAAAGCTCATCTCTAAGAGCCATAAATCATCTCAGAAAACAGACCACATCCTTCTGTGATGAAAGACATTCTGAGTTCTCTGAAAGGCTGAGCAGATCCTTGCTTGAAGACAGAATCATCTGTTGATTCTCATAAATAGAGAGATTAGATAGAAGGATGACGTATTTCTCAAGCTGGTGTGATAGTACACTGATGTGAAGCCTCCATCCCTGAGGTATTTTTCATGTCACAGGAAAAATACAAATTTTTTAAAAACTATATTAACTCTTGAGGACATGAAGTTACCATATTATCTACAACTTCTTTTATATATTATTAACCTCACCAGATGGAATGGGGAAAGATTGGCTGATAAAATGGATTCTCAGCAATCTCTTTGAACCTTATGAAGGAGCCTAGAGTTCAGGTGTCATGGTTCTGACTCAAGGCTGATTCCACAGCAAACGGGAAGGTGATGGTCAAAGGGTACCTACTGATCCATGAGTGAGCATGGGACAGCACATTAATTAGCATAGTGTTGCTCATGGGGTTGGTCCAGTTAGGCTTCCACAATCATTTGTACTGCATAAAGACACCATCCAATCAAACCACTGATCATTCTGAAAACAGTTGTTTGAATTAATTCCAACATACAGTTTGCAACCATTCTCGTATTCTAGCATTTTTATATGTGTGGGCACCACCATAAATGAAGAAGAGTGTGTGCACATTAACCTCACAAATGGGATTATAAGAATTACTCTTATCATCCTGAAAGCCCAAGAGTTTTGAACTTGAAAAAAAAAAGACCCTAAAGGGTATCCCTTAACCAATCCTATCAAAATTATCCATTAATGGTATCCTTAAATGCAATTGAAATGTGATTTGTCTTTACAGTTTCTCAGTCTCAGAAACTCTGCAGATGGGTCTTCAAGTACAGAGTTTGCAAATCTGTTGAAATGATGACCTTTAGGCAGGACCAACTAGATAATTTATGAGACACAGTGCAACATGAAGGCACAGGGCCTTTTGTTTAAAAAGACTATTAAAAATTCCAGTATGGTGACAACAGAGCATTAAATCAAGCTCATGGCCCTGTGTGACTGCATAGATTGCACATTCATGTAGCTAGACAGCCTTGTCCTCAGGGCAGCAAGACCCCAATAGTGCTGTGTATTCCAGCTACCCATCTATTGAGTCATTGGAAGCAACTGACACTTTGTTGTGTGCTGCCAATTGTTTTGTAGGCAGATGGCCCCAGCTGTCCATGGGACATTTGCAGAGATAGCAACAGAAGGAAAATATGATGAAGAGTGAAGCAAGTATGTCTGTCAGAAGTAACAGTGGAAGGACAAAGTTTTGGTACAGCTGTCAGGGAACTCAGAAAAAGGAGTTGACTATAGAAGATCCACCTGAATGCCAATAATGTCCAAGGGAGAGAGTACCCTGGGTATTCTCATACCTAGATGAGATTATGTGGCAGTGTATCATGAGATATTTCTCATATATCTCTATCAATCAATCTATCTGGATCTGCAAAAATCTATTAATTTTTTTTTGTATTTCTAGCTTTCCACCCTACCCCTGAACTAATGGTTGGCTCTGTACACATTATCTCAAGGGAGAGACCTGCCAGCATAAAAAGAAGAAAGTATCCTAATAGTAATCTTGGATATAGGTCCACAAGCCTAAGTCCCAGAGGTAAGAGTGAATTTGGGGCATAGAACTTGTCTTGGCCAGAACCATGAAATCAGAATTTTTCCCTGTCTAGAAGAATAATTTTCCTGGTCTTGGAAGGGAGAGTAAGAAGGCTAATGTGTCTCTAAGCAAGAGGATATATACCCCACATCCCAGACAGAACCATCTGGGAGGTAGTCCTAGCCCTACAGAGAGAATAGCTGTATAGGCAACTAGGCAGGTAGAATAACAGGTACCCTTGGCCCCAGGTAGGGCCTGAGAGCACAGAGGCGGCAGGCAGCATACTGGAAAGGGACAGAGGATATCCCACTGGCAAATTAGATAGCCTGGTAACGGAGGATCAAGGACCACATGATATGCAATGTGCTCTCCCCACTCCCACTCTGACATGCATAACTTTGCACAGGATGGAGGAGAGAGAAGCAAGAAAATGACTGAAGCTATATTTTCTAATAGACTGGCAGGAAAAATATTAGAAATAAAAATTAAATCACAATGAATAATTTTTCTTATATACCTGTTTGTGCACTGGGATTCATTCTAACTATTCTGTGATGGTATTTTAGATAGTTAGAATATTCATTCTAACTATTCTGCTATGATGTTTTCTAAGCTCTTCCAATTCCCATTGGTCTTAACTCTGCTTTCACTGAGCAACTTAAGAAAGAAAAGACTTAATTAAAAAAAAAAAAACCTTTTAGGTTCACAGCAAAATTAAGAGGAGGAGGAAGAAGGAGAAGAAAAGAAGAAGGAGAAAAAGAAGGAAGAGGAGGGGGAGGAGAGGGAGGAGAAGGAAGAGAAGCAACAGCAGTAGCAGCTATATTAGTATAATGTAATAGTGAAGAGTGTAAAGGCTATGGAATCAGATTGCCCAGGCTTATCAGATTCTGGCTTTGCCATTTATACAATGATTTTTAGCAAGTTCAAAAAAAATCTAATAGTATTGGTATGAAGAATAAAGATATTAACACATGTAAAACATTTTGATTAGTGGTTAAGTATATGTAAAGTACTATGTAAATGTTAGCTTCTGTTTCTAGTTTTATTGTTCTTATTTAAAGTATTCCTTTCCAGCATATGTCCAATTGTACGAATATCTTCTCATGTTGCACATAATTTATTCTCATTTTAATCTAACTGCATTATGTCATACATATTTTATATGTTTTTATGATCATTTTTAAAAGTTAGAATAATTTAACTCACTAAATATTTCAGCACTTAACTCAAAACTGATTATGCTATATGACAGAGACACTAAAATGATAATAAATTGGAAAAATTAGCAAAGGTGACAAATAGGTAAAACACCAAAAAGAAATATATATGGCCAAAGGAAAGGCTTACTCTAATAAGAGGTTGGTAAATGCTAATTAAAGCAATAGTTACTATTTTCACCTAGCAGATTGGAAACAAAATTTGATAATATCCACTTTAGATCAGGGCCTGGGACATTGGGTACTCCCCCTCCTCTGCTGGCAAACTGTAAGCTGGTACAGCCATTTAACTACTAACATTTAAACGCATAGACCAGACCCTCTATATCCAACCATTTCACTCTTCTTTACATGCCCTCAAGAAACAGTCGTTAAAGTGCATCAGGAGACAGAAGCCAGAGTGTTCATCTAAACAACGTTTGTAATTATGAAAACTGAAAGCTACATCAATACCTACCAATACTTGGAATGGTTAAATAAGCTGTGATATATTCATCCTTAAATTAAAAACAGTGAGATATATCTATTAATACTGACATGAAAATCTTCCAAGGCATGTTGCTAAGTGAAAAAAAAAAAAAACCAAATTGCAAAAAAACAAGTACAGCCAAGATAGCATTTTTGTAACATACAGTAAACAAAACAGATACCTCTATAGATATGTGTATGTAAGTATACATATATATGTGTAAATGTATCTGTGGGTGTTTGTGTAAGTGTCTTGAAAAATGTCTCAGAGTGCACACCGAACTGTTAACAGTGGCAATTTTTAGATGGAAAACTAAAATTGGTTAAGGAGAATTTTAGCTTTTTATTGCGTTAATTTTTTTATAATGACAATTTTTAAAAGTGTTCCTTGTATAATTAAGGTTGAACTTTAAAAAATTAAAAGATGAATAAGACAAGGTTTCTGAATTCCAAAGTTAATATTCTATATGGTGGATATGTAACAATTTACTTAGCCATTGACCTATATTTGACAGTTCTGGTTGTTTCCATTTTTTAATATAGATTTTTATATACTGAAGTTTCTTTTTCTTCTGTTAATTTATTTTTCTAGGATACATTCCAAGAGTAGGATTACTGGATAAAATGGTACAAACATCTTTCTGGCTCTTGTTATATTTTTCCACACTGCTTTCCAAAAATGTTGTGCTTTTCCTTCCCTATCATTACTACAAAGTTTAAAAAAAAAAAATAGCTCTCCTACTACCTGGCACCAACCTGCTTTTCTGTTGCCATCTCCTGGTTCTCAGGAATGTGTACTTTTCATTTCAGTTTTCAACCTGTGTTAGAACTGGAATCTCCTAGAGGACCTTCACTTCATAGTCTTTCTCTTATGCCTAGTGTATGTATATCCCTGGAAGATAGATATGATTAACATTTCCATTTTTACAGAGGAAAGCACTGAGGCTCACAGAGGTCAGGTAACTTGCCCAGGGTGCCATAGCTAAGGAGTAGCAGAGCCTATACTTTTGATTGTGTCTCTACTCTCTCCATATCTGGTATGGTTCTCCAACAATTTGGTATGAACAGAGTTGATTTGAACCTAAATACCTCTTGATTACTTACAGAGTCTCTATCTGTCATGGCTTTCCTACCCCATCTGGTCGCTTGGCACCAGCCCATGTCTGTGTCCTTACTACCTTTCTGCCTGTGCTCCTCTTCTTGGCCTAGTTCTCAGCTGGCCAGTTTGTTTCACATACTCAGACTTCTTCCCTATCTGCTTCATCTGCCTTAACCAAGATGTTAGACCAGTGATTCTTAATCCTGTATACATGCCAGAATCACTGGGGAGCTTAAAACCAAGGAACCAAACACACTGGAGCCTGGATTTCATTCCCAGAAGTGTGAATTTAATTGATACGGGGTATAGTGTGTATGAGCTTGCTTCTGGGATTTTTTTTGAAGTTCCATAGAACTTTGGGATGAGAATCTCTACCTTAGATGCTATTCTTATCTTCCTCCTGGGTTTATTGAGCAACATGCCTTGTTTTTGTTTGTTTTGTTAGTAATAGCTCCCCTGCCTCCCTTGGCTGCCACCTCCACTTGCAGTGGTTTACCTATCTGCCCTGCTATCATTCTGCCTGTTCTGTTTTGTTCTGTTCCTCTGTGTCCTCTCTTAGCAAAAGCACATTGCTGATCTTACCTTCAAATCTTTGTCCTTGCTATTGTGGCTGCTTGTAATCACTCCTCTTTTCTCTATTGGAATCTTGTTGAACCAAAGTTTCGCCTTCTCCATGCAACTGTCTCTCATCACTGCCCACACAGCTGGCTGCTGCTTCTAAACGCCTGTTTGAATTCCTACCTGCATCATTCTAGTGGCTTTTCATTTAGCGACGAAAGGCAGTATGTGATTTTCATGTGTGGACAGGAAGCTCTTAACCACTGTTAAGAGCACAGGATTCAGAGTTGGGAAGATTGGTGTTTCAAATTCCAAGCTGCCACTACTTACCTACTCTAAGCCTCAGTTTTCTCATTTATAAGTTAAAGATAACAGTGTTGCATATTTCATAGAGCTTATCTGAAGCATGGAGAGCATTCAGCACAGTACCTGCTACATGGTAAAAGTTTGATACATGTAAACTACTGGAAACAGGATATATATGGTAATGAGACTGATTTCATTTAATTAAAGTGGTAGAAATTAGAATTTATGCATCCAAATTTCCCCTTATCATCTGCCCCCTAAATATTGGGCAGAGAAATGGAAGATACCCACTTATTGTGATGATGCTGTATTGCCCAGATCTTTTCTGGAAATCCTCTTTTGGAATTGCTTACAGAGCCAGTTTATGTGTCAGAAAGAAAAAGGGCCCTATTACTCTACTCCCTATTTGTTTTTACCAAAAAAGGTAATACTCAGTTTCATTGCACATTGTATTCATCAGCTTTAGTGCCAAATGACCTTTGGCTTCTTTTTTTCCTTTTAACTTCAATCTACCCCAAGAGGATAAAGATGCCACTACTAAGAATATGTACAAAAAGTGTGATGGATTCTTAAGGGGATTTCAGAACAGAAGTTCCCAAAAAGTTCTACCCAGGAGACTGCAAATGCCTTGAGAATGGGGACCTTATCTACAAGCAGGCGTTCTTAACCTGGAGTTAACTAGACTTTCGCCTTACAACTTTTCTGGTTTAGAGGGTCTGTAGCTTTCTTAATATTTTCAAAGGGATAAAAAAATGACAAAAAGAGGGTAAGAATACTGTTTTAAAATATTTTATGGGTGCCAAGGCTCCTAGGAGAGGGCTATTTTGTTAATAATAAATTTAAACGTTTAAGGAATAAAAATGTATTATCTTTCAAATACTACAATAATAATATTCATCTATTATTATAGCACGCATTGTTATTTTAACAGTGGGGGATGGATTTGAATAAAACAGTAAATATTCCCTCAACCACTCCCTGACTTCACTTGGGCATGTGTTCATGAAACAGCTGGCAGGGTTCTAGTGTGTGGAGTGTGACTTTGGACATTTTTAGAAGTATTTTATAAAGTAGAGAGAGTCTAAAGGAAAACCCAGCTATCACGTTTCAAAAACAACAATATCAGAATATGAAAACTGGGAGGAGGATTATTTTACCATTGTGTTTTTTTGTCCAGTGGTGTGCTGGTAAACCAGCTCTCTGGGAGAGGGGGAAAAAAAAAACAAGCTCTGATTTGTAATGTTTGCCAATTTCTATGGTGTAAATACTCCCACCATGGCCAATTTCAAACTACCAGTATGAGATCACTGAATAGTATTGGGAAGAGATGCACAGAATTTGTTCTCTAAGCCAGTACAAGCTGTCTCTAGTGCACCACTGCTTGTAACCCTTATAAACCTAGATGCCCAGGAGAAGGGTTTCTAGAGGAGGTTCATTTTACGGCAGTGTATTTTGTAAGAAGCGTAATTTAAGAGCAAAAAAGGAATTGGAAAGGAATTCTATTGGAGGGTATTGAAGGAGATTGAAACACATAGTTTAAAACACATTTCCCAAACATTCTGTTAATATTCATCCTCCTCCACCCAGCCCACTAAGGTTTTCTCTCCCATTTCTTCTTCCTCCTCTAATTATCCCAGTGTTTTTTGTTTGTTTGTTTTATTAGATTGACTAAGTCTCCTAGTAGGAAAGAGTCCTATTTATGATCTGACTGCAGGTTTGGTGGGGAGAGATGGGCTACCCTTTGATGGACAGGGAAGGGGGAACTGAGGTCTGGGAATAGTAAGATATTAATAATCCTTATTCTATCACATTATTTGCCCACTTTTTTATTTTCCCATTTTTTTAATTTGACCATTATTTTTATTTTCAAATAAAAAAATTTGAGGAGGAAAAAGTATACAAGTGAAACTACCTTCTCTTCAAGTTTGTGGCTTGTGAGTCAACAAATCTTTACAAACAGTATCCTTTAAAGAAGAAAAAGCAGTGTAAATATAAACCAAATCTTTTTTTTTTTTTTCCATTTTCATATGGGTATTTCTTAACCTGTATGTATGTTTATAAACCAATTTGACTGATGAGCTTTGGGATAGTAAGTTAAAAGCCAAGCCAATTGTTTGTCTATCCCAGCTGATTTTATATTTGCTATCTGGTCAAACTTGCAATGTGACCATGAACAAGTCATTTGGCCTTTCTGAACTTGAGTTATATCATCTGACATTGGGATTGAACTGAATGGTGTTTAAATTGCTTTCTAGCCTTAAGAGCTTGTGGTACTTATATTGCATTTAATAAGAAGGTTCACAATTTTTCTTTTATGAAATAGACTAATAATCTCTATGTTTAAAATGTCATAAGCCTGCTAGTTTGAATAAGTGGATTTATATGTAACTTGACTAGTTAACCAGAACTCTTCTGCCAATAGGAAGAAGAATTTTTGCTTGAGACTCCAGTTTTCTCTGCTGACATTTTTCTCTGCTGCCCTCTCTAGACTTCAAGGTTCACCAAACTCATCTGGAGGAAGAAACCCTCCTGAGGTTGAAAGGAATACTAAGGATAGATCAAGGATCCTCCTCTAATGGTCATCAGCAATTCAAACTCTGTCCCTAGATCATTCTGGATTTTCAGGATTCATATTTTTTTAATATACTTGATCTTCTATGTATTTCCTTCTCTTTCTATTTCCTGCTCCTTCACACCCATCTCAGGGCTTCTGGCCGAGGAAAAGGATACAGTGAGTGGGCAATAAGCATGTCTTTCTATCCTCTCTGGTATTATATCACTTGGCTCTTATCTATCAAATACCTGATGATTCACTTTGTTTAGGAGACTGCAGAAAGATAATTATGGCACTCACAATAGCTAATATTTATTGAATGCTTATATTTGCTAAGGACTTTACAGACATCTCATTTAGTTTCTAACAACATTAATTCTAGCCCCATTCTATACACAAGGAAACTAAAGCTGAAAATGGTTAACCCAAGGTCAGAACGAATGAGAGAAGCAAGACATGATGTACATTCCCAGAACTGCCTGGCCTAACTTTTGTGCTCTTGTGCTCCTAACCACTGACTCTTCTGTGGTTGTATCTGAAGCTGCTAAAACAAAGCTTGGAGTGAAAAGCAGAAGGCCAAGTAAAAGCTTTAAGATGGGGAGGATTAGATGGAAATTTGATTTCATGTTTTTCAAGCTAAAGAGAGGACTTGGGCTGCTCGGGTGAACACACACAGCTCTCAGGATCTGCTCCCTTTACTTGACTCTCTATCCTGCCCCTAGACTATCTGATGCAGGAAGTTACAGGCTTAGCCCTGAGCTCAGGTCATTCTGATTATCAAACCGAGGATGGGAAGTTAGTGGTGGGGGACAGGACTCTCAGCTCTATTATTTTAGTTTCCTGCCCATGTATCACTCATTCAGGTGCATGAAAACTCACCTTTTAATTAAACACTGGTGAAAGTTATCACAAAACTAGGCTGGACATGATGGCTCATGCCTGTGATCCCAGCACTTTGGGAGGCCAAGGTGGGCAGATCACTTGAGGCCAGGAGTTCGAGACCAGCCTGGCCAACATGGTGAAACCCAGTCTCTACCAGAAATACAAAAATTAGCTGGACATGATGGTGTGCACCTGTAGTCCCTGCTAGTCAGGAGGCTGAGGCATGAAAATCACTTGAACCTGAGAGGTGGAGGTTGCAATGAGCAGAGATCATGCCACTGCACTCCAACCTGGGCAATAGAGTGAGACTGTCTCAAAAAAGTCATCACAAAACTAGTTATATAGTGCCTTCTCTACTGAGCAGAAAAACTAATCTTAAGATGATTGCTTTATGTTCATTACCAATGACTTTGGAACCTTAGTCCTAAGAAAATAAAGAAGACATGAGACATCGCAGAAAGTGTCCAGCTATTTTGGGGCTGCAAAAGCATTTATCTTAAATTCAGCCTCCCTGCATTTTTAGTCTTCCATTTGGAGACTGAAGGTCTTTTGCTTCATGGAGGAAGGCTAACAACTGTTCACTGGCATGACTTAACTCTCTACATTGAAGATGATGAAGTGACAGGGAGAAGCAAAAGGGATAAATTTTTTTCAATTTATAAGAAAACATGATGGCACATATAAATATGAAAGAAGAACTCAGGAAGAAAGAAAATATGCTTATATGGTTTGGCTGCATTCTCATTCATCTTGAATTGTAACTCTCACAATTCTCATGTGTCATGGGAGGAACCTGCTGGGAGGTGATTGAATTATGGGAGCCGGTCTTTCCTGACCTGTTCTTCTGATGGTGAATGAGTCTCATGAGATCTGATGGTTTTAAAAACAGGAGTTTCCCTGCACAAGCGCTCTCTTCTCTTGTCTGCTGCCATGTGAGATGTGCCTTTCACCTTTTGCCATGATTGTGAGGCCTCCCCAGCCATGTGGAACTGTAAGTCCAGTAAACCTCTTTGGTAAATTGCCCAGTCTCAGGTATGTCTTTATTAATTAGCAGTGTGAAAATGGACTAATATAGTAAATTGGTACCAGTAGAGTGGGGTGCTGCTGAAAAGATACCCAAAAATGTGGAAGTGACTTTGGAACTGGGTAACAGGCAGAGGTTGGAACAGTTTGGAGGGCTCAGAAGAAGACAGGAAAATGTGGGAAAGTTTGGAATTGCCCAGAGACTTGTTGAATGGCTTTGACCAAAATGCTGATAATGATATGGACAGTGAAATCCAGGCTGAAGTGGTTTCAGATAGAGCTGAGGAACTTGTTGGGAACTGGAGCAATGGTGACTCTTGTCGTGTCCTAGTGAAGAGACTGGCAGCATTTTGCCCCTGCCCTAGAGATTTGTGGAACTTTGAACTTGAGAGAGATAATTTAGGGTATCTGGTGGAAGAAATTTCTAAGCAGCAAAGCATTCAAGAAGTGACTTGGGTGCTGTTAAAGGCATTCAGTTTTATAAGAGAAACAGAATATAAAAGTTTGGAAAATTTGCAGCCAGACAACACAACAGAAAAGAAAATCCCATTTTCTGACGAGAAATTCAAGATGGATGCAAAAATTTGCATAAGTAGCAAAGACCCAAATGTTAATCCCCAAGACAATGAGGAAAATGTTTCCAGGGCATGTCAGAGGTCTTCACAGCAGCCTCTCCCATCACAGGCCCAGAGACCTGGGCCATAGCTTCAGAGGGTGCAAGCCTCAAGCCTTGGTAGCTTCCATGTGGTGTTGAGCCTGCGAGTGCACAGAAGTCAAGAATTGAGGTTTGGGAACCTCTGCTTAAATTTCAGAGGATATATGAAAATGCCTGGATGGCCAGGCAGAAATTTGCTGCAGGGGTGGGACCCTCATGGAGAACCGCTGCTAGGGCAGTACAGAAGGGAAATGTGGGGTCGGAGCTCCTACACAGAGTCCCTACTGGGACACCACCTAGTGGAGCTGTGAGAAGAGGACCACTGTTCTCCAGACCCCAGAATGGTAGATCCACTGACAGCTTGCACCGTGCACCTGGAAAAGCCACAGACACTCAATGCCAGCTCATTAAAGCAGCCAGGAAGGGGGCTGTACCCCGCAAAGCCATGAGGGTGGAGTTACCCAAGACCCTGGGAACCCACCTCTTGCATCAGCATGAGGCATGGAGTTAAAAAGAGATCATTTTGGAACTTTCAGATTCAACTGCCCTGCTGGATTTTGGACTTGCAGAGGGGCTGTAGCCCCTTGTTTTGGCAAATTTATCCCATTTGGAACAGCTGTATTTACCCAATGCCTGTACCTCCATTGTATCTAGGAAGTAATTAACTTGCTTTTGATTTTACAGGATCATAGGTGGAAGACTTGCCTAGTCTCAGATGAGACTTTGGACTGTGGACATTTGAGTTAATGCTGAAATGAGTTAAGATTTTCGGGAACTGTTGGGAAGGCATGATTGGTTTTGAAATGTGAGGACATGAGATTTGGGAGGGGCCAGTGGTGGAATGATATGGTTTGGCTGTGTTCCCACCCAAATTTCATCTTGAATTGTAACTCCCACAATTCCCACATGTCATGGGAGGAACCAGGTGAAAGGTGATTGAATTACTGGGGTGGGTCTTTCCTGTGCTATTCTTGTGATAGCAAATGAGTCTCACAAGATCTGATGGTTTTAAAAATGGGAGTTTCCCTGCACAAACTCTCTTTTCTCTTGTCTGCTGCCATGCGAGATGTGCCTTTCACCTTCTGCCATGATTGTGAGGCCTTCCCAGCCACGTGGAACTGTAAGTCCAATAAACTTCTTTTGTAAATTGCCCAGTCTTGGGTATGTGTTTATCAGCAGCATGAAAAGAGAATAATACAGATGCCTTTAAAAACTGTTTTGATGAATTGTCCATTTGATAGACTCAAAGACAAGCAAGTTTGGTACTTCTTTAATCATATTTCGATTTTTAATGGAGTATTGGGTAAGAAAGGGTCCAGGGGTGAGTGGAGACCAAGGGCATATGTGGGCTTTTTGGGATCTGGATCTTGTACAATTTAGGGGAGGAATCGCAAGAAAAATAATACAAATACAAAATTAGAAATAGAGCCTTGGAATAAGCTCATGCAGGCGAAAAATCTTGAGATGATGCTTTATTCACTTTGTTTAAAAATCCTTGTATGGTTGAGATAAATTTTCTACATCCAGCTGGGAACACAGACACACCATACTGAGATATTCTGAACTGATAGACTACTGAAGGGTCAGGGAGAGAGATGAAAAGAGGAGGATACAAAGAGGTCAATAAAATGCTGAGGAATTACAGGGAGTTTACCAGGTGATGTTGTGCAATATTCAGAGAGAAAGTCATATGTGTACACAATTTTTACACACCAGGGTTGTCTTTAAGAAAGCACAGAGGTGGGCCGGGCGCGGTGGCTCACGCCTGTAATCCCAGCACTTTGGGAGGCCGAGACGGGCGGATCACGAGGTCAGGAGATCGAGACCATCCTGGCTAACACGGTGAAACCCCGTCTCTACTAAAAATACAAAAATTAGCCGGGCATGGTGGCGCGCGCCTGTAGTCCCAGCTACACGGGAGGCTGAGGCAGGAGAATGGCGTGAACCCGGGAGGCGGAGCTTGCAGTGAGTCGAGATCGCGCCACTGCACTCCAGCCTGGGCGACAGAGCGAAACTCCGTCTCAAAAAAAAAAAAAAAAAAAAAAAAAAAAAAAGAAAGCACAGAGGTGCCCCGGGCTACATGGACTATCTATGTGGTTTTCTTGCCCAGAATTTGACAGGAGAGATAAGGATCAACAGCTTCACAGCTGAAGTTACTGTTTGTTCTCTCTTCTGGTTTTTACTAATTTTGTTTTGTTTAATATGCGTCTTCAGCATGGGCAACTCAAACAACCAACACAGTTCATTTGCTATCCACCTCCTTTCTTCTTTTTTTTCCCTAACAATATGGATTGATTTTTTTTGCTGTCAAAATAATAATTTATCTCAACACAGGAATCAAAAGATGTAAGACATGTAAAACATTTTAAACATTGAAAACATTTTAACTATCATCAGATTTTTACAACTATTTTTAGATACCTCAAAATGTAGGGTTAAACTAAACTGATGATGTCTCTTTTAAATTCTGGCAATAGAGAAAAAGAAGGCCTGAGATAGTCCCAATTCTCCAGACTGACCAGGGCTGTGGAGAATCCTAATTTTATGGAGTGCAGATGATTTGGATGGTCTTGTTACTAGTCATGAGAATTTTAAACCATTCAGCAGCTGACAGACTGCATTTACATTGGAAAAGAAAAGTTGTCAGAAGCTTTTATGGTGACCACACAATCCAGGCACAAATTTCTCATTATAGAAAATATGATATCTTTATAGGAAGAATTAATGAAACTCACAAAGGAGCACCTAAAGAACAAATATCTAAGCTTTAAAATATTTTACCAGAAAACAAACAACAAAATATACTGCAGATCAAATACAGATGGGCGAGAGAGGAGGTTTTAAAAGCAGATTGGCAAGGGTGTTTGGGAGACATGGTAATAGGTTCTCTCTGTCCTGAAGGGAAGCCAGTGGAGGGTGAGAGGGCGAATTTCTCTGAATACTGGCACTCAACTCCTCATAATAATCAATAAAAGGAATGTTGGATGCCTAATATCTGGCCCCTGATATGTGCCTTAGGCCAAGATACTCATGCAGCAGGAAAGGAATATAAGAGGGGTGGGAATGCCTCTTGACATCTCTGTCCTAATGCTGGGGAGAAGCACTGTCTCTCAGTACACCTTCCAGTCAGCCCTCTTTCCACGTAGCCCAAACAGAGGTGAGTCCAGCCAGGGCAAGAGCATTTTCCAACATAATGGATACAGGTAGGACAATTTCAGCAGAAGAGGATTGAGCAGCATCCATAATTTTAGTTCACAAGGAGATTCAGTGACTCTGTATGTAGTGATTTGTACTTTTTGATGCTAAAATAGGAAGTAGCTTGCTTCCTTTCTTCTTTCTGTCTTCTGTTTACTTATTTATTTTTTGGATTCCAGGAAATTGCTCAATTTACACACACTGGATTCATGATTTTATAGAGTTAAGAGGCTTTTTCTTCATCATCATAGAGTAAAATTTACTTTTTTTTTTCCTTTTGGTATACAATTCTATGAATCTTAACATGTTGATTTGTGTTACCATGACCATAATCAGGATACAGATCAGTTTCATCTCCCCCAAAACTCCCTTGCATTATCTCTTTATAGCTTCCAATTATCTGCTCTTCCAGTTTTATGTAGGCAGATAGTTTGTCTCAAGTTAGAGGAGGTAGTCTGATTGTCTACTCATTCATTCCTTCTTTATGGACAGTCTTCTGGGCAGATGGTAGTATTTGTCAAAACATCATAAGACACAATTCCTGTCATTAAGGAAGGTATGGCCTAGTTCAAGGCTAAGATATCTCCATGGTAGCAATAAATTATCAAATGGCAAATGAATGATACTGACAATATAGGAGATCACAAAAGGCTTAGAAAGGCCAGGAAAGGCTTAAAAGGAGAAAAGAAACTTGACCTATAGTCTGAATGGATGGAAGGAGTTTTGAATGTCATGTAGAAGGCAGGAAAAGCCTTTTGGGTAAAGCAAGGACATAGAGGCATGTATGTGTATGAACTTGGGAAAAGCCTTGTAGGAAGGGAAGTGGGACTTTCTTTGAGTGGTAAAGGAGACTAAGTGCAAAAATGGTCACAATTCTCTGTCCTTTCCCATATCCATACCCATTTCAATATGACTACAGCTCCTCTCATGAACAGATGGAATCTATTCCCTTACTCTTTGAATCTGGGTTTGCCTACTAATTGCACCGACTGACAGAATGAGGCAGAAGTAACGGACTGCCAATCTTGAGCCTAGACTCAAGAGTCTTTGAACCCCTTTTCGCTATCTTGGAACCCTGGAAAGCTGCCAGGTGAATGAGTCCAGCTAACATGTTGGAGGATAAGAGACCATATGGCAGAGAGCCACATGGTTGTTCTAGCCAATTCCATCCTAGAGCAGTGAAGAACCTGCAATCCCCAAACATGTGAGAGAACCTTGCCTATAGCAGCAGAGATGCCTAACTGACCCACAGCTAATATCAGATAGATGAGTGAGCCCTAAGGAAATGAAAAGTATCCAGCTGACCCATCAACTTATGAGCAATAATAGATACTCATTGCTTTATGCCACTAAATTTTGGGGGAAGTTTGTTACCTAGCAATAGCTAACTGATACAAGTGTCTAGGGATCTCTATCTTATAAGTAATGAAAGAGTTATTAGTAGGTATTGTGACCCAACAAAGAAGGTACATTAGGAAGTTTCCTATCAACATTATAGTAGTGGAGATTAGTGATAATTTTAGTCTATCTAAAATTCATTTTTATTTTTATAAAAACAATAAATGCATAGTTTAAAAGGTTAAACAGTGCCATGAGGCTTATCAAGGAAAAATGTAGTCCCAAGCTATACCCTTACTCATGTCTCAGTATTGTTTCTTAGCTTTCTCTTCTGAAATCTATCTTCATATTTGTAACTATTGTGTCTATACTCATCTTTATATTTACCTATTTTAGATATAATCTCTTGCCATCATGTTATTGCAGATGAGAATTTTTCTGTTCTCCCTACTTCTCTTCCATACCTTACACCCTTTTATTCCAATTTATCCATGTAATAATTGGTATTATCAATTTAATAGCACCATGTTTGTTAAATAAATATTTTACATTTGTGTTATAATGTCTATGTAAATATTCTTCACTATTAGGCAGGGAGAGTACTAAAATAGTTTCTTTTTATACAAATTTTGTTTTTCTTTATTATTACTTCATTCTTTTATTTGCTTAGTTTTCTATGTACCAGTATAAAATAGATGCATAATTTTCTCTAAATATAATGACAGATATGGAAAAAAAACCTCATTTTCATTCTATTTTTCACATAGCCAGATGCATTAGTTTGTTTGTTTGTTTACACAGGTCTCCATCCAGGAGTTCTTTTGTTTTAATCTTGACTGGTTTTCTTTTATCTTATTTTTTTTAAAAAAAAGGTAAAATGTGTTACATTAGCGCCATAAAAGTGAAATCTGCTTATATTAAAAAAAAAAAATAAGTGAAGCTTTGTTTGGACATTATTCCCTTGCAAGAGCAGTACATATCCTTAGTAAACAACTACCATATTTACAAGTTAATTTCCGTGATACTTAGGTAGGATTGAAAGCCAGGAGAAATCATGAAAGAGTGAGCTTTGAAATAAGCTTTACAGCTAAGCTGATAACAGTGAAGGTAGCCAGACAATTCCTAAAGCAGACTTGCTTATTTTGTAGAGTATTTGACTATGTCTGGGTAGCTAGCTTGCTTTTATAAAGGCCAAGGACAAGTTCAATCCCTATTTTGGCCTGTTAAAGCTTTTCCCAGAAGAACAAATATCTGCTGCATAGTCATTCTAATCCTAACCCCAACTAGCCTCAAAAAAGAAATTAGGCAAGAGGACTGGGGTTATCATGAAATTACTCTTACTACTAAGAAACCAACATAAAGTTCATGTCCATAGATAGCGAATCAGCAGGTCTCATTTTCATATATGGGCAGCACAATTAAAATTGGAATTTCAAATAACCCAACATGACTCACTTTCGACAAAGGATAAAAATCCCTTAATCTTCAACTGGTCTTTAAATTCGAGATGTTAGGTCTGTGTTAGAGATAGTAATGAAATATTATCAAGTGTGCACTGGTACCTTAAATGTCAAATCTCAAAAACAACACAAATTCGAGACTTTCCTATTAACACACACATGTGTACCAACTGCAATTCATATGCTAAAAGTGGTTTTATGGTCTCTTTCGTCCATCTTTTCATTTTTGAGGAGCAGACTTGTAAAAACATCAATTTAACTTGTGCTAGGTGGTAGTGGTTTGTTTTTCTTAAACCAAAACTCTGCCAAACTTGCCGATCTTCTGCTTCATCTACTCAGGTAGAATACCAGGTCAAGCTGCTGCTGTGGCTGCTCTCATGATATGAAAGCAGTTTGTGTCTGCATTATTACTGTCTTCAGGAAAACTTTAAATTCTTCAGAGCAGTTTTCTTTACTCCTCCCATCTTTCATTTCCGCCTAAATCCAAGTTAAATTATGCAGTTTCCACTGGTCTTCAACACAGTTTGATTCTGCACTGTCGTTTCCTTTGCCTGTCACAGTAGCTGTTCACATACATTAAATCTTATAGATATGTTCTACTCTTGACATCTACACACTTACAAAAGCAGCTTTGTACTTTGTTTGGTGTGTTTGTTACTGTGTTGGTTCACAAAAAGCAGTTTTCTTAGTTCTAAGCATGGTACTTTACAATTTTTAATGCATTCATACAACAATCCATTGGACTTCTGCACAGCAAAAGAAACTACCATCAGTGAACAGGCAACCTACAAAATGGGAGAAAATTTTCGCAACCTTCTCATCTGACAAAGGGCTAATATCCAGAATCTACAATGAACTCAAACAAATTTACAAGAAAAAAACAAACAACCCCATCAAAAAGTGGGCGAAGGACATGAACAGACACTTCTCAAAAGAAGACATTTATGCAGCCAAAAAACACATGAAAAAATGCTCATCACTGGCCATCAGAGAAACACAAATCAAAACCACAATGAGCTACCATCTCACACCAGTTAGAATGGCAATCATTAAAAAGTCAGGAAACAACAGGTGCTGGAGAGGATGTGGAGAAATAGGAACACTTTTACACTGTTGGTGGGACTGTAAACTAGTTCAACCATTGTGGAAGTCAGTGTGGCGATTCCTCAGGGATCTAGAACTAGAAATACCATTTGACCCAGCCATCCCATTACTGGGTATATACCCAAAGGACTGTAAATCATGCTGCTATAAAGACACATGCACACATATGTTTATTGCGGCATTATTCACAATAGCAAAGACTTGGAACCAAGCCAAATGTCCAACAATGATAGACTGGATTAAGAAAATGTGGCACATATACACCATGGAATACTATGCAGCCATAAAAAATGATGAGTTCATGTCCTTTGTAGGGACATGGATGAAATTGGAAATCATCATTCTCAGTAAACTATCGCAAGAACAAAAAACCAAACACCGCATATTCTCACTCATAGGTGGGAATTGAACAATGAGAACACGTGGACACAGGAAGGGGAACATCACACTCTGGAGCCTGTTGTGGGGTGGGGGGAGGGGGAGGGATAGCACTGGGAGATATACCTAATGCTAGATGACGAGTTAGTGGGTGCAGCGCACCAGCATGGCACATGTATACATATGTAACTAACCTGCACATTGTGCACATGTACCCTAAAGCTTAAAGTATAATAATAGTAAAAAAAAAAAAATGCATTGGAAAAGTACTGAGCCTCTACAAAATAGCTTTACATTTTTAAACAAATGAATGTGATTTTTTTCACTTACACAGGTATAGGCTTTTTAATATTTCCACAAGATAAATACCTCAAACTATAAGCTCACTCTACAGTGTGCCACAGTGATGGGCTTAGGCGACAGTTATACACTTAGAAGATCCTAACCTTAGTGTTATTTACACTGACATGTCCAGTATTACAAAGTCTGAAAGGTGAACAAAAAATATTCAGAATGTGGCTGAATTTGTGTCAGCTAATAACTGGGAATGGTATAGCTTTAATCACTTATGAAACACATACTGTAACTTAGTCTAAACTGGTAATTTCCTTCACCCCTCTCTGTATGGCGTGAGAAAATTTAAAGATCAACATGAAACAGGAGCCATTGCTAAGGCAGATCTTTTAAGATAACAAAGGAAAAATTGACAAGTGTATATGATAAACTATCAGTAACAGTGATGCTACCAATTTAACTGGTATGGAAATCAGATTTTTATGTCCTAAAACGTGGCTTTTAAAATATTTCCTTTTATTCTGGAACAAAAACTGGAGAAAGGACAATGATTACCTCAGAAAGCAACGACTCAATTCAGGTTGTTACTTTACATTTAAGTACCACTCAAAAAGTGGACATAAAAGCAAGTGATTCCTGTTTGCCCATCACTATATCAGCTACATAGCTAAGAGTTCAGATCTTAATTACACAACACTTTCTCTGTTACCAGAAGCTAAGACTGCTCTGCGACAAATAGGACAGGTAGAATTCTCAGATAACCAGCGATCGATGCAGTCAGTGGACATGGTACTCATGGGAACAAGGTAGTTTACGAAGTTTGTTGCTTTCTGTATATTCTGTAATGCAAACACTACAGGTTTTTAATGCACCATTTTCACCAAAACTTCTCATTGCCAAGTTGTCAATCTGTTCTTTAGTGAGTCCTCTAGGTTGGTCATCATCATCCTCATTTAAGAGGAAAACTGAGCCAGGCTAGGAAGGGCAAAGAGCCACTTTAATGAAATATGACTGGGGCCGTATGTCGACCCTCTCGCCTGGCACCTGATGAGCCTGATGATAAGCTTCCTTCATTACTGCCTTCAAATAAATCTGAGCTAGTTTCTGAGCTTTCACCACCGGAACTGGAACTAGGACTGGAACTGGAACTGGAACTTGAACTGGAACTCGAACTGGAACCAGAACTATTACCACCACCAGAACCCCCTCTTCCACTCCGTGACTCTGCCCTTTCCATATTTTGATTTGGGACTGAGCCAGTAGGCTCTGAGTCGCTATCACTGTACATAAAATAGCTTAACTCACCAAAACCTGTCATTATCTGCCTTAACATCGTCTGAATTGCAACAGATGTAGTCTCACATAAACCAGTATTTAAGATTCTACAAATGGGGATTCTGGTGCTACTGACATAGGTTCTCACACCTGCCCACTCAGAACGTGAAAACGTACGCCTGAAACCTCCTCGCTCACTTTCATAGGTGATAGTGTTGTTTGGCCTCTGAGACCTAGACCGAGTTCTGCTGGCTATGCTATCTCTCTGCCGATATTCTCCAGGACTAACTCTTTTTACTTGAAGATCAAGGACTATGGTTAGAGGTCTCTGTGCTGATCCTGTAGATTCACCATTGGCCGCTGTGTCTGAAGAACCTGCTGCTTGAGAGGCATTTCTTTTTCCAGAAGCTGCAAAAAGACCTCTACTTAGCAACTCAGGCCCAGATATTTGCTGTCTCAATGTCACACAGGGCCGGGTTCTAGAACTTCCCTCCATCTCATTTACCAAAGGATGTTCAAAAGTCTGAGATGAGATACTATGATGAGATCTTCGTGGAATTTCACTCATTGGATGCAGAGGTGACCTACTTCTCTCAGCTCTTGCTCTGGCTCTCCCACGGTCTGGGCTCCTGCTTCTTGCCCTCCCCGACCTCTGGTAGGTGGGACTTCTGTTAATGCTTCAGTTGAATTTCGTTCTGATCTAGATGGCCTTGCAGATGTTGATTCAGATCGTGGGTTTTCCACTTGCCTTTGGCTGTTGTTTTCCACATTTTCTCCACTAGAACGTCTTGCAGATGGCTCATTTTCATTCTCTGAATTTTGGCTCCCATTATTACTGTTAACATTTATCTCTAAACTGAATCTGAAATTACCGCTGTTTGGATTAGTCCGGCTCACTGCTCTCCAAGATTGGTTTCCTCTTTGCCCACTTCTTGTTGTATTTCCAGTTTGTCTGACAGAGTTAAGCCAGTCTATTATAGAGTCACCATTAGACACATCATCTGAAGAGTCTCCTCCTCTATTTTCACCTGAGTTTTGCAGTGGTGGGCCTTCTTTAGTTTGCTGTAGTCTTCTCAGCAACTCTTCCTCAGTACTTTCACCTGGGGTGCCTAGCAAATTATTATCTCCATAAGCCTATAATCTTCTTCACTCAGGTTATTTACAAATGGATAGAAAGCTTCTTCCCGATCCAATCGGTCCATCTGACTTCTGCACTGTGCTGCAGACTGATCACCACTTCCTTTGTCATTAGAAACTGAGTTTTCCATATTAATGAACAAGTGGAAAATTACCAGGTTTGAGGGTCAGGGTCCGACTCGGTTGGTTCGGCCGCTGCCTCCGAAGCTGCTCCGCACCTCCCTGGCCGCAGCTCTCAAGCCCGCCTCCAATAAGTAGCTGGTTGAGACCCGCCTCTAGCCTAGCGCCTGCTTGGAGACGTTGCTCAGGCAGCCATTATCTTCCCCATTGTTACCAAGCAGCGACAGGAAAACTCTTGACTGGTTTTCTTTAGGCATTTCCCATGAACAGGCATTTTCTATGTCTCTGAGTATTTTCTCTAGGATTTCCTGTGCTGGAACCATTCTCACACCTTCCTCTGTCTTGGTGTAACCTCTTATTGTGATGAAGAATATCCTCCAGTATTATGTGGCTAAAACACCTTTATTCTATAGTATCTACTTCAAGCTTCATAGTCATGAATAGAAGATAACTTTCCCTCAGAATTTCTAATG
Organism: Homo sapiens; assembly: GCF_000001405.40. Taxonomy (NCBI): domain Eukaryota; kingdom Metazoa; phylum Chordata; class Mammalia; order Primates; family Hominidae; genus Homo; species Homo sapiens. The sequence goes on along the minus strand of NC_000015.10, from coordinate 49,793,781 downwards.
CATTGCTTCACTGTTTTCTGGCTTTTAAAGTTTTGTGCCTTTCTTATTCACAATCTTTGACTGTTGCCTGTTTTGGTTGTTGCTATTGTTCATTTGTTTAATTTATTTTTGAAATTTAAGCATTGAAAATTTCACTACGTTCCTTCATGAATCCTTTTTCCCATTTTCATTCAAAATTGTAGGTAACACAATAGACTCTTTCATTCTGGAAATTTGTGTCTGTCTATGGACTAAAAATAAAAAATTTGACCTGGTGCAGTGGCTCACATCTGTAATCCCAGCACTTCAAGAGGCTGAGGCAGGAGGATCGCTTGAGCCCAGGAGTTCAAGACCAGCCTGGGCAACATAATGAGACTCTGTCTCTATGAAAAATAGAAAGGAACATAGCTGGGTATGGTGGCATGCACCTGTAGTCCTCGTTACTTGGAGGCTGAGACAGGAAGATCACTTGAGCCCAGGAGTTCGAGGCTGCAGTGAGTTGTGATTGTACCACTGCACTCTAGCTTGGGTGACAGAATGAGGCCATGTGTCTAAAAAAATAAAAAATAAAAATTCTACATTGTCATTTTCTCTTTCTAAAATTCCTATTAGTCTTATGTTGGACCTCCCAGGTGATTCTTTAATTTTTTTAAAATGTTTTCTTTTCTTTTTTCTATCTCAGCTTTTTAAAATCCTGCTTTCTGGAAAATATCCTCAACTTCACATTCCGATACTTTATTGAGTTTTTCTTTTTTGTCCAAACTTTATTTTTCCTAAAAATTCTTTTATGTACTCTGATTTATCCTTGTTTTCTTTTTTTATTTAGCAAGTGATTTTTTGTTCTTTAGCCACAGTTCTCCCACATTTTTGCATTATCACATTTTTTTCATATTTTTAAACATTAGATACATAATTTGTTAGAAATTTAAAAGGAAAGCACATTCTTTTTGCTAAATAATGTCACATATTTAACTTATAGATTATTAACTTTTTGAATATCAAAAATTGAAGATGCTGGGAATCACATTTATTTGTAGGTCCCAAAATAGCCCTGAGGTCTGAATAGGAAAATATCTTTTATAATCTGTAACAAAACTCTTACCTCAAAATTAAACACTATAAAATTTACACAATTGTATCTGTACTCAGTATCTTTACAATATCCAGAAACCTACTGGAGTTTTAGAAATAACAATGCAAATAGGTTTACATTCAGAAAAGAGAGCTTATACTAAGAGAATATAACTTGAAACCAGGCAACCTGTACAGGAATCTGTTCAATCCTTAGACAGTCATAAAGTCATCTTTGTTAAAAGCACAGGTCCTTGGATATCCCCAAATGCCAGGTAGAATGAAGATAATTCCAGTACATTGGCTTTTACTGTTCATCTGAATGGGTTATGATTTTCAAATTACTGTTCCATGGATATAATATCTTCACTTATCTCTCTCTGAAGATATTAGTTATAGTTTCTTTACTCTGCATCTATTTTTTCAAGTTTTTTCCTTGTTTTGATTTTGATTTTTATTTTTCATGTTGAGGCTCATCTGATGATTTTCGATTGTCCATTCATATTTCAGAATGAGATCTAGAAAGCTGGTTGCATATTCTTTGTGTCTGTGCAGGGCTTGTTAACTTGTGGGCCTTATAGTAGGGTAATCAGAAAGTGACTAACTTTTTGGTTCAGGAACCCTAAAACATTGGTAACTGCAGGACTTTTCTATGGGATTTCCAGTCTTTTCAGAGAAGAATCCTTAAATCTGCTGCAAAAAGCAGATACAATTGTCTAGAGTATTCTGGGAGCAGAGTAGAGGAAAGTGCTGCAGAGTTCCATTTATTGAATAGTCAGACTTTTGCTTAATTACTCATTTTACATTCTAACACTACCCTTGTTTTCTCAGTACGCAGAACACCCCTATCGATTTCTGTAGAAAATAAGTCTTCATTTTCTGCAATTTAGAAGAGAATCACTCATTTGACTGCACATAATAATAATTATTATTATTATGTTGCCTAGGCTGGACTTGAACTCATGGGTTCAAGCAATCCTCCTGCCTCAGCCTCCACATAATCATTATTTTAAGTAAGTATGCAATCATAATATTAATAAGTATATGAACAGCTATCTTTGGCCTAGGGATCCTGTTTTCAACCTGTGCCATCAATAGGCGAGTTTAATTATTATATCATGTTGCTGAAACAAAAATTAATTTCCAAAATGGAAATTTGGTGAATAACAGAGTTTAAACTGAAGGTTTGAGGCTTGACAAGTAAGATGATTCACATCACAGATGCCTTACACATTTTGCCATTACACATATCAGTTTCTCCAAATTTCCTCCAGTACAGACAGCTCTCTCATGTCTCTTCTTTTTCTCAATTTACAATTCCTTACCAAAGCCTATTGCGTGAGCATTTCAGTTCCAAGTCTTAACCCCAGCTTGCAGACCATACTCACCAGCCAAACAATAGGATTTTACTTGAGATGCAGAGCAAAAAAACAAACAAACAAAAACAAAAAAAAAGAATGGAATAAATTTTTCCCTAGCAAAAATAATTTAACTATCATTAAAAGTCATACTGATGAAACCTATCAGTAAATTCAGAATCACAGTAAAGTACTTAGTCACAATGATATTGTGCCTGATTTGTGATTTTATTTTCAGAAAATAAGAGAAGTTTAGTGTGAAGCCAGTGTGTGGTGATGGTTATGGTTATCTTCTCATGTACTCATCAGCACATGCATGTGAGAAAACTACCTAAGGCTAGGAATGTAACCACCAAAAGAATTAAAGGAAAGAATACTGAGTACTGCTCACACAGGTATAGGACTCGTTCCTGGATCCATCAACCAGATTATTAGTGGGGAATAATTAGCCCTATGATATGCACAGCTCTGGTCCCACCTTGTGAATCATAAAAGCAAGACCCAAAAGGATTAAATAGTTTCCAAGTGACTTAAATCCATCCTAGAATAAAGCTCAATAATTATAGGAATACAAAAATATCCAGAATCCAAGAAAGAAAATTTCCCCATGTCTAGAATACAATAAAAAACTACTAGGCATGAAAAAGAAGCAGAAAACTATAATCTTTGATAAGGAGGAAAAAAAATCAATTTTAACCAGCCAAGAACTGACACAAATATTAAAATTAAAAGACAAGGACATTAAAAACAGTTTTTATAACTACATTTCATATATTCAAAAAGTGAAGTATAGATATGAAAGATATAAAAAAGACTCAAAATTTCCAGAAATAAAAAGAACAATATCTGGGATAAATGGTACACTGAATGGAATTCACTACAGATTGGAAATTTAAAAAGTCAAGGTAAATGGACTCAAAGACAGTTTAATAGAAAACTATCCAAAATAAAACATTGAAAGATTTATTGTGGCACTATTCACAATAGCAAAGACTTGGAACCAACCCAAATGTCCAACAATGATAGACTGTATTAAAAAAATATGGCACATATACACCATGGAATACTATGCAGCCATAAAAAATGATGAATTCGTGTCCTTTGTAGGGACATGGATGAAGCTGGAAACCATCATTCTCAGCAAACTATTGCAAGGACAAAAAACCAAACACTGCATGTTCTCACTCATAGGTGGGAATTGAACAATGAGAACACATGGACACAGGAAGGGGAACATCACACACCAGGGACTGTTGTGGGGTGGGGGAAGGGGGGATGGATAGCATTAGGAGATATACCTAATGCTAAATGATGAGTTAATGGGTGCAGCAGACCAACATGGCACATGTATACATATGTAACAAACCTGCACGTTGTGCACATGTACCCTAAAACTTAAAGTATTATAATAATAATAATAAAAAAAATTAAAAGAAAAAATAAAATAAAATAAAATGAACAGATAATAACTGAGCTGTGGGATAATTCAAATGGTCTAATGTATTTGCAATTGGAGTAGTTTCATAAGGGGAGGGCAAAATATTTGCAGAAATAATGACCAAAAATTTTCCAAATTTTATAAAACTAAACTCTATGGACCTAAGAAGCTAAATTAAACCCAAGCACATAAACATGAAGAAAACAATGCCAAGGAACATCATAATCAAATTGCTCAAAACAACTGATAAAGATAAAATCTTAAAAACAGCCACAGAAAAAGTAGAGGGATAATTATAAAGAATGACAGCAGATTTCTCATGAAAAACAATGCAGGTAAGAAGACAATAGAACAATATCACAAAGTATAAAGTATTAAAGAGAAAAATAAACCCTGTAAATGTGGAATTCTGTATACCTAGCAACAATATCTTTGAAAATTAAAAGTAAAATAAAGATTATTTCAAACATACAAAAGCTGAAATAATTAATCACTAGTAGACCCACACTATGGTAAGTATTGAAAGAAGTACTTCAATCAGAAGGAAAATGCTACCTGATGGAAATATGAATCTATACAAAGGCATGAAAAGCACAGGAAATGATACTACATGAGTAAATAATAATCTTATTATTTAAATCTTTTAAAAATATACTTAACTGTTTAAATAAAAATAATGACAATGTAGTATGGTATTAATAACATATATAAAAGTAAAATATGTGGCAACAATAGGATAAAGGCCAGGAAGGGCAAAATGGAATATATTGTTGCAAAGCTCTTATACTATACATCTATACCTAAAGTGGTATTTGGAGATAGACTGTGATAACTTAAAGATATATACTATAAACCCTAAAGCAACCAGTAAAAGACAAGAAAATAAGCACACCAACAAAGGAGATAAGTGGAATAACAAAAAATGATTTTATAAAGCAGAAAAAGAAAAAAGGTAAAAGAATGATGGAGCAAATAGAAAACAAATGGCAAGATAATAGTTGTAAACTTAACCATATTGGTAATCATAAAAGATGTAAATTTTCTAAACACCATAAAAGGCAGAGATTGTCAGAGTGGTTACAAAGGAAGACCCAACTATATGCTACCTACAAGAATGCCCTCTAAATATGAAGGCACAAAAAGGTTAAAAGTAAAAGAATGTAAAAATATACACCATTCTAACATGAGTCAAAGACAGCTAGGATGGCTATATTAATATCAGATTAAGTAGACTGCAAAGCAAAAAATGTTACCAGGATAAATAAGGTCATTTCATAAAAATAAAGAGGTTAACTCATCAAAGCAATCCTGAAAGTTTGTATATAAAAAAACAAAACTTTAAAACACATAAAGCAAAAACAGAACTATAAAGATAAGTAGACAAATCCCCAGTTAATGCAGGAGACTTTAATACTCTTCTCTCAATAATTGATAGATAGGACAAGTAGACAGAATATCATTAAAGATATAGAACACTTAAATAGTATCATCAATCAACTTGACCTAATTGACATTTATAGAACAGTCCACTTAAAAGTCTCAAAATATGTATTCTTTTTAAGGGCACAAAAAACATTTATCAAGATAAATCATATGATAGACCATATTTAGATCATAAAACAAGTCTCAATAGATTTGCAGGGATTCAAGCCATTTGAAGTATGTTTTCTGACAACCATGTAATTAAATTATAAATCAATAACAATGATCTCTGAAAAATCCCCAAATATTGAGAAATTATTAAATAAATTTGATTAGCTTAATACTCTTCTAAGTAGTCCAAGGGTTAAAGAATAAATCAAAAGGGCACTAAGAAAGTATTTTGGATAAAATTAAAATACAAATTCAATATATCAAATTTGATGCTACTAAAATGAGATGCTACAAAAAAGTAATTATGGAGACATTTATAGCACTAAACACATGTATTAGAGAAGAAGAATAACTTTATCAAAGATCTGTTTCCACATTAAGAAACTAAAAAAAGAAGAGCAAATTTCACCTAAAGTAAATAGAAAAAAGAATTAAATAGAAAATATAGTAAGCAGAAGAAAGGAAATAATAGAATAGAAAGGAAAATAGAAAAAAGAAAATAGTAAACACTGGTTCTTTGAGAAGATCAAAAAATTATAAAACATCTAGCCAAACTAATCAGGAAAATAAAAGAGATAATATACACAAATTATCAATATCAAGAACAATAGAGGTGACATCACTGCAGATTCTACAGGGATTAAAAGGGTAATAAGGGAGTATTTTGAACAACTATAAATTCATCAACATAGGTGAACAAATTTCTTAAAAGACACAAACTATTAAAGTTTATCTAAGAAGAAACAGGTAACATTAATAGTTTTATTAAATAAATTAAATTTGTAGTTTAAAAACTTCTGACAAAGAAAAAAACCAGCTCCAAAATAGCTTTACTGGTGGAACTTTCAAATATTTACTGGAGAAATAATACCAAATCTACACAAACTGTTGCAGAAAATTGAATTAAGTAAGAGAAAGTATTTCCCAATTTATTCTATGAGGACAGCATTAACTTGATGCCAAAACCACACAGACACAACAAGAAAACTATAGATCAATATCCTTCATAAGCACAGATACAACAATTTGAAACAAAATTTTAACAGATTAAATCTGGCAACACATGAAAATGATAATATATTATAATCAAGTGTTATTTGGTTTGTGGAAGAACTAGAACCCTCATATATTGCTGGTATGAATGTAAAGTGGTATAACCACTGTGGAACACTGCTTGATAGTTTCTTTAAAACTAATGCACACATCTATCATATAATCCATCAATTCCAGTTCCAGGTATTTGCCCCAGACAAATGAAGGTATCTGTCCCTACAAAGACATATCATGAATGTGTACAGAAGCTTTATTTGTAATAGCCAAAAACTTGAAACAACCTAAATGTTCATCACCTGGTGAATGGATAAACAAAGTGGAATGCCCACACAATGGAATGCCACTTAGCAAATAAAAGGAATAAACTACCAATACAATAAGAATATAGATGAATATGAAATTAATTATGCTTAGTGAAAGATGCCAGACAAAAGAAAGAATATACATTTTTATTCCCATTACATAAAATTCTAGAAAATGCAAACTAAACTGATAGAAAGCAGTTTGGTTACTGCCTGGGGATTAAAAAAAGAGAAACAGGGAAAGATGGGAAGGAGAAATTTCAAAAAGGCTCAAGGAAAATTTGGACTAATAGATGTGTGCATCATCTCAATTGTGGTGATGACTTTACAGGTGTAAACAAACTGTACACTTAAATATATACACTCAATTGTATGTCAATCTTATCTCACTAAAACTGTTAAATATGTGGGTCACTACAGATTAATATCTATTTCTGAAAAAGCCTCAACAAAATATTACCAATTAAATCCAACAGTATATTAAAGGAGTTATACGCCATGACCAAGTGGGATTTGACCCAGGTGCGCAAGACTGGTTCAACATTTGAACAACAATTAATGTAATTCATTATATCAACAGGCTGAAAAAGAAAAATCACATGATCATATTAATAGAAAAGGAAAAAGCATTTGACAAAATCCAGTACCCATTTATGATTAAAAACTCTCAATAAACTAGGAATGGGGGGGACTTCCTTAATCTGATAAAGAATATCTGTAAAAGCATCTATAGTTAACATCATATTTAATGGTGAAAAACTAGTAGCTTTCTCACTAAGATCAGAAACAAGGTAAGGATGTCTCCTTTCACTACTCCTTTACAACACTGTACTGGAAGTCTTAACTAATAAAATGAGACTGAAAAGAAAAAGGAAATAAGAAATATACAGATTGGGAAGAAAGAAATAAAACTGTCTTTGTTTGCAGATGACATGATCCTCTATGTAGAAAACCTGAAAACATAAACAACAAAAATCTAGGAACTAATCAAGGTTGCAGGATATAAAGTTAATATACAAAAGTTCATTATTTTCCTGTGTACCAGCAATAAACAAGTGGAATTGAAAATTAAAAATACAACACTATTTACAATAGTACCCACAAAATGCAATATGTGAGTATAAATTTAACAAAATGTGGACAAGATCTACATGAGGAAAAGCACAAAATTCTCATGAACAAAATTTTTAAAAATTACATAAATGAAGAGGCCGTCCATGTTCATGGATGGGAAGACTCAATATTGTTAAGATGTCAGTTCTTCCCAACTTTATCTATAGACTAAATGCAGTGACAATTACAATCCCAGCAAGTTACTTTTTAAGATATCAATAAATTAAATTTAAAGTTTATATGGAAAGGCAAAAAGTCCCAGAATAGCCAATACAATGTTGAAAGAGAAGAACAAATTTGGAGGATGGACACTACCCAACTTCAATACTTGCTACACTAATCAAGGCAGTGTGGTATTGATAAAAGACTAGACAAATAGATCAATGGAACTAAACAGAAAGCCTAGAGATATACCCACATATAGTCAACTGATCTTTGACAAAGCAGAAAAGGCAAACAATGAAGTAAAGATAGTCTTTCAACAAATGAGTTTGAAACAACTGGACATCGACAGGCAAAAAATTTAATCTAGACACAGATCTTACACCCTTCATAAAATTTAACTCAAAATGAATCATAGACCTAATGCAAAACACAAAACTAAAAAACTCCTGGAAGATAACATAGGAGAAAACCTAGATGATCTTGGATATGGTGATGACTTTTAGATACAACACTAAAGTCATGATCCACGAAAGAAATAATTGATAAGTTGGGCTTCATTAAAATTTAAAACTTCTGTTTTGCAAAAGATAATGTCAAAAGAATAAAAATGCAAGCCACATATTTGCAAAAGACACATCTGATAAAGGATTGTTATTAAAAATATACAAAGAACTCTTAAAACTAAACAATTAAAAAACAAACAACCCAATTAAATGGGCCAAAGCCCTTAAGAAACATCTCACCAAAGAAGATATACAGATGGCAAATAAGCATATAAAAAGATGCCCACAGGGAAATGCAAATTCCAACCAAAACAAGATACCACTATATACCTATTAGAATGGCTAAAATCTGGAACTGTGACAACACCGAATGTCGGTGAGGATGTGGAACAACAAGAAGAACTCGCACGTACTGCTAATGGGAATGCCACTTTGGAAGACAGTTTGACAGTTTCTTACAAAACTAAATATAGTCTTATCATATGATCCAGCAATTGCACTCCTTGATACCTACTCAAAGGAGTTGAAAACTTGATATCCACACAAAATTCTGCATAGATGTTTATAGCAACTTTATTGATAATTGTTAAAACTTGGAAGCAACTAAGATATCTTTCAGCAGGTGAGTGGATAACTAAACTGGTACAACCAGACAATGGAATATTATTCAGTGATAAAAAGAAATAAGGGGGGAGGAGCCAAGATGGCCAAATAGGAACAGCTCCTGTCTACAACTCCCAGCATGAGTGACGCAGAAGACGGGTGATTTCTGCATTTCCATCTGAGGTACCGGGTTCATCTCACTTGGGAGTGCCAGACAGTGGGCGCAGGTCAGTGGGTGCGCGCACCGTGCGCAAGCCGAAGCAGGGCGAGGCATTGCCTCACTTGGGAAGCGCAAGGGGTCAGGGAGTTCCCTTTCCGAGTCAAAGAAAGGGGTGACAGACGCACCTGGAAAATCGGGTCACTCCCACCCGAATACTGCGCTGTTCCGAGGGGCTTAAAAAACGGCGCACCATGAGATTATATCCCGCACCTGGCTCGGAGGGACCTACGCCCACAGAGTCTCGCTGATTGCTAGCACAGCAGTCTGAGATCAAACTGCAAGGTGGCAGCGAGGCTGGGGGAGGGGTGCCCGCCATTGCCCAGGCTTGCTTAGGTAAACAAAGCAGCCAGGAAGCTCGAACTGGGTGGAGCCCACCACAGCTCAAGGAGGCCTGCCTGCCTCTGTAGGCTCCACCGCTGGGGGCAGGGCACAGACAAACAAAAAGACAGCAGTAACCTCTGCAGACTTAAATGTCCCTGTCTGACAGTTTGAAGAGAGCAGTGGTTCTCCCAGCACCCAGCTGGAGATCTGAGAACGGGCAGACTGCCTCCTCAAGTGGGTCCCTGACCCCCGAGCAGCCTAACTGGGAGGCAACCCCCAGCAGGGGCACACTGACACCTCACACGGCAGGGTATTCCAACAGACCTGCAGCTGAGGGTCCTGTCTGTTAGAAGGAAAACTAACAAACAGAAAGGACATCCACACCAAAAACCCATCTGTACATCACCATCATCAAAGACCAAAAGTAGATAAAACCACAAAGATGGGGAAAAAACAGAACAGAAAAACTGGAAACTCTAAAAAGCAGAGCGCCTCTCCTCCTTCAAAGGAACGCAGTTCCTCACCAGCAACGGAACAAAGATGGATGGAGAATGACTTTGACGAGCTCAGAGAAGAAGGCTTCAGACGATCAAATTACTCTGAGCTATGGGAGGACATTCAAACCAAAGGCAAAGAAGTTGAAAACTTTGAAAAAAATTTAGAAGAATGTATAACTAGAATAACCAATACAGAGAAGTGCTTAAAGGAGCTGATGGAGCTGAAAACCAAGGCTCGAGAACTACGTGAAGAATGCAGAAGCCTCAGGAGCCGATGCGATCAACTGGAAGAAAGGGTATCAGCAATGGAAGATGAAATGAATGAAATGAAGCGAGAAGGGAAGTTTAGAGAAAAAAGAATAAAAGGAAATGAGCAAAGCCTCCAAGAAATATGGGACTATGTGAAAAGACCAAATCTACGTCTGATCGGTGTACCTGAAAGTGATGGGGAGAATGGAACCAAGTTGGAAAGCACTCTGCAGGATATTATCCAGGAGAACTTCCCCAATCTAGCAAGGCAGGCCAACGTTCAGATTCAGGAAATACAGAGAACGCCACAAAGATACTCCTCGAGAAGAGCAACTCCAAGACACATAATTGTCAGATTCACCAAAGTTGAAATGAAGGAAAAAATGTTAAGGACAGCTAGAGAGAAAGGTCGGGTTACCCTCAAAGGGAAGCCCATCAGACTAACAGCGGATCTCTTGGCAGAAACCCTACAAGCCAGAAGAGAGTGGGGACCAATATTCAACATTCTTAAAGAAAAGAATTTTCAACCCAGAATTTCATATCCAGCCAAACTAAGCTTCATAAGTGAAGGAGAAATAAAATACTTTACAGATAAGCAAATGCTGAGAGATTTTGTCACCACCAGGCCTGCCTTACAAGAGCTCCTGAAGGAAGCACTAAACATGGAAAGGAACAACCGGTACCAGCCGCTGCAAAATCATGCCAAAATGTAAAGACCATCGAGACTAGGAAGAAACTGCATCAACTAACCAGCAAAAGAACCAGCTAACATCATAATGACAGGATCAAATTCACACATAACAATATTAACTTTAAATGCAAATGGACTAAATGCTCCAATTAAAAGACACAGACTGGCAAATTGGATAAAGAGTCAAGACCCATCAGTGTGCTGTATTCAGGAAACCCATCTCATGTGCAGAGACACGCAAAGGCTCAAAATAAAAGGATGGAGGAAGATCTACCAAGCAAATGGAAAACAAAAAAAGGCAGGGGTTGCAATCCTAGTCTCTGAAAAAACAGACTTTAAACCAACAAAGATCAAAAGAGACAAAGAAGGCCATCACATAATGGTAAAGGGATCAATTCAACAAGAAGAGCTAACTATCCTAAATATATATGCACCCAATACAGGAGCACCCAGATTCATAAAGCAAGTCCTGAGTGACCTACAAAGAGACTTAGACTCCCACACATTAATAATGGGAGACTTTAACACCCCACTGTCAACATTAGACAGATCAACGAGACAGAAAGTCAACAAGGATACCCAGGAATTGAACTCAGCTCTGCACCAAGCAGACCTAATAGACATCTACAGAACTCTCCACCCCAAATCAACAGAATATACATTTTTTTCAGCACCACACCACACCTATTCCGAAATTGACCACATACTTGGAAGTAAAGCTCTCCTCAGCAAATGTAAAAGAACAGAGATTATAACAAACTATCTCTCAGACCACAGTGCAATCAAACTAGAACTCAGGATTAAGAATCTCACTCAAAACCGCTCCACTACATGGAAACTGAACAACCTGCTCCTGAATGAATACTGGGTACATATCGAAATGAAGGCAGAAATAAAGATGTTCTTTGAAACCAACGAGAACAAAGACACAACATACCAGAATCTCTGGGACGCATTCAAAGCAGTGTGTAGAGGGAAATTTATAGCACTAAATGCCCACAAGAGAAAGCAGGAAAGATCCAAAATTGACACCCTAACATCACAATTAAAAGAACTAGAAAAGCAAGAGCAAACACATTCAAAAGCTAGCAGAAGGCAAGAAATAACTAAAATCAGAGCAGAACTGAAGGAAATAGAGACACAAAAAACCCTTCAAAAAATTAATGAATCCAGAAGCTGGTTTTTTGAAAGGATCAACAAAATTGATAGACCACTAGGAAGACTAATAAAGAAAAAAAGAGAGAAGAATCAAATAGACGCAATAAAAAATGATAAAGGGGATATCACCACCAATCCCACAGAAATACAAACTACCATCAGAGAATACTACAAACACCTCTATGCAAATAAACTAGAAAATCTAGAAGAAATGGATAAATTCCTCGACATATACACTCTCCCAAGACTAAACCAGGAAGAAGTTGAATCTCTGAATAGACCAATAACAGGATCTGAAATTGTGGCAATAATCAATAGCTTACCAACCAAAAAGAGTCCAGGACCAGATGGATTCACAGCCGAATTCTACCAGAGGTACAAGGAGGAGCTGGTATCATTCCTTCTGAAACTATTCCAATCAATAGAAAAAGAGGGAATCCTCCCTAACTCATTTTATGAGGCCAGCATCATTCTGATACCAAAGCCAGGCAGAGACACAACCAAAAAAGAGAATTTTAGACCAATATCCTTGATGAACATTGATGCAAAAATCCTCAATAAAATACTGGCAAAACGAATCCAGCAGCATATCAAAAAGCTTATCCACCATGATCAAGTGGGCTTCATCCCTGGGATGCAAGGCTGGTTCAATATATGCAAATCAATAAATGTTATCCAGCATATAAACAGAGCCAAAGACAAAAACCACATGATTATCTCAATAGATGCAGAAAAAGCCTTTGACAAAATTCAACAACCCTTCATGCTAAAAACTCTGAATAAATTAGGTATTGATGGGATGTATTTCAAAATAATAAGAGCTATCTATGACAAACCCACAGCCAATATCATACTGAATGGGCAAAAACTGGAAGCATTCCCTTTGAAAAGTGGCACAAGACAGGGATGCCCTCTCTCACCACTCCTATTCAACATAGTGTTGGAAGTTCTGGCCAGGGCAATCAGGCAGGAGAAGGAAATAAAAGGTATTCAATTAGGAAAGGAGGAAGTCAAATTGTCCCTGTTTGCAGACGACATGATTGTATATCTAGAAAAGCCCATGGTCCCAGCCCAAAATCTCCTTAAGCTGATAAGCAACTTCAGCAAAGTCTCAGGATACAAAATCAATGTACAAAAATCACAAGCATTCTTATACACCAACAACAGACAGAGAGCCAAATCATGAGTGAAATCCCATTCACAATTGCTTCAAAGAGAATAAAATACCTAGGAATCCAACTTACAAGGGATGTGAAGGACCTCTTCAAGGAGAACTACAAACCACTGCTCAAGGAAATAAAAGAGGATACAAACAAATGGAAGAACATTCCATGCTCATGGGTAGGAAAAATCAATATCGTGAAAATGGCCATACTGCCCAAGGTAATTTACAGATTCAATGCCATCCCCATCAAGCTACCAATGCCTTTCTTCACAGAATTAGAAAAAACTACCTTAAAGTTCATATGGAACCAAAAAAGAGCCCGCATCGCCAAGTCAATCCTAAGCCAAAAGAACAAAGCTGGAGGCATCACACTACCTGACTTCAAACTATACTACAAGGCTACAGTAACCAAAACAGCATGCAAAACAGAGATATAGATCAATGGAACAGAACAGAGCCCTCAGAAATAACGCCGCTTATCTACAGCTATCTGATCTTTGACAAACCTGAGAAAAACAAGCAATGGGGAAAGATTCCCTATTTAATAAATGGTGCTGGGAAAACTGGTTAGCCATATGTAGAAAGCTGAAACTGGATCCCTTCCTTACACCTGATACAAAAATCAATTCAAGATGGATTAAAGACTTAAACGTTAGACCTAAAACCATAAAAACCCTAGAAGAAAACCTAGGCATTACCATTCAGGACATAGGCATGGGCAAGGACTTCATGTCTAAAACACCAAAAGCAATGGCAACAAAAGCCAAAATTGACAAATGGGATCTAATTAAATTAAAGAGCTTCTGCACAGCAAAAGAAACTACCATCAGAGTGAACAGGCAACCTACAAAATGGGAGAAAATTTTCGCAACCTACTCATCTGACAAAGGGCTAATATCCAGAATCTACAATGAACTCAAACAAATTTACAAGAAAAGAACAAACAACCCCATCAAAAAGTGGGCGAAGGACATGAACAGACACTTCTCAAAAGAAGACATTTATGCAGCCAAAAGACACATGAAAAAATGCTCATCATCACTGGCCATCAGAGAAATGCAAATCAAAACCACAATGAGCTACCATCTCACACCAGTTAGAATGGCAATCATTAAAAAGTCAGGAAACAACAGGTGCTGGAGAGGATGTGGAGAAATAGGAACACTTTTACACTGTTGGTGGGACTGTAAACTAGTTCAACCATTGTGGAAGTCAGTGTGGCGATTCCTCAGGGATCTAGAACTAGAAATACCATTTGACCCAGCCATCCCATTACTGGGTATATACCCAAAGGACTATAAATCATGCTGCTATAAAGACGCACGCACACGTATGTTTATTGCGGCACTATTCACAATAGCAAAGACTTGGAACCAACCCAAATGTCCAACAATGATAGACTGGATTAAGAAAATGTGGCACATATACACCATGGAATACTATGCAGCCATAAAAAATGATGAGTTCATGTCCTTTGCAGGGACATGGATGAAATTGGAAATCATCATTCTCAGTAAACTATCACAAGAACAGAAAACCAAACACCACATATTCTCACTCATAGGTGGGAATTGAACAATGAGATCACATGGACACAGGAAGGGGAATATCACACTCTGGGGACTGTTGTGGGGTGGGGGGAGGGGGGAGGCATAACATTGGGAGATATACCTAATGCTAGATGACGAGTTAGTGGGTGCAGCGCACCAGCATGGCACATGTACACATATGTAACTAACCTGCACAATGTGCATATGTACCCTAAAACTTAAAGTATAATTAAAAAAAATAAATAAATAAGATGGTGGCACCCTAGTGCAATAAAGAACAGTGCTGGCAAAAAATAAAAAATAAAAAATAAAAAATAATTAAAAAAAAGAAAATTAAAAAAAAAAGAAAAAAAAAGAAATAAGCTATCAAACCTTCATTCCTCTGTGAATAAACATGGAGAAATCTTAAACACGTATTATTAAGCGAAAGAAGGCAATCTGAAAAAGCCACATACTGTAAAATTTTAACTGTGATATTCTGGAAAAAGCAAAACTAAGAAGACAATAAAAGATCACTGGTTCCCAGGGGTTTGGGGTGGGGGATACAGAGATGAATAGCCAGAGCAGAGAGGATGTTTAAGGCAGTGAAAATACTCCATATTATAGTATAATGGTAGATACTTGCTATTATACATTTGTCCAAGCCCATAGAATGTATAACACTTAGAGTTAAATCTAATGAACTATGGACTTCCAGTGATTATGATGTGCTAAAGGAGGTTCCTCAATTGTAACAAATGTACCACTTTGTGGGGAGATGTTGGTAATGGGGGAAGCTATGCATGTGTAGGGGCATGTCCTGCTAGCAGTGGCTCTAGCAGAGATTTTGATTTAGTAAGTCTAAGGTGGAACTCAAGGATCTGTATATAACCTATGATTAGAAACAACTGCATTAGGGAAAATTAGCATGCAAGCAAGTATTTTACACTTGCCTCCAACAGAGCCCTCCGTCATCAGGCTGCTGTCCTCTCTTCCTCTCACGCCATGTTAACTCCTCTCTCACTTGCCTAATTTCCACCTAAGCAAATAATGGTGATATTTTAGAACCATTTAGAACCATCTCTTCTTACTTCATTTCTTCTCATCTGTCTTCAACCGCTGTAGCCTTTCCAATCCCTGAGTCAAAATAACTTGAAGATCCCAGGCTAATACATAATACTCTCCTCTTGCTCCAGGTCAAGGATACAGAAGGAAACCACTTCACTACATAGAATGAAAAGGGTTTCAAAATAAAGATTTATTTACAGCAAAAGAGCTATTGTGGATCACACAAGTCACTGTATCAGGTTCTCTTACGTGCCAACAGTTTTTCTTTACTTACTCACTATATTTGACTCTGTCTATGGACAACTAGTGCTATCCAATTTTGGTTTTAAGAAAAATTATTAAGGCTAAGAACAAAGTTGTTTATTTTTTGTCATCCAAGTTTCTGAGGAGATGTTTTAGATAAGCAATTCACCACTGTCTTTGATCTCAAACTATCAGCTTCAAAGTATAACATTTAAAAATAATTGTATGTGGTTTCTATTATTTCACCTGTTTTGCATGAAACTGAGGATTATTTTAAGATGTCTTTTCTGGTTTTGAGCATTTTTGTAAGATGATCAAGTTAGATGTTTGTCCGTTGTGATAGAACTCAACTCCTTTATATAAATATCCCAGACTTTATTGATTATTGTATCAGACAGAGGTAACATGAATGCATGGCTCTTCTATGTATGACATTTAATGAAAATTCAGTTGGCCAGGTGCGGTGGCTCATGCCTGTAATCCCAGCATTTTGGGAGGCCAAGGTGGGTGGATCACAAGGTCAGGAGTTCAAAACCAGCCTGGCCAACATGATGAAACCCCATCTCTACTAAAAATACAGAAATTAGCCGGGCGTGGTAGTGGGTGCCTATAATCCCAGCTACTTGGGAGGCTGAGGCAGGAGAATCACTTGAAACTGGAAGGCGGAGTTTGCAGTGAGCCAATATTGTGCCACTGCACTCCAGCCTGGGCAAAAGAGCTAAACTCAGTCTCAAAAAAAAAGTTCAGTTAATGCTCACTCCCAATCCTTCTGGAAGGGCTTTTGTTTTTCCTCTCTCCTTTCTAACTGCACTTAAAGAAAACATATTACACTTTGTGTATCTAATACATTTGGCTGGATGGGAGATGGTTAGCACTATTTCTTTTGCATGATGGTGGGTAAGCCTTTCTGTTCCTTTTGATCAGATCCAAGAAATAAATCTGTGTTATAGACAATATGTTGCAGAAGGGACATAAATATACCTGAAAGGTCTAATCAAGGGTACATAATTTTTTTTGTTTTCCCTGGTTTACGATGTAAGAAGCAGTATAATATAGTGAGCATAGTCAAGAAGCAGCAAGAGCACTAACTGTCTAAAATTAGAGAGGCTGTTTTCTAAATTCTGCTCTTCCACCTATGTGATCTTGGGCAACATTCTTTATTCTTGTGTTAATTCATTCATAAATCCCACAAATATGTCTTGAATATTTTCTATATGTCAGATATTGTGGAAATCACTGACAATGGAAGAGTAACACAGCCCTTGGTCTTATAAAGTGTGGCAGGTATGACAGTGTACCTCAGAGATCTCCAACTACAGGAGCAAAATTGATTGAGGGCCTCAGATTCTGTGCTCTGAAATCCAATGTAACATTTGCACCAGGCTATGCTTCCCATGGGCTGCTCCCCAAGAGTGACTGACTACAGTAGGGATAAGCAAGTTCATTCCTGGCAGACACAGCTGGAAAACTCAGTGATGGTCATGTTGAGCATTCTTTAGACTGCACAGCAGTCTAGTTCACTTCAACCTAATTTTCCTCCCCTCTGTCCTTCACTCAGGATCCAGCTTCCAGTACCTTTTCAGGGCTCTCTCAAACTTATGCTCCCTCCCTGTTTTCTCTCTCAGGCATTTCACCCGACAAAAATCCTGGCACATTTAATCCCATTTTAAATTTGTTTGCTTCTTAGAGAAACTAAGACTGACATATGGAGTACATTTTAGTGGAGGAGAGAAAACATAACAAGTAAATAATAAGGTAATTTCAGAGCGTGATAATTACTTAAGGTTAAAAAAAAAAAAACTAGTATAGTGGAATAGAGCGGTGGCCATGGGCGGTGAGCGGGGACAAGGCACATTGTTCTTTAGCTTGAATGGGCAGGGAAGATTTCTCTGAGAAGGTGACGTTCTAGTTGAAAGCTGAATGATGAGGTTTAAAGATGCTGGGAAAGAGCAGTCTGTGCAGTGTGAAGGGCTGGAGCCCAGCAGAAGCTGCGTGTTTGAAGAACGTGAAGGCAGGGATTTCAGTAACAA
Source organism: Homo sapiens (assembly GCF_000001405.40). Taxonomy (NCBI): domain Eukaryota; kingdom Metazoa; phylum Chordata; class Mammalia; order Primates; family Hominidae; genus Homo; species Homo sapiens. Next base: position 49,775,432 of record NC_000015.10, on the reverse strand, counting down.
CCCGCCAGAAGAATATGGCAGCAGGTGAGGTCAGAAAGACAGATAAAGGCCTGGTCATGGAAAGGAGTCTATATTTTATTCTAAGTGCAATGAGAAATTATTGGAGAGTGTAAGCAGAAGTGTAACAATTTGATTTATATTTTTGAAAGATGACGTTGGCTTCTGAGAGATGATGGACTGGGAGGGGGCAAGAGTGGAAACAGGTAGAGCAGTTAGAATACAGGTATCTAGGAGAGAGATGGCATAGGCTTGGACTATGGTAGTGAGGATGCTGGTGAGAAAAATTAATGATCGATTCAAGATATGCTTCGTGTGTGTGTGTGTGTGTGTGTGTGTGTGTGTGTGTGTGTGATGGAATCTCTCTCTGTTGCCCAGGATAGAGTGCAGTGGTATGATCTTGGCTCACTGTGACCTCTGTCTCCCAGGTTCAAGCAATTCTCCTGCCTCAGCCTCCCAAGTAACTGGGACTACAGCCGTGCACCACCATGCCCAGCAAATTTTTGTATTTTTAGTAGAGATAGGTAGTACTCCTAATGGTACGAGTCATTGAATACACAGATGTGGAGAAGCAGGAAAGATAATTAAATGTTGATTTGACATATTCTCTGCCCTGCTCCTGAGAAATCTGTGAACTCAGGAAAGATCAGAAAAGGAATATGATAACTTAAGTATGAGGAGAAGGTATGACAGAGGTCTAAAAGAGCCCTTAAAAAAGAATGTTCAGTAACGTCATGGAATACTGAGAATAACCAAAGTTTCTCAGAGCCTCATAATGCCACAAAGTTCAACGCTACGGTTTTACCTTCCTGGGCTACCTATTCTTCCCTCACTGATTGGATGAGATCAATAATCTCAAAGGTCAGCCGTGCGGTGGCCCACGCCTGTAATCCTAACACTTTGGGAGGCTAATCTTAAGCTCAGGGGTTTGAGACCAGCCTGGGCAACATGGCAAAACCCTGTCTCTACAAAAACTGCAAAAATTAGCCAGGTGTGGTCGCACATGCCTATGGTCCCAGGTACTCATAAGGCTGAGGTGGGAGGGTCACTTGAGCCCAGGAGGCAGAGGTTGCAGTGAGCCCAGATCATGCCAGTGCACCCTAGGCTAGGCAACAGAGTGAGACTCAATCCAAAAAAAAATCTCAAAGGCCCCATACAGCTCTACTATTCCATGACCTTATAATCACCACCCCAACCCAACATTATACTGGTAAGAAACTGAGGCCATATCTTGAGCTTATGGTAGAATTGAAATAAAGCATAGATCTACTCTTTTCTACCCAGTACTCTTTTCACAATAAGAGGAGCTAATATTTATTGAATGTGCTGAGAATTTTACATATCATCTATCATTTAATCCTTAATATAACCTACTATAAGGTAGGTATTATTATTATTCCCATTTTATAAATGATAAAATTAAGGCACAGAAAATTAAGCAGTTTATCAGATCTTCCTTCAAAGCATATCTTGAGGCCAGGTACAGTGGCTCACACCTGTAATTCCAGCACTTTGAGAGGTCAAGGTGGGTGGATCACTTGAGGTCAGGAGTTTGAGACCAGCCTGGCCAACATGATGAAACCTGTCTCTATTAAAAATACAAAAATTAGCCGGGCATGGTGGCACATGCCTGTAATCCCAGCTACTCAGGAGGCTGAGGGAGGAGAATTGCTTGAACCCAGGAGGGGGAGGTTGCAGTGAGCTGAGATTGCGCCATTGCACCACAGCCTGGGTGACAGAGCAAGACTCTGTCTCAAAAAAAAAAAATACATAAATACATAAATAAATTACTCTTCAAAAGAACATGGTAGAATCCAGAGACTCTGCAATGTATAATGTATAATGTCCAGTTGCCATCAAAGATCACCGATACACAAAGACAACAAAAAATAATCTAGAGAAAAAAGGCATTCAATAGAAACTGACCCTGAGGAGGATCCAGGTAATGGAAATTCCAGACAAGGTCTTTAAAACAGCCATAATAAATATGTCCGAAGACTCAAAGAGAAATATACACACAATGAATGAAAAGAAGGGGAGAATTTCAGCAGAATTTGAGTCCTAGAATCCTTACCTGCTTAGGCTTTGATACCTCTTCTAAGCCAAGCATTGGGTTCTAATTTACTTTCACTCAGTATTATGGAGCCATAATCAATACTGAGAAGCACCACATATTCCAGTTTAAGTGGGTATAATTGCAATTGGGAAGAGTGTGCATGGCAGTACTGGTGGTGTGGTGGTATTAATGATGTTGGTATAGTGGTGATAGACAGAACTGAAATTCTAACCAAATATCAGAATGTAGGAGGAAAGTATTCTAGATTTTTGTTCTAATTAAATGAAGTTATACATCTGTGATATTTCCCATGAACTTTGTCATTTGATCATAGCTGAAATTATGTTTCTTCCAGTGTTTCTTGAGAAAGAGATGGATTTCCCCAACTAGTAATATCTAAGAGTAAGAAGACTTAGTTCTAGATTCTGATACTTATCAAATTTGGAAAAGTTAATTAATATCCCAGGAAATGCCAATTTTTTCTTCTTTAAAGCAAGAGGAAGATGGGGTAAAATAATCTTATTGTAGCTGTGACATTATATCATTTAATGAATCCTTGACTTGGATTGAGTCTTATTCAGTCCCTTTATCTTGGTAATAGCAACACCTGTCCAGCTTACTACACAAAGCAGCTATGAAGAACAAATAAGATGATAATAACAACAATAACAATTGGTTACATTTATTGAGGGATTACTATTTTACAGGATGGATCTAAATGTTTTCTTTACATGTATTAGCTCATCTAATACAACGAGATGGGTACATTTTTATTATTCCAACTCTACATAAAAGTAAACAGAGGTTGTTTTGCCTAGGTCTCTCAGTTAATAAGAAGTAGAAGTGGGATTTCATCCTGGCAGTCTGTAGTAAAGATGTTTGGAATCAAACTCTCTCAACCCCTACTGTAGATAATGTAAATTAATACAATCACTGATTTGCTAACGGATAACAATTTAGATAACAGTTTTACCAAATTGATATCACTAATGGTTAACAATTTGGTAACAGTTGTACAACTAGTTGCTCACTCCTATTAACCTGGCACTCCACTCACAGATAGTCATCAAGAGAAATTCTTGTGTATGCACAGCAGAAGACAAGACAAAAATGTCCAACAAAACATTATTTGCAACGGGGAAAAAATCTAACTTTGCATTATTATGTGAATGGTCCATCAATAAGTGAATGGGTAAATCTGTTATGGTAAATTATATATATATATATATTTCTTTATTCTATATATGTAATTATATATAAATATAGATATTATTATATATATTTAACAATTAAGTGAATGTATATCAATATGAATAGAACTAGAATTGTACTATCCAATATGGTAGCCACTAGCCATATAAAGCTATTCAGCACTTGAAATGTGGCTAAGGCCATACATTAAAATAATATTTTCTATATATTTGGTTAAATAAAATATATAATAAATTTGATTTTACCTGCTTCTTTTTACTTTTTATGATGCAGCTACTAGAAAATTTAAAATTACATGTATGGTTTATATTATATTTTTATCAGATCACACTGATCTATAAAATATAATTTGAGTGAAAATAAGCAACCTTAAAATGATACAGCACGAAAGAATCTGTAAACACTTCAAGGCATGCAAAGCATGTTTATGAAGACATACACATGCAATTCAAATACAAAAATGTGGACTGAAATGGTACCCTTCAAATTTATAATAATAGCTTCTCATAAAGAAAGAGATAAGGGGTTGGAACTTGAAGAAACAAAAGAAACTTGATTTCATTTATAATATTCTGTTTTACATATTTAAACAAAATATCTGAAGCAAAATGATTAAATAGTAACGTGTGATCATCCTTGAGAGTGGGTTCTTTTAGATTTTGGTATTTTATTTGAACATTTCAAAAATGAAACATAGCAAAAAAGTTCAAATTAGACTAATAACTTTACACACACACACACAGACACAGAGTGAGAAAGAAAGAGACAGAAAGGGAGAGAGAGAGAGAGAGAGAGAGAGAGATTTACAAATCTCCCAGTCATTAGGCACCATCATCCCCCAGAGAATTCAGCAAAGACCACCTTGGAGATGTGCAGGTAAGTATGAGGAACTGAGTAGAGAGGCTAAAGTACATGCACTGTCATTAAGACAATTATGTGTGTGAATATTTGTAAAAATAATGACTTTTTGTGACTATAAAAGTAATTTGTGCTCATCGTAGTGTTTTAGAATTTTTGAAAAATATAAAGCAAAAAATAATTTTCTATAAGCCCATCATTAAGAGAAAGTTACTGGATATTTTGGGTTATTTTCTTTCAGTCTCTGAGTATTTGTATTTTTCCTTTTGCTAATATCTAACAGATATTTTGAAACAAACCCCTGAATGAAATATAATTGTTTTGTCTTTGGTGAAAAGAAGCTTTGCCTTGGGGCTCCAGATTGGGCTTATGTCTTTCTTTAAAAAAAAAAAAATTAAAACAAAAATAAAGTCAATAGCTAATATTTACTAAAAGATGTACCATGCTGGGAGGCTGAGGCAGGAGAATGGGGTGAACCTGGGAGGCGGAGCTTGCAGTGAGCCAAGATTGCGCCACTGCACTCCAGCCTGGGCGACAGAGCGAGACTCTGTCTCAAAAAAATAATAATAATAATAAAAAATAAAAAAGATGTACCGTGCATGCCAGGCAAGTTACATGCCTCATATAATTTAAACGAATAGTAACAACTATTGTAATTCCCATTTTACAAAGAGAAAAATGAAGCATAGAGAGGTTTAGTAGGTTGCTAAGGAGGAGTTAGGAAGAGGTAAGACTGTTAATCAAACTCAAAGAATTTGATAAATACAGAGCCAATATCCAACCAAGTCTCCATGGAAGACTCCCTAAGAGTGATTCTTTGGATTTATGTTAAATTTGGATATGTGTGTGTGCACACATGTATATGTGTGTAGGTGTGTGTGTTTGTGTGTATGTTGGCTCACATACCTCCATTACTCTGACCTCAGAATAAAAGGTATACCTGGCCCCTTCTAGGTAAATTCAAAGCTTGGATGGGACTAGTCCCAAGGCTAATGTGAATGTGCAATGGGGCTTAGGCTGTAAAAACATCATATCTTCATATCTTTGAGAGGAGGCAGTCGATTCATCCACTCAGACATGCCTTGTGTTTTTATAGATTCAGAGATTCTCTCTGCAGCCATTGTCTAACTTACTCAAGCCTCAACAGGCTGCAATTGGAACAAAGAACTCCAGAGTCCCAGAGTCATGTGTCTGAGTACATGTACTTCTTTCTGTATCTGAGCACATGAACAGGTATGGGTAAGCCAGGTGAATTTTGTTAATAAAAATACAATTTTATCTTACATTTACCATTTGCTGAGCCCTCATTATGTATTTTTCCCTAGACTAAGTACTTCATATGTTTTACAATGCATTATTTCCTATGAGGAAGGTTGTATTGGGATTCCCATTTCAGTGATCATAAAACTGAGGCAGAAAGAGGTTAAGGAACTTGCTTGGGTCAGAGATGGAAATAAGAATGATGGAGTTGCCCATGCTTTCAAACTGAGGACTAGACTACAAAGTACATCACCCATACTCTTTCTCTCTCCTTTAGCACTCCCCAACATTTAAAGGCTTTCTTATTTTCCTTTGCTAACTCATGTAATGCAACAACATTTAGGGCCAGTGGAGGGAACATATTTGATATAGAATCCACCAGATAATGATACAGCCAATCAGATGACTCTTATCTTTTGTAAGGACATTGTTTCCTTCAGTTTCTCCCACTAGTCATGCCAAATTTGGGTTGGATCTCTTTTGCCAACTCCTGGTTCCACCTAGTTGGTGTTCAGGAATGGTTTATGACCCAAAGAAGCAATGCTTTAACAAGCTTGTTTTTGCACTACATGTTGCAGTCCTAGGAGGAAACTTGGATGGTTACCAGTTTATAAAAATAAGGAAATGAAAACCATGCTTAATAGCAAAGAAGACTGCCAGTGATTGGAGCCAGCCATTAACCTTTCAAAATACGATGGGAGATGGGTGTGGGGCAAGGAATGGGTCAGGGGAAGGATGAATCAGAGTGTGAAGGCAGCTTAAGCCAAAGGATTGTCCAACAAACAGATTCTAGACACTTAATAAACTCTAGTAACTCCATAACAGAAGGAGAGGAAGATATCTTTGAGTTAATTTTTCTTTAATTCCTGTTCATTGGAAGCTGAGGTATAGTCATCATTGGGGGCTTTGACAATTGAAATGATATGCTAATTAGGACAGACCAAAGCGGGTCTGGAAGTGAATGCACCTGTTGCTGGGGGGACCCAGCCACTCCCTTGGCCTTAAACCAGCACTTCACTGTAATACCCTTCCTATTGTATTGTTGGTATGGCTTTCAAACAATGTGTTTGGGGTTTTTTCACTATTGCAGGTTCTACTAAAGGCCTGGATCTGCATAATATCGCAGACGCATGATGAGTAGGAGTTAGCAAGAGAATAATGTTGTTTATGATGAGATTGTAGAACACAGTCCCTAAGGAAAGGGAGCTAGTGAATTAATGGCAGAGGCAGGGAGGATAATACTCTAAGCACATTTCTGAGTCCTTGATTATTGATGCAGAGATAAAATTTGCACATAAAAAAAGAGAGTAAAATAAAAATGGAAGGGAATAAGTTCATAATTTTTTTGCTCTTAAGTTCTTTAACCTAGATTAAGGAATGGGTTTTAAGTGTGGTTTAAAAAAATTTTTGCTATACCTTAATGTGTCTGTGATAATTCTCTCTTTTACCAAGGAATGGGTATTGCAGAGAGAAGAATCATGTACTTTCTGGGAAATGATGCCAATGCACCATTTTTTCTTAAGTTAAAAGAAAAAATAATGACAAGGCAAGAAAAAATAATTTCATAGTAGTGCCTTTGAAATTCCTCTGCATATATTTTGTCAGGCTCTAAGGGCAACACTTGTCTGGGGAAGACAGCCCTGTCCTTGTACTCCATGTGTAGGCCTAAAATTAGTCTCCATAGTCACCCAAATATCACAAAATGCTGTTCTTGTTATTCCCACCCTTCACAAATGGGCCCATGTAACAGTGGAACTAAGCAGTCAATCTGAGACAGCTTTACCAGTTATGACGCTGACCTCTTTCTTGACAGGATCTGTTGGAACTTGCTGTGATTCCTTTTTATACAGACAGAAAAGTGGCACTGCACCTGTATCTCAGGCAAAACATTGTCATTGGCCAGGCTTCTAAGACTGTAAAACAAAACAACTAATAACCCCAAAGGGTATAAATCCTCAAAAAATAGGACTATTGGCCAAATTCAGAACTGAGTGTAAAGAGTACCAGCAGTTCCTCTCAGTGATAACGTGAATCTCCCAGAGATTTGGTGGTGATTAGCTTAATAGGGAACATGTGTTTCTGGGCTGCTGGGGCACCCCTGGATTTACATTTCTAAAGAATTCATAGAGTCATTTTATATGTCAGAATAAATGGCACTGGGGATAAGAAGAATGGTGAGTTTTTGTAGCAGTCTAAGGCTGGGCTTTACTCAAAGTGTTTTCTTATAGGGAAATGTAGTCTGCACTAAACAACCAGACTTTCCACTCATGGTTTGCTGTTCAGTGCTGAAGTTTCATGGCCATTCCTTTTGCCTTTGTGTTTGGCATTGTTGTTCCTCCTGAACATCTCTGTAAGCAAACATAGGTTTTAATAACCTTGTCTCTCTGCTTTTATTAGTAAGATTATACATTTACAATTCAGAGGATTTAATTGTTTACTTATTGTCTTAAAAATCAAGCGAGGAGGAGTAACGTCAACAAGGTGGTGAAGTAGGAATTCGTAGCTCTTGTTCTTCCACAGAAACACCAATTTAATGATACATGGGCCAAAATACCTTTGTAAGAATGTTGAACTCTAGTTAAGACATTTCAGTACTCAAGGCAAGCACAAAGCAAAGAATAGCCACATTGAAACAGGTTAATAGGGCAATTTCCCTTTACCTACCCCCTTTCCCATGGAGAGACAGTCCTGGCTCACAACTTCTTTCTTGAAGGCAGGGATACCTGGTGGACTTTTCTGTCTCCCTTCATTCAAAGTGCTAATGAAACAGGTATAGTTTGAATGCCTGGAGGCAGCTATGAGACACATGAAGAAACAGGGAAACATGGCCCAAAGAAGGGAACAAAATACATACATAACTGATTGTAAAGAAACTGAGGTACATGAATTACTCAAAAAGAATTAAAAATAACTGTTATAAAAATGCTTTATGAGCTAAAAAATATATGAACAAAATAAGAATATCAACAGAATTGGAAATATAAAAAAAGAACAAACCAAACAGAAACTGTGAACATGAAGAATACAATAACTGAACAGAAAAATTCACTAGAGGGATCAATAGCAGACATGATCAAGCAGAAGAATCAATAAGCTTGAAGAGAAGTCATTTGAAATTACACAGTCAGAAATCAAAAATTTTTTAAAAATTGGAAAAGAGTGAAGAAAGCTTAAGGGACTTATGAGATATCATCAAGCAGATCAATATATACATTTATACATTATGGGAATTTCAGAGGAAGGAAAAAAATAAGAAGAAAGTTTATTTAAATAAATAATGGCTGAAAACTTCCCAAATGGGAAGAAAATGGATATTCATATTCAGGGTCATTTTATTAAGAAAATTGGTCGATTCATTAAGAGGATATAACAGTTGAAAATATATATGCAACCATCATTTGAGCATCTGGATATATAAAGCAAATATTAAGAGAAATAAAAGGAGAAATAGATAGCAATACAGTAATAGTAGAGCACATCAATACCCTACTTTTGACAATGAGTAGACCATCCAGACCAAATATCACTAATGAAATAGTGAACTTGAACAATACTTGAACAATATGATATAACAGACATATACAGAATATTTCATGTAACAATAGCAAAAAACACATTTTTCTCAAATGCACATGGAACATTGTCTGGGATAGATCATATGTTAGGCCATAAAACAAGCACTAACAAATTTAAAAAGATTGTTATCATGTCAAGTATCTTTTCAAACCACAGTAGTATGAAACTAAAAGTCAATAACAGGATAAAAATTGGAAAATTCATAAATATGTGAAAATTAACTAACAGTCTCCTGAAATTAGAAAAGAAAATCTTGAGACATGTGAAAACGGACACATAACATACCAATATTATGGGATGCAGCAAAAGCAAGTCTAACAAGGCAATTTGTAGTGATAAATGCCTACATTAAGAAAAAGAAAGACCTCAGATACAACCTAACTTTACACCTCAAGGAACTATAAAAAGAGCAAACTAAGTTTAAATTTAGTAGAAGAACATAATAAATACCAGAGCATAAATAAATAAAACAGACTAGAAAAATTTAAAAAAATGCAACTAAAGGCTGATTTTTGGTTTTCTGAAAGATAAACAAAATTGACAAGTCTTTAGCTAGACCAACTAAGAAAAAAGATAAAAGACTCAAATAAATAAAATCAGAAATGCAATAGGGCCCATTACAACTGATGCTACAGAAATTAAAGGATTATAAGAGAGTACTAAGAACAGTTATATTGCCAACAAATTGTATAACCAACAGAAATGAATAAATTTCTAGGAATTTATTCCCCTACCTTATCACCTTACCAAGACAGGATTATGAATAAATAGAAAATATGAACAGACGTATAACTAGCAAAAAGATTAAATCCATAATCAAAGAACCTCACAACAACAAAAAAAGCCCAAGACCAGATGGTTTCACTGGTGAATTACTGCAAATACTTAAAGAAGAATTGCAGCTTTTCTCAAATTTCTTCTAAAAAATTTAAGAGGAAAGAATACTTCCAAACTAATTTTGAGGACAGAATTATCCTGATGACGAAGAAAAGAAAACTAAAGGCCAATATTCCTGATGAATATAGATGCAAATATCTTCAACAAAATACAAGAAAACCAAATTCAACAGCACATTAAAAGTATCATACACTATGTCAATTGGGATTTATTTGTGGAATTCAAGGATGGTTCAGCATATGAAAATCAATCTGTAATATACCATGTTAACAGAATGAAATATAAAAACCACATGACCATCTCAATAGGTGTGTAAAAGGCACTTGACAAAATTAAACACTCATTAATGATTTAAAACCCACTTAAGTAACTACCTGTAGAAAGAAATTATATTGACCTCATAAAGTTTATATATGAAAAACTCATAGTTAGCTTCATATTCAATGCTGAAAAATGGAGAGCTTTTCCTCTAAGATCAGGAATAAGACAAGGATACTCACCCTCACCACTTCTAATCACCATAGCATTGGAAGTACTATCGGGAGCAATTAGGCGATAAGAAGAAATAAAATGCACCCAAATTGGAAGGGAAGTAAAATTGTCCCTGTTCACAAATGACATGATTTTATATGTAGAAAATCATAAGGATTTCACAAAAACAAAAAACAAAAACAAGAATAAACTTCTTAGAACTAATAGCAAATTTATGAATAACAGGATACAAAATCAACATACAAAGATCAGTTGTATTTTTATATACCAACAATGAACAATCAAAGGGAAATTAAGAAAACAATTCCATTTAAAATAGCATCAATAAGAACAAAATATTTAGGAAAAAACTTAACCAAGGAGACAAAAGGCTTATACATTGAAAACTGCAAAACATTTCTGAAATAAATTAGAGAAGATACAAATAAATGGAAGACATCTAGTGCTCACGGATTTGAAGATGTAATATTGTTAAATTTAAAGACAAAAATAAAATAAATAAAATAAATGGAAATATATCCCATGTTCTTGGATTGGAAAGATTAATATTATTAAAATGGCCATACTATCCAAAGCAATCTAAAGATTCAATACATTCTCTATCAAAATCCCAGCGGCATTTTTTACAGAAATATAAAAACCATAAAGACATATGCATTTGTATGTTTATTGCAGCACTTCACAATAGCAAAGACATGGAAGCAATCTAAATGCCCATCAACAGTAGACTGGATAAAGAAAACATGGTACATATACACCATGGAATATCTACACAGCCATAAAAAAGAACGAGATCATGTTCTTTGTTGAAACATGGATGAAAGCAAATGCCATTATATTCAGCAAACTAATGAAGGATCAGAAAACCAAATAATACATGTTCTCACTTAACAGTGGGAGCTAAATAATGAGAACACATGGACAGAAAGAAGGGAACGACAGACACTGTGGCCTATTTAAGACTAAGAGGTGGGAAGTGGGAGAGGTTTGGGGAAAACAAAACCTATCAGGTACTATGCTTAGTCCCTGGGTGACAAAATAATTTGTACAGAAAAACGCCTGAGTTATGAGTTTACCTATATAACCAACTTGCACATGTACCCATGAACCTAAAATAAAAGTTAAAATTTTTTTTAAAAATATGAAAACAATTCTACAGTTTATATGGAACCACAAGGATTCCAAATAGCCAAAACAACCTGGAGAAAGAAGAACAAAGATGGAAGCCCCACACTTCCTAATTTTAAAATATATTACAAACCTGCAGTAATCAAACGATATGATACTGTCATTAGTGACAGACCAATTATAGATCAGAATATGGAGAACAGAAATAGCTTACATATATATGGATTTATAAGTCATGGTTCTCCAGAAAAATAGTACCAGACAGATATTTATTATGAGGGATGGGCTCACTTGATTATGGGGGTTGAGAAATTTCATAATCTGCCATCTGCAAGCTGGAGGTCCCTGAAAGCCAGTGGTATAGTGCCAGTTCAAACCCAAAGGCCTGAGAACCAGGAGAGCCAATGTTATAATTTCCAGTCCAAGTCCTAAGGCTCAAAAACCAGCAGTGCTGGCATCCCAGGGCAGGAGAAGATGGATGTTCCAGATCAAACAGAGAGCGAATTTACCCTTCCTTCACCTTTCTGTTCTTTTCAGGAGCTAAAAGGATTAGATGATACCCATATTGGAAGAGTGATTTTTACTCAGTTTACTAAGGCAAGTGCTGATCTCTCCTGGAAATACACATACACACACACACTCAGAAATTATGTTTTACCAGTTTTGTGGGCATCCCTTAGCCCAGTCAAGTTGACAGATTAAAAGTAACCATCACAACAGTCAAACAATCTTCAATAATGGTGTTAAGACTACAAAATGGGGAAAGGATAGTCTCTTCAACAAATGACATTGAGAAAACTGGATATCCCCATGCAAAAGAATGAAAATGAACACCGACCTTACGCCATATACAAAAATCAACTAAAAATGAAAGAATTAAATGCAAGACCAGAAATAATAAAACTCCTAGAAGAACTTATAGGAGAAAATCCTCATAACATTGGTCTTGGCAATAATTTCTTGGATCTGACATCAAAAGCACAGGGAACAAAAGCAAAAGTAGACAATTGAAACTACATCAAACTAAAAACCTTCTGCACAGCAAAGGAAACCATCCAGAGAGTGAAAAGACAACCTATAAAATGAAAGAAAATATTTGAAAGCCATATATTTGATGAGACGTTAATATATAAGAAACTCCTATAGCTCAAAAGTTTAAAAACAGTAACTTGATTTTAAAATGAGCAAAGGACTTGAATAGACATTTCTCAAAAGAAAACAAACAATCAACAGGTATATAAAAAGATGCTCAACATCACTAATCACCAGGGAAATGCAAATAAAAACCACAATGAGGTATCACCTGACACCTGTTAGGATTTTCTTTAAAAAAACAAACAAAAAAAAAACAGAAAATAACAAGTATTGTGAATATGTGGACAAATTGGAACCCTTGTGGACCACTGATGGCAAAGTAAAATTGCTAAGTAAAACAGTATGGGGTTCCCCCCAAAATGAAAAATAGTATAGCAATATAATCCAGCAATTCCACCTCTGGGTGTTTATCTAAAAGAAATCAGGATCTTGAAGAGATGGTTGTATTCTCATACTCATTGCGGCATTATTTGCAACAGCCAGGAGCTGAAAATAATGTAAATACCCATCAATAGATAAATGCATAAAGAAAATATAATTGTGGTGTATATATATACATAAATATATATATATGCACACGTACACACACACACACACACACACACACACACACCCCGTATGTGCTTATCCAGCCATCAGAAAGAAATTCTGTCATTTGCTACAACACAGATGAACCTGGGGGACATTGTGCTGAAGGGGATAGGACAAATACTACATGATTTTACTTACATGAGGTATCTAAAGTAGTCAAATTGATAAGTAAAGAACGTTGAATGGTGTTTGCTTGGGGCTACAAGAGAGGGTGAAATAAAGAGTTGCTGTTCAATGGGACTAGAGTTCTTGTCATGCAAGATAAATATAGAAATATTTCAAAGTACTTAAACCTTCCTTTTGAATTTTTCACAATGATTTTTTTCTTTATCTCTAAATTATGATATACAAAAATATACTTTGTATCTAGTAATACTACATACTAAATAATTTTTAATTATTGCATTTCTCACTCTATTAGTTTGCTTGCAATTTTTAAAACTTTCCTTTTGTTGTATACCCCAATTATTGCAACAGGCATCTTTGACTTATAAGAATTTAATGTCAATTAATAATTTTACAAACTTTCCATATCATGCAAAGACCTTGTAACACTTTAACTTCATTTAACTCTCTACTCGTTGTGATTTGGCTATTACGTATTTCAATTCTACATATACTTTAAAACCAACAGACATTGGTATTGGTTTTAAATAATATTTATTTATATTTTCCACCATAGTCACTCTTTCTTTTGTTTTTGTTCCTTCTTGCATTATTACACTTGTGTCTAGGATCATTTTTCTTCTGCCAAAAGAATCCCCTTTTGTATTTCTTTTAATGTAAATCTGATAGAGGTAAGTTATCAGAAGTTTGTTTTTGTCTTTGAAAAGTATTTATTTTGTCTTCGTTTTTCACTGATATTTTAATTGAGTATAGCATTCTCAATTGACACATATCTTTCACTATTTCAAAGATGTGATTCCATTTTTTAATGGCTTCTGTTGGTTCTGTTGAAAAGTTGGCTGTCATTACTGCTTATTTGAAGGTAATGTGTGTTTTTCCTTGCTGCTTTAACAATTTTTCTTGTCTTCCTTGGTTTTCAGCAGTTTTACTATGATGTGCCTATGTTTGGCTTTCTTTGAGTTTATTTTGTTTGAATCTATGACTCGATGTGTGGGGTTTTTGGGGTCAGTTTTGGAAAATTCTCAGGTAGTAGTTCTTCAAAATTGCTTCTTTTTCAATCTCACCTCCAATTACATTTATGTTAGACTTTTACATGGGTTCTCATATGTCTCTTATGATTTCTTTTAAAAATATTCTTCGTATTTTCTCCCTTTCTGGACTGTATTCTGGACACTTTCTGCTGACCTATCTTCCAGTTCACTAATCCTCTCTTCTACTGTGTCTAATATGTGAAGTCCATTCTTTAAATTCTTAATTCAAACTTTTTCTAAAATTTCCCTTTGATTCTCTTTCACATATTCTATTTTAGTAAAATTCCCCATATTTGTATGCACTTGTCAAACATATTAATCATAATGATTTTAAGGTCTATATTTGATAATACCCATATCTAAACCACCTGTTGGCCTGTTTCTATTATCTATCTCTTCTCTTATTGTTCAGTCACTTGGGCGTTTGCTGTGTTGTGTTGTTTTGTTTGTTTTATGATATGCCAAGTAAAGTTTAATTGAATGCTTGACCTAATATCTGAAATGTTATAAGGGTTCTCTGAATAATATCATTATCTTAAATAAGAGGATTTAATTTTCTCCTGGCAGGCAGTTAATATATGTGCAGATCACCTTGATCTAGTCAAGGTTGGTATAATTTGATCTGCTCTTATTATTACATTATAGTCCTTTTAGAGATCTCTATTAAAAACCTGAGGTGATCCATCTACCTTTTCTACTTGAAGGATCTTGAACTCCAACTTTTATATCCCTAGCACCATGGATTACCAAAATCTCAGTTTAGCATTTTAGCCTGTTGACAGTTGCTTTTTGCTTTGATTCTTGGTTTCTTATCTCACAGATGCACAGCTTAGGAGTTAAAAACACATCAAAACAAAAGTTGCCTGCAGAAAGTCAGCCACACTTTTATTTGGTTCACCTTTTATCCAGGAACTTGGCCCCTCAATCAAGTTCTGTAGCTTTTGTCTTTCCATGTCGGTGAGACTACTATAAGCACTAGGCCACCATTTTCTTCATGATTTCCCTGCCCCATGATTTGATTTGAAAATGCCCTGGGTTGGGGGGAAAAACAGTGACAAATATGGGACTCTCTCAAGGCA
Organism: Homo sapiens; assembly: GCF_000001405.40. NCBI lineage: Eukaryota > Metazoa > Chordata > Mammalia > Primates > Hominidae > Homo > Homo sapiens. The sequence continues at coordinate 49,760,034 of NC_000015.10, read as the reverse complement.
TGCCCCTGCTCTCTGGGATCCTGGCCCCTCAAATTCTGGTTGCCTTGGTTGCCCTCTTATCTGTACAAACTACTGTCATGATAGTTTGCCTGACTTTTATAACTGTTCTCAATTATTCTATGATAGTCAGAAGTGGAAATGCATATTCTGCCTGGAAGTACTGATTTAGAATTTTAGGATTTTGTTTAGAGAAAATGCCAAATTATTTTTATACAAAACCTGGCCCTGATGTCTGGTTTCAACTTTCCCTGAATGGCAACATAAACAAATTCTAGAATTACTCTTTATCTAAAGCTCCAAATAGATTCTTTTATCTTTTTATCTTTGAAGCTCTGAGAAAGGTTTTTGTACTAATTGTATCTGAGAAATATATACTTAATCCTTTGAATCACAACCCTATAGTTCCTTTAAAGGTGCTTATGGTTCCATCCTTCTATATATAAATAATATATATTAATAAGTGTATTACTTATTAATATGTGTATTATAAGTGTATTATTAAATAATAATATAAATAAATAAGTGTATTGCTGTCACTCTTCCCTTCATCCTTACTCCTTTTCTAGCTTGAGACAACTGAAAAACAATTAGCCCCATATTCGGCACAAAATTGACACAAAATAAATATTGATGAATGGCTGAATAAATGAATAAGCAAATGAAATTTCTTCATCCTGTAAAAACTGGTTGAGAAAGTTTTTTGATTCTTCACTTTTATTGTTATTCCACCCCTTATTTTAATGAAAACTAAAGTTTATAATAACTTGAGGCTACTTCTAAGGGTCAAAATTTTGTGAGATACAAGGGACTGAATTTTACAGATTTTAATTCATACAAAGGTATGTCAATACGTTCATCCATTTGTTCTGAATCATTTATTTGCTTATCATGTAGGTGGTCACCCAGAAGTGATTTTTGACAAAAATCTTGGCTGCATGTACTTGACTAATCTTGACTGGTATAAACAGTTCTTGCCATGTGATTGCTATTTGGAGATACAGCTGGTGAGACATAGCTAGACTGATTCATTGCCTTGTCTCATTTTTAAAAGGGTCTCTCTTACAGTAAACTTAGAAATGGGAAGTCACTATGTTATGTGCTGAATTTCTGTCAGGGTCTGCTCTGTCTGATTTCTCGGTCTTTGAACATTTTTTTCTGATGCTTTCAATGTCCTCCTTTTTTCTTATCTAGTGAACTATACACTTCAGTGTTCAAAATGTTCCCCTTTGTAAAGTTTTACCTAATATCTCAACAACATCACATGCTTTCTCTTCTGGCTTCTCTTTGTTTTCTGATATTCTTCTATAGCGCTTGTCATTGCAGTGAATTATTTGTGTCTCTCTTCCTTACCAGACTCTCTCACAAGGGCACAAGCATGACCTCACTCTTCTCACTATCTTCAGTGCCCAATATAGCAACTAATACTTGTTAGATCCTCAGTACATTTTTTCATACTTGTTAGATCCTCAGTACATTTTTTCAAATATAAAATTCAAACATCAAAATTCACCCATTTAAAGTGTACAATTCAGTAGTTTATTAATAAAGTTGTGCAACAATTACCACTACATAATCCCCTGATAGTTTCATTGCCCTAAACAGAAACCCCATACCTATTATCAGACTCTCCTCATTTTCTACCTCCTTAGTCCCTGGCAACCACTAATCTGTTTTCTATATTTATGGGCTTACCTATTCTGGAAATTTCAAATAAACAAAATCACACAACATGCAGCTTTTTGTGTCTGACTTCTTTTACTTAGCATAAAAATTTCAAGGCTCTTCCATGTTTTAGCAGAAATATTTTATTGCTTTTCATGGGTGAATAATATTCCATTCTACAGATATACCATATTTTGTTTATTCAGACAGATGCTGATGAGCACTTTGATTGTTTCCACTTTTTGGCTATCCGTAACAATACTGCTATGAACATTTGTATACAAGTTTTTGCATGAATATATGTTCTCAGTTCCCTTGGCTTATATGTGTAGAAGTGGAATTTCTTGTAACTCTATATTTAACTTTTTGTGATACTGGCAAACTGTTTTTCAAGGTTTCTGCATCATTTTACACTCCTACCTGCAGTGTATGCGGGTTCCAGTTTCTCAGAATCCTTGCCAATACTTGCTCTTGTCTGTTTTATTGATTATAGCCATCTATGTGGATATGAGTGGAATCTCATTATGGTTTTGATTTGCATTTCTCTAATGAGTAATGATATTGAGCACCTTTTCATATGATTATTAGTTGCCCATTTTTAAATTAATTTTTCTTTTTATTACTGAGTGTGAAAGTTCTTGATATATTGTGGATACTAGACTCTTATCAGATATGTGATTTTGTCAATAGGAATGTTCTCCATTATGTGGGTTGTCTTTTCACTTTCTTGATGGTTTGATGCACGTAAGTTTTTAATTTTGATGAAATTGAATTTATCTATTTTTTCTTTTGTTTTCTTGTGTTTTTGATGTCATGCTCGAGAAATCCTTGCCTAATCCAAGGTCATGAAGATTTACACCTATATTTTCTTCCAAGAATTGTACAATTTTAGCTTTTACACTTCAGTCTTTGATTCATTTTGAGTTAATTTCCGTATATGATGTGTGATAAGAGTATAACTTCATGTTTTATATGTGGCTATTAAGATGTCTCTGCACTATTTATTGAAGGCTATTCTCTCCCCTAATGAATTGTTTTGACATCCCTTTCCAAAATCAATTAATCATAAATATATGGATTCATTTTTGGACTTCCAATTTCATTATATTGATCTATGTGTCTATTCTAATGACAGTTCCACACCATCTTGTTTACTACAGTTTTGCAGAAAGTTTTGAAATTTCATTTCCTGCTCGTACAGAGCCTCAAGTTTAGCCAGATGTGAGTGCATAGGACCTTTTCACGTCTTTCCTGAGTATGTGCACAGCCCTGGTCATGCTCACTGTCCTACATATGCACATGGCTTTCTACAGTTCCAGGAATGTGTCAGAGCTTTTCAAAGCCCCCTATGGATATCTCATTCTCCAGATTTTCCTTTCAAGCTGTGGTTAGCCTGTTATTTGTCCCAAATGCTATATACCACCTCAGTCAGCCACGCTTGACTGTAATTGTTTTTGACAAATGTCCTCAGGAAAAGATTTTTTTTCACTGGATAAGCTCTGTGTTGGATCTGTGCCAGGTCAGGCATCCTTGAAGTAGGGCTTCCATGGAACCACCAGACAGGACAAATAATGACTCTTATCTGGGAAGGTGGCTCTATAGAAACTCCAATCCCATTCTGTTTCCTCCAGTGGCTGCTGGACTGCTGGCTTTCACCATAATTGTAGGCTGTTGGTTTCTAAGGCCACCACAGAGCTGGAGTACTGGGGGCTGGGAATAGTATAAGTTAAATCACCACAAGGCTCACTTTTCTTATTGGGATTTGTCCATTTTTCTTGGATAAATTATCCCCAGGTTGCTGTAAGCTTTTGATTCATTTTTTTGGAATTCTAAAATAGTTGATTCTGGCAATATTTTTTTTGCTGCTGTTCTCATTGCTTTTAGGAAAGAGAGGAGTTTTGGCAGTCCTACTTCACCATGTTTCCTTTCATCCTCAGTACATGTTTTTGAAGGAGCAAATTAATAAATGAATTAATTGGAAATATGTATGCTCACTGAAGTACCCTCATACTCCCCAGTTAAGTCAGGATATTCATTTTTTGAGTTGATTTATCTGCTACAACCTGCAGACTCTGAGTTAACAGTCCTAGAATGGACTGTTATAGCAGGAAGTGAAATGAGATGAAAGTTGCTCTCAGTATTGAGGTGCTGCATATTGGCTGTCTAGATTTTTTGCCCAAGGATGGATGGCACCACCTATTGTGCTTCTTGTAGTGTAATTACTTCCTGTCTTCCTACCAGCTTTCAATTATGGTCTTTGGTCTTGGGTTTGGAATCATATACTTTTGGTTCTTATTTTTTTGCTTAATTTTAGCAATCGCCTTGCCTTGAATTTAGAGGCTCTGAACCCCTTTGTTTGTTAATTATTTTACTTTTTGTACTCACTGAGTTTTTCTGATGCAAATATCTTAATGAATTTTGAGGTTGAAATACCTTGTTAAAGTCTTTCTGATCCTTCTTGACCAGCCACCCTTAGGTACATTTATCTGTTCTTTTGCTTGACCACTACCTTGTATTTTTGCCCTGTATATGAAGTTAAGCTTCATACCTTATTCCTAGTGATCTTTGTTCACCAGTGCACTCTGCAATGACACCCCCTTAGCAAGATATAAATGACACCCCCTTCTTTTGTTTGACCACTACCTTGTATTTTTGCCCTGTATATGAAGTTAAGCTTCATACCTTATTCCTAGTGATCTTTGTTCACCAGTGCACTCTGCAATGACACCCCCTTAGCAAGGTATAAAATCTCTAAATTTTATATCTTTAATTAGATGTGATTTTATATCTTAAATAGATCAAATTAAATCCTTTCAGTAATCCATAAAAGATTATGTGAGTAGCCCTTTGGAGATACGTTATCTCTTCCTAGCCACACTGAATGAGTACATTTTAAGATGATGTTTATAAAGCAAGTATTTGTATATCAGACTATATTTGCCCAATAAAATATATTCTAATTCTGGAGATAGGTCCCCATAGAGAAAGAAAAGATATGCATATATTTTAAAATCATAAAAGAACCCCACTTGAAGATCCTTGAAAATACTTTCTGTCCTTGTTTTTTGTGTGTGTTAGCCAAGACTGTGTACTTCCTTCTTCTTTTTTCTCCAACCTTCTCTTAGCTTCACTGTCCAACCAAAAAAAGTTAAATAAAACTGTTTCTTTGAAAGTTTTTCCTTTAATTGAAAAATTACTTTGCTTTTCAATGGCTATTAAAGCATGAATAAACATAGTCTATGGCATTCAATTCACCTATGTGATCAAATGCCTAATGGAAAACTATCTGCATAATCTTCATGGTCACATTAAGAATTCACATAGATTATCTACTAGTTTCTCTATCACATATTTAATTCTTACCTTACATTCCCTTCATTTTTTCTTTATGGGATTTGATATTGAAATAGCTAGATAGGCAATATTATTTTCAATTTTGAACTCCATTATGAATTTTAGGTGAAAGGGTGGATAGCTATACAGAAATGCCTTATAAAATTTGACTCAAATATTCATTACTGAATGTCTAATAGTCAAAAACCCTGCTACCTTTTTTCTGAGGAAACTATTCTTGCTTTTGTTTTAAAAGTCATTACCTGAATTCACTTCAATTTAGTACAGATTATTAATTGTTCTGGAAATTGTTTATAAATACTTATTGTGAAAATGGCTTTAAAAGAGATACTGTGACCCCAGTTCTGTTTCTCTAAGGATTTATTTTTATTTCAGCCAAAAAGATAAGACTACAAGACCTAGACAAAATCTAATAAGAAATTATTGCCTTTGTATATTACATTTGTATATAGTCCAAACCATGCTAAATAAATGAAGTATACAGCAGATTGCCTTGTAGTGAAGATTCCCCATGCTGTTCATAAATGAGTGATTCCCTCTTTTTTTAAATCCTATGTAATCGGCCTCAGTAACCTTAGGGGATAAATAACCCATGTTTTCCAGATGTCGATACTGGGGCATACAGAAATTGGGACCAGTCTCATTCTTTACAAGATAAATTCAGCAGGAAAAATGGAAAAGATGAAACAAACATCCTGCCTATGTGTCTTCCCCAAAGTTCTCACACAAATTCAACTTAAGATTTGCTACAGTTCATACTATTGGTAGGAATTCAAGTTTCAGTCTTCCTCCAAACAAATAAACTTGTTGCCATGGGTGGTGGGCAGAAAAGTGACTTTTCGAATATTAATACATTTTATCCATTGTGGTTCTTATTTGTTGAGTATTATCGGCCAAATTAAATAAATGTCAAGTCTCTCTCAGGTCTCTAGTGGTTTAATAAGATTTAAAAGCCAAAGGTGCTACCACAGGTATTGAAACCTGTTTAGTTTGGACGTTTCTAATTGCAATAAGAACATGAACACTGTTCCAGCAAAGTCATTCTCTAAGGCTCTCAAAATGAATTGGAACATGATGTACAGATATCAGAATTCATATCTCTTGCTTTTTTATATATGTCTTATAAAGGCAGACCTATATACTGGGTAGTACCTCCTTGACATCTGAGGTTTGTATTTGCATTTTTCTAGGGTATGAAGAAAATATGCCAGCAATTGGCCTTCAATTTTTGTGAAGATGTCCACACCAGCAATAATACCCACCATATTTGAGACATATCATCTAAAGAACATAAACAAATCATAATAGCTTCTTCCTTGGTTCAGATAGTTTATTAACAAAAAAAATTATGAGTTTGTAATGTAATGTGACCAGTACTCCCAGAAGTTTTCAAACAATGCCAGCAAGAGTCTATAGAATTTAATTGTGTAACAAAATAAGATAGTCATTAGGGGAAATGTACTTATACAGATTATTAAATCTGTATACGTCTGTCTTTTTTTCATTGGAAATGAACTCAACAAGGAGAAGTAAATATTGTTGTATGTTGGCTATGTATTTTAAGACAGCATTGGTGTTTCACCTTTGACCTTCACCCAGAGCCACAGGTTGATAAAATGCAAGATTATTTGATCATGATCTTATGGCTTTAATTAGAATCCTACCAAATATGTGATATAAATCTCTTTTCAGCCATGCTTGCAACATATAGAAGTACGGAGTAATGCATGATATCCATTTCATTGTCTTGGCTTAAGTAGTTCATACAACTCACTTTGATATTTATAGAAACTAAAAATGGCAATTATTCTTTCTACATTTTAATGGCTTATTGAGACATTAAATAGTTCACACCCTAGTCATAAAATAGAGGTTTCTTCTAATATAGAAACTACTCTTCAGACCAAGTATTAAATATCTGGTATATGTCTAACTTGCCTATAATCTCTGGAATCCAACTAATCTCCTCCAAAGTTGTTTTATATCATTGTATCTCCTCCAAAGTTGTTTTATATCATTAAGAGTTTGTTAGTGCTGTAGAAGACAACCTGTTTTACACAGGGCCAAATTTGTTCCTTCAATTTTTTATGATAGCACTGATTATCACAAGACTGTGGTACCATACTTGTACTGAGCCCTGCTGAATGTAGAACCCAGCTATTTTATGATTCTGTTTCATACAGATACAAACCCAGGCCTGGACTTGCTTTCCCTCTACGAATGAAAAGTGTAAGCAGAGCTGGAGACAAACCAGTCTCACTTTCTCCATTGCAGAGTCAGCATTAAATTTTACTATGAGTCACAAGCAGGGACAGGCTTCACTCGGGATGAGTGACAGCTCTGTGCTTGCTGGCCTGGGACCATTAGATTGTCCAGTTACCAAAGCCTTCATCTGCTGAGTGCTGGATGTGCAAGGATCCTACTGCTGCTCCTCTCCTGGCCCTCCTGCATATGTCTACAGGGCTCCATGAAACATCCACCTAACCCATCATCATTCATAAATAGTCACAATTTGAATCAATTCAGATTTGGAAATGATTCCAGAGTCATTTGGACAAGGCACTCATTAAATGAAAATCATCTACGCTGGTTCATATTGCACCAATTATAGTCTGATACAAGCTACATGCTAATATGTTTTCAGGTTTGAATCGCTTCAGACTCTGAACAGATTCAACTCATTTAAAATATGAACTATCATCAAAGTATTTGGGGAATAACAAGAGGTATCCTTTACCGATCTTCTCCTTGATCCCACTCCCATGCCTGTCTCTCACAGGCTTTCAACACACGGCTATGTTATCTCAAGGACACTCTGAAGCTGGGTTTTTTGGCTGATCTGACCTATACCCCTGAACACCAGCCCCACTCAGCCATCAACAAGGCACAAAGGAACCCCCATTAGTTATTGGCTTTCACAAGCATCTCTTACTGGAAGGCACCAGACTCCAATTTGTCTTTCCTTGGCTCTTGTTTGTGCATTTTCAGAGGCTGAAAGAATTCCAAGGCTTAAAGGACTTGAGAGGCGAAGGAAAGTCATGGTCTCAGCCACTGGAAACTGAGCCACTCCAAAAAGCCCTGCTCTCCCCCGAGGTATATGCTTGGGAGAGGAATTGTCTCATTTATCTCACATTTGGAAGGCCTTTTTCATTTTCATCTGCTTTTTCTGCTGTATTCCATTCTTGGCTTAGAAGACTAATAAGGCAGACCAAGTTAGCCCTCCAAGTGAAAAGTGTTTGTAAGGATAAGTCCTTCTGATCACCGACCCTGTGATAAAATTGTGAGGAAGATGAAAGGCGCTTAAGGGCAGTGGTCCTCAAACTTGTTTGGCACATTGGCTCACTGAACTGTAGGTAGTATCCTTGGAAGAAGTTCTAACATTTGCATTTTTATTGTTGGCAAGGGCAGCTTTCTTTAAGACCTATTCACAGTGAAGAGAATGCTTACGCCCTATCTCTTTGCAGCACCGACTCTCACCTTCCAAACAGACAAGATGGGCTCCACTCACATTCAGAAAAGCCAGAACTAGCTCTCTACAGCAACATGGAAATTGCAGAGACAGCTGTGCTACTGCTCCTAGTTTGTTCCAGACAGCACTGGGAGAGAACTCTGCCTGCTAAGGCTGCTTCATGGTTCCCTGGCCAGTGGCTGTGGCATACCGAGCTGGGATGATGCCACTGCTGGGATGGTATCCCAAAGGACAGACTTATCTTTCTTGCTTTGCTAGCTGTCCCTGACTGCACTCCAACTTCATAGTTTAGGATCTCACTGGTTTGTGCAAGATTCAAGTCTCAGTTATGCCAGCACAAAAAGGTTATGCACCTAAACTTTTTTTTTCTTGGTCACTATGTAAGGAGCTGGGGCGGGTGGGGGGCGGGGCACAATAATTTATTCAAATGAAAGGAAAATTATATGCTCTTTGGAATCCTGAAAACAGAGTGTATTTCTATTATTGGCCATGCTAAATACTTTCTTGCTTTTTGTAACATAATAGAAAAAAAAAAAAACAGCTGCATAGTCTTGGAAAGTGAAAGGCAAAGCAGAGACCCTGGTTGAAGTATCTTTGATCTTAGGTGCTTCCAGATATACTTGTCTTTTAAATCAGGTATAGGAAGAAGTCCAGTCCTGTTCTCTCTTGACTTGCCCTTTCAACTAAGTCTTCCAAGGTACTTAGTGCTAGTTGAGACACTGGTCTCCCAGGAACTGGAGAGTCCAGGGCTGAGCTCACCATGACTACAGGAAATTCAACTCATGCTAATGACTTATGGTGCCTGCCAACCTGAATTAGATGCAAGTCAGACTCAAGAAGCCAAGGATTCCATATTCCTTCCACTGTCCTCTGGAGTCATCTTCTTTCTGCTGTGCAGTTTCACTTGTTGGTTTCCAGACAGAGATAGCACATAGAACCTGAAGTCTTCAGCTAGACTTTAAGGTGAGACTGAGTTGGAGCATGTTGACCTAAATCTGGTATTCTCATCCCATACAATACCTTGCACATTGTCCCTTCATATCTCTCCATCTCTATTTGCATTCATTTTGCTTTCAGGTTATGGTGATTTCTTCTAAGAAAAGTCATCTGCAGGCTTCAAATCTCCTAGGACTGACCACAGCTTGTTGCTTTATGTCTAAGGCTCCTGACCCTGGCTTGGCATCAGAAATGTTTTATAATTCCTAGGTCTCACTTTGTACTACTATAGCAGAATCTTTGTGGTGGACCAGGTATCAGGGTTGCTTTCAGTATCCTAGGAGATTATGACATAATACTCCTAGTGCACTCCCACTAGACTAGTCATGACACAATTCATCTCTTTCTTGTTTGAGACTGAGAATTGGGTCTCCTAGCTTCTAATCCTTGATTGGCTTCTAAATTTTCTGCATGACCTTGCCCTAAGTCACTGGATTCTCATGGGCTTCAAGTTTTTATCTGTAAGGAGGTGAGAGTGGATGGGTGTTGGGCATAAACCATATCACTGTTTATCAAATCTAATTCCCCAATATGTTTGCTTGTAGAAATTTTGTATAATTTGGATCTAGTGGTCCAAATTCATTTCACTTCATTGCATCCTCCTCCAGCCTCTATCATCCCACAAATCCTTTCTGAGGTTTCACACATTCTGAAGCTAGGATGACAGAAGGAGATAGGTGCCTTTTAGCGTAATAATATATGGAAACCTTTCTTGCAGACATTAATTTTGACAGTGTAAAAGGTCTACTAGCCTTTTAAATAATCACCCTGATGCTAGAGAGTGAATGCTTCTTCAGAGCTTCATATCTGTCTCTCCTCCTTTCACAGTATCCAGAGCCCTCCCAGCTCAACCAGACAGAGATAAATGATTGAATTTGGATAGGAAGTAAAAGGAGGGTTGGCAAAACATATAAACTGAAGGGACTTGGGAGAGGGGACATGAAAAAAGAGTGCCCAAAGAAAAGAGGTTTCTTTGCTGATCACAAGGCAGATGGCTACATGGGGGAGTAAGGGGTGGGGGGCACACCAGAATTAAGCCCCTGCATCTATTATTGAAGAAGATTGGAGTAGGGATATCCAGAATAGAGTGAGAAAAGCCATTCCAGACTCCACTGCTCTCTGTTGTTGCATGTATTAGAATGTCCCACTCAAATTCAGAGAGCTTTTTGTATAATCTTCTGGATACTGTGTAAATGAGGGAAGATCTTAAGTTTTTTTAATGATAGAATGTACAATCCACCTATAAGTGCTAGGGTACACATGTGATCACTCTTGGAGAGTCTGATTTAATAGATCTGGAGTGGTGCCCAGACATGCATATTTTTAAATATCCACAGGTGATGTGATACACAGCTAATGCTCAGATTTACTTTATTAAGTTAGTTTTTATGTTTTATTTTAACTTGTCCAATTTCTTACTGCTCTCTCTCCCACCGCTCAAGTTCTTCCCTGCCTTTGTGGGAAAAGGCACCCTTTACCCAAGTCTGAATCCTCCCTGCTTCAGGGCACACAGTTTGACAAGCAGAGCACAGGCTAGAATTAATTTCCTAATTGTCCCGTTGCCTGGGTGCTTTGTGGATGGCACAGCTTGCAGGCTTGTAACCAAAGGAGGAAAAAGAATATGGGCTTTGGACACAGCAGATCTGTGTTTCAGTCTCAACTCCACTTTCCAGCTGTCTCTACTTGGGCAAATTAGTTAATCCATTTGAACCTCAATTTGATTGTATGTCAAAGAGGGATAAAGATGCTTACTCAAATGACCAAATTCAGTGGCACTAGTCAATCTACAGTTATCAGGTCTCATTTGACCTATGTGCAGCATTTGCCGTGTTTGATCATTTCCATCTTCTTGAGCCACTGCCTCTGTTTAGCTTCTGGGACATTACTTTAGACTTACTTTTCCTTGCCCCTGTGGCTATATTACTTTTGCTGAATTCTTTGTGCCTTCTCAATTTCTAATCATTGGAGTGCCCAAGACTCAGTCAGAAGATCTTCTGTCACCTGTTTACAATTATTTCCTAGGGAACCTCATCCAATCCTATAACTTATTTGTTTGTTTCAGATGAAGTAAATTTTATTGATATAGTTTTGAAACAAACAAAAACAATTTAATATATAAAATAATAATGACCAGACTGGGAATGGTGGCTCATGCTTGTAATCCCAGCTCTTTGGAAGGCTGAGGCAGGAGGATTGCCTGAAGACAGGAGTTCGAGACCAGCCTGGCCAAGACAGTGAGGCCCCTTTCTAATTAAATAAAAACATACAAGTTTTCAGAGGGACTGGTATTTCTGAAGCCTCATAAAGTTTTCAGGATAAAAGACTTTAAGGTAAAACTAAAATAATAATAACCCATCCAGTTCTATAACTTTAAATACCATTTTTATGCTGATGACCTTCAAATGTGTATCTCTAGCCCTAAACTTTCTCTGAATTCTAACTCATATCAAATTGCCTACTCAATAACTCTACTTGCATATGTAATAGGCATTTCAAACTTAATATGTCCAAAGCAATCTCGTTTTCCTCCCCAAATTTGTCCTTTCCATAATCTTTCCTACCTAAATGAGTAACATCTCCATTTGTCTCATTTCTCATGACTAAACCCTCATTATCTCACTTCACACTTCCAATTGATTAGCAAATCTATTGGCTCTACCTTAAACTATATCCAAATGTGGCCTCCACTACTGTTATTCTGTTCCAATCCTCTGTCTCTCTGAGCTATTGCAATAAAGGAGTAACTGGTTCCGTCAATACATCTTGCTCCATCATAGTCTGCATTCCACATGCTATCCAAAGAAGTCACTTCTCTGGTCAAAATCCTCACATGCCTTTGCCCCTCACTGAGAATTAAATCACAAGATCTTTCCAAAGCCTTCCCGTGAGGGTTTATATGACATGCTTCTCCTTTATTATCCCTCTAATTCTCATAAATCACTCAGCATCTTGATCACTCCTTTCCAGACACAGTGGCCTCCATGTTGGGCCTCAAACATGCAGATGAGCTCCTGCCTCAGAGCCTTTGTACTGCCTAGCCCTCTTCCAGGAATTCTCTCCTTCCACATATCTACAGTTCTTCAGGTTACTCTGTTTACTTTTTTTGTTCAAAAAACTACCTTATCACAAAGTGCCTCCTTGGTCCTTTATCTAAAATGGAACACTCCCAACTTCCATAACTCTTTATTTTCTTACCCACTTTTATTTTTCTTCATAAAATGTATTACCACTTGACATAATTATATATTTATTTGTTATATTTTGTTTGTTGTCTGTCTCCTCTCACTTGAAATTAAGCATGTAAGAGTGGCTCTATCCTTAACATACGGAACAGTGGCTGACAGGTAGTATAGGGCTAATATTTGTTAAATAGACACATGAATAGATATGAGTGATACAATAAGTGAAATAATGCATGTGAAGGGTTTGGTACATGGCTGACACTTATTAGATATTTAGTAACTGGTCATTTCCTCTCCACTTCTAGCTTTCCTCTCTCCTTTCTCAAGGAGTCTGTTGAACTCCTACTACAAGCAACTCACTCTGCTGGATGATGGGGATACAAAATATCTCAGCTACAAGGAGCTCATATGCTAGTAGGTGAAATAGAGGTTTAAAGAACTAACCACCAAACAATGTGGTTAAGAACTCCAAAAGAGACAATATAGTATAAGAACACAGACAAGATGACAGAGGAGTCAGCTCTGTCCTCATAAGTTCAATTGTTTTAAATTTTAGCTCCCACAAATAAGTGAGAACAGGTGAAGTTTGTTTTTCTATGCCTGGCTTGTTTCACTTAATGTAATGACCTCCAGTTCCATTCATGTTGTTGCAAATGACTGGATCTCATTCTTTTTTATGGCCAAATAGTACTCCATTTCATATATATATACCACATTTTCTTTATCCATTCATTTGTTGATGACATAGGTTGCTTTCAAATCTTGGCTATTATAAACAATGCTGCAGCAAACATAGGAGTGCAGATATCTCTTAGATATACTGATTTCCTTTCTTTTGGGTATATGCCCAGCAGTGAGATTGCTGGATCACACGGTAGCCCATTTTTAGTTTTTTTGAAGAATCTGCAAACTGTTCTCCATAGCGGTCGTACTAATGAACATCTCCACCAACAGTATACAAGGGTTCCCTTTTCTCCATATCCTTGCCACCATTTCTTATCGCCTGTACTGGGGTGAGATGATATGTCATTGTAGCTTTGATTTGCATTTATCTGATGATCAATGATACCGGGCACCTATTCATATACCTGTTTGCCATTTGTATATCTTCTTTTGAGAAATGTCTATTCAGACCTTTTGCCCATTTAAAAATTGGATTAGGCCAGACATGGTGGCTCACACCTATAATCTCAGCACTTTGGGAGGCTGAGGCAGATGGATCACTGGAGGTCAGGAGTTTGAAACCAGCCTGGCCAACATGGTGAAACCCCATCTCTACTAAAAATACAAAAATTAGCTGGTTGTGATGGCAGGTGCCTGTAATCCCAACTACTTGGGAGGCTGAGGCAGAAGAACTGCTTGAACCCGGGAGATGGAGGTTGCAGTGAGCGGAGATCGCGTCACTGCACTCCATCCTGGGTGACAAGAGCAAGACTCTGTCTCAAAAAAAATAAAATAAAATAAAGGATTATTAGATTTTTTTTTCTTATAGAGTTGTTTGAGCTTTTTATACATTCTGGTTATTAATCCTTTCTGAGATGGGTAGTTTGCAAATATTTTCTCCCATTCTGTGGGTTGTTGCCTTTCTTGACAGTTTCCTTTGCTGGTAAAAAGCTTTTTAATTTTATGTGATCCCATTTGTCCATGTTTGCTTTGGTTTCCTGTGCTTGTGAGGTATTACTCAAGACATCTTTGCCCAATACAATATCCTGGAAAGTTTCCCCAATGTTTTCTTGTAGTAGTTTCATGGTTTGAGGTCTTAGATTCAAATCTTTAATCCATTTTCATTTGATTTTTGTATGTGGTGAGAGATAGAAGTCTAGTTTCATTCTTCTGCATATGGATATCCAGTTTTCCCTGCACCATTTGTTGTAGATTGTCCTTTCTTCAATGTATGTTCTTGTCACCTTTGTCAAAAATTAGTTCACTGTAGATGTCCATACTTATTTCTGCATTCTGTATTCTGTTCCAATGGTCTAGGTGTCTGTTTTTATGACAGTACCATGCTATTTTGGTTACTATAGATCTGTAGTATAATCTGAAGTCAGGTAATATGATTCCTCCAGTTTTGTTCTTTTTGCTTAGGATAGCCTTGGCTATTCTGGGTCTTTTGTGGTTTCATATAAATTTTAGGATTTTTTTTTTCTATTTCTGTAAAAAAATGTTATTGGTATTTTGATATGGATTTAATTAAATCTGTAGATTGCTTTGGGTAGAGTGGACATTTTAACAATATTGATTCTTCAAACCCATGACCACAGAATACTGTTACATATTTTGTGTCCTCTTCAATTTTTTCAATCAGTGTTTTGTAGTTTTCATTGTAGGGATCTTTCGCTTCTTTAGCTAATTCCTAGGTATTTAATTTTATTTGTAGCTATGGTAAAGGAGATTCCTTTCTTGATTTCTTTTTCAGATTGTTTGCTGTTGGCTTATAAGAAATGCTACTGATTTTAGTATGTGATTTTGTATCCTGCAACTTTACTAAATTTGTTTATCAGTTTTGATAGTTTTTTTGTGGCATCTTTAGGTTTTCCCAAATATAAGATCATATCATCTGCAAACAAGGATAATTTGACTTCTTTCTTTCCAATTTAGATGCCCTTTATTTCTTTCTCTTGCCTAATTGCTCTAGCTAGGACTTCCAGTACTATGTTGAGTAACAATTATAAAATTGGGCATTCTTGTCATAGTCCAAATCTTAGAGGAAAGGCATTTGGTTTTTCCCCATTCAGTATGATACTAGCTATGGGTCTTTCATATACAGCTTTTATTATGTTGAGATATATTCCTTCTATACCAAGACTTTAAAATTTTTTTTTATCATGAAAGGATGTTAAATTCTACCAAATTATTTTTTCAGTATCAGTTGAAATAGTCATATGGTTTCTGTCCTTCATTCTGTTGATACAATGTATTGCAGTGATTGATTTACATATGTTGAACAATGCTTGCATCCTTGGGATTTTACCCTTGGTCATGATGAATTATCTTTTTAATGTGTTGTTGAATTTAGTTTGCTGGTATTTTGTTGATGATTTTTATATCAATGTTCATCAGGGATATTGACCTGCAGTTTTCTTTTTTTGATGTGTCTTTGTCTGCTTTTGGCCTCATAGAATGAGTTTGGAAGTAGTCCCTCCTCCTCTATTTTTTGGAATAGCTGGAGTAGGATTGATAGTAGTTCTTCTTTCAATGTTTGGTAGAATTCAGCTGTGAAGTCATCGAGTTCCAGGCTTGTCTTTGCTGGAAGACTATTTATTACAGCTTCAATATCGTTACTTGTTATTGGTCTGTTCAGGATTTGGATTTCTTCATGGTTCAATGTTAGTCGGTTGTATATGTCTAGGAATTTATCCATTTCTTCTGGATTCTCCAATTTATTGGCATATAATTGCTCACAGCAGCACTAATGATCCTTTGAATTTCTGTGGTATCAGTTATAATGTCTTCTTTTTCATCTCTGATTTTATTTATTCATGTCTTCTCTTTTTTTTTCTTAGTCTGGCTAAAGGTTTGTCAATTTTGTTTACATTTTCAAAAAATAACTTTTTGTTTCATTAATCTTTTGTATTGTTTTCTTTATTTCAATTTCATTCATTTCTGCTGTCATTTTTATTATTTATCTTCTTTTACCAATTTGGGGTCTGGTTTGCTCTTGCTTTTTTAAATTCCTTAAAAAGCACCATTAGGTTGTTTATTTGAATTTTTTTCTTCTTTTTGATGTATATGGCTATAAACTTTCCTCTTAGTATTGTTTTTGCTGTATCCCATAGGTTTTGATATGTTGTGTTTCTATTATCATTTGTTTCAAGAAAT
Source organism: Homo sapiens (assembly GCF_000001405.40). NCBI lineage: Eukaryota > Metazoa > Chordata > Mammalia > Primates > Hominidae > Homo > Homo sapiens. Next base: position 49,743,552 of record NC_000015.10, on the reverse strand, counting down.
TTTTCAGTTTCCTTTTAAATTTCTTCATTGACCCACTAGTCACTTAGGAGCACATTATTTAATTTCCAGATGCATGGATAGTTTTCAAAATTCCCCTTGTTAATAATTTTAGTTTTATTCTATTATGATCAGAGAAAATGCTTGATATTTCCATTTTTTTAATGTTTTAAGACTTGTTTTATGACCTAACATGTGTTCTATCCTTAAGAATGATCACTGTGCTGAGGAAAAGAATGCATATTCTGCAGCTTTGGATGAAATGTTCTGTAAATGTCTATTAGGTCCGTTTGTTCCATAGTGCAGATTAATTCTGACAACATTCAATGTTATTATTGATAAGTAAGGACTTACTCCTGCCATTTTTTAATTTGTTTTCTGATTATTATGTGGTCTTCTCTTCATTCTTTCCTTCCTTCCTATTTTTTAATGAAGGTGATTTTCTCTGGTTATATGATTTAATTTCTTGGGTTTTTTTGTTTTTTATTTTTTGTGTATCTGTTGTATGATTTTTTATTTGAGTTTACCATGACACAAGCCCCACTGTGGCCACCACCGCTGGGACTGAGTTAGGTTAGACCTGAAGCCAAGATAGCACTGGGTCTCATCAAAGGCCCACCGTAACTACTATCTGACTACTGCTTATGTTGACTCAAGGCTCTAGTGCTCTACAATCAGCAGGTGGTGAAGCCAGCTAGGCTTATGTCCTTCTTTTTAAGGCAGCAAGCTTCCCCAGGCTCCAAGTGGATCCACTGATGCCATCTGGGAGCCAGGAACTGGAGTCATAAACCATGGAAAACTACCTGGTATTCTATTAAAGTTTAGCTTGGCTGGCACTTAAACCATGAGCCACAGCCCTTTCCACTCTTCCCTCCCCTTTCCACACGCAGAGGAGCCTCACCCTTTGGCCACCACCACAGGCCCATAGGGATTATTGCCAGGCTACAGCCAATTTTCACTTATGGCCCAAGTGCAGCTTGTGGTGAAGTCTGCCAGGCCTGGGACTCACCCTTCTGGACAGTGGACTTCCGTCTGGCCCAGGACAGATCCAGAAATGCCAACTGAGTCAACACTTGGAATCAGTAACTCTAAGCACCTGCTTGGTGCTCTACTTCCCTGTGGCTGAGCTGGAACCTAACGTGCAAGTCAAAGTCCCCTTTTACTTTTCCCTTTGCCTTTCTCAGGCAAAAACAGTTTCTCACTGTAACCACCACAGCTGGGAATGTGCTGGGTTTCGTCTGAAGCCAGCATGTCTCAGTCTCACCCAAGGCCCACAGTGTAGTACCTGAGTATCACTGCTGGATATTCAAGGACCAAGGCCCCTTTAGTCAGCAGGAGATGGGTACTTCCTGGACTGGGTCTATCCCTGAAAGGCAGTGGGTTCTATTCTAGCCCTGTTTATGTCTAGAAATGTCATCCAGAAGATAGAGCCTGCAATGGGGGTCTCATGACTCTGACTTATTCTTCTGTGGCTGAGCTGGTATGCAAGATGCAAGACAAAGTCCTGTTCACTCTTCCCCCTCCTCTCCTCAAGCAGAAGGAAGAGGTCTCTTTTAGAGCTACAAGCTACACAGCCTGGGGATGGGGGAGAGGTGGCACAACAACACCCTTAGCTGTCCCAGCTGGTGTCTCAGTAGGTCACATGTCCCCCACATCCACTGGCTCTGAGCCCAGCTCAGCATTAGGACACACCTAGCAACTGCAGTCCTTGTGGCCTAGGCTGCCTTTCAAGTGTATTTAGTGCCCCAGAGCACTTTTGCTCACAATGGTGATGCTTGCTGGAACTCAAGTTCTGTCCAGTGGGATGGACAATTCCCCTCTGACTAGGCCTGGACTAAATATTCCCTCCATAGGTGGGTGTCCACTGAGTTCAGCCCGGATTTGCTTTCCACTGTGACAGGGCATAACTGAGTTCAATGCAAAGTCTCACAATTCCTACACCTTCTCTCTCCCAAGAACACAGATTTTCTCTCTGTGCCAGATGGCCACTGCTGGGGCATGAGAGAAGGGTGGCATCAGCAATTCAAGACTGTCTTTCCTATTCTCTTCAATGGCTCTTTCAGTGATATGAAGCTAAAACCAGATTTTCTGACTGCTCTACTAATTTTTGGTTTGTATGAGGGTGCTTTTTTTTGCGTAGATAGTTAAATTTGGTGTTCCAGGTGGGAGGCGAGAGTGAATGGTGTAACCTTTTATTCAGCCATTTACTCCATCCCTCTCCTGCCTTCTGTATCTAAGGATGTTGCTTTTTGTATTCTTTTAAAGTTCTATATGATTTTTGATACATAATAGTTGTACATATTTATGGGTTACTGTGTGATGTTTCAAATGATGTATACATTGTGTAATGATAAACAGGGTATTTACCACATCCATCATCTCAAACATTTGACATTTTCTTTTAAGTACATCAGAAACCCTCTTCAGTTATTTTGAAATATATGATATTGTTAACTATAACCACCTTACTGTGCAATAAAACACCATAACTTACTCCTCCTAACTAACTGTAATTTTCTACCCATTTACCAACTTCTCTCCATTGGCCTTTCCTCCTACCCTCCCCAGCTTCTGGTAACCACTATTGTACTCTGTACTTCTGTGAGATCACCTTTTGTTTGGTTTTACAAATAGCTGAGATTATGCAGTATTTGCATTTCTGTGCTGGGCTTATGTCACTTAACATAATGTCCTTTAGGTGCATCCATGTTACTTCAAATGACAAGATTTCATTCTGTTTTATGATTGAATAGTATTCTACTCTGTTTACATACCACATTTTCTTTTTTTTTATAATTTACTTTTATTGTAGGTTCGGGGGTATATATGCAGGTTTGTTACATGAGTATATTGCATGACGTGGAGGTTTGGGATACAAATGATCCCATCACCCAGGTAGGGAGCATACTACCCAGCAGTTAGTTTTTCAACCTTTGTCCCATTTCCCCACTTCCATCTCTTGTAGTCCCCAGTGTCTATTGTTGCCATCTCTATGGGCGTTGAGTACCCAATCTTTAGCTCCCACTTACAAGTGAGAACATGCAACATTTGGTTGTCTGTTACTGAATTAATACATTTAGGATAATGACCTCCAGCTGCATCCATGTTGCTGCAAAGGCAGTGATTTCATTTTTTATGGCTCCATGGCATATATTTACTACATTTTCTTTATTCAGTCTACCAGTGATGGGCACCTAGGTTGATTCCATATCTTTACTATTGTGAATAGTGCTGTGATAAACATAGAAATGCATATATCTTTTTGGCAGGACAACTTATTTTATATTGGACATATACCCAGTAATGGGATTGCTAGGTCAAATGGTAGCTGTTTTAAGTTCTTTGGGACATCTCCAAACTGCTTTACACAGTGGCCAAGCTAATTTACATTCTCACCAACAGTGTATAAGCATTCCCTTTTCTTTGAAGCCTCACCATCATCTGTTGTTTTTTGACATTTTTTTGTAATAGCCATTCTAACTGGTGTGAGATGGTATCTCATTGTGGTTTTGATTTGCATTTCTCTGATGATTACTGATGTTGAGCATTTTTTCTTGTTATTGGCTGTTTGTATTCTTTTGAGATGTGTCTGTTAAGGTCTTTTGTGTACTTTTTAATGGGGTTATTTGTATTTTACTTGTTCAATTGTTTGAGTTCCTTATGGATTCTGGATATTAGACCTTTGTCAGATGCACAGTTAGAGAATATTTTCTATCATTTTATAGGTTGTCTGTTTACTCTTTTGATAGCTTTCTTTGCTGTACAGAAGCTCTTCAGTTTAATCAGATCCACTTGTCAATTTTTGTTTTTGTTGTAATTGCTTTTATGAACTTAGTCATAAATTCTTTCCCAAGGCTGATGTCCAGAGTGGTGTTTCCTAGGTTTTCTTCCAGGATTCTTATAGTTTAAGGTCTTACATTTAAATCTTTAATCCATCTTGAGCTAATTTTTGTATATGGTGAAAGATAAGAGCCCAGTTTCATTCTTCCGCATATGGCCAGCCAGCTATCTCAGCACCATCCTTTACCCATTGCTTATTTGTGTCAATTTTATTAAAGATCACATGGCTGTAGGTATCTGGCTTTACCTCTGGGTTCTCGATTCTGTTTCATTTGTCTATATGTCTGTTTTTGTTCCAGTATCATGCTGTTTGGGTTACTGTAACCTTACAGTGGTTTGAAGTCAGGTTATGTGATACCATTAGCTTTGCTCATTTTCTTACAATTGCTTTGGTTATTCAGGCTTCCTTTTTGTTCCATATGAATTTTAGAATAGTTTTTTTCCACTTCTGTGATAAATGAAGTTTGTAGTTTGATTGGAATAGCACTGAATCTGCAGATTGCTTTGGGAGGTATGGCCATCTTAATGATATTGATTCTTCCAATCCATGAGCAGGAAATGTTCCTCCATTTGTTATGCCATCTCTATTTCTATCAGCAGTGTTTGTGGTTTTCTTCATAGAGATATTTCATCTCCCTGGTTAGGTTTGTTCTTAGGGTTTTTTTGTATGTGGCTATTGCCAGTGGGGTTGCATTCTTGGTTTGGCCCTCAGCTTGAAATTTATTGGTGTATAGAAATGCTACTGATTTTTGTACTATGATTCTGTATCCTGAAAATTTGCTGATGTTGTTTATTAGAGCTAGGAGCTCTGAGGTAGCGACTATGGGGTTTTCTAGGCATATAATCATATTGTCTGCAAATAGAGATAGTTTGCCCATCTCTCTATTTGCATGTTTTTTATTTTTTTCTCTTAACTAATTGTTCTGGCTAAAACTTCTACTACTATGTTCACTAAGAGTGGTGAAAGTGGGCATTCTTGTCTTATTCTGGTTCTCAATGGGAATGTTTCCAGCTTTTGCTTATGCACTATGATATTGGCTGTTTGCCGCAGATCTCTCTTACTAGATTTAGGTATGTTCCTTTGATGCTTAATTTGGTGAAGGCTTTTAATATGAATGGATGTTGAATTTTATTGAAAGCTTTTTCTGCATCTATTGAGATGATCATGTGGTTTTTGTTTATAGTTCTGTCCATGTGGTGACTCACATTTGTTGATTTGCATATGTTGAACCAACCTTACATCTCAGGATTAAAGCCTACTGATGATGGTAGGCTTTGATGTGCTGCTCGATTTGGTTTGCTACTGTTTTGTTGAGGATTTTTGTGTCGATATTTATCAAGGATATTTGCCTGTAGTTTTCTTTTTTCATTGTGTTTTGCCAGGGTTTAGTTCAGGATGATGCTGGCCTCATGGAGTGTGTTAGGGAGGAGTCCCTCCTTCTTCATTTGTTGGACTAGTTTCAGTAGGAATGGTATCAGCTGTTCTTTATATATGTCTGGTAGAATCTGGCTGTGAATTTCTCTGGTCTCGGGCTTTTTCTGGTTAGTAGGCTTTTTATTACTGATTCAGTTTTGGAATTCATTATTGGTCATTCAGGAATTTGATTTCTTCCTGGTTCAATCTTGAGAGGTTGTATGTTTCCAAGAATGTATCTATTTCTTCTGGCTTTTCTAGTTTTTGTGCTAGAGGTGTTCATAGCAGTCTCTAAGGGGTTTTTTTGTTTTGTTTTGTTTTGTTTTTGTATTTCAGTGAGGTCTACGGTAATGTCCCAATTTGTCATTTCTACTTGTTTATTTGGATCTTCTCTTTTTTTTTCTTTATTAGTTTAGCTAGTAGTCTATCAATCTTATTATATTCTTTCAAAGAACCAACCTGTATATTTGCTGATCTTTTGTATGGTTTTTCATGTCTCAATTTCCTCCAGTTTAGCTCTGATTTTGGTCATTTCTTCTCTTCTGCTAGCTTTGGGGTTGGTTTGCTCTTGTTTCTGTACTTCCTCTAGGTGTGATGTTAGGTGTGATGTTAGGTTGTTAATTTGAGATCTTTCTAACTTTGTGATGCGGGCATTAGCGCTATAAACTTCCATCCAAAACTGCTTTAGCTGTGGCCCAGAGATTTTGGTATGTTGTATCTTTGTTGCCATCAGCTTCAAATAAATTCTCAATTTTTGCCTTAATTTTATTATTTACCCAAAAGTCATTCAGGAGCAAGTGGTTTAATTTCCATGCAGTAGTATGGTTTTGAGCAATTTTCTTAGTATTGATTTCTATTTTTATTTTGCTGTGGTCTGAGAATGTGTTTTGTATAATTTTGGTTTGTTCAAATGTGTTGAGGATTCTTTTATGAATGATTGTGTGGTCAGTTTTAGAGTATGTGGCATGTGCAGATAAGAAGAATGTACATTCTCTTGGTGTAGGGTGGAGATTTCTGTAGATATCTGTTAGGACCATTTAGTCCAATGTCAAATTCATGTCCTGAATATCTTTGTTAGTTTTCTGCTGCAGTGATCTGTTTAATACTGTCAGTGAGGGTGTTGTAGTCTCCCACTATTATTTTGTGGTTATCTAAGTATCTTCAGAGATCTAATAACTTGCTTTATGAATCTCGGTGCTCCTGTATAGGGTACAGGTAAATTTAGGACTGTTAGGTCTCATTGAACTCAACCTGTTACCATTATGTAATGCCCTTTATTGTCTTTTTTGATTGTTGTTGGTTTAAAGTCTGCTTTGACTGAAATTAGATTAGCAACCCCTGCTTTTTTCTGTTTTCCATTTGCTTGGTACATTTTTCTCCATTATTTTCCTTTGAGCTTACACATGTCATTGCATGTGAGATGGTTCTCTCGTGGATAGCTGGATATAGGCCCTCAATACAGTTGGGTCTTGCTTCTTTATTCATCTTGCCACTCTGTCCCTTTTAATTTGGGGCATTTAGCTCTCTTATATTCAAGGTTAATATTGATATGTGCAGGTTTGATTCTGTCATCATGTTTCTTACGGGTTATTACGTAGACTTGATCATGTGATTGTTTCATAGTGTGAATAGTCTAAGTAGTTGTGTGTTACTGTGGTGACCAATAATGGTCTTTCCTGTCCATATTTAGCATTCCCTTAAGGATCTCTTTCAAGGTAGATCTAGTGGTAAGGAATTTCCTTAGCATTTGCTCATCTGAAAAGGATCTTATTTCTTCTTCCCTTTTGAAGCTTCATTTGGCTGGATATAAAATTCTCTGTTGGGATTTCTTTTCTCTAAGAATGCTGGATATAGGCCCTCAATTTCTCTTGGATTGTAGTTTCTACTGCAGTGTCTGCTGTAAGCCTGATGGGCTTATACCCCTTGTAGGTGATATGCCCCTTCTTTCTAGCTGCCTTTATCATTTTTTCTTTCATTTCAGCCTTGGAAAATTTGATAACTTTTTGCCTTGGTTGTGGTTGTCTTGTATAGTATGTCACAGGCATTTTCTGCATTTACTTGATTTGAATGTTGGACTCTTTGGCGTGGTTGAAGAAATTTTCATGGATGATATTCTCAAATGTGTTTTCCAAGTTGCTTGCTTTTTCTCCCTCTCTTTCACCAATCTATGACACCAATGAGTCATAGATTTGGTCTCTTTACATTATCCCATATTTCTTGGAGATTTTGTTCATTCTTCTTTATTTTTTCTTATTTATTTTTGTCTGACTGTGACAAAAGTCACAGTCTGCAGAACTGGTCTTTGACCTCTGAGATTTTTTTCATTAGCTTGGTCAATTCTACTATTAACACTTTCAATTGTATTATGAAATTCTTGAAGCAAGTTTTTCAGCTCTGTCAGTTTGGTTTGGTTCTTTCTTAAAATGACCACTTTGTCTTTTATCTCCTGTATCATTTTATTATATTATTTAGATTCCTTGGATTGAGTTTAAACTTTCTTCTGCATGTCAATGATCTTCACTCTATCCATAATCTGTATTTTATTTCCGACATTTCTGCCATTTCAGCCTGGTTAAGAATCATCGATAGGAAGCTAGTGCAGTCGTTTGGAAGTAAAAAGTCACTCTAGCTTTTTGAGCTGCCAGAATTCTTGTGTGGGTTCTTTCTCATCTGTGTTGGCTGACGTTCCTTTAATCTTTGAAGCTGCTGTTTTTTGGATGGCTGTTTTTGCTTTTATCTTCTTTGTTGTCCTTTGAGGTTTGATTGTGGTGTGAGGTAGGTTGAGTCCACCGGCTTCAACTCTAGTCTGCTCCTGGGTCTTGAAGGAGCCCCTCCGATTACTGTTTCTATGCCCACATTACTTTTATGCATGGGGTTCTGGTCCGTAGGCCTCCCTCAAACAGGGGCTGAAGATGGCAGACAGGCCATATCTTTGCCAGGTCTGCCCTAATCTGTTGTCTGTGTGCTTTCCATAGCAACATGTGGTTGCACTTGCTTGCAGACTTCGGGCAGGAGCAGGACTGCTGGGTGGAAGTTCTAGCCAGTGTGGCCTGTCTGGATTTGAGAAGCAGGGGTTGATGGAGTTTCCCATCCTGTCTTCCAGGTGTTTCCTGGGCAACAAGAGGCTATGCCCCTCAGTAAATTTAGACAGAAGGAGGACTGCTTGTTTGGAAGTTCTAGCCAGTATTGTTCACCTGCTTGTGACAGCTGGGGGTGGGTGGAGTCACCCACTCTGCCATCTGGGTGTTTCTCAGAACAACAGGAGGCTGTGCCCACTGGCTGAGTTCACATAGAAGCAGAAACACTGGGCTAGAAGCTCCAGCTGCCATTTCTTGCCTGGTGACCAGCAATGAGGGTGAGGGGGTGATATGGTTTGGCTTTGTGTTGCCACCAAAATCTCACCTCAAGTTGTAATTCCCATAATCCCCATGTATCAAGCGTGGGACCAGGTGGAGGTAATTGGATCATGGAGGCGATTTCCCTGATGCTGTTCTCATGACAGTGAGTGAGTCTCATGAGATCTGACGGTTTATCAGTGTCTGGTATTTCTCCTGCTTGCACTCACTCCTTCCCGCAACCGTGTAAAGAAGCATCCACTTCTCCTTTGCCTTCCACAATGATTGTAAGTTTCCTGAAGCCTCCCCAGCAATGTGGAAATGTGAGTCAATTAAACCTCTTTCCTTTATAAATTACCTAGTCTCAGGTATTTTTTCATAGCAGGGTGCAAATCTACTAATACAGTAAATTGATACCAAAGTAGTAAGGTGCCGATATAAAGATACCTGAAAATGTAGAAATGACTTTGGAACTGGGTAACAGGCAGAGGTTGGAACAGTTTGGAGGGCTCAGAAGAAGACAGGAAGATCCAGGAAAATTTGGAACTTCCTAGAGACTTATTGAATGGTTTTGACCAAAATGCTGATAGTGGTATGGACAATGAAGTCCAGGCTGAGGCAGTTTTAGATGCGCATGAGAAAGTTACTGGGAACTGGAGCAAAGGTGACTCTTACTGTGCTTTAGCAAACAGACTGATGGCATTTTGCCACTGTCAGGTCTCTGAGCCCAAGCCTGCAGGTATACATCCAGATGGCCTGAAGCAACTGAAGATCCACAAAAGAAGTGAAAATAGCTTTAGCTGATGACATTCCACCACTGTGATTTGTTTCTGCCCCACCCTAACTGATCAATGTACTTTGTAATCTCCCTCACCCTTAAGAAGGTTCTTTGTAATCTCCCCCACCCTTAAGAAAGTTCTTTGTAATCTCCCCCACCCTTAAGAAGATTCTTTGAAATTCTCCCCACCTGATAATGTACTTTGTGAGATCCACCCCCCGCCCACAAAACATTGCTCCTAACTCCACCACCTATCCCAAAACCTATAACAACTAATGATAATCCCACCACTCTTTGCTATCTTTTTGGACTCAGCCCACCTGCACCCAGGTGAAATAAAGAGCCTTGTTGCTCACACAAAGCCTGTTTGGTGGTCTCTTCACAGGGATGCGCGTGACAGCCACTACCCTAGAGATCTGTGGAACTTTGAACTTGAACGAGTTGATATAAGGTATCTGGGAGACATTTCTAAGAAATTCATAAGCAGCAAAGCATTCAAGAGCTGACAGAGCATAAAAGTTCGTAAAATTTGCAGCCTGATGAAGCAGTAGAAAAGAAAAACCCATTTTGGGGGAGAAATTCAAGCCAGCTGAAGAAATTTGCATAAATAATGAGGAGCCAAATGTAATCACCAAGACAATGGGGAAAATGTCTCCAGGGCATGTCAGAGACCTTGTGGCAGCCCCTCCCATCATAGACCCTGAGGCCTAAGAGGGAAAAAATGGTTTTCTGGGTCTGGCCCAGTGCTCCCCTGATGTGTGCAGCCTAAGGACTTGGCACCCTGTGTCCCAGCCCCCCCAGTAATGGCTAAAAAGGGCCAAGGTACAGCTCATGCTGTTGCTTCGGAGGGTTCAAGCCTCAAGCCTTGTCAGCTTACACATGGTGTTGGGCCTGCAGTACACAGAAGTCAAGAATTGAGGTTGGGAACCTCCACCTAGATTTCAGAGGGTGTATGGAAATGCCTGGTTGTCCAGGCAAAAGTTTGCTGCAGGGGCAGAGCCATCATGGAGAACCTCTGCTAGGGCAGTGTGGAAGGGAAATGTGGGTCAGAGCCTCCACATCAAGTCTCCACTGGGGCACTGCCTAGTAGATCCTCCAGATCCCAGAATGTTAGATCCACCAACAGCTTTCACTGTGTGCCTGGAAAAGCCACAGACACTCAACACCAGCTCATGAAAGCAGCCAGGAGGGGGGCTGTACCCTGCAAAGCCACAGGGGCAGAGCTGCCCAAGGCCATGGGAACACCCTTCCTGCATGAGCGTGATCTGGATTTGAAACATGGAGTCAAAGTAAATCATTTTGGAACTTAAAGATTTAATGACTGCCCTATTGGGTTTTGGACTTGTATGGGGCCTGCAGCCCCTTGGTTTTGGCCAATTTCTCCCATTTGAACAGCTTTATTTACCCAATGCCTGTACCCCCATTGTATCTATGAAGTAACTAACTTGCTTTTGATTTCACAGGCTCATAGGCTGAATGGACTTGCCTTGTCTCAGATGAGACTTTGGACTGTGGACTTTTTATTAATGCTGAAATGGTTAAGACTTTGGGGGACTTTGGGGAAGGCATGATTGGTTTTGAAATGTGAAAAGATATGAGAGTTAAGAGAGGCTGGGACAGAATGATATGGTTTGGCTCTGTGTCCGCAGCCAAATCTCACCTTGAATTGTAATCCCCATTAAGGGAGGAGACCACCCGTTATATTGTCTTATGCCCAATTTCTGCCTGCAAAGAAAGAAGAAGTAAAAACTAAAAGGCAGAAATGAAATCCAGAGGCAGACAGCCCGGGGCCGCACCCTGGGCCTGGTAGTTAAAGATCGACCCCTGACCTAACTGGTTATGTTATCTATAGATTCCAGACATTGTATGGAAAAGCACTGTGAAAATCCCTGTCCTGTTCTGTTTTGTTCTGATTACCGGTGCATGCAGCCCCCAGTCACTTACCCCCTGCTTGCTTAATCGATCACAACCCTCTCATGTGGACCCCCTTAGAGATGTGGGTCCTTAAAAGGGACAGGAATTGCTCACTCAGGGAGCTCGGCTCTTAAGACAGGAGGCTTGCCGATGCTCCCGGCCGAATAAACCCCTTCCTTAACTTGGTGTCTCAGGAGTTTTGTCTGCGGCTCGTCCTGCTACACCATAAACCCCACATGTCAAGGGTGTGACCATGTGGAGGTAATTGGATCATGCAGGTGGTTTCCCCAGTGCTGTTCCTATGATAGTGAATGAGTCTCATGAGATCTGATGGTTTTATAAGTGTCTGGCATTTCCCCTGCTTGCACTGACTTCATTCCGCCACCCTGTAAAGTAGGTGCCTGCTTCTCCTTTGCCTTCTGCTATGATTGTAAATTTCCTGAGGCCTCCCCAGCAATGCAAAACTGTGAGTCAATTAAACCTCTTTCCTTTATAAATTACCCAGTCTTGGGTATTTCTTCATTGCACTGTGAGAACAGACCAATACAGTGGGGTTACTGCCCTGCTGGGTATTTCCCAGGACAACAGTAGGCTGCTCCTGCTGGCTGAGTTCAGGCAGAAGTGGGACTGCTGGGCTGGAAGCTTAAATAGGAGTTGCCTCCCTACCAATGCAGGGTTGGGGGAGTGAGGTAGCCTGCCCTGCAATCTAGATGCTTACTGGGAAAACAGGAGGCTATATACATAAGCTGAGGCCCCAGAGAAACAAGACTGCTGGGCTGGAAACCCTAGCAGGCATTTCCTGCCGGCTACCAGTGATGGGAAGGGGTTGGGCCACTCACCCTTCCATCTGGGTTCTTCCCAGGACAACAAGAGGTTGCACCCTCTGGCTGAGTTCACACAGAAGCAGGACCACTGGGCCAGAAGCTCTAGCAGGTGTTGACTGCCTGGCTACCAGTGGTGGGTGAGGGTGGGATCACCCACTTTGCTATCTAGGTGTTTCCTGGGACAAGAGGCTGCACCTTCTGGCTGAGTTTACACAGAAGTGGGACTGCTGAGCCAGAACCTGGTACTGAGCACCGCCTGGTGAGGGGGTGTGGAGCAATCTTATTGCTCCCAGGCACTGCAACTGTGGCCTCTATTGGGGCTATGGTATCTGTGCTGGTCTACTTCAGGGCCCAAGGCTTGTAGAGGTCCCCTTGGATTCAAGAGTTGCCCTTGGAAAATGTCTGCGTGGCTCTCTGCCTCAATCTAGAAGTGTGGTGAGGGTATGCAGTGAGGCCAGGGGCATTTTTCTGTTCCTGGTGTGCATAGGTTCCTGTGGAGAGTGTGAATCCCCCAAATGGGCTCTCATTCATTCACTCACTCACCCTCCCTTTTGCTTTTGGAGATGTTCTCCTGGCTCCATGCTGAGCCCAAACAGGCCAGTGCCAGCTTTGCTCCTCTCTGTTCTCTGTGTCCTTCTGCTGCCTCGATGGATCCTGATATGGTTTCTCAAATGATTGGCCTATACGGTCAATGACTACTAGCCCTTTTATTTTCTCTCCGTGAGAGCTGTACACATGAGCTGCTTCTAGTCTGCTATCTTGACCTCCCCTCCCCAAATAATTTTTTAAATGAGCTGTTAAATTCAGCTTGCAAGTATTTTGTTGATTTTTGCATCTATGTTCATCAGGACCATTAGCCTATAGTTTTCTATTTTTTTGTTGTAGAGCCTTATAGAATGAATTTGGAAGAGCTCCCTCTTTAATTTTGGGGAGTTTTAGAATGATTGTTATTAGTTCTTTAAATGTTTGGTAGAATTCATCAGTGACTCCTTCCAGTCCTAGGCTTTTCTTTTTTGGGAGACATTTTATTATTGATTTAATCTCATTACTCAGTATTGGTCTGTTCAGATTTTCTATTTCTTATAATTCAATTTGTAAGATTGTATGTGTCCAGGAATTTAACCATTTTTCTAGGTTTTTTGATTTGTTGGCCTATTGTTATTTATAATAGTCTGTTATTTTAAATATTTCTGTTGTATCAGTTGTAATGTCTCCTTTTTCATCTCTGATTTTATGTATTTAAATTTTGTCTGTTTTTGCTTAGTCTGGCTTAAAGATTTGTCAATTTTGTTTATATTTTAGAAAAACCAACCCTTGTTTGGCTGATCTTTGCATTTTTTATGTCTATATTTGTATTTCTGTTCTGATCTTTATTATTTCATTCTACTTTTTTTTTTTTTTGGTTTTGAAACAAACACAGTTCTGCTCTGTCACACAGGCTGGAGTGCAGTGTGGCAATAATAGCTCACTGCAGCCTCAAACTCCTGGGTTCAAGTGATCCTCCTACCTCAGTCTCCTACCTTAGCTGAGTAGCTAATACCACAGGTACATACCCCCACACCTGGTTAATTTTTTTTTTTTTTTCTTTTTGTAGAGACATGGTCTCACCTTTTGCCTAAGCTGGTTTGAAACTTCTGGCTTCAAGTGATCCTTCTGCCTTGGCCTCCTGCAGCACTGGGATTACAGGCATAAACCATTGTGCCTGGCCTGTTCATGTTTATCTAATTTCTTGAGGTACAATATTAGGTTATTTAGGACCTTTCTAATTTTTTAATGTAAGTTTTTATTGCTATAAACTTCACTTTTAGAATTGCTTTTCCTGTATCTCATTGATTTTGGTATGTTGCATTCCCATTTTCATTTATCTCAAGAATATTTAAAATTTATTTAAAATTATTTATTGACCCATTTGTTGTTTAGGAGCATGTTGTTTAATTTCTATGTCTTTGTATAGTTTCCAGAGTTCCTCCTGTTATTGTTTTCTAGTTTTATTTCATTGCGGTAAAAAAAAAATACTTGATATAATTTCGATTTTTAAAAATTTGTTGAGACTTGTTTTGTGAGCTAAAATATGATCTGTCCTGGAGAAAGTTCCATGTGCTGATGAAAAGGATGTGTATTCTGCAGCTGTTGAGTGGAAATGTTCTGCAAATCTCAGATTCATTTGATCTAGAGTGCATTTTAAATCTCATGTTTCTTTGATGGATCTGTCTGGATGATCTGTCCATTGCTGAAAGTGGAATGCTAAGTCCCCTACAATTCTTATGTTGCAGTCTATCACTCCTTTTAGATAGAATATTATTTGATTTCTATATTTAGGTGCTCTGGTTTTGAGTGCATATGTATTTACAATTATTATATCCTCTTGCTAAAATGACTCCTTTATCATTATATAATGACCATCTTTGATTCTTTTTACAGTTTTTTTACTTAATGCCTATATTTATCTGACATAGGTATAGCTACTCCTGCTTTTTTTAATTTCCATTTATATGGGACATCATTTTCCATCTTTTTATTTTCAGTCTGTGTATGTCGTTACAGATAGAGTGAATGTCTTGTTTGCAGCACATAGTTGGATCTTATTTTTTAATTGAATAACTTAATCAAAAATATTCAGTTATTTTTCATAGGTAAGGATTTATTCCCACATAGTTGGATCTTATTTTTTAATTGAATAACTTAATCAAAAATATTCAAAGTTATTTTTCATAGGTAAGGATTTATTCCCACCATTCTGCTAATTGTTTTCTGGTTATTTTGTAGATCTCTTGTTGATTTTTTCCTCTCTTGTTTATCTTTGTGGCTTGGTGGTTTTCTGTAATGATAAGCTTTGATTCCCTTCCCTTTCTAATTTGTGTCTCTGCTCTATTTTTTTTTTCTTTGTTGGTACCTTGGGGATTTCAAAAAACAAAACCTTATAGTTATGAAAGACTATTTTAAGCTGATAACTTTACATTGGTTGCAAACAAATATTCTAGACTTTTACACTCCCCCTTACAATTTGTAATTTATTGCCTTTATCTTTTTATATTGTATATTTCTTAACAACTTTTTGTAGGTATGATTATTGAACATTTTAAATTTTTTTTGTTCCCATTAATAATGTTTTCCTTTTAAAGATCTCAGCCCACTTGAGAAGAGAACAGTAAGATGGGAGCACAGAAATGAAATATAGACAAAAATTCAAAGATAAGATTGATTCCTGCACAATTTGGCTTGGAAACAGCCTGCAGATGATAGCCTTATTTCCCTTGTTTTCTTGGCTCCCTGAAGCTTATCTGCCCACTTACAAATCCCGCCTCCCACCCCCAACTCATTCCCAGTCTCTACTTCAGTTAATGCTAACTTGTAGACCCAGTTCCTAAACCCTGAATCATTTTGAGGACTTCAGTAACAAGTCATAATTAATTTATTAAATCAACATTGAACATTGGCCTTGCCCTTAAAGAGCTCACAATTTCTTGGAAGAGACATTAAGAAAACAGAATAATTACTTTGAAACTACATATTTTGTCCTACTAGAGAATTATTTTCAAAGGGCTGATGGAACAAAGAGAAAATATCCAGCAATAATTAGTGGGCACTCTGAAATTAGAGGAGCCTGGCTTCAAATACAGATTCTGATGTTCTCTAGTGGGGAGTCCTTTTCTTTCCCCTTCAACTTTTAAGTTCCAGGGTACATGTACAGAATGTGCAGGTTTGTTACATAGGTAAAAGTGTGCCATGGTGTTTGTATTAGTCCATTTTCATGCTGTTGATAAAGACATACCCAAGACTGGGTAATTTATAAGGAAAAAGAAGTTTCATGAACTCACAGTTCCACGTGGCTGGGGAGGCCTCACAATTATGGCAAAAGGCGAAAGGCGCATCTTATGTGGTGGCAGATGAGAGAATGAGAGCCAAGCAAAAGGGGAAACTTCTTATAAAACCACCAGATCTCTTGAGACTTATTCAACACCACGAGAACAGTATGGGGGAAACCATCACCATGATTCAATTAACTCCCACCGGGTCCCTCCCACAACATGTGGGAATTATGAGAACTACAATTCAAGATGAGATTTGGGTGAGGACACACCCAAACCTACAGTGGTTTTCTGCACAGATCAACCCATCACCTAGGTATAAACTCCAGCATCCATTAGCTATTTTTTTCTGATGCTCTCCCTCCACACCCCCACAGGCCCCAGTGTGTGTAGTTCCACACCATGTGTCCATGTGTTCTCATCGTTCAGCTCCCACTTATAAGTGAGAGTATGTGGTGTTTGGTTTTCTGTTCCTGTGTTAGTTTGCTGAGGATAATAGTTGCCACCTCCATCTATGTCCCTACAAAGGACATGATCTCGTTCCTTTTATAGCTGTATAGTACTCCATGGTGTCTGTGTACCACATTATCTGTATCCACTCTATCACTGATGAGCATTTGGGTTGATTCCATGTCTTTGCTATTGTAAAAAGTGCTGCAATGAATGTACAAACATTTAAAATTTTAGCCTTCATACTAAAGGTTTGAAAAACTATATACCACCTAAATTATAGTAATGGAGTATTCTGAATTTTATTATGAGTTTACCTCTACCAATGAGTTATACTTTTATATGATTTCATGGTAGTAATTAATGTCCTTTCACTTCTGGTTGAGGCACTCCCTGAAGCATTTCTTATAAGGCTGGTCTAGTGCTGAAGTTCCTCAGGTTTTGTTTGTCTGGAAAAGACTTTATTTTTTCTTCATTTCTGAAGGATAGATTTTCTGGGTATAGTATTCTTGGCTAAAAGCTTCCCCCGCACTGCCCCACTTTCAGCACTTTGAATATCTGAACCCAATCTCTCCTGGCCTGCAAAGTTTCTGCTGATAAATCTAATGATTGTCTAATGGAGATTCTCTTATATGTGACTTGACACTTTTCTCTTGCTGCTTTTAGAATTCTCTTTGTCTTTGATTTTTGACAGTCTGATTGCTATGTTCCTTAGAGAGGACCTCTTTGGTTTACATCTAGTTGAGGTTCTTGAGCTTCATGGATCTGGATGTGCATATCTCTATCAAGTCTTGGGAAGTTTTCAGCTATGATTTTGTTAAATAAGTTTTCTGTGCCCTTTTTCACCTCTTCTCCATGTATAATTACCATTATGTGAATTTTTTTTTATTAATGGTATCTCATAGGCCTTGTAGGTTTTCCTTGCTCTTTTTCATTCTTTTTTTTTTTTCTTTTCCTCTGGCTGGGTTATTTCAAAAGACCTGTTTTCAAGTTCAGATTTTTTTTCTTCTGCTTCATCTAGTCTGCTATTGAAGTTCTCAACTGTATTTTTTCATTGTCTTCGATGTCTTCAGCCCCAAGATTTCTGTTTAATGATATCTATCTCTTGAATTTTTCATTCAGATCATGAATTGTTTTCCTAATTTCATTGAGTTTTTATCTATATTCTCTTGTATCTCATTGAGTTTCTTAAGGTAATTATTTTGAGTTATTTTCTAGGCAATCTGTAAATTTCTGTGTCTTTGGGGTCAATTACTGGAGAGTTACTGTGTTTCTTTCATAGTGTCATTATCTTTGCTTTTTCATTGTGTACCTGCATTGACATCTGTGCATTTGATGAAATAATCACCTCTTCCAATTTCACAGAATAGCTATTATAGAGAAAGATATTTTGCTTGCAGATGTGTCCTAGAGTGTCAGTTGGGTAGGGTGTGTAGGCTTTTGTTCTGGCTGGGTTCAGTAGTATGGTCTCTGTGCTGTTTCTTCAGCTACAGTCACTGTCAGCAATGCCTATGAATACTACAGTGGCTGAGGCTCAGGAGTCTGTGCAACTGCTCTGCTGGGTTGGGTGCATCCTCCCCACTGGGGACAGGGGTACCAGGCTGGTCCACATGTTATGGGTGCATGGGGGATGTTCTGCGAGGGTTCAGTGCAAGCTCTCAGCTGCAGGCAGGGGCACTGAGCTGCTCCATGCACTGTAGGTACATAGGGGCTGCCTTACCATGGTTGGATGTGGCTTCTTTCCGGGGGAGGGGATACTGAGCTGTTTTGTGCACCATCGGTGTCTGTTCCTTGGGAGGTAGGGTGCCACGTGGGCTCAGGCACTGGAGTTATGGGTGTTTCACTGGGCCTAGGTTCCAAGTAGCCAAGTTGGGGTGCTGCAGCCACTGGGATGGAGAAGATGGATAGCTTCTTAGGCAGTCTATTCCCAGGGTGTAGGGATGTATAGTTGCTCCGTGGTGGAGTGGTACACTACCTTGTATTGGTGAAATGTAGTGGTGGCAGAACTTCAGAGATGAGCAGATGCAGTGGCTACTAGCCCCCAGAGCAGGACACACTTTAGTAGTCCTTCAGACTCTAGTCTCAAGATGGTGCTGTATAGTAGCAGCTTAGATCATGGTGAGGGAAGGGGCACAACATGTGCTCCTTCTTTGGAGTCATGCAGCTATGTGAACTCCAGGCAGCTCCCTAGACTGGTCTCAGGTACCAGAAGGACTTCAGCGTTCTCCAACAAAAAGACTATAGGTGTCCATAGTTTTAGTGGGGGATGCTGGGGGCCTCCTGCTTACCTTTTCTCTGCAGAGAGAATCCCTCCTGTTCCAGGCTGATCCTGACTGGGGAGATAGGGTGGTAAAGTCAGGGCATTTCATTCTTATCTTTATGTGGCCATCCTGAGTCTCTATGCTCCACAGGTTCTCTGCCCCTCCTCTGTTGTACTTGACTGCCCACCTTCAGATACTCTCCTTGAAATGTAGGTGTTTGTTGTTGTGTTCCTGTGTGTGTGTGTGGGCAGTTGGGGGGTGGGGTGGACAAGTGTTAGGTTTGTTTAGTCAGTTATCTTGCTGACATTGTGTTTTTCTTAATTGGCCATATCTAACTGCCATTTATTGAGAACTTATCCTACTATGCATCATGCTAAGTTTGTCACATATGTTATTACATCAGTTTTCACAACAATCATATAGTAGGTCATATTGTTACTGTTTATTTTATAAATGAGAAAAACTATCACTTTAATAGATTTTAAGTGCCTAATTTGTTAAAACTTAATAAAATAAAGAGGCAGTGCTAGGTTTTAGAATTAGGTTTATTTGATACCAATGCCCATGTTCTTTGAGATCTGTTACATTTCTGAAATGAGATCTAACCAAGCGTCCAAGTCCATTTGTCTATTTCTGCTTCCCCTGAGGTATCTATGCAGCAGGGTATGGCATTCTTGGCCTTGTACATATTATGCAGAATTGTTTACTCACTGGAAATTTCATCTCCCATTGTAATTTTATATCCATATTTATACATTTCTCTAGCCAAGTTATACCACATGTATTCATGTACTATTTTTCTGCTTTTGCTGTCATATAAGCAGGATCATATGAATCACTCTCATGTATCCAATTATAACACTGCTAGATAGGAAAAAATGACCACCAACGGTAAAGCTAGCCTAGTCAATATGATTAGTCTTTGTAAAACCATAAACAAAATCAGGAAGAACATTTTTTCAAGCATTTTGCTGACAGCTCTTTTATAATCCAATAATCATAAAAAGATGAAATATTTTCTTAATCTACATACATCCTTTCTTAGATGAAGAAAATATTAAAATCCTATTAACCATGAATTTTCTTTCGAACAGTTCCTTCTCCCCTGGTGAAGCTCAACTACGCCCTCTATTCATCAGGATTTGTGTGTGTGTGTGTGTGTGTGTGTGTATGTAACTTTAGAGATGTGGTGGTGACTTATCTCCTGCCTCTAAAGACACTATTCGTCAATAGATTGGTTGATAGTATCCACAAGAAAGCAATTAGATTCCTTCTTTGAAGGAAATATACCAAATAGATGGAGACTTTATTAATTAAATAGAAGGACTAAGCCTTTTTCATAGTAGTGACTATGCCACGATCACTCTCCTTATCAAGAAAATCATTCTACACAGAGTTAACATCAAATGATGGACTCGTGGCCATCTCCAGTGGTCATAATGAAAACCACCCCAAATCCCAGATTCACCATGGATAAATCGCTACACTCTAAATAGTCCAATGCTGCATAGGATCAGATCAATTTGGCTACAAATGGACTTCCTCCTCCCTTTCCTCTTTCTACTTTCTTTCTAGTGATAGTAAGAATAACAATCTTTATTGAGTCCTTACTACAAACCAAACATTATTCTAAGCTCCTAATACATATCATTTAATTCTCAAAAAAATCCTGTAACATAGCTATTACTGTGCCCCTTTTCTAAATCAAAATTATGTTATCGTTTTATAAAACATATACACTATAAAATTCCCTTCCTCCTTTGCCTGCCCTCACTTCCTAATATCCATCACTTAGGAGGTAAGAGAGAGAAAAACTTTCAAGGTCAGTGTGATTTTGTTCTTCAGCTCTGCCTCCCTGCTATCTTGTGCCAAGCAGGGTCTCTAAGGCAATATCATCCACTTCTGGGGCTGTTGCATGCATGTGGATATAATTTTTCTAATCCAAAGAATGCTAGACAGTCCCTTTGGAACTTTGATGCTCACTTTAATGGAAATCTGTGTCCTGCTGGAAGTCAGAAGCGAAGACATCATATGTCAATGCCTTTCCTCACTGCGATTTGAGTTACAAGTTGAAGTAGCCACTTTTTTCATAAAATAATGATTGACACACTGAGTCAGTTTGGGTGTTCAGGCTTGGGTTTTTGACAGCATCTTTTAAAAATGAATGAAATGAGCCTGCCCCATAAAAAAAATATGACTGACAATATTTGTTGACAGCAATCAAATTTAAGCTTTCAAGTGAAAATTAGAACTTTTGAAATCTTATGTCCACCACTGTGACTTGACGCCCTCTTAACACGTAAATACTTATCTGATAATACTGGTGTTGATTTTAACAAGCCTGATTTTTTTTTATATGTCCTAATAAATTGTGTCAATACTTATAAGATTTGTACAACTCAATAAACCAATATTTTCCAAATGAACAATCAGGCATACTACAAAATCATATATGGGTTAAAAATTTCCTTCAAAATGCAGGGGAAGTGACTGGATTTTAAAGTAACAGAGTATTACCTTTAATAAACTAGCACTTATTGATCAAAAAATATATAGAGAGTTATCCAGAAAGCTTTTAAAATAATTTACCTGTTACAACTGCAAATTGTTTGAGGCCAGATTTTCTTCAAATACTTTAATCAAAACAATATATAACAATAGAAGGAACATAGACTGAAATTCCAGCTGTCTTCTATTAAGCCAGACATAAAAGAGATTTGCAAAAATATAACACAACACAACACTTCTCATTATCTTTTCTTGTTTTGGAAAATATAATAACTATCTTTATTAAAATTTTTTTAAGTTAACATGAAATGGGGTTATTTTAAAATAAATTAATACATTATTATTAAAAATACTTTTGTTTTTAATTTCTACTACAGTAAGCAGTATAGCTATAACTTATACTAGCAAAAGATCTTTGGGGTCCTCAATAATTTTTAAGAGTATAAACAAATCCTTAGAACAATAAATTTGAAGATCTTTGTGCTATGTGTGCAACATAGTAAAGTAAATGGTATGGGAGTGCAAAAGTAGAAGAAACAGTATGGGTTAGAATTGGCTTTGCTCCAGAGTGGGATGAGACCACAGACTGCTAAGATTTAGAGGAAGGAACCAGAGAAGGAACAGTATGAGAAGGGCATAGTAGTAAGAACAGTCATGGTAGATTTGGAGTTCTCTGAGTCAATCAGTAGTGAATCAAGCAGTGAGAGTGCCTCTCATGCTCAAAATCTCTTCTTCCACTTCACCTCTCTGACCCTTCTTCCATTATCACCTTTTCTCTCCCTCCTCGCACTCCCTTTCTGTTTCTATCTCCACGTCTAGAAAAGGCTCCCTGCTTTGGAGAACATGTGATTATATTGGGTCCACCTGGGTAATAGGCCCTAATCTTCCCAACTCAAGGTCCTTTACCTTAATCACATCAACAAAGGCCCTTTTCCATGTAGGGTAACATATTCACAGGTTCTGGGTATTGGAACATGGACATCTTTTAGGGTCCATTTACCACACCATGGGATAGTTTTTAGCAAGAAAGTGGCACAATAACAGTGGTATTGAGAAAACATTCTACAATAATTACCTAGTATGAACTGATCTGGCGCCAAGCTTAGAGCAGAGCTCTGCCTCTGTGGAAAACAGCTTCCATGTGTTTTTAGTACAATGCAGATGATGCATCCAAAAGGACATCTGCTGATATTCTGGTAGGCTTATCACTTTCTCATTGCCATCCTGCCCACATTTGTCATTCAGGTTACCAAGGGGACAAACATCCATAGCTCCTGGAAGCAGCTTCTTTGCTTCATTTCCTATCTCTAAAGTATTACATGAATAGAAAGGGCGCAGACTTGCCATACTAGATCCTAGAAACTAACATTTCAGCATGGTAAGAAATTTTCCCCTCTCAGGCACTGGGATTTCAAGGGTGACCTTTCACATGAAGCATTTCATTAAAGAGTGTGGTTGGGTTACCAAATATTGAAGTGAGAGGCAACATTTAAATGACTATTTGTTGTGTTACCACCAGTACTCTGGACAACAATAAGCTTAAGTGATTTTGAGTATTAATTTATCAGGATGGCTAAATTATAAAAAAAATGCTTGAATTCGATTTTTAAAAACCCACAAGATGGATGTAGCTCAAATATTTTCCAACATAAGCTTCCTTTTGAAAGTAATTTAAATGTTTGTCTGCCCTCCCATCACATTTATGTGTGATATGTTTGGTAATTAAGTACGGAGGAAAGAAAGGGAATCCCTGTGGTATAAATTCCAGGAACAACTGTAGATTCATCCAGAGGTCGCTTATAAATCAGAACAAACCCAAATTCATAAGCTAGCCTCAAACAGAATCAACTATCTTATAAAAATGAGACAAAATGACAAAAGCAATTATTTTCACCCCTAATCATGTTTATAAAAAACAGGATGCTGTTTTTTTAGGCAGGCAAATAACTTACCCAGGGCATTCTTAACTATTGATGAATATTACAGCAGAAGAATGAACTTTGGCATTTGCAACTTGCATTGTGCAAAGCATATCATCTATTCAATTCTCTTGGGTGTGTGTAGCTCACTATTTTTGCCTGCGCATGTTTTCTCAGGAAAAAAATGTTATAAAGTCAGAACCATTCTTAAACAGAACAGACAGCGTTTTCCCTAACACCTTCTCACTTTTATTTTGCAAGATTTTCTTCTCCTAAGGAAGTAATCACAGCCCTTCTCTCTGGAACCTACCGCAAATGGTCATGGACAGAACTTAGAATTCTGTACTCTCCTATTCCTAATCCATTGACATTTCTCTAAACTGTATTCCACCTTTTGGACCCAAGGTATTATCCAGCTAATTATAGACAGATGTAACCTAATGGACTGTTTTGTGAGAATGCTAGGTTCTCTTTCAGTAACATTGTAGCCTACACACCCACACCCCACCATAGTATTTTAGTTTGAAATTTGAGCAGGTTTAGTGATTAAGATGTGAAGTGGATAATGACATCCGAAAATTGGAAGGCCAGGGAAAAGTGCTAAATTTGGGAGCTTCTGGCATCCAACTGGGAGAATGCATGTACTATGGCTCCAGAAAATACGTGTAAGGAGAGTAGACAGTTTTTAGGGGAAATTTAAACACATAAAAGGGAAATTATATCTACTTCACAAGTTTGCCTTTGCTTCTGGTCTGTGATTTGTGTGGGCTTTTTAGTGTCCAGCAATTGCACTGAGGAGACAGTCAGAGTCAGCCATGTGTCTAAATAATTTCTGCTCTATTCTAGGAATCGTGAGTACTTGGGCAATTTCCTTTGAACTCCCAGTTTTGTTGGAGAGTTCAAGAGGGAGAAACAGCCGGGCACGTTGGCTCACGCCTGTAATCCCAGCACTTCGGGAGGCCGAGGCGGGTGGATCATGATGTCAGGAGATTGAGACCATCCTGGCTAACACGGTGAAACCCCGTCTCTACTACAAATACAAAAAATTAGCCGGGCGTGGTGGCAGGCGCCTGTAGACCCAGCTACTCGGGAGGCTGAGGCAGGAGAATGGCGTGAACCCGGGAGGCGGAGCTTGCTGTGAGCCCAGATGGCGCCACTGCACTCCAGCCTGGGCGACACAGTGAGATTCCGTCCAAAAAAAAAAGAAAAAAGAAAGAGAAACAATGAGCCTAGAGAGCTGCGAGTTTGTCATGTCACATCCATATAAGCTAAGGGAAATCTCCTGTTAAAATCCTTGGAATGCCCAACCTTGGAAATTCAGAAATGTTAGACTACTGCCTTAATGACTCTGGAGAGACTCGCCTTCCCAGGGTTAATCAATTCCTAGAGACAGTAAAGAAATTGCCCAGGAGCACACTGGCAACCAAACGAATCAATTCAAATGCAAACCAACCAATCAAGAGCCCACACCCCAAGCACTTCCTTTATTAGAGCTCTCATATTCTGAGCCTCTATCCACTCGCTCTAAGCACTCCAAGGCCAGGTACCAAACAAGCAAGGATAGTACCTATGCCCCAGAATCTGCTGAAATTATTCAAACTAGCTAATCCTAAATCTGTTTCCACTATGTCACTTGTTCCTTCCCACAGAAACAAAAATAATAATGTTCTTTCCTACAGTTCTCCACTCTCCGTCTGTCTCCTAACTGGCCCTGGTGCTTCCCCATGTGTGCTTGTGGCATGCCCCCTTCTCTTGGGATCTGTGAATATAACTATCTTTCCAATGGAAGTCATCTCCTAATCTGTTGGCCTTATCATACCTAATAGTAATAAAACCTGTATTAAACAGTATGAAATAAAACCTCTCTGGCTCCCTGAAGTAGATGATCTCTAGAGTCTCTTCTAGCTGTAACACTCCTTTATCCTCTTACTTTAAATAGGAGAGCATTTTACCATCTTTACAATAGATATTTCAGTTATAATAAGGTCTTGAGCTTCTGAAGTTACTCAGTTTTTAATGCCAAGGGTTTTGTGAATCAGGACTTACATAAAGAGAAATTACACAGAAAGTCTTGTGTAAGAGTCATTGCTTAATCGGAAGCAAGGGAAAATGTTAGTTCTATTTTGAGAAACCTTTCGTTTTCCTCTATTATAGCTGAAGAATAAAAATCATTCTAGTATGCTTTTTCTAGACTCCTGTTAGCTTTTCTACTTTCCTTTGCTTTTCTTCCTTCTTTGCCTTTGGATACAAAGTAGTATAAGGTTCCCTCCTGATGGTGTGATTCTATGAGTTTGGGATGCATGTTGGGAGAATCAGGAAAATATTGGGATAAAATTCTCCCTTTAAAAGGCACGCGGAGTGTAAGGCAAAACACAAGAACTATATTCCAGTATATAAAGAATTAGATTAGTAATGGGAACATTACTAAATATTTACTGAATGAACTCAATTCTCATCTAGCATAAACAGGGATTCCCTGTGTAGTCTTAATCCATCACCTCACCCTTCTTTGCCTTTACTTTCTGATAGAAAAACAATTATTCCAAATCCTCCACAAATATAATTAGTAGGATTGTTATGAGGAATCATTTGACTTTCAAAATAAATCTGAAAATTGCTTTCAGTTACTAAAATAAATTGCAGAGGAGGATTATGTTCGAGACAAAATTATGTCTTGGGTAAGGGAATAAACAAGGAAGTGCATTTCGGTGAGAGAATGAACATTTTGGTTCACGTTGTGATAAAAGGGTACCATAATTATTTGAAATCAGGAAAACAATTTATGGTTTTTTTTCAAAAAATTTTGTGTGAATTAATTTTTGTTATTGTGTTTGTTTCTGAAAATGCACCCTTATATAACCTCTGGGAAGTCAGACAAAACAGATGTATAGCTCTCTGCAATGGGCAGGACTCAAACTGAAGTACAGTTGGCTGGATATTTAGGAGTACAGTGAGGAAAAGTCTCGCCTTTCTACTCCACCTGAAGTTGTCAAATGAAACTTTCCAAATATTTTAGAGAAACAAAATGCCTCTGGCTCACATTCTGTTTGCCTTTGAGTCTTGCTCAAAACATATTTTTTCAAATGAAAAAAGGAAGGATGAAGGAAACAGACTAAAAGTCAAGGAATTAATTTTGTGCAGAAGGAAAACAAAACTGTGGAATCTCTGGGTTCAAAAATTTGAAAAAAAAATTCAACTTATTTAATGCCCTCTAATTTGAAGATGAAAGAATGGTTGGACTGAGTCGTTCCTTCAGAAAGAGCTCTTTCTCTGTGCCTCAGAGACATCTGAAAGATCACAAAACCTTCCTCAAGAAAAATTTCTAAGGTCAGAGAAACTGCCTTCTTCTGCTTACTTCAAATCTCTCTGTCAATGTAAATTTAATACTCTCCACACAAAAATACTAGCTTCATATACATACGGACAAAAATATTCACAGAACTTCTCAGAGTTATGAGTTTGGCTGGTTTTGTCTTGCTTTAAAGTGAACCCAATACTGAAAATCTTAAAGACCTTTCCCTCAAATAATAAATACAGTGAGTAGCACTCTCCCTTGCCTCCAGAGCTATACTGATATCACCTCTAGGGTTAGGAATTGTGGGACATGAACGAACAGGTAAAAATAAAAATATTGGGTATACCATTAACTCTTCCATTTTGAAAATAAGGTAGCTGAGGTTCAGAGAGATAGAGGTGCACACTGGAACTTATCCTGAGACCACTTCTGAAAGTAATTTGAATCAGGCCTCAGACACAGGCCTCACCCAAGGCCTTGTCCTTCCTCTTGCTACAGTGATCAGGGAACGGTGAATGTCTGCACTGGTCTTAGATTCCTTATCTGAGTGACCAAGTGTGACAGAAAGAGTTAGGGGGTCCTTATGGGCACCCCCTTCCATCCACACCTCTGCTCTATAGATTCTAAACCGCCAGAGGATTCTGGGTACAGGCCTTTGAGCAAGCTGTGAAGGTGGTAACTGAAAATGCAAGGTGAGGAGTCAGGGCCTGGAATTCTCAAGGGCAAAACCAAATAATATGGCCTTTTCCTCCCCCATCTCCTATCCTTCATTTTTCTTTCCTTTTGAAAATGTTTTATTATGAGCAATACTCAATAACAAACAAAATATGAATCAGAGACATCTTCTTTGAGAATTTGGAAGCTATCATTTGGCGTCTTCAGGTGTGGGAGAAAAGTGAACCTTACCCTCACTGAGTTCCTACATGTCCAGCCCGTTGTACTTCAGCTTGAATAATGGCCCACTGTGGAAGACCCTGTGTATATATTCATTTTGCCTAACTGCCCAGGGATTTTGTGAGTGGATCTATTTTCAGAACCAAAATGAATTCTCTACAGCAATCCTCAAATTTTATTCTGAATGAAAATCACTAAGAAAGCTTGTTAAAATACAGACTACTAAGCCCCATCCCTACCTTCTAATTCAGTAGATCTAGGATGAAACAAATGCTAACAAGTTTCCAAGTGATACTTACGGCTAGTCCCAGGGTTCGGGGCTAAAAGCAATGGCTCCTTAGGACCCAGTCGTAGATATGATGCTGATCGCCTTACATGCTACCACACACTCTGATAAGCCCTCTCTTTTCCCTGACTCAGCAAAAGGCTATATCCCATGTAAGGAGGAGATGATGGAAATGATGCATCGCATCTTTTTTAGGAAGCTTGCTGGTTTTATTCCAACCTCTTTAATGATTATTTTACACCTCTTTTTAGGCTCATTTATTTTATTCCTCACACATAAATGACTACAAAATTCTATAGGTTCTGTATCCTAAATACCTGCAGAGGCTCTTCCTCTCCAGCCCTCTTCTCATGTCTTGATTCAGGTAACAATTATCTCTCACTCACAATTTTGCAAGAGCTTTCTATATTTGGTATTCTTTTCTTACCATCCTTCAACTCATTTTCATTCCACTCTCACAGAAAGTTTCCTGAAAAAGAAATGTGATCCTAAAACTGTGCTGCTCAGAATTTCTCCAGTGTACCCCCTTGGCCTTCAGCAGAGAGGAAGAAGGGAGGTGAGGTCTCAGAGACATTAATTTTCACTTTCAGTCATCCTCTTCCTTCCTCCAATCACACCAATACTCATAGCATTCTAGACCAACCTTGGCAGAAGGAGGAAGAGGTTAAATTGGACAACTTCCTCTACTCAAAACTGCTACCTTTCATTTCAGTTTAATAGCATTTATAGGTACCTGCTATTTGCAATGCTTTGTGCTTTTTCACCAATCCTCACAAAAATCAGGTGGTGTTACAGGGGGAAGGAATGAGACGCAGCATGAAGGAGCTACCTAAGGTTATACCAAGCTAGTTAGATAAATGTGCCTGTACAGGTTGCTTGCCATTGAACATCACAACAGTTGGTTTGTTTTTCAAATATATGATTTAGGCAGTAGAGGTTAAGAACAGAAGCCCTAACTTCAGGCACTCTTGACTGGAAAACTGATTCTGCCATGAGGTAACCATGAGTAAGTTACTTATCCTTCTAATAATCCCCTTGTGATAATAGCAACCTAAAATAACCCCTGCAACCTCTGACTCCGTGTATTCATGCCTTTGTGAAACAATCTCCTCTTGAGTGTGGGCAGGACCTGTGACTTGCTAATAGAATGTGACCAAGGTGATGGGATATCACTGCCATGATTATACTGTGTTATAAGTGAAGGGATTTTGCAAGTGAAATTAAGTTAAGGTTCTAATCCGCAGAACCTCAGAACCTCTGTAGAACTTCTGTTCTAATCTCCCCTAATCAAGTAGTCCTTTAAAAGGGGGCTTATTCCTTCCCTGAGCTTAGAGATTCTGGATAGCAGACTCCCTCTTCTGTCAGCCCTAAAGAAGTAAGCCATTATTAATTTTACAGATGTACAGAAATAAATTTTGCCAGAATCCACATGGACTTGCAAGAGGACCCCGAGTCTCAGATAAGACTGCAGCCTCTTGAACATAGTCTTGTGAGACCCTAAGCAGAGGAGTCAGATAAGTTTTGCCCAGACTCCTGATCCATGGAAACTGTGAAATAATAAATGCATGTTGTTTTAAGCTGCTAAGTTTGCATTATTTATTTATTTATTTTTTATTACTCTTTAAGTTCTAGGATACATGTGCGGAACGTGCAGGTTTGTTACATAGGTATACATGTGCCACGGTGGTTTGCTGCACCCATCAACCCGTCACCTACATTAGGTATTTCTCCTAATGCTATCCCTCCCGGTGCCCCCCACCTCTCAACAGGCCCCGGTGTGTGATGTTCCCCTCCCAGTGTCCATGTGTTCTCATTGTTCAACTCCCACTTATGAGTGAGAACATGCGGTGTTTGGTTCTCTGTTCCTATGTGAACTAATTTACACTCCCACAAACAGTGTAAAAGCATTCCTATTTCTCCACATCCTCTCCAGCATCTGTTGTTTCCTGACTTTTTAATGACTGCCATTCTAACTGACATGAGATGGTATCTCACTGTGGTTTTGATTTGCATTTCTCTAATGACCAGTGATGATGACAAGGCATGGGCAAAGACTTCATAAAACATCAAAAGCAATGGCAACAAAAGCCAAAATTGACAAATGGGATCTAATTAATTTAAAGAGCTTCTGCACAACAAAGGAAACTATCATCAGAGTGAACAGGCAACCTACAGAACAGGAAAAAATTTTTGCAATCTATCCATCTGACAAAGGGCTAATATCCAGAATCTACAAGGAACTTAAACAAATTTGCAAGAAAAAAACAACCCCATCAAAAAGTGGGTGAAGGATATGAACACTTTTCAAAAGAAGACATTTATGCAGCCAACAAACATATGAAAAAAAGCATTCATTTTTTAACGCAGCAATGGTTAACTAACACATCCCTTCTTCCTGTATTTCACCACCAACAATCCTCCTCACACCCACCAAAAAAGGGAAAGTGGTAGAGGGAAGGCAGGGACCAAAGAGCACAATGTGTACTGGGCCAAGCTGGTTTGGGAGCAATCACATCTTTACTTATCCCCAACCCTGCACAGGCAGAATGGCTTCAGTAGTGCTGCTCTGAGGAACCAGATAAAATACCCTAGAGGAGTGTGGCCTACCAGAGGGCAGAGGAGTGATGGGACTGGACAAAAAGACACTCTTCTTCTTCCACTGTCCCCACAGTTCTGCTTATTTCTGGAACTCAAGGAGGTAAGAGCTGTGCCAAGAAAAGAGGGTAGAGCTGGCTCCGCTTCTCAGGCTGTAGGCAGCCAGGAGCAGTCAGCTGTGACCACTCAAGCACTAAAGCACCTGAATACCTAGGAGGTGTAAATCCCTAGGCTGTGGCTCTGTGGGGTTGGGGTTTGTATAAAGACAGGTGTGAAATGCTCTGCTCTTTAAGGCCTGTAAAAACTGGTGGGTAGAACAACATTAACATATGGAGAAAGTTAAGTAATAAAGATGGCCACATCAAATGATTGGCACAGGCAGTAATGCATGGAGTGGAGAAACAGAGCTAGGCTTGATGACACAATACCCATAGTCATAGTTTGATTCTGCCACTAACTGCCTTGGGACTTAAGTCCGTCTCAACACATCTTTGGACTTGGGTTTCCTGGACTCTAATATAAAGAGCTTGTATGTTTCCTGGTTTGTAATTTATTCAGAAATATATTGCCTTTCTCAAGTGAAATGAAGAAAACAGATGAAAAGCAGAGCTCTTCTAGCTAAAGCAAGGGAACCAGCATAAACACAACTGCAGGGGATGAGCCCTAAAGTCCCTTCTGACTTTAACATCTTCTGATGATGTGGTGGTTCTCCAGCAGAGACTGCCTGGGATATGAACTGGGAGGATGCATGCAGGTTTAAGCACCCTGCAACTATCATAAGGTCCTGCAAGTGTGGTAGTACTGGTGAGAAGACGAGCCAATACAAGAGCATACACCCTCTACTCCTGCAGGGTTTCCAATGTATACATCAAGAACAGACACAGCCATTTGCTTTTAGCCATTCTTCTATTAGGCTTGCAGCAGTCAATGTCAGCCAGAACTTTCTGTAGTGCTCCAAAGACTGCTGTACTCTAAGTCCCAGATAGAAAGGCTGAGGTATGTAAGTTCCATTCTTTTTATGTGAACTGTACCAGGGAAGTCAGTTTCACTATTTCGGGGAGACGCTGCATTTCAACTGTGTGTGGCATCAAATAGAAACTCTCACCCCACCCATGCTATTTTCTATTCACAAATTATACACCCCACAATCTCTACCAACCCTCACAGCCAGCATTATAAACACAAACAGTAGAAACAAGCCTTTCCTCAGATCTTGTAGTTTGGGCCCTGGCCAGTTCCTCGAAGAGCTTTTGTACTTGTGCATCAATAGCTGTCTCATATAGCTTCTGGTATTGTGTAGAGAAGACTAATGAATGAACAGGATATTCATTTTTCATCCAGTGCATTTACTGAACACCTACCATGTGTCTAGTACTGTCCCAGCCACTGTGGATACAGCAGTGAACTAGATAGACATCCCCTAGCACTAGAGGAATAAGTGCATCTATTCTTCAGGGGAATAAGTGTGGCATACTGCAGAATTCACTGTGCTTATAGATATTCTAGCTGACTCAATGGCAAACAGCCATCATTGAGACTCACTTGCCATAGGGATTTCTCTGCAGCTATAAAGAGCTATAAAGAGAAAATCATCTTGCTATTTTCCATGGGGAAATTTGGCTCAAAAAGATAAATGTATTTTAATTTTTTTTTTCTGAGATTGTTTAACAGTATACTAAAGTAAGCATTTTCAAGGTGTTCTCTGTTAGGCCTCCTGGCAAAGTTTCTGTGAGGGTGAAATAGACAAA
Organism: Homo sapiens; assembly: GCF_000001405.40. Classification (NCBI taxonomy): domain Eukaryota; kingdom Metazoa; phylum Chordata; class Mammalia; order Primates; family Hominidae; genus Homo; species Homo sapiens. Next base: position 49,711,685 of record NC_000015.10, on the reverse strand, counting down.
TTGCAAAAGATATGTGTCCTTGGTCGCTTGTGTGCTATCCAGGCTCTCACAACTGGCCATGCCCCTAGCATCCTGCTTTGCTGGATAGATTTCAGAGAAGGGTCTTCTGAAGGCCATGAAACCCAGTTTATGGCTCTGAGGGTAGACTAGGGTAAGGTCCAAAGAAAGGGCTTCAGATTCCATGCACAGCAGCACATGTTCCTGTGAGGTTGTTTTATGACTCTGTGCAAATCCAGAATCCTGTCATTGGACAAAGTGGTCAAGTACAGGATCAGTATCAGAGGATAGAGGATGATGGGGTACATGGTCCTATTTTAGACAGGGAAGTTCAGAAAGGCCTCCATGAGAAGGTGATATTTGCATTCAAACTAGAATAAAGTAAGGGAATGAATTATAGATTTCTGGAAGTAGAAAATTCCATAGAAAAAGAAGAAACTGTACAAACATACCAAGGGTGGATAATGTTCAAGTTACAGGAAGAAGATAAGTGCAACTGGACACAGTGAACAAAGGAAAGGTCAAAGGGCTAGATCCTGTGGGCCAGGTAAGCAGACTGAGGGAAGGACTTGGGATTGTTATTTGTGTGTGTGTGTGTGTGAAAGAGAAAGAGAGAGAGAGAGAGAGAGAAAGGGAGAGAAAGGGAGAGATGGGAAGTTATTAGAGAGTTCTAAGCAAGGGGTGATATAATCTAACATTGTGTGTTACAAGGCTCACTCTGACCAAGGCTAGCCCCCATGGACCCAGCTTCCAAGCCCACTACAGTGCCAGGCCAGCCATCATGGCCTCAGGTTCCAGGTCCACCCCAACATCAGGCTGGCTCCTGTAGCCATAGGCTCTAGACCAGTCCCTGAAGACCTAGCTTCTAGGCCTACCTCAGCACCAGGACAACTCTTATGGCCACAGGCTCCAGGTCCACCTAGTACCAGGCTGGCCCACCACTGTGGACACCAGCATCAGTCCCACCCCAGTGAACTCAGGCTCTGGGTTTCCTCCAGAGACAGTTTACCCCCTGTAGCCCCAGGCTCCAGGCCAGCCCTCATGGTTCAGGGATCCAGGTTGTCACCAGTGGACCTAGCCTCCAGACCTGCCCCATCACCAGGCTGACCTCACAGACAGCTTCCAGGCTGGCCCCTAGGGTCCTCAGCTCTATGGATCCAGGTACCAGGCCAGTCCCTGTGGACCCAGGCATTGGGATCACCTACCCACTGACCCAGGCACTATGCCAGCTGACTTGGAGACTTTCACAGCAAGCCTGCCTGCAGACCCTGCTGGCTACTCTGCTCAGAGTCTCTGGACAAGCTGACTGGTGAAGGCCTTTCACTGGAGATGTCAGTCTATAAAGACTGGAAAAGGTGCCCACTTATTCAAATGCAGACACTACTGCAGATCCACAAGGATCACAAATAATCAGGGAAACATGAAACCACCAAAGGAAAAAAATAAAGTACCAATAACTGACTCTCAGAAACGAAGACCTATAAACTTCCTGACAAAGACTTCAAAATAATTATCTTAAAGAAGTTTAGTAAGCTACAAGAGAACACAGACAACTAAACGATATCAGAAAAACAATACATAAACACAATGACAAGTTCAATAAAGAAAAACAAAACAAAAACCAAATAGAAATTTGGAGCTGAAGAACATAATGATTGTACTGAAAAATTCCATAGAGACCTTCAGCAGCAGACTTCATCAGACAGAAGAATCAAGGCACATAAAGATGTGTTTTTAAAAATTAGCCAGGCAGAAGAATAAAAAGAAAAAAAGGGAAGAAAGCCTATGCAACTTGGGACACCATCAAACAAATGAATATATGCCTTTTTTGCAGTACCAAAAGGAGAAGAGAAAGAGAAAGAAGCAGAAAGCTTATGTGAAGAAACAATGACAGAAGCATTTTCAAATCTAGAGAAGGAAATGAACATCTGTATCCAAGAAGCTCAATGAATCCCAATAGATTAAACATAATGAGATCTTGATTGAAACACATTGTTATACAATTCTTAAAAAAATAAAGAATTTTGAAAGCAGTAAGAGAAAAGCAACTCATCACTTACAACAGAACCACTACAAAACTATAGGTAGATATCTCAGAAGAAATCTTGCATGCCAGGAGATAGTAGGATAATCAAGTACTGAAAGAAAATATCCTGGCAACCAATAATACAATACTCAGCAAAACTGTCCTTCAGAAATGAAGTAGAGATAGAGACTGTCCCAGAAAAACAAAAGTTGAAGGAGTTATCACCACTAGATCTGCCTTACAAGAAATGCTTCATAAATTCACGTTGTAATGAAAAATGCTAACAACATGTAACAGTACAAAACTCATTGGAAAGGTGAGATATAGTCAAATTCACAATACTCTAATACTGTAACAATTGTGTGAAAATCACATTTAACTCTAGCATAAAGTTAAAAAGAAAAAATTATTAAAAATAACTATAGCTACAATAATGTGTCAAGGAATACACAATATAGAAAGATGTAATTTGTAATATCAGTAATATGTAAGGGAAGGAGAACTTAAAATACAGAGTTTTTGTATGTTAAGTTGCTTATAGCCTAAAATAGCCTGTTATAATTTATGTAAGTCTCATTATAACCACAAAGAAAAAAACCTGTAGCAGATACCCAAAAGGAAATGATAAAGAAGTCAAAGTATACCACTGCCAAAAAAAAAAAAAAAAAAAAAAATCAAATCACAAAAGAAGAGAGGAATAAAGAAAAGAGCCCAGATAGCCAAGGCAATCCTAAGCAAAAAGAACAAAGCTGGAGGCATCACATTACCTAATTTCAAACTATACTACAGGGCTGCAGTCACCAAAACAGCATGGTACTGGTACAAAAACAGGCAGATAGATTAATGGAACAGAATAGAGAGCCCAGAAATAAGGCTGCACACCTATGACCACCTGATCTTTGACAAAGCTGACAAAAACAAGCAATGGGAAAAGACTCACTATTCAATAAATGATGCTGATAAAACTGGCTAGCCATATGCAGAAGAAGCTGGACCCCTTCCTTACACCATATACAAAAATCAACTCAAGATGTATTAAAGACTTAAATGTAAATCCCCAAACTATAAAAACCCTGGAAGACAACCTCGACAATACCATCCTGGACATAGGAACAGGCAAAGATTTCATGACAAAGACACCAAAAGCAATTGCAACAAAAGCAAAAATTGACAATTGGGATCTAATTAAACTTAAGAGCTTCTGCACAGCAAAAGAAACTGTGAACAGAGTAAACATACAACCTACAGAATGAAAGAAAATATTTGCAAACTATGCATCTAATATTCAGGTGTATAAGGTCTAATATCCAGCATCTATAAGGAACTTAAACAAATTTACAAGAGAAAATAACCAACCCCATTAAAGTGGGCAGAGGAAATGAACAGACACTTTTCAAAAGAAGACATACATGTGGCCAAGAAGCATATGAAAAAGCAGCTCAATATCAGTGATTATTAGAGCAATGCAAATCAAAACCGCAATGAGATATCATCTCACACCAGTCAGAATGGCTATTATTAAAAAGTCAAAAATAACAGATGCTGGTGAGGTTGCAGAGAAAAGGGAATCCTTATACACTGCTGATGGGAGCGTTAATTAGTTCAACCATTGTGGAAAGCAGTATGATGATTACTCAATGAGCTAAAAGCAGAACTACCATTCAACCCAGCAATCCCATTACTGGTTGTATACCCAGAGGAATATAAACCATTCTACCATAAAGTCACATGCATGTGAATATTCACTGTAGCACTATTCACAATAGCAAAGACATGGAATCAACCTAAATGCCTATTAATGACAGATTGGACAAAGAAATTTTGGTACACAGACACCATGGAATACTATGCAGCCATGAAAAAATGAGATTACATCTTTTGTGGGAACATGGATGGAGTTACAGGCTATTATCCTCAGCAAACTAACACAGGAAGAGAAAACCAAATACCACATGTTCTCGCTTACAAATGGGAGCTAAATGATGAGAATTTATGAGCACAAAGAAGAAACACTCTTCCCTTCACCCTGGTGGAGCAGAAGGGTGTGCAATTAATTTCTGGGCTATGAAGACACCAAGAATGAGCTTGCTCCCTGGATTTGGCAATTTTCAGTTATTTCTAAGCTGAAGCCTGGCAGGAGAGAACCCAAATTATTAATTACATTTGTTTCCAGTGTTCAAGACAGTTTCATGAGTGATATTCACTTCAGAGATATATTCTGCCAGTTTACTACAACCCCAAACTGCTTGCTTCAGAGTCTAGGAGCTCTACATGTCCTTTGGGCACAAGATCTGGGGCAGTTTCAGTCAATGAAAGTAAAATAAGGTTAGAAGCTGAAGTGAGGGTTGTTTCCCCCACCGCCCCCAACCCCCTTCACTAGATTTACCATCCCCTGGCAAGAGCTTGAGGTTGACTTACGTTTGTCTCATCACTTGTAATGTGACTGTAACACACTGAACTATCTGAATCCCTTTATCTTTCACTTCTGTCTGCACGTTCAGGGAAAGAATGGGATATTTATGATCCCATCAATTTAATAGACCATGTCAGTTTCTGCATCTCAGTCTGTAAAGCATACCCATGTGGATTTGAAAACTGCCTTTCAGACGTGAACTTTATTTTTCATAATGAGGAACAGAGACATTATTGGGGAAGTGAAATGGGGAGAGAGGAAGGAAATAGTAATAAATCTTACCAAGGCAACTTCCAACCCTGGATTATGTCATTCAATTAGGATATGCTTATATAGATAAAGATACTAGTCAGTATTTGCTTTCTTGCCTTAGAAAATCCTTCGTGTCACATTAGCTCACACTGGTAGTCCATTTACCTCATAGAAAAAGCACAGAGGCAGAAATCTGTACTAATTTTTTTAGGTATTTAAAAGATTATCTTATGTTTCATAAGAGTAACTTTTAGATTTATGTCTGCTACTGTTAAACTTCAGCAAGCAAATAGCCATACATGACTAGTAGCTATAGTTTGATGAGAGGCTACTAGCATTTCAAATCAATGGATTAAAAAGGTAGTAACACATTTTTTAAAAAAGTATAGTATTTTTAAAGCAATAAAAAGTTATTTTTGTTTCCCTAGCCTATTAAAAAAATCACACTTAGGCATTTAATGATCTTGGCTATTAAAATAGAACAGTGGTATATCAAAAGGGAATTAGGATGTAGTCAACCATGCCATGAATTGTTACCATGTATAACAATAATAACAGATGTGCTAGGGACTTTACATGTGTTATATTTAAATATATGAATGATTAAGTTCAATACCCTTAGAAAAAATTAAGACCTTCTGATTTTATTACATGATGAAGGGTTTGCAGCAGTTAATTTTTGAATTTTATTTTGCTTAATTTAAAAATTAGTTTGCAGTTCTAAGCATAAAGCTTATGGTGGGCACATTGTCCTGAAACTTAGAATTGTTATCCTTCTTTCATTTAGTTAATGAGTATTTACTGAGCAACTACTTTGTAATAAAGTCTGGGATGAATCAAATAGAAATTTAATTCTAATAAAATGATAAACAAATGCGATTCAAATAAAAACATTTCATGGAAAAAATGTTTTTTTCATGGAACTCTTATAAGTTTACTTAAAATTTTGATGAAAAAACAAAAGGCCAAAAATTTCCAGGATTATTTTGCAAAAAGAGAACAAAGTAAGACATTTCTATCTACGAGATACCACTTATAATACAGACAGTTTGTATTAATACAGGGAAAAATAAGTAGTCCAATGGATCACAACAGGAAAACCAGAAACAGACATATTATATATATATATGTGTATATATATGTATATATATACACATATATATAGAACATATGTGAAAGCAAAGACAGTATATAGGTCAGCAAGGAAAAAACAGGCTATTCAATACATGATACTAGAGCAATTATTTATCTACATGAAAAGAATCAAATAAAATTCCTATTTCACACCCTCCACAAAAACCAATTTCAGGTGAATTAAAGGCCTAAACGTGAAAAGAAAATCTGTAAAACATGTAGAAAATAGTTAATACAGGACACTGTCTTTGTATTGTTAGAATTTCTTAAGAAATACAATAGTAAAATTCATTAAATATATTCATCAATTGCTTACAATAAAATCTGGCTAAATTAGAAATTTTCTGAATGAAAAGACACCATAAACAGACGGAAACTACAAGCCTCAAAGTGGGACTAATAGGTACGTGGAACACAGAAAGAACCCGGGCCGGTCAATAAGAAAACAATCCAATTGAAAATGGATGAAGGAAGAGGAAATCCAAATAGCCAGTAAGCTCTTGAAAAGATATTGAACTTCAACAATGGCAGATTAAACAAAGTGACACATTATATCACGACTATCAGAATGATAAATACTTAAACCTGATAATATAAAATGTTAGCAAGGATACAATGAGAACTTTCATGTATTGCAGGTGGGGATTGTACAGACTGCAGAGCAATGCAGCAATACCTAATAAAGTTCAATATGCACGTGCCCTGTGGCCTAGCAATTCCATGAGAAATTCTGTCACATTTGCACAAGAAAACATGTGTAAGAGTGTTCTTTACAGCATTACTTATAGGAGCAACAGATTGGAAACAATTCAAAAGTACATCAACAAGAAAATAGATAAATTATGAAATACACTACAGGAGTGAAAATGGACTAGAATGGTATCTTTCAATATGAGTAATTTTCATGAATATAACATTAGATTTTAAAGGCAAGTTTGATAAAGACACATAGAGTCTCCTTATGTTTTAAATGTATATAAATTTTGAGAGCATGTAAGAACATTATATGTTGTTATGGATTTATGCATATACATATAAAAGCATAAAAATTAAATGAAATATTATACCTAAAATTTATGATAATTATTACCTCTGGGTGGTGGGGGGTGTCAGGCCTCTGAGCCCAAGCTAAGCCATCATATCTCCTGTGACCTGCACATATACATCCAGATGGCCTGTTCCTTGCCTTAACTGATGACATTCCACCACAAAAGAAGTGAAAATGGCCGGGCCTTGCCCTAAGTGATGACATTATCTTGTGAAATTCCTTCTCATAGCTCATCCTGGCTCAAAAGCTCCCCTACTGAGCACCTTGTGACCCCCACTCCTGCCCGCCAGAGAACAACCCCTCTTTGACTGTAATTTTCCTTTACCTACTGAAATCTTATAAAACGGCCCTACTCTTATCTCCCTTCGCTGACTCTCTTTTTGGACTCAGCCCGCCTGCACCCAGGTGATTAAAAAGCTTTATTGCTCACACAAAGCCTGTTTGGTGGTCTCTTCACATGGACGTGAGTGAAATTTGGTGCCATGACTCGGATCGGGGGACCTCCCTTAGGAGATCAATCCCCTGTCCTCCTGCTCTTTGCTCCATGAGAAAGATCCACCTATAACCTTGGGTCCTCAGACCAAGCAGCCCAAGGAACATCTCACCAATTTTAAATCCGGTAAGCGGCCTCTTTTTACTCTCTTCTCCAACCTCTCTATCCCTCAACCTCTTTCTCCTTTCAGTCTTGGTGCCACACTTCAATCTCTCCCTTCTCTGAATTTCAGTTCCTTTCCTTTCCTGGTAGACACGAAGGAGACGCGTTTTATCCGTGGACCCAAAACTCCGGCGCCAGTCCTGGACTCAGGAAGACAGTCTTCCCTTGGTGTTTAATCACGCGGGGACGCCTGCCTGATTATTCACCCACGTTTCAGAGGTGTCTGACCACGCGGGGACGCCTGCCTTGGTCCTTCAACCTTAGCGGCAAGTACCACTTTTCTAGGGGTCAAGAATCCCCCAACCCCTTCTCTCCGTGTCTCTATCCCTTCTCTGCTTTTCTGGGGGACAAGAACTCCCTAACCCCTTCTCCTTCACCCTTAGTGGCAAGTACCGCTTTTCTAAGGGGTAAGAACCCCCCGACCCCTTCTCTCCGTGTCTCTACCCCTTTTCTGCTTTTCTGGAGGGCAAGAACCCCCCAACCCCTTCCCTCCGTGTCTCTACTCTCTCTTTTTTCTGGGCTTGCCTCCTTCACTACGGGCAACCTTCCACCCTCCATTCCTCCCTCTTCTCCCTTAGCCTGTGTTCTCAAGAACTTAAAACCTCTTCAACTCACACCTGACCTAAACCTAAATGCCTTATTTTCTTCTGCAATGCCACCTGACCCCAGTACAAACTCGACAGCGGTTCCAAAGAGCCAGAAAACGGCACTTTCGATTTTTCCATCCTACAAGATCTAAATAATTCTTGTTGTAAAATAGGCAAACAGTCTGAGGTGCCTGACATCCAGGCATTCTTTTACACATTGTTCCCTACCTAGTCTCTGTTCGCAATGCGACTCGTCCCAAATCCTCCTTCTTTCCCTCTCACCTGTCCCCTCAGTCCCAACCCCAAGCGTCGCTGAGTCTTTCTAATCTTCCTTTTCTACAGACCCATCTGACCTCTCCCCTCCTCCCCAGGCTGCTCCTCGCCAGGACGAGCTAGGTCCCAATTCTTCCTTAGCTCCGCTCCTCCACCCTATAATCTTTTTATCACCTCCCTTCCTCACACCCGGTCCGGCTTACAGTTTCGTTCTGTGACTAGCCCTCCCCCACCTGCCCAGCAATTTCCTCTTAAAAAGGTGGCTGGAGCTAAAGGCATAGTCAAGGTTAATGCTCCTTTTTCTTTATCCGACCTGTCCCAAATCAGTTAGCGTTTAGGCTCTTTTTCATCAAATATGAAAAACCCAGGCCAGTTCATGGCTCATTTGGCAGCAACTCTGAGACGCTTTACAGCCCTAGACCCTAAAAGGTCAAAAGGCCGTCTTATTCTCAATATACATTTTATTACCCAATCCGCTCCCGACTTTAAATAAAGCTCCAAAAATTAAATTCTGGCCCTCAAACCCCACCACAGGACTTAATTCACCTCGCCTTCAAGGTGTACAATAATAGAAAAAAGTTGCAATTCCTTGCCTCCACTGTGAGACAAACCCCAGCCACATCTCCAGCACACAAGAACTTCCAAATGCCTGAACCGCAGCGGCCAGGCGTTCCTCCAGAACCTTCTCCCCCAGGAGCTTGCTACAAGTGCCGGAAATCTGGCCACCAGGCCAAGGAATGCCCGCAGCCCAGGATTCCTCCTAAGCCACATCCCATCTGTGTGGGACCCCACTGAAATTCGGACTGTTCAACTCACCTGGCAGCCACTCTCAGAGCCCCTGGAACTCTGGCCCAAGGCTCTCTGACTCCTTCCCAGATCTTCCTGGCTTAGCAGCTGAAGGTTGACACTGCCCGATCGCCTCAGAAGCCCACTAAACCATCAGGGACGCCGAGCTTCAGGTGACTCTCACAGTGGAAGGTAAGTCCATCCCCTTCTTAATCAATATGGAGGCTACCCACTCCACATTACCTTCTTTTCAAGGGCCTGTTTCCCTTGCCTCTATAACTGTTGTAGGTATTGACGGCCAGGCTTCTAAACATCTTAAAACTCCCCAACTCTGGTGCCAACTTAGACAATACTCTTTTAAGCACTCCTTTTAGTTATCCCCACCTGCCCAGTTCCCTTATTAGGCCGAGACACTTTAACTAAATTATCTGCTTCCCTGACTATTCCTGGGTTCTAGCCACACCTTATTGCCGCCTTTTCCCCCAGTTCAAAGCCTTCTTCACATCCTCCCCTTGTATCTCCCCACCTTAACCCACAAGTATAAGACCCCTCTACTCCCTCCTTAGCGACCGATCATGCAACCCTTACCATCCCATTAAAACCTAATCACTCTTACCCCGCTCAATGCCAATATCCCATCCCACAGCACGCTTTAAAAGGATTAAAGTCTGTTATCACTGCCTGCTACAGCATGGCCTTTTAAAGCCTATAAACTCCTCTTACAATTCCCCCAATTATACCTGTCCTAAAACCAGACAAGGCTTACAGGTTAGTTCAGGATCTGTGCCTTATCAACCAAATTGTTTTGCCTATCTACCCTGTGGTGCCAAACCCATGTACTCTCCTATCCTCAATACCTCTCTCCACAACCCATTATTCTGTTCTAGATCTCAAACACGCTTTCTTTACTATTCCTTTGCACCCTTCATCCCAGCCTCTCTTTGCTTTCACTTAGACTGACCCTGACACCCACCAGGCTCAGTAAATTACCTGGGCTGTACTGCCGCAAGGCTTCACAGACAGCCCCCATTACTTCAGTCAAGCCCAGATTTCTTCCTCATCTGTTACCTATCTCGGCATAATTCTCATAAAAACACACATGCTCTCCCTGCTGATCGTGTCTGGCTAATCTCCCAAACCCCAATCCCTTCTACAAAATAACAACTCCTTTCTTTCCTAGGCATGGTTAGTAAAGTCAGAATTCTTACACAAGAGCTGGGACCGCGTCCTGCAGCCTTTCTGTCCAAACAACTGGACCTTACTGTTTTAGCCTAGCCTTCATGTCTGTGTGCAGTGGCTGCCGCTGCCTTAATACTTTTAAAGGCCCTAAAAATCACAAACTGTGCTCAACTCACTCTACAGTTCTCATAACTTCCAAAATCTATTTTCTTCCTCACACCTGACACATATACTTTCTGCTCCCCGGCTCCTTCAGCTGTACTCACTCTTTGTTGAGTCTCCCACAATTACCATTGTTCCTGGCCCGGACTTCAATCTGGTATCTCACAGTATTCCGGATACCACACCTGACCCCCATGACTGTATCTCTCTGATCCACCTGACATTCACCCCATTTCCCCATATTTCCATCTTTTCTGTTCTTCACCCTGAACACACTTGGTTTATTGATAGTAGTTCCACCAGGCCTAATCGCCACACACCAGCAAAGGCAGGCTATGCTATAGTACAAGCCAACAGTCCGCCTCTTAGAACTTCTCATTTCCTTTCCATTGTGGAAATCTATCCTCAAGGAAATAACTTCTCAGTGTTCCATCTGCTATTCTACCACTCCTCAGGGATTATTCAGGCCCCCTCCCTTCCCTACACATCAAGCTCGAGGATTTTCCCTCGCCCAGGACTGGCAACTCTTAACTCCCTCTTAGAGTGGATAGATGATATCTGCTGGCAGGGGACCCTCCGATAGTTTCACCCTGATGAAGTTCTATTCTTTACGTTTATACTCACTCTTATTCTCATTCCCATTCTTATGCCACCCTCTACCTCCCAGCTATCTCCACCACACTATCAATCTTACTCATTCTCTCCTAGCCGTTTCTAATCCCTCCTTAGCGAACAACCACTGGCTTTGCATTTCCCTTTCTTCCAGTGCCTACACAGCTGTCCCCGCCTTACATGCAGACTAGGCAACATCTCCTGTCTCCCTACACCTCTGAACTTCCTTTAACAGCCCTCACCTTTACCCTCCTGAAGAACTCATTTACTTTCTAGACAGGTCCAGCAAGACCTCCCCAGACATTTCACATCAGCAAGCTGCCACCCTCCTCTGCACTTACTTAAAAAACCTTTCTCCTTATATCAACTCTACTCCCCCCATATTTAGACCTCTCACAACACAAACTACTATTCCTGTGGCCGCTCTTTTATGTATCTCTCGGCAAAGACCCACTGGAATTCCCCGAGGTAACCTTTCAACTTCTCTATGTTCCTTTACTCTTTATCTCCAAAGTCCTCTTCTTGTTTACTTATACGCAGCCCCAAAAATAACAGTGAAAGGTTGCTCGTAGACACTCAACATTTTCTCATACACCATGAAAATCGAACTTCCCCCTCTATGCAGTTACCTCATCAGTCCCCATTAAAACCTCCGACGGCTGCCGCCCTAGCTGGATCCCTAGGAGTCTAGGTACAAGACACCCCTTTCAGCATTCCTTCTCATCTTTTTACTTTCATCTCTAGTTTTGCCTTGCACAAGGTCTCTTCTTCCTCTGTGGATCCTCTACCTATATGTGTCTACCTGCTAATTGGACAGGCACATAGACACTAGTTTTTCTTACTCCCAAAATTCAATTTGCAAATAGGACTGAAGAGCTCCCCGTTCCCCTCATGACACCAACATGACAAAAAAGAGTTATTCCATTAATTCCCTTGCTTGTCGGTTTAAGACTGTCTGCCTCCACTACTGCTCTCAGTACTGGAATAGCAGGCATTTCAACCTCTTTCACGACCTTCCATAGCCTCTCTAATGACTTCTCTGCTAGCATCATGCACATATTGCAAACTTCAAGTTGACTCTTTAGCTGCAGTTGTCCTCCAAAACTGCCGTGGCCTTGACTTACTGCTGAAAAAGGATGACTCTGTATATTTTTTAATGAAGAGTGTTGTTTTTACCTAAATCAATCTGGCCTGGTGTATGACAACATAAAAAACTCAAGGATAGAGCCTAAAAACTTGCCAACCAAGCAAGTAATTATGCTGAACCCCCTTGGACACTCTCTAATTAGATGTCCTAGATCCTCCCAATTCTTAGTCCTTTAATACCTGTTTTTCTCCTTCTCTTATTAAATTTAGTTTTTTGATTCATACAAAACTATATCCAGGCCACCACCAATAATTCTACACGACAAATGTTTCTTCTAACAACCCCACAATATCACCCCTTACCACAAAATCTTCCTTCAGCTTAATCTCTCCCACTCTAGGTTCCCACGCCGCCCCTAATCCTGCTCGAAGAAGCCCTGAGAAACATCGCGCATTATCTCTCCATACCACCCCCAAAATTTTTGCCGCCCCAACACTTCAACACTATTTTGTTTTATTTTTCTTATTAATATAAGAAGACAGGAATGTCAGGCCTCTGAGCCCAAGCTAAGCCATCTTATCCCCTGTGACCTGCACATATACATCCAGATGGCCTGTTCCTTGCCTTAACTGATGACATTCCACCACAAAAGAAGTGAAAATGGCCGGGCCTTGCCCTAAGTGATGACATTATCTTGTGAAATTCCTTCTCATAGCTCATCCTGGCTCAAAAGCTCCCCTACTGAGCACCTTGTGACCCCCACTCCTGCCCGCCAGAGAACAACCCCTCTTTGACTGTAATTTTCCTTTACCTACCCAAATCTTATAAAATGGCCCTATCCTTATCTCCCTTCGCTGACTCTCTTTTTGGACTCAGCCCGCCTGCACCCAGGTGATTAAAAAGCTTTATTGCTCACACAAAGCCTGTTTGGTGTTCTCTTCACACAGATGCAAGTGAAAGGGGGCATCTCAGGTCAGGCCCCAAAACAGAGCCTAATACAGGGATAAATATTGGGAGATGTGATCTCAGGGCAGCAAGAGTGAAGGAAAGGCAAAATGAGACAGGAAAGGATAAGGAAGAGAAGTACAGCAATGTAACTGCACAGGCCGCACAAAGAACCATCCTCAGAACAGTCCATTAGAGAAAGGAAGGGAGAAGAAATGATTATTTTAGGTTCTTACAGTCTTCTTGCTCTCATCGGTCATAATTTACTGTCAGGAAACTAATTTTTCCACGCTTCCAGGTTCTCTCACCGGGCCTTTACACAACTGCTATGGAAGGCATCTCCAGTGCTCTGTGGCATGATAGCTTCATTCAAATCTGGAAGTAGTAAGAAGATCTAGGGATTTCTAGTGCTTGTCTGCTGGAACTCATGCAGTGGAACCGCTGCCCTGAGTGTACTGCAGTGGCACTGGCAGCTCACATGGAACAGCCAAGGGTCAGGAGACATGTGAGGGAGAGAGAATCTGAAAGGTTATGTATAAAATACTCAATATAAAGGGAGATGTGACTGGGAGGTATAGGAGGATTCAGCTGCATTAATAATGTTTTATTCCTTAAGCTGAGTATTAGGTTCATAGCTGTTTGTTCTATTTATACCTTTCAGATAGATAGATAAGATAGATAAAATATAGATACAGGTATACAATCATGTGTCACATCACAATGGGAATACATTCTGAGAAATGCATCATTAGGCAATTTTGTTGTGTGAACATCATAGGGCATACTTACACAAACCTGCTGTCCTCTCCTATGATAACAATACCTTCTTCTGGAATACCTCCCAAAGGACGAGTCTGAGGCTGTTTTACAGTTAACTTTTTTCTTTTCTAAATAGAAGGCACATACTCTAAAATAATGATATTTATAGTACAGTAAAAAGTAACACACAAACCTAGATGGTATAATTTACTACATGCCCAAGCTATATGATATAGCCTATTGCTCCTAGGCTACAAATGTGTATAGCAGGTTACTGTACTATATATTGTAGGTGATTATAACACAGTGGTAAGTATTTGTGTATCTAAACATAGAAAAGGCACAGTAAAAATACAGTATAAAGGATAAAAACCTCCATAGGGCGCTTAACATGAATGGAGCTTGCAGAACTGGAAGTTGTTCTGGGTGAGTCAGTGAGTAAGTGTTGAGTGAATGTGAAGGCCTGTGACATTACTGTACACCACTGTAGTTTTTATACACATTGTACACTTAGGCCACACTCATTTATAAAAAATATTTTCCTTCAATAATAAATTAACTTTAGCTTACTGTAACTTTTTCACTTTATAAACTTTTTCATTTTTAAAACTTTTTGAATCTTGTAATGACACAACTTTAAACACAAAAATGTACAACTCTGAAAATATTTTCTTTCCTTATATCTGTATTCTATAACTTTTTTCTGTTTTTAATATTTTTTTTTACTTTATAAACTTTTTTGTTAAAAATGAAGACAAACACACATTAGCCTAGGCCTACACAGGGTCAGGATCATCAATATCACTATCTTCCACCTCCACATCTTGTCCCACTGGAAGGTCTTCAGGGGCAATGCATGATGCTGTCCTCTCCTATGATAACAATGCCTTCCTCTGGAATACCTCCTGAAGGACTAGTCTAAGGCTGTTTTACAGTTAGCTTTTTTCTTTTCTAAATAGAAGGCATATATTCTAAAATAATGATATTTACAGTACAGTAAATAATAAACCAGTAGCATAGTTGTTTCTTATTATCAAGTATTATGTACTGTACAAAACTGTGCTAGACGTTTATATGAATAGCAGTGCAGTAGGTTTGTGCACACCAACATCACTGCAACCATGTGAGTAATGCGTTGTGCAATGACTTATAATGGCTACAACACCACTCAGTGATAGGAATTTTCCAGCTCATTATAATCCTATGGGACCACCATCATATTTGCAATCAGTCATTGACTGAAATGTTAAATACATGACTGTATATTACACATTAAACAACACCTCTAAAGATGTTTTGATCCAGTTCAAAGGGCTTTAAAGATGTTTAATGTATTAAATTGAGCTACGTTTTGAAACTTATAGAAACTAGTTTTTTTCCTACTCTTACGTTGGAAGTTGTGCTTAGTATTTTTTTTTCTTTATACTTTTATGTTGGGAAGGACAGAGCTTGTGAGGAAGTATTGATCAATTATAAAAAAACATTTTATTTTCATGTTTGAGTGATGAGTAAGCTAATTTGTATCATTCCTATAATGGAGGTTTCATAGAAGAGGTGAATTTTAAAACTGGCCCTAAAGATAAGAAAATCTGGAAAAAAAGTTGATAGGGAAGAGCCTTTCATAAAAACAAACTGAGCATGGGATGTAGAAAACTAGCTCAGGGAACAAGGAATAATTATTTGACCAGATCATGTGAAGGAAGAAATGGGATATATAATTGGAAAGATACAATAAAGCTAGAATGCAGAGGAACTTGAAATGCCTAGTAGTCTATATTTCACTGGCAAAAGATAAATTGAAAATTCTAAATTATATTTTCCAGCCTGTCAGAAGTTTGATATAGTCACATGTCTGAGTTTTGACCAACAGGACATGTAAGAATGGCTCTTCCAGGCCTGGTCCATGAAACCTCCCTTGCCTGCTAAACAGATAAAGAAAATCTGGTGGAGCTCTCTGAGGCCCCAAAAGATGGCAGAGCCACTCTGGAAGAAGCCTGGGTACCTGGATGACTATGTGAAGCAGAAACCCCACCATATCCTCTCTGTGTATCCCCAGTGGTTGGTGATATAACCAAATAATAAATCTTTGTTGTGTTAAAACACTGAAAATAACTCTGTTTGTTATAGCATTTAGCCTATTCTGACTAATATACTACATAATTGCATTTATATGCCTATCTCTTACTGCTAAACAGTGAGCTTTTTGGGGGGCAAAAACATATAGTTCTTAATTCACATTGACTAGCACAAAGATGATCAATAAGTATTTACTGAATTAATACATACTCAACTAAGGCAGGAGAAAGGACTAATATATTTTATAATGTTCTCCTTGTACCCACCTTTTCTCCTAAAGTGATTGTTGAAACAAACATGCAAAGAAAAAAAAGTTCTTAAACACCAGAAAAACAAAATAGCAAGCCAACAAGATTTCACCATTTCTCAAATATTCTGAGTATCTGACATTTGTTGCAGTAGAAAATAAAGGTTGGTTCTGAGGTTTCCAAAAGGGACAATCATACATCCTTCAAAGCAATAAGGGAAAGAAGGCTTTCCATCCATCATTCTCATCATAAAAAGAGCAAAATTCTCTACATTCTATAAGTCTAAAGTAATTTCTATCCCTAAGTTGTTACTTGTAACAAGGAAACTTGGAGTCAGTTTTGCAAGGCTATTTACTAGAAAGTCATTTTGACGCATTTACTTGGGGCAGCTATTTGTCATAGCTGAGTCAAAATGCATTAAAGTGGCTTGAAATGTGCAAGTTTCCCCCCTTTTTTATTACTAGGAAATATTTACAACACATTAACCCCAGGCAATCTTAGGAGACTTTCATTTTAAGGATATTGGCATATGTTTTTTGAGTGCTGAGAGAATCATTAAATATAAAATTAAGAATTCCCCATGGAGATTGACGCTAAATTAGTAGATCAAATTACTATTACTCAAATATCCCCCCTTTCCCAAATTCCATATATATATATACGTTTGTGTGTGTATGTGTGTGTGTAAACACATTAGGAACCCCAAAATTTTCAAATTAAAAAAACAGCTATCATTATTAAGCAGAAATTCTATGCATTCATTTAAAGTAAATGAATATGGCTATTATAACTTTAAAAGAGAAATCATGACACTCGGAGAACTCATTCATGTAAATTCCTAGAGAATGGGCAGATGCTTAAGTTAAGAATGACTGATGGTCTTTTGTGAAATGAGCGAGCTTGGTAAATACAGACCTCTTGGTTATCTGTAGTTTGTCTTTCAGATTGTGTCTAGGTGTCTCCTCATTCTTACTCTTCCCTGATCCTCAGCTCATGCCTTGCTCAGCCCTATGCCAACAGCAATAAGGTGCGGATGATTATATCACACATTTCTTAATACTAAAAACAGTTGATGAGGCTGGAGGATCACTTGAGCCAAGGAGTTAAAGTCCAGCCTGGGCAACATAGTGAGACTTCAACTTTAAAAATAAAAAAATTAAAATTAAAAAGTTGAAATTGTTATACGGTTTGTTTGGGAGTTGTGTGGAAAAAGTCCATACATGAAATTAACTGCCTTAAAAGAGCAACCTCAGACTGCCTTTATCCCCCACATCCTTATTCTGCCTAACTCCCACCGTCCTGTCAACCTCTATTTTGCCTCAAAGCTTCATGCCAAAGCAACTTCTGGTACTCAGTTTGGTAATTTGGGTTCCTAGTTGTTGAACACCTTCTATCTCTGCACATGAATACAAGCACATACATCTCTTTAATATTCTCCCATGTACATTATTCATGTTGTGAACTTTGTTCATGATTTTTTTCTTGGGTAAAAACCAACCCCTCCTTCAATTATAATGAAAGTTTCAAGTTAAATTTCTCAGGGAAAGTAATAGGGAAATATTTTGAATTGAAGTGCTAAGAGGAAACTTAATGGCAAAGTACATGTCCAGTTCTGTTAACTGACAAGTTTAAACTCATGCTAAAGTCTCCAAAGTATTAACATAGCCATACAATTTTAAATTTTTCTAGTAATGCAAGACTAAGACATGGATTTTTAACATTTTTTCTAGGTCAGTGAGTTATGCAAATGTATCTGGTTTCCAAGATGCTGGGTTATGGATGTCACAAGAAGAAAAGTCAACAGTCCTAGTCACAAAAAGGCAATGAAAGCAAGGAAAGAAGTTTTGTAATTAGAAACCTGAATTAGATGCTAGTGCAAGATGCAGTGTGTTGAATTTAAAATGTCTGTAGAATCAAACCTGACTTTTTAAGAAAGAAATAGTTTTATCAGACAAAGTCATAATAATGCCATTGCTGTTTGAATCAAGAGGAAGGTAATAAACATCAGAGAAGTAGCAGTGTTTTTTTCAAAGCCATTTCATGTCTGTTCACACAGTGCTTACGCATGAGAATGAAGCACATTATGGTTCAGAAGAAATGAAACAGCAAACAAAATACTATCATGACATATTCCATTTCAGAAGGCTTAGTGATCTGTTGTTTTTATGAAGATTATTATGTTCTGAATATCCCTATTCAGAAATGTCCCCAAGAAAATACCGTAGCCTTGAACAAAATAGAGGAACAATTGCAATCCTAAAATAGCAGGGCAGGAGACAGTGGAAAGTAGAAAAGACCTCTCAGTGTGTTCCTTGATGAGATATGAAGATTGATGATAGATTGCTTTTACTGTTTTCTCCCATGATTTATTTTTACAATTATTTGATGAGAATTAGCATTTTATCAGAAAAACACTGCTGTAATGTTGATAAAGCATTGTTCTGAAAGAGAGGGAGCTTCCCTGAAAAATTTAACAGGGTAGTCATTCAGCTCTTTCAATTCTCAACAATCTCTCTATGTGACTCCATCTATGTCAACGTTTTTACACCATACAATAGCTCAGATTGTTAACTTGATAAATCCAGAATAGAGTTCTCTCTTGTTCTACAAACCCATACATCTATATATCCCTTCCTATTTGATATTTACTCCTGAACATCCTTCAGGAACTTCAGATCCACTGAACATATCTTCATCATCTTCACTGTAATTTGTGGTCCCTTTGAGAAGTGTCGCAATTACTGCTGCATTTGGAAACAGCTCATCTTGACTTTCCCCATAAAGACTCAAAATCTCCTTGCACTAAGAGACATAAATTGCCAATGATTTTTAGTCTGTGTTTCTCACAGTGGGTTTTGTTCTTGCAGCAAAGAATAGTATAATCTTCTATAACTGCTATAGATATTAATGAATAAAATGTTACCAACTCTTCTCATCTTGTTGGCAAAAATTCTACCGGTGTGTTAGGACTATCTTCTTTTAGAAGCAGCATTTCTTTTGTGAATAGTTAGGTAGAGAATGGTTAGATAGGTGGATAAAGGGACAAAGAGCTATACACATCAATGATTTATAACATAAAGGAATAAATGGAGGAATGAGTCACTGATTCTCAGGGGGGTGAAAAGTGACCCAGAATGAAGTGAGTGAATCCCTCTTCTGAGGGTTTTTTCTTGATCTGCTGTACATATGGCTCGAGTTTTAGAGATCAATCCTGTTTTCAAATATATTGCTCCATTTTGATACCACTTGTATCAATTTTGTCATTTGGGAAATATGGTCACCAAACTTATGGTAGAAAATGATAAATGTTTCTATCTCATATGTTTTCATTAGGGTTTTAAAAAATATTATGTAAGAGAAAATACATTAAATGTTCAACTGTAAGTATACTTCTATTTTTTTACTTTCCACTTTACTTTGGTCATTTCTCAGTCCTCATCTTTCTTGTTCTAACAGCAGCTTTCAATAAAATTGAACACTTCCTTTCTTGAATATTTCCTTTACTTGGCCTTAGTGTACCACTCTCTCTTAGTGTTCCCTTTACATCACTGGCTGTTCTCTCTCGTCTCCTTTGGTGGCTCCTTCACATACACTTGACCTCTAGACCTTGTCCCACCTCAGGGGTCAATCTTTGAACATTTTTATATATCTACAATTTCCTGTGGTCTCATGGCTTTTAAAAACTATGCTATCTTTTAAAAGCATCTACCACTGATGCTCAAAGCCTGGACCTGTCACCTGAAGTCCTTTCTGTCTATTCAAAATCTCCACAAGGATGTTTAATATTAGTTTAAAGTCAACATGTTTAAAACAGAACTCCTAATTTTTCCCTAAACTCTAATTGTCCTGCCTTCAGCTTCATCTCTACCAACAGCAATTCATCTATCCAGTTGCTTGGGCCAAAACCCCTGTACTTTTCTTTGATTCTTCTCTTTTTCTCATAACCCTCCACCAATCTTTCAGGAAATCTTGTTGGCTCCACCTTAAAAATATATCCATAATACTACTAATTATCATCATCTCTTTCTGTTCCAATTTATTTACCCACATCCACTGCTATGACTTTTGTCGAGATATCATCTCTTAGGCTGGGCACAGTGGCTCACGCCTGTAATCCTAACACTGTGGGAGGCTGAGGTGGGTGGATCACCTGAGGTCAGGAGTTCAAGACCAGCCTGGCCAACATGGTGAAACCCCATCTCTACTAAAAATACAAAAATTAGCCAGGCATAGTGATGTGTACCTGTGGTCCCAGCTACTTGGGAAGGTGAGACAGGAGGATTGCTTGAACCTGGGAGGTGGAGGCTGCAGTGAGCTGAGATCACACCACTGCACTCCAGCCTGGGTGACAGAGCAAGACTGTCTCAAAAAAAAAAAAAAAAAAAGATATCATCTCTTACCTTGATTATTGCAATCACTTTCTGTTTTTTTCTCTCTTTCTTTTTGACTTCCCTATAGTCTATTCTCAATAGCCAGAGTGAGCCTTTTAAAACTTGAGTCAGGTCATGTCCTTCTTCTGCTCAAAATCTCCAAAGGTTTCCTATCTTTTTCAAAGTAAAAAGCCTATAGAGCCTTAAATGACTTGGTCCCCCAATAGCTCTTGTCCTCTCTTCTGTCACTCTTTTCCTTATTCATTGTGCTCTAGTCTTACTGGCTTTTTTGCTTTTCTTTGAATTCCTAGCACTCTGCCATCTCAGGGCCTTTGCTCTGGCTGTTCCCTTGATTAGAATAATTTTTCTCTAATACTTCCAAGTCTCACCCCTTATTTTATTCAATTATATGCTCAATTGTCACTTTATCAGAGATAACTTCTCTGACCACATTAACAAAGTAGCAACTTTCTGTCTCCCTAATCCTGGTTAATTTTCCTCCAGTGCATCTTAAAACTACCTCACATACTACATTTTTTGTTAGAAGGGAATGCCTATCCTATGTTAGTAGGTATGGAGAGAATCTCCCAGGATATTATGACAGTCAGGAGGTAGCAGACTAAAAGAAGTAAGAAGGACTGGGCAGAGGCACTGAGGAAAGAGACTGTGGTTTGTAGAAAAGAGCTTTCTTTCTGTGGGCAGGGTTGATGCTGCTGTGCAATCAGCTCTCATGGATTCCATATTGTCTTAATGATCCTGGGAGAGATTAGTGGAAAGATAGAGATTGCAGGCATACATTGTTTGTACATGAGATACTAGAGGTGGAAATGTCACCATTGTTAGCATCAGTTTCCTCCAGTCTTTGCCATGTTGAAGTATATTCATGCTCCAACCGCAAGGTTTCCCATAATAGAGCAGGTATCCCAATTATCTTGGTCAATTCCCTGATAAGGGTGACACTTCACATGGTCATATTTCTTATTCCTTTCTTTATTTTATTTATTTATTTATTTATTTTTTGAGTCAGAGTCTCGCTCTGTCGCCCAGGCTGGAGTGCAGTGGCAAGATCTAGGCTCACTGCAAGTTCCGCCTCCCGGGTTCACGCCATTCTCCTGCCTCAGCCACCAGAGTAGCTAGGAGTACAGGTGCCTGCCACCACACCCGGCTAATTTTTTGTATTTTTAGTAGAGATGGGATTTCACCGTGTTAGCCAGGATGGTCTCGATCTCCTGACCTCGTGATCCACCCACTTCGGCCTCCCAAAGTGCTGGGATTACAGGCATGAGCCACCACGCCCAGCCTTCTTATTCCTTTAAGGCAATGGTATTGATGACAGTGGTGAGTTGTTAATGCCACAAGACATCAGTTCAGGAGCTGGTGCCAGGCCTACCATGGCTCACCTCAAAATCCCTGACTTCCCTAAAACTACATGTCTGTACATGTCTGGTTCTAGGGTTATAAAAGCAACACTCTGGCAAAGACCACCTTGAAAATGTGCACCCAGACTGCAATTTTAGGGATTTGAGAAATCACAGAAATAGCTTCTTCTTTCCATTTTTAAAAGTGGAAAAATAGATGGCATTTTTAAGGATAAAGAGAAATTAAGTGACTAAGCCCTACTAACTGCCACCTAGGCCAATATTAACTGTCAAAATCCCCAGAGAGGATCACAAAGTAAGAGAAGTAAGTGTGTTTTATGTATCCCTCCCTTCTGGGAGCCATCTTTCCCTGCCCTTTGATTTCCAACCAAAGGACAGTCATCTTGTGGTCTATGCATTTCAATTGTCATTCCCCTCCCTAGTCAAAAGCTTCTTTCAGAAAATAATCTGATATAAATCATTTATTCCTCAAATATAAGGCTACTTGCTTTGTTTTGTCTCTGTGAAATATGTTTCAGCTCTGCAGCAGGGTGAAGATCGCTCACAGCTGTCAGGAAGATTGAAGTCAAAAGTTGGGGCAAACTTATTCAGGCACTGGGGAAATCAAGACCCGCCGGACAAAACTTTGTTGGTGAAACAAAACCAGGGCATGGATTGTACTGGAGTCAGAGCAAGAGGTAGTCATTTGAGGAAATGGCATACACAAAAATTATTCTAAGATCAAAAAATGAATCCAGTCCCAATGTGGGGAAAGGGTTGAATGTATTCTGTTTTTTAGTAAGGCTTAAGAAATAGGGCATATATGTAGTTGGTCTGGATAAATTCCCAGCCTTGTCAGGACAGGGAATGGGGAAGTGGGGAGTGTCGTTGGGGATGATTCTCTTTGGGAAAGTAAAGACTCTTGGGGGCAGAGCTGCACTTCCATTGTTCTTGAAGAGAGACCTAACATCTACTAAGCACTTTTTTGGGGATAGGCACTGTGCTAAGAGCTTTGCTTGCATTATCTTATTGAATTATTGCAACAACGTTATGATGCAAATGCTGTGTTTATCTCCATCACTTGTTAAAGCTCTCAGAGTAACAAATGTTGAATTCAGGCTGTGAATGCAGCTCTGGCTGTTTCTGGAGACAACACCCACTCGGAACAGCCATATGGCCTCCATATGGTAGAATGTTGGACTAACACAGCCTGCATTTGATATACAGCAACACTCCCCAGTGTCTAAGTGAATGGAATGGGTCCTCCTCAAAACTTTCCCTCATATAATGCTGTTTCCCTGAGATTTCCAAAGATCCTAATGGTTCTCTGGGTTCAATGATGTTAATTTATGTGTTTTCACATCTCAAAATTTAATGAATTAGCAATGGCCTGCAGGATCTGGTCTCTGAATTACTAGCTTGAGACGGATCTCATATTCTTCTTGATCCAATCCAGATGTGCCTAATGGAGGCAGCCTTAAATAGGTATTATCATAAAGAAAATTCTTACAAAGGCATGAGTGGTGACAATTATATTTTAAATTTTATCATCACCTAACAACATGTCAGGCTGATTCAATTCTTCACTGGGATTTCTGATTCTCCAATAACTGTGGGCCAGGGGACACACTGCCCAAATCCCTGAAGGGAGTTCTCCTAATAATTGGAATATGCTGCCTAACTCAATTTCTAATTCCCTAAACTCTATTCTGGAATACATAGATATTGAATCAATACTTCCTTTGTGTCTCTCATCACAGGGACTCATGCACTATCACACCATTTGTTGGCATTCATTCATTCAACACAGAATCACTAAGCATCTACTCTGGGCCACACTTTGAGACGACAGTGAACAGGACAGGCATTGTCCTTTGGGAATCTTATAGTCCAAAAGTAGAAACCACATTTTAGTGTAATCAGATATTATCCGTGAAGGAGTCCCACAGCACTTCCCAACAAGCTTCACTTTCTAGACATATTTTTAAATCTTAATAAAAATGCTATAGAGTTTTTGACTCAAGTTGAAACTGTTCTTGGGTCTCACTTAGATGAAGACAGTTCTTAAAAGACTTGAGCTTCCTGACCATAATATATTCCACTTCAAATATGGAGTAAATGTATTCCTGCTTCTGTATATTCTTGCTATGTATACAATTTGCCCTTCCTAGAAAACTTTTTGTTTCTACTTTGTTTATCTAATTCTTGCCTTCCTTCAAATCCCAGCTCAGGTTCCCATATTCTTTGAAACTTTCTCTGGCACAAGGGAGTTCTTTGCCTAAAAATTCCCAGGACATTCATTAACTTGTTGTCATGACTCCTTGGATTATTTGTTTCTTCTCATATCTACCCTCCAGGAGTTTTTGACTTTTTCACCTTTGCATCCTGTTGTTTAGAAAAGTGTGTAGCACATCATGGATACCCTGAAAATGTTTCTTAATGATAACACATATTTCTCTATTAACTTGATGATTATCAGGCCTAAAGAATAAACTTTTCCCAGGTAAACACTTTGTGACAATTAGCTTTTGGCCAGAGAAATTTACCCTTAGACTTAGGGTCTGCAGTTTTCTTTTAGGTTTCTGCATGGATTACAAGGCAAACTTTCTTTGTAATTAGTCCCAAACATGGTGGCGTATTATGGAAAGGAAGCAGAGAGCAAGAACTTGTGGTTTCCAAGACTGCTATAGTAGCTGATACTCTTAGGGAAGCAGCACTATGTTTGGCACCATTAATTATATAGGCACTATAAATAACATAGAATAAGAAATTGGATGAAAATCCCAGATAGACTACTAAGAATTGGGAGAACAAGATAAGACAATGGATTCAAATACTGAGAAATGTCAAAACGTAACAAAGAACAGGGTGACTCATTTGATTAATGTCCAGGGAAGTTGTTAAGTATCCAGATCACAGTCTAGGCAGTGAGGGAATCTGGAAACAAATCAAGCAATCTCAACATTAAGGGCCAGGAACCCCAGACAATTCAGGGCAATAACTCTACAGGGCACCTAGAGTAAATGTCCTATATTTGTCTCTCTAGCCCAGCACTGTCTAATAGAAACATAATGTGAGTCACTTATATCAGTTTTAATTTACTATGGTCACATTAAAAAGTCAAAATTAGGCTGGGCGCTGTGGCTCTTGCCTGTAATCCCAGCACTTTGGGAGGCTGAGGCAGGAAGATCACTTGGGGTCAGAAGTTCAAGACCAGCCTGGCCAATATGCAAAACCTCGTCTCTACAAAAAATACAAAAATTAGCTGGACGTGATGGCACCCGCCTGTTATCCCAGCTACTCAGGAGGCTAAGGCATGAGAATCACCTGAACCCAGGTGGCAGAGTTTGCAGTGAGTTGAGATTGCGCCACTGCACTCCAGCCTGGGCAACAGAGCAAGACTCTGTCTCAAAAAAAAAAAAAAGTCAAAATTAAAAAGTGAAATTAATTAAACTACTATATTTTATCTAACCCAATAAATTCAATGTATCACCTATCTGTATATTCAATACGAAAGTCATATTGAATATAACTGATGTACAAATGACCTAGTTTACATTTTCTTCTTTTCACGGTAAGTCTTCAAAATCTGGTGTGCATTTTACACTAAGAACACAATTCAGTTCAGGCTAGCCACATTTCAAGTGCTGATAGTCAGGTATGGCTAGTTGCTACCATACTGGGCAGCATAGTTCTAGTCTACTGGTAAGAGTTGATTCCTACGACTGCTAATCTTTGGGTTGCTTCACCATCATCCCTAGTTTTGCTTTTTATATACTAAATCACTTGTGGTAACCAATTCCCCAAATAAAAACTTCACTGTTGTAAATATTTGAGGCAGTTTCTGTTTTTTTTTTTTTAGATCAGAATATGGCTAAAACAAAAGTACAAACCAAAGAAAGAATACATACAGAAGGAAAATCAGAGGGTGTACCCTAGGAAGATAGAAAAGGAAGGTCACAAATGCAAACTTTAGCAGCAAACACCAAAGCACTGTTAGAAGGGAGCGATTGTTGGCAATCAGACTTTTACAATTACAAGAATAACATTACTGGTCGTGCTGAAAAAGGGGGTCTCAAACTCTATTAGCAAACACTTGACATTCAACTCTTCCTCCTTTTATTCCCTTGCTCCATTGCTGTAATTCTATGCACACTATGTAATCCTCATTACAATTTGGTTTCTCATGCAGGTCTGTCTACCAGATAAGAAAGCCTTAGCTATGCAGATTAAAAAACTTGGTCTCTTTGGGATTTTATCCAACCCTTGCATAAAGGTGTCTCCACTTTTTAGTATCTTGCTGCACATGGCAGATCCTGGCAGGAGTTTCCTATATTGCTTTCAGTCAGAGACCTGATCTGGCAGGCCTTAACTCTGTTTTTGGGCCTCCATCAGCTCTCCCTCTGTGAAAGAAGAAGAGATGAATTCTATTCACCGTTGTATGATCATAGAGAGCTGGAAGAACTTCTTGTCAGCTGGTCCAAACTCATAATTTTTACAAATGGGGAAAGTGAGACCCATGGGGATTAAAAAAATTGCTCAAGGTCATGCAGCAAGTTAGTGGCAGAATGGAGATTATGACCCATGTTTTCTGCTACAGTGCTCTTTACACTGTGTCATTTATTAGATTATTACCTTAGATCACCCAATACTGATTTTGTGATTACAAATAAATTTTAGTAAGTAGGCAAAGTTACAAATACAGAATCCATGAAAGAAGACTGTGTGTGTGTGTGCATGTGCGTGTGTGTATGTGGGTATGTGTGTATAATGTGATATTCAGGCTCTGTGCCAAGCACTTTATGTGTATTGCCCTATTTAATCCTTTGAGTAACTCCATGAGATAGGTACTAGTTTTATGACAGTGTGCAAATTGAGGTTGAGTAACTTTCCCCAAATTTGAAAGGAGTAGAGCCAAAACTTCTGTCTTGGGGTCTCTGAATCCAAAGCCTATGTTCTTAGCCATTATGTTGAATTGCCTCCCTAAATGTGGTGCATCCCATGAGCTTTTCTTGACTTCAAAATTGCTTCCTTTTCTGGGTAGAGGTCAAGGGATGGTCTGTATTTCCAAAGCAACACTTTTTTGGTGAGTATAATCTAGAGCTGACTTATACTGTCAATCATAGCATTCTCTCTTTTCACTTAACCTGTATGGCTTAAAACACTGACTATCCATGAGTTGGCAAGATGTTTAGCCCAGATATTTAGGTCTGAATTCTTTAATAGGAAGGGTGATCAATGCTATAAGAAATTCTTCTCAATTTAAGGTTAAGGGCTCCAAAGTTCAAATCCATGAAGTGTTTGGAGTTGTGGAATTGGATTTCCCACCCTCATTGAACCACAAATATCAATTTTAACATGATAGAGAATATAACATTGTTTTAGGAATATCAAAAATACATAATTATAAAAGCTATCACTTATTAAAATCTTATTTAATGATTGAATGACAACACAATTGACAAGGTACTCACTGCTAATATGTAAGTTGTATGGGAAAAGTAACGAATGCTTTCAAAGCTTCCAATATTTTGCTCCTTTCTCTCCACCAAGTGGATCTATAGCTCAATCCTTGAACAGCTTCCAAAATCATCTGCTATTGGCTTATTGATAGTGTTTTTTAGTAGATTCTGCAACAAGCATTAGTTTCACGACTGAATGCAAAGCTTATAAAACTAAGCACTTCGAATACTTGTCTCCAGCAGCTCAGCGTTGTTTCTTTGCTGATTGTTCTGTATTCATCAAATATATTACATGTCAGTTCCAACTGCATGTAAATGGACCATAAGAGCATTAAGGAGTGTGACATGAAACAGTGACTATCCCCATCCCTCTCCTACTTTCTCAAAAGTGTATGGTGTTCACTGTTTATTGCTTAGAGGGATTTGCCAAGAACAATGGCTACTCAGGCCAGTAGCATTTATTCCAGTTATATCTTGAATTGATTAAAAACTCTTTCTCCATGCAATGATTATTTTTACCTTAAGCCAAAGGATGAGTTTTAATAAGGGATTTGTTGGAATCATCAGAGAAACAATGATATGGAAAGTGAGAATGAAATGATAGTTGTGTTTATCTTGTCAGTTACAACATGAATACTGAATGGAATTATTCAGGTTTGACTGAACCAAATAGCCAATTTATGACTTAAAGATGGAGACGTCACTTTTTTATCCATTGGATTTTAATATTCAAGAAAAATCTAAATACATTAATTGACAATAAAAATTGGGAGATTCATTTGTTAAGACTGGGCACTCTATGCTTTATTTTCAGTTTGTGGCTGAAAGAAAAGTAAGAAATGTTCCATTTAGGTACAACTAGCAATATTCTGGGACAATTTAAGAAAGTATCAACAGATAAAAAAGGAAGTACTAGTTTTGAGGAGTTGGGGAGGAGAAAGAGTATGTTGGCTATTTTGAAATAGTTTATTCATTCCAGGGAATGGATAACTGTTGGAGCTGAAATCAATTCCAAAGAAATAAAAACATCCCAGCTTAATTGACTGAGGAATAGGTATGCTTCAATAATACTAATATGCAGGAAAAGAGATACTTTGGTTACAGATTTCCTAACTACTCACATGGAAGACATGTGAATTTAGATACCAACGAATGGATGAATGAGCAAAACACTGGGAAAAAAAACTTGAAGTAGGCATATTAAAAATTGTATGCTTTCACCTGTAAAAGAAAACTAGAAATTTTCCAATTCCTCATGAATATCTTTCATAAAGAACAGTCTTTCCTGAAAAGCCTAATTATCTAAGGGACTTTGTAAGGATGGCAGGAAGATTTTGTCCAAAGACAGGTGGGTTAGGGAAAATATGAAGTTGCAATTGATTACTGAATATCAGAGAGCTGGAGTTGCAACAGAGGGACAGGGGACTTTTTAATGAAACATTAAAAATTTAGCTTATACAGTACTCTGTGAATGTTATACATTCACATTATACATATGTTTCTAAGTATACATTATCACTTTATACATATGCACTAGTGTTACAGTTATGGCTTTTTCCTTAGCAACGTCACATGGCAGGATTGATAGGTTACTTATGAATTATCAGTCCTAATTCTCTCCTTGAAGATAGAGGGACAGGCCATTCTGAGTCCTTGGAAAAGAATGCCTTTAACCAAGGAATAACAAATCTAGTTTTAAAAATATTTGGCACCCTTATTCCTATTTTTAAAAATTTTAAATTGATACATAATACTTGTACGTTTTTATGGGGCACATGTGAATTTTGATAAGTGCATAGAATGGGAAACGATCAAGTCAGAGTATTTAGGATATCCATCACCTTGAGCATTTATCATTTCTTTGTGTTGGGAACACTTTAAATCCTCTCTTCTAGTTATTGTGAAACATGCAATACATTGTTGCTAACTATAGTTACCTTACTGTGTGACCAAACATTAGAACTTATTTCTTCTACATGACTGCATGGTTGTACCCATTAACCTACCTCTCTTTATTCCCCTCACCCCACAGGCACCCTTCCAAGCCTATGGTATGTACCATTCTACTCTCCACCCCCATGAGATCACCTTTTTAAGCTCCTATATGAGTGAGAACACGTGATATTTGTTTCTGTGTCTGGCTTATTCACTTAACATAATGACTTCCAGTTCCATCCATGTTGCTGCAAATGACAGGATTTCATTCGTTTTTATGGTGAATAGTATTCTCTTATGTATATTATATATGCCACATTTTCTTTATTCATTCATCTGTTGATGGACATTAAATTTGATTCCTTATTTCTGGAATTGTGAACAGTGATGTAATAAACATGGTGTGCAGGTTTGCCTTTGATATACGTTTTTCTTTCTCTTGGATAAATATCCAGGAGTGGGATTGCTGGATCGCATGGCAGTTCCATGGTTAGTTTTTTGAGTAATTGTTATACTGTTTTTCCTAATGCTTGAACTAATTTGCATTCCACTAAAAGCATAGAAAAGTTCTCTTTTCTTTGTATCCTTACCAGCGTCTGTTATTTTTTGTCTTTTTAATAACAGCCATTCTAACTGCAGTAAAATGGTAACTCATTGTGGTTTTGATTTGCATTACCCTGATGATTAGTGAGGTTGAGCATTTTGTCATATACCTGTTGGCCATTTATACGTCTTCTTTTGAAAAATGTCTATTCATTTTCTTTGCCCGCTTTTTAATGGGATTATTTGTTTTTTGCTGTTGAGTTGTTTGCGTACCTTGTAGATTCTGGATATTAGTCCCTTGTTGGATAGTTTGCAAATATTTTATCTCATTTTACAGATTGTCTCTTCACTCTGTTTGTTGTTTTCTTTGCTGTGCAGAGCTTTTCAATTTAATGTAGTCCCATTTGTCTATTTTGTTGTTGTTGTTGCTTGTGCTTCTGTAGTCTTAGCCATAAAATCTTTGCCTAGATCAATGTCCTGGAGTGTTTCCCTTATGTTTTCTTCTAGGACTTTTATGGCTTCAGGTCTATACATTTAAGTCTTTAATCCATTTTGAGTTTTTTTTTTTTAATGGTGGGAGACAGGGAATTAGTTTCATTATTCTGAATACAGATATTTTATTTTCCCAGAACCATTTAATGAAGGTGTCCTTTCCCCATTGTATGTTCTTGGCACCTTTGTAAAAAAGTCAGTTGACTGTAAATATGTGGAGTTATTTCTGAATTCTCTATTCTGTTCCATTTTAATACTTTCACTGCTCTTTCATAATAGTGAGAGCATTCCTCTGAGGAGCTTTAGGCTTGAATTAACTCTTTATAACTAATATTGGTATAATTATTATATTTGATAGAAACTTCTACATGACTCTGCATGTAGAATCAAGTGAAGTACATGCCAGGTACAGTGTAAGAATAAGCATTGGCAAGCCACAGTTCAAATATTTCATAAAAATAAGTGTTAAGGTCTTTATCTGCTACTCAGAAGGGAAAACACTAATTATAAACAAACTATTAGTTGATCATTTGTTAAATCTTATTTAACCAGCTCACTTTAACCTCATAAAGAGTTTTGACTTCAGCCTTAACATATGAAATACATTTCTGCATGTGTTCACCATACATTTCCGAAATACATAATACTACATTCTTACTCTTTAGAGAGACAAAGGTAAATTTTTTGTGCTTTATTTGTGTTTTATCTCCAAATATATGACATGCCCTGAATTTGGTACTGGGGATATCCGTGGAAACTCCAGCCTGGTAGAGGAGATAAGCACAGACAGATATTTGTAATACAATGTGCTGATAGATGATGTGCTAAGTACTATGAGAGCATAGAGAAGGGAATATCTAACTGTGCCTATGTTAGATAAGGAGAATGGTCCAGTGGATCAATGAATGCTTGAACTTGGTATTGGAAACTGAATAGCTTGGGCAGCTTCAAATAGGAATGATTTGGAAGACTGTTATACAAAGAGTCCAAGTGATCGGTAAGGATCTGAGGATGACACACAATTGAATTTATTTAACGAGAATTTACATAGTGCTAATGTGTCAAGCCATGATCTAAGCACTTTATAAATATTAACTCATCCTGTATAACTTATAACATCGCTATGAGGGTAAGTAGTATTATAATCATCCTCACTTTATGGATGAGGAGACCAAGTAACAAACGCCAAGACTTTTGCTTAAGTTAACAAAGCTCATGAATGATAAGGCTAAAATTTGAACCTAGGCAGTTTGGCTCTAGCCTCCTTCCTCTTAACCACTATACCACACTGCCTTTTTGTATTCCAGAGTAGGAGTTCATCCTTTGACTTGGGTAAATAGGTGAATGGCATCCCATTTATGGAGACTGGGAACACAGAAGGAGCAACAGATGTCTTTCAGACAAGTGTGGAGCTAATGAGTTCAGTTTTAGGTATGTTGAGTTTCAGATCCTTCTGCTCATTACTTTGCCTAGACCTGAATCACAAAAGATAATTGTTGACTGTAGCTGATTATTTCTAGAGCTCTAGAAAGTGGGCTAAGTGTCAGTGTCAATGCTGGCCTAAAGCTTCTTGGGATCCTGGCTGTGTAAGCTGAAAGCAGTGGCACACCACAGAAGGAGGCAGGACATGTGTACTCACGGTCCTTCTGCCTACTACCCAAATTCCCTTAAGTCAGACCCCAACATGGGGCAAATCACCGAGACCTGTACTACCCTGAGTTTTTTATATAAGTTTGGAAATCTGCAGTTCTTTTCTCCTTTTTGTCCCTCAAATCCACTGCAAAGGTAAAAGACCTTTTGCATTTTGTTGAGCATGTTTTGAACAACAGTCATAATCCAGAGGTCACTGAGTTAGGATCATTGTGACAGAAATGTCAAATAAGTAAGCATCTAGAAGATTTCACTTTAATTCATTTAAGACAAAGCAATGAAAGTAATATCTACTTAAGAGAACTAAACTCAGCCAAACTTCTGCCCAAACCCTCAGATTCAACTTTCATTGCTGTCAGTTGGAATTATTCAGAAATATTTAAGAGAGGCAACTCAGTCTATGATGTATCATTTTGCAAGTGCTTTTTGTCTGTTGCTTATTGTTAGTTTTATTTTTTCTCACTTGCCAAGGTTTGGAATAGGGTACAAGATAAAACAAATTTTTGAAGCAGGTTTCAAAACTTTGTTGGTTGTCGAATTCCATTCCTTAATATTCTTGTCTCAGGAGAGGAAAGAAATAAAACAATTTCTCAACAAATAGGTAAAGTAAGTCTTGACATTTTGTCCTGTCATGAAACTAGGGGATGGGACAGGGAAAGGCAAATTGTTTTATATTCGAATAAGTGTTGTTTCATGTGCAATAGTTCCTCTGGGAATGTCTGTCTCTGAATTCATTCTCTGACTCTTAACTCTTCAATGTGCATACAGTTTTCTAAGTTTCCATGATGTAACACTCATTCAATAGTTTTCCCATTGTCCTAGAGCATAGTGAATTCTCCCTTAATTTCTCCCAGAAGTTCACAAGTCAGGAAGTCAGAAAACCAAAGCAGACAAACACTTCTAAGTGTTTGGCAGAGTTTGTAGATTATATCGGGGCATCTCTCTCCGAGTACGAGCTGTACCCATACAGAATGATAAGCATGTGAAGCTACTCAAAACAGTACTTCTAATACCAACACATGGGTTTATATTAAGATACTATATTATTATACTTGGAGAGAGTTAGTGACTTTTTATTTTAGGGACTCAGGACTTATATATCAGACTGCACGTAAGTCATCTTTACTAGGATGTCATAGATACTTCAACCTCAACATACCTAGTATCTTCTCTTCAAGACAAATTCTTCCTCATAGAGTTTCTACTTCAGTTAGTGGCATCATCACATACCTAAACCAGGAAGCCAAGAGGACTTTCCAACTCCTACATTTCCCTGATTCTCCATACCTATCAACCAGCCTTGGCTTTATGTATGATATTCTAAATATCTCTGAAATACAATCTCTCTTCTCTATCACCATTGCCACAACCATTGCCTTATTTCAGGCCCATATTACCTATCCTCTGGACAAGTGCAATTACCTTAAAACTAGTCTCAGCCACTTCTAGTCTCTTTACCCATCCTATCTATTCTTCCTTCACCAAGCCATAAAAGCGAAATTTCTAAGTCATAATCTTATAATTCCCTTTCTTAACCCCATCTCCCAGTGGCATTTAAATTCTTATATATGAAAGTTCAAGCTCCCCAGCATGGCACCTAAGGCCCTTTATGATCTAGCCCTTTGAAACTGTGTTCTAGTTTTTCTTTATCCTCCAATAGTGAGGTATCTTGAACTTTCCAAGGCGTTTCATGCCTCTGTCCCTATTCAGACGGAGTCAGTGCCTTCACAGCTACTATTTGAGTAACACTCAAAGCATCTATAAGGACCCCATGCAGCACATCCTAAATAGCTGTATGGGGTCTTTATGGATGCTTTGGGTGTTATTCAGGGAATTATCCAGGAGTGCCTCTTATCTAGGTTCCATAACTGTCATCATGTTATACCTACATTTTCCTTCTCTGTCAAATTCCTTTGGTTCTAAGTAGAGTTCCATGACCTACTTAGCTTTTTACCTAGTTTCTCTTTAAAGCTTTCCTCTTGTTTTCTCACATTTGGTTCCAAGCAGGAAAGCCCTCAGGCAAGTGATATTCTATCCCTACATCCTATACCAAGTTCCTCATGTTAGAGCCCAACAAGAGTCCATCTTGGTGGTGGAATGAGTTTCTGCCTTTGTACAACAATGCCATCTCTACCCTCTATTAATTACAGATGCCCTTCATTGTCCTTCAAAACCCAGTTCAAGCCAGGCATGGTGGTTCATGTCTATAATCCCAACACTTTGGGAGGCCAAGGTGGGAGATTGCTTGGGCCCAGGAGTTCAAGACCAGCTTGGGCAACACAGTGAGACCTCATCTCTACAAAAGTTAAAATAAAAATAAATTATCTAGGCATAGTGGCACGTGCCTGTAGTTCCAGCTACTTGGGAGGCTGAGATGGGAGGATCACTTGAGTCTGGGAGGTCAAGGCTACAGTGAGCTGTGATCACACCACTGCACTCCAGGAAAGGGCTAGATCCTATCTCAAACAAACAAACAAACAAATATCAGCTCAAATGTCACCAACTCTGAGAAGCTGTTCTTGTCTGGATTAAGAGAGTCATCCCCATTTATCTGCAGCTATATTCCTTGTACATATTTGTATGTCATTTATTCCTCTTTATTGGGTGATCTTGGGCAATACTTTTAAGTTTGCTATGCCTGGTTCTGTAAAAATAGGATAAACTCTCACTGTTGCTATCATATTGTAGATAGTAAGTGTGTACTAAGAGCTGGTAGAAAAAAATGCCTCTAACTAGGAATAGAAAACCATGTACACTCCATGGCTATTTTAGAGATCAGAAATAGCATTTCTATAATTGTAAGTTTCACTTATCCATGTATAAATAATTGTGGCCCTGAAAAATTGTGGCCCATTGGCATAAATGGGTCCTCAATTTCACAAAATGCCTTAGTGAACTTAAATAAAATTAGACAAAGAATGTTACTATTTGTTGACACAGATTATCTTTATATATCATAAGCAGTAATGAAGTATTTATTCACACACTGGTCTCCTAATATTAACTTATGAGTTGCCCTTGTTTGGTGAAGTGGTCTCTCATCTCTCATCTCTCTCCTCCGATGGTAAACTGAAGAGCTTATATTCATGATTTATAGATAGCATGCCTTTGCACAACTACATCCTTACATCAGGGCCTCCTATGTAACTCAAGTATCAGGGAATCACATGAGGACAGCCCTAAGAATAATTCTATTCTCTAAATGGAACAGATTCAAAAATAGGTTTTCAACCCTTATTAGATCATTCAGCATCCATTGAATGGTCACCAATGACACTCTCCTCATCTTTTTCTCAGTCTTTGTTCTTCTTGCCCTCTTTACACTATTTGTCATTCTTGAAACCCACCTTATTAAAATATTTTCCTCTTGGCTTCTACAATTCTCAATTCTCTTTTTGAAATCATGCCTCTTCTGATTTTTCATTTCTTCTGCCTATGACTGTGGGTGCTTTACTTGCTTTATATCTTGAGCTTCTGCTTTTCCTTCTCTCTATCCTCTCCTCTACACTTGGATGGGTGGATGACATCAAATCAATATCTTCAGTCCTGAATATCCCAAGACCCAGTTTGGAATTTCTTTCTCTCTGCTGGATATTTCCACGAAGATATGCCAACACCATTACTTTAAACTCAATACTCTGTATCCAAAGCCAATAATTGCAACCATCTCAAGAACAGATTCTCCTATCTCTGGTAGTGATGCCTCATGTTTCAGTCATACAGACATTTGATTAATGAACAAAAGTTAAATATTGGGAGTACATTTTTTTCCCTCTGCTCACATAGAAGGCAGACAAGATTAGAGGATGCATTTTTCATAACTTTTACTTTATTTTTGAAATTTCTATCAGCAACAGGGTTAAGCTTATGTAGAAGAACATTCAACCTAATAAATAGCTGTAAAAACATGTTTAAAGAAAATATATCTGGCTTTTTCTTCTTTAAGGGGAAAATGAAAATTAGAAGAAAGGCACAAAATTTTGTGCTTTTAGGTTTAGAATAGTATGTTTACACATTCCCTTTTTTTTTCTTTCTTGCTGTCAATTTTTTTTTATCAGTTAGGAATTCTTGGTTTACTAGGTCTCATTCTTAAGGAATAGCTTTTTGGGTTCCAAGATCTTTAACCAATGCCAATTTATAAATCAAGGTTTTCTAACACAAAGATCTCAAGGTTCAGTTTTACAAAAATTTAAAAATAATTTCCCTTGGATCCATACTTGCTAAAAGAGTCAAACTCTCTCATCATTTTCTCCATGATGCCTAACAATACCCTACAAAGCTACTGTAAGAAGAGAAACTCCTTTTTTGCCCCTGCTGGTAGAGGTGAGTGTTCAGTTCTTCTGCTGCTCCTTAGGCCCATGAATATCAGATGTGTAAATAAAACTCACAATTGGCTGAACCTTCTCATCCTATTGTTTAAACCTCACCCATGAGATGATTCAGACTGTGTTTACTCAACTGCAAACTATTTTCTGATCTCAAACAGAAAATTAGTCAAGCCAGTTGTTGGGGTTACAAGAAGATAGGAAGCTCAGAGAAAGTCTACAGAAAGGAGGTAGAAAGAAGCAAGTTCTTTCCAGAATCCCAAAGTTCCATGAAATAAGGCTTTAAATTATGCAAATTAATAGATTTAGCACTACAAATGTACATGGTCTTAAAATGTTAAGCAAAGATGCCACGGTAACTGTAGAAGGTGATTATAGGCCTGACACAGAAAACTTTATTTTTCCTTCTTAAAAAAAAAAATGTTTTTCCTCCTGTTTTTCTCCTAACAATAAAAACAAAGGGGTCAAAAACATGCCAAAGAATGATGAATTGAAGGAGACAAGGCCATTTAGGGATCATTTAAATGTCTGTGTGGTCTTTCTGTTTTAATAATATTCAGATGCTCAACAATTTTCTTTTTCTTTCCTTGTAGATTTTAAAAATACAGCAGTAAAAGATGTAAGAAGCCATTGGGAAATCTGTCTGATGGTCAGAACTTAAGACTTCTACATTTGTTTTCTTCTTCTCTCTACTCCCCCTCCTTTTCTTTTGGTCTCAGGATTCTTTCAACATTTGCATAAAACAAATATTTTACAGTTCAGAGAAATTTTTAGTACAGTTTTCCTGTGCAAATTGCCAGAAAGCCTTGCCTGAGCAAACTGCTCAACCAAAAGTAGCACTATAGAGTGCTCTGGAATGTCAGTTACTGTGAGACAAGGTCATCTACATTAAGTCTGTGGTTTCGAATTCCACCTGAAATGGAGTTTGGGGTTGTTTGTTGATTTATTTGTTTTTGCGATTCTGGATCTATATTTTATTTTTAGCCTATGAAAGCATTCAGGGTTGGAAATTTTCTTGCTTCTATCCAAGTAACATGTGTGGCTATTTTTCCAAGAATGATTGATGCCGGATCAACTGAAGCAAGTCCATCAATAGTCAATCTCCATTTCAAGTATCAACATACCTTCTGATAAAGATTATCTGTACATTACTAAACCTCAGCTTCTTATTAGAACTAGGAGTACCACTGAATTACAGATTCAAAAAGCTCTATGGGAGGTTATTTCTTTCATTAACTGTTTGGACACAAGATTAGTCACAGAAGTTTGAGTCACTAGATTATTTGATTTTAGTACCTAATGCTATTCATTCATTTTGATTATTTTGTAGATTACCCCACTATGTCTTTATCAGGCATTTGAAACTCCTTAAAGCCTCAGGTATTTTGGTTTTCTAAAGTAAAAATAGTTAAAAGAGGCAATGTGTAGAATCTACAATTTAAAAAAGGAAAATGATAAAGTTAAGCAAACGTATGTGCTACAGCTCCCAACTTACTCTTACTAAAGCCATCAGGCCAACTCAGAGACAGGAAGCACGCAAAGCCTGACACCTAGCAGGTTTCAGTATCCATCCGCCAAGTGAATAGAGGTTAGAATCTCAAATCCTAGAAATGAGAGTCATTTTTCTCCTCCTTAGGTTTTCGGAGTTTAAGAGTTGAAGCAGCCCTGAAAAGTACTGCTTAAGTAAGATAAAGCTATCAGAATTGAACTTTGATTTCTTCTGGGAAACTATATCTAGTTCATCTGAAGTGTTGTGTGAACTACAGAAAGGTTCCACTGCTGGAAACTTCTCCCATACTGTTGTGCCTTACTACTTAGAAGTGTCCGTGCCCTCTTCAGCTATGACTCTACTGACCTCAGGAACTCACTGAACAAGGCATGTAGGGACGCTTGCAAGAGCCCTGGTAATGGTGAAATGATCCTATTGTTACACTATTTATGGAGCAACAAGTTTGTACAGAGAATGACTTGCTTGGCCTCCAATGCTGAGAATGCTGTTGATGCCGCCACGTAATAGCATCATTTTAGGTGTCCTCAAGGACAGAACTTCCCTTTTGGGTAATGGAAATTAGAACAAAGAACTTCACAGGGGAATAAATATTAATGACTGATGTGACTTTCTTTAAGGAAGAAGAAAATATGCCAGTGTTTATTCTCTCCTGCATCATTTCCATAATTTGCTTTTTTACTGTGAATTTAGAGCAAATGTGTCATGCTGGTGTTTTGTCTTGCTTGTTTGTTTGATGCTGGGGGCTTTATGTGTTGTACACTTTACCCCTCACATTGTGTAATTTGCATTAAACCTGCAGTAAACGTCCTTTATTGGCATCTTAGAAAAAAAAAGAAATGTGCTCTATCCAGATAAATATCAGTTGATGAAACTGACTTAACAAACCATGTCCAGAACCAATCAATATTTGTTAAATCCTTCAAAATTTTTTATTCTAATATACTGAGTTGGAGAACAAAATACCATACTAAATTATTTATCCCATGCAATATTTAGGATACACTTGAATACTTAAAAAATTGTTATTTATCTGAA
The DNA here is from genome assembly GCF_000001405.40 of Homo sapiens. Taxonomy (NCBI): domain Eukaryota; kingdom Metazoa; phylum Chordata; class Mammalia; order Primates; family Hominidae; genus Homo; species Homo sapiens. The sequence goes on along the minus strand of NC_000015.10, from coordinate 49,672,766 downwards.
ATTCAAATTTAACAAGGCATCTTGTATTTTATCTGGCAATCTTAGCAAGTGGCAGGCAGAACATGTTGGAAGTGGCAAAGAGGGGACTGTGTCGGGGTGACTGCTGAAAATCAGCCCATGTACCATCTTCAATACTCAAATCTTGGTGACTGATTTCCTATCCATGTTGAGATAGATGTATAATACCTATTATTTATCAGTGTATAGACAATCTCATTTCTGCAAATGTAAAGAACAACAAAAAAATAAGCACCACTCTGAAAAAAAGTGAATCATTTTGTCTCAGTAGAAATAGTTGAAATTATGGTGCCTTTCCCTCTAAACATATACAGGACAATTCTTTAAAAAACATTTTAATTTTTATTAAAGTGTTTGTTTTATATAGTTTGAGAAATCAAATAGCAGTAGAGTAATACATGGGATTGCCGTCCCTACTCTGCCTACAGTAATACAGGGGATTACCTTCGCTACTCAGAGTAGGGACACTGTCCCTACTGCCCTCCCCTACTGTGGAGCCCCACTTCCCAGAGGCAACCCACTTTTAATTTTGTTTGTTTCTCCTGGAGTTTATTTCCATATTTCTAGGTTGCACACATTAAAATGTTATTACTAGACAATATCTGTTGATTTTTGTCTATAAAAATTATGATATAGCTCCTTACACAGACCAATGCCTTCCCCCAGCATACACACATTCTAAACTCCTTCTCTGAACTCCTACCCATTCTCTTAATATAACAATCTTTGATTGAATAAAAAGGAACAGCATTATTAAGATATAAATATGGTTTATAGCAGAATCACATAGTATATGTTATCTTCCATGTACATCTTATGTTTTCCCCGGAGTTAATAACAGCTTAATTTTTCAAAGCTTATTCTTCTATGTACTAACTCTAATTTACCCCCAAATTCTTCTAAAGAATTCTAAAACTGTTTTCATGGTCAAAGTCAACAGAAAAGTTAGAAGTTCCATTCATCTTTTCATTAAAAGTAGCCTTTCCGAAGGCCTCTGTCCTCTTATTTTGATCTAGACTAGCTACTCTGCAGGCTTGCTACACATTGTTCTATGATTTTTGTTCAATATTCTCTTTTGGACTTCCCTAATGTTTCCTGTATTGACTTATCAAGATCCTAGATCCTCTGTATTCCTCTTTCTTTAATTAATTCCTTATATTGGTGAAGCATTTTTTTTTAGAATTTTGGGAGGAAGGATGCATGGGTGGTGAACACAGACTCCTGAGTATCATGGAATTACATCATTCATCAAAAAAATCTGCACTGATTGTAAGTTTTTAGAGTTGGAAGAAATTTTTTAAACTACCCATCATTTCACCAATGAGGAAATCAAGACTGATATAGGTGAAGTAACTCTTGTTAAGGTTACATATTTATGAAACATATATAAGACTATTCAGGAAAATAATTTAACAAATTCTTTTTTAACTTTGAGAGGAAGCTTGTGACACCCTAAGCTACCAGGTTAAGCATGGGCAGAGGTGAGAAAGAAGATAAGCATAACTGTATCCCTATTAAAGCAATTCTTCCTAACCACTACTAGTACAGGGCGCTGGCTTATTAATAATGATCCTGAAATAAATGTATTTACTACATATTGCTGTAATTCACTGACCTCCATTGATTAATAACTAAAGAGAGCTTAAGACTTCTGATGGTTCCAACAAGCCCTTTCAATATCTTTGAAATCACTTAGAAAAGATATAAAATAAAAATTAAAAATAAAAATAAATACTGTATTCTTTTGAGGATTCACATGGCAAGGTTAAAGGGATCTCAAAGTTGCTCTTCTTTAAGCAGTAAAATACCTTCTTTTTTAACCTCTAACCTCCCTCTTTTAAGTACAGCTTTGGTATCCTAGAGCTTCTCCCAATATAAGAAACTTTTCAGGAAAACTGGGGGCCAGTCATTTCTAAGGATCACTCCATCTTTATGAAGGAAAGCCCTGACATTCATAGCAACAACAATTGTCTCTATCACAGACAGGGAGCATAGAATGGGAATATTGTTTTGGTTGAGTCTAATGAAAATAATGTTGGACAGGCAAATGCCTTTGTAATTACACCACAGACTGGGCCTGGGTATGAAAGTGAAGGTTTTACCTTAAGGTAACAAAAGGCCTTTCATTGTTAAGCAATAATATCAAATTTAAATATCAAAGAATTTTCAAAATTGTCTAATACAACAGTCACAATTGATTCAGAGGACTATAAGATGGTCTGCACCTAGTTAATTAAAATAGAACCACTTTAGCAATGTTAATTTTGGCCTGCGCTGTTATGAAATCTTTTTTCATCGATTCTTGAAGTGTTCTTGCCTCCATAGAATTTTCCCCACTTCTGAAATCATGTGTCAAGTCATTTGTAATCTGTTAAAAGCTATTGGTGACCTTTCTTTAAGCTTAAAAAGAAATAACTCCATCTGTTGGTTTCATCACCAGGGAATTCTGGAAAAGAGAAATCTCAGAAGTAAAAAGAGAAGAAAGGCATTTTTATCTCCTGACCTTTGAAATTGTAATGTCATTTAATTTAATCTGATTTTTTTGTTAACAGCTATTTCATTGTAACATTTCTGGGAACTGTATTAAGTCAAATGTTCATAGACAAGCAGGTGTTTTCTCTCATGTTCGTGTGTGTTCATATTTTCCCTTTTTCTCTCTGAGTAATTCATTCTCATCATGTGCTCCTCATTTTTTACCTTGTGAATCTTCTTTAGTGAGAAGTTCTTTGTTTAACAAATATTTCTTGACTAAGTGGTAAATAGTTGAAGATCACAGTTTTCCCCCTAGTAAACACTATTTGTAGCTTTATCAGTAGTCATTTGAGCCACAAGACAAATTATGCTTATTTGTGAGATCCCCATATAAATATGGCCTTTGCATTTGCACTTTATTTTAAAATCTATAAAGTCAAAACGAGTCTATGTATTTTTTAAAAACTAAGAAAAATGCCTTTTAATCTTTATATGCCTTTTTATGTTTTAACCATTTCTTGGGATCTTTATTTCTTTGTGTAGAGTAAAAGGAAAGGTGAGAGAAATGTCTTATGGCATTTAACATTCTAGGATTTTTTCTCAGTTGCCTTTGACAGTCTACTAGTGAATATTTTAAACTCCCTGTAAGATTTCAACTCCTTTGTCCCCTGTGAAGAAGCATTGACAATTATAGACCAATTAGTGAGTAAATAGACCAACTCTGCTTACTCAGAATGGGGTAGAGTGGGGCTGGGAAAGAGAAGCACCATACTGTGAAGCCTCTCAGAAACATTAAGCTCGTCCTGGTTCCATCAGATAATTCAGCCATGTGCAAGAGCTGGCTAGAGGCCTTCAACAGCCAACCCAACCAACCTTTCTTAATAAGGTCAGATGCCCATTTTCAGAAGACAGCTCTTGGCAGGCACTTACCTGATGCAGTTTTGGTCCTAAGGGGCATCTTCCTGCAGCCCACATCCCTGTCCCAGGTTGTCCTCTTAGTATGATTGACACTGCCTCATGTCATCATACTCAGCCCCAGCCTAGCCTCCACTTCATCCCTTGTTACATGCTGGGACTCACATTCTCTGTCTGGATACAAAGAAACCTCGCTGGCTTTAAAGCATCACCCCCAGGGGTTGAAAGGAGTTTAGGAAGGTCTACACTTTTCCATTAATTCTGAGCACAGTCATATTTAGCTTACATTTTCAGATAAAATTTGCATATAATGTAATACACAGATGTCACATAAACAGTTAAATGTTTTGACAGTGTATGCCTGTGTAACCAGCTACTCCAATGAAGATATAAAACAAAAGTCCCCTTATGCCCCTTGGTAATCAACCCCTGATCTCTACTTTCTGAGGCAACCACTGTTTAAATTTTTCCCTATATTTTTGCCTGTTCTTGACCTCCTTAGAATAAAATCACATGGTATGTCAAAAAGAAACAACAAAACCCCTCAAACACTATGTGAGCAAGAAGCTAAAACCAAATGGTAAGCTGGGTGTGCTTTTTTTGAACCACAAAGAGTGAGTGGAACCAATCTTCAGGGTCAGTGACGACTTGGTAGCCACAGTAAATCCTGTTCATTGTCTTAGGGAGAGTGTTGCAGGATTTCAGAAATGAAATGCTTCCCTGGAACATATTTCTTCTAATTAATTGGGGTACTACAGGATTATCCAAGTGCAAATTTTTCTATAGGTTTTTTTTAAAATACTAAGCCTCTCTCAGGGTTTGTATGTCTCAAGAAGTTCCAGTAGAATCCCTTTATTTTTTCATAAATCATTCCTTAAGAATTAAACCTCTAATGTGAATGGGTATAACACTGAGTAGCCAGTAAAGTTCCCCAAATGTTTATTTTATCCCCATTATCAATAGTTCAGTGATTATCAGGGTCCACAATAATTTTCTCACTCACCTCCATTTTTATTTCCATGGCCTCAACTGAGGAATTAAAAGTAAATATGTATATTTTGGGAGACTGTTGATGCATTGTTTGTGGAATCTTCTTGTGGACTAAATTGTTTTAGCTGCTGTGTCATCCTGAAAAATAAATTAAATGTGCTTACAGCCTGGGATTTTTACAAAGCTGAGTGCTGGACATACTGTTGTTTCATTTTGTTTGATTTTAGTCTGCGCTTCTAATGTCAGAATATTCTGTCATAGATATAAAACATGCTCTCACTGACTATACATTACTTTATATCTCCATTCCAGCATTTTTGATACTACAGGACACATTTTTTTTTCTTCCCTTTTGGATGGTACTCAGGCATTTCAGCTTGGTGTAGGTAAATCCAAATGAGGCTCCTTGCAGAAAATATCTTTGTAATCAGCTATTGTGTTCTGGGGTGGGATCAAGGAGGTATGAAGCTATTATGAAAGAAAAGTTAAGAATAACAAAATTCTCTTCCTTTTAAAAGGAAGCACTTCAGAAACTAAAGTTTAGTTAAAGTCACAGAAGATCAATATCAGAGGAGAAAAGGTGAAGTTATTCAACTAACCCAGGTAAGTAGGCAGCACCTTGGAAAGACTGTGGTCTTGAAAGGTGAGCCAAGTGAAAGTGCCACCTCCATGAAGGCCTCTGAGCCAAATTCTACATCTGAAGTCTATGTGTTCTCAATTATCTGCTCAAGGTCTGTGGGCTGCAGTTCTATGAATAGATGCTGAAAATATGTTCATGAGAAGGATGCAGACCTAGAACCAACTGGAATGTCTACCTATAACACCTTCCTCAAACAAGTGTCTTATCCCTCTGGCCCTAGAGACAAACAGTTCATGCCTCTCAGTGCGTTGGCAATGTCATGTCCTACAACTACAAGAGTTTTAATGTCAAAATGTGGCAAAGGGGTGGAGGTAGGGAAATGGTCAGTTGTACTCCTCACTACTACTCTCAGGTCCAGTCTGTAGGAATATCTGCAGGAAGGGCTGCTCAGGATTTTTAGGCACATGGTGATAATAAAAAGCTGACCAACAACTTTTAGTTGGCTTTATTACTGTTCTCAAATTCTCTGCAGAAAATGCACCCTCTAATTGCCTGTACCCATTGCAGACTGCTCCCCCACAGATCCTCCCACCCTATAGCCTCCCTTGGGAAGCCACTGCTGGATTCTCACAATTGGGGTACCCCAGAAAACTCCACCATCCTCTTTCACCAAAAATTCCTCTCACAGACCTGCTAATTTTGTCTGCTACTTGAGGAAAGCTGAGAAATATAATGGTTTTCTGCCTGCAGGAGACCACAGGAGAGGGATGGGTATTGTTTCCTTGGTAGGAGGTTAGGCAGGATTTGTCAGGGAAAAGAGTTTAAGCATGAAGACTTTGATCAAGGTCAATAAAGTCCAAATGCTATGTCAATAATCATAGTATTTTATTGATTTAATGTCAAAAAGAAGGAACTGGACACAGTGATTGTTGACTTGGATGCAACACACTGACTTGTATAAAATAGAAATTCTACATCAGGAATCAGCAGATCTGGGTCCTAATCCTAGCATCACCACCGACTTTATTAGTTTGAACAGATTATTAATAATTATATGCCTCAAGCTTGTGGGGAAAGAGGAACACTTATACACGGTTGGTGGGAGTACAAATTACTTCAGCCATTGTGGAAGACAGTGTGGCAATTCCTCAAAGACCTAAAGCAGAACTACCATTTGACTCAGCAATCCCATTACTGGGTATATACCCAAAGGAATATAAATCATTCTACCATAAAGACACATGCATATGTATGTTCACTGCAGCACTATTCACAATAGCAACCTAAATGCCCATCAACGATAGACTGGATAAAGAAAATGTGGTACATATACAGCATGGAATATTACACACCATAAAAAAGAATAAGAGCATGTCCTTTGCAGGGACATGGAAGGAGCTGGAGGCTATTATCCTTAGCAAACTAATGTAGGAACAGAAAACCAAATACTGTATGTTCTCACTTACAAGTGGGAGCTAAATGATGAGAACATATAGACACCTAGAGGGGAACAACATACACTGGGGCCTATCAGTGGGGGAGGGTAGGAGGAGGGAGAGGATCAGAAAAGATAACTAATGGGAACTAGGCTTAATACCTGGGTGATGAAATAATCTGTACGACACACCCCCATGACACAAGTTTACCTATGTAACAAACCTGCACTTGTATCCCTGAACTTAAAATAAAAGTTAAAAAAAACTATGTGCCTCAGTCTCCTCTTTTTAAAAGTTAGGTTGATTATATCTGCTCTGTCTTTCCCAAAGGGTTGTTCAGTAATAACATGAAGATGACTGAAGAAGAACTGGGCAGTGGGCAACAAGAGCTGGAAAGAACCTTTCCAGCCTTTCTACTCACTGAGAAACAGGCCTCTTCAGCTGGTTTCTGGGCCTCCTGTTCCCAAAGTAAACAAATGACCTCTTACTAAAAGGTATATTCCACATACCTATACTGACTTTATAGTCTAGACATAGACTTACTGATCTTTATAGTATTTGTGAAGACTATAAACTGATATCTAGCTGAAGACATAAACTCGTGTTTTGAACCAACACAAGACTGATATTTTGATTATCATAATCGTTATAATTATTGTTTATTTTTATTGAAGTAATCATACATACAGAAAAGTGTATAAATAATAAGGGTATAGCTTAATTTTTTTTCATAGCTTGAGCACATTCATGTAACCAGCACCCAGATCAAGAAACAGAGCATAAGCAGCACCCCAGAAACCCGCCTTGTGCCTCCTTCCAATGCTTCCACTTAGTTACCACTATCCTGATTTCCACAGCCATAATTAGTTTTCCTAGTAGCCCTTTAACAGGATAAATATGCTACATCCATGGAGATGCTAATACCTCTTAAACTGTTATAGATCAGACACTCATTTTTTATCAAATGTGCTTCCTGATGAATTAATAAGGAATGGGGAAAAAGTGGGTAGAGTACAGGGGCAGATGCAGAAGAAAGGACTGGAAATTATCTTCTCCATAATTTGCTGGTTAAGACTAGTGTGTCATTTCCAGCAGGCATATGATCTTGTACTGTAATATTTTTGGAAAAGGAGAGGCTTAATTACATTGGAACTATTAGGTTTCTTTTGCCTCAGATAAATTGCAAAACACAATTTATAGAAATTTTTTAAGCATTCTCTGTGGCTTAACTCGATAATTGTCCAAACTTGGTGGGAGTTTGAGACATAGAATATAATATTGTCATCTTAGATTTTATTTTGAGGCCCTTTACCATGATATTCCCAACAGTACAGAATCCAATTGCCAGATCTTGGCAAGATCACCAATGTATTTCCTGGGTAGTGATGAGGCGTTGGGAACAGGATGCAGGGGCAGGGAAGGGCAGGGTCTATGCACCAACTGCCTTTGTGCAGAAAACCTTTCCTTTCCCCCATATCAAACCCTCAACTGCATTCCATCAGCTGCTGGGCTGGCCACAGCTGTAGCTGTTTCCAAAATGAAGATGGAATCTAGCCCCATTTGGATTTAGTATTTAGTCTAGAACTGCTGTTCCTTTGGATATTATTTTGAGAAGTACAACATTGCATAGGGGTTTAGTTTTTCTAACTAGCTCGTGAAAAAAATTTACAAATCCTCTTCTCCCCTAAATATAAAAGATTGATGTAAAAATATTCTGTTTATTACATTTTCCTTTGGGGTAACCTTATTCAAATGAAAAAAGAGATGATTACTTGATCTAGCTTGATCTGCCTAAAAATCTTTTTTCTCCCCTAGAGCAGATACATTATATACCATATTAGTGACAACACAGCAGTGTAGTTGACATAAGAATCTACATCGTGAAAGACTGGTGACTTCTTGTTATATAAGCTGTTTGATTTAGATCAAACAATATTCTCTAAGCGCCTACACTGTACCAGGCACAATGTTAGATACACATGACAGAATGACAAAAAGACACTGACCCAGCCCACAGGGAGTTCACAGACCAGTGAGGAAACAAAAGCAAAACCAATGATAACCATATAACAATTGCTTATTATAATGAAAATACTATATACAATGTTTCTTGGAAGAACAAGTTATTAATTCTCACTGAATGCATGGTCAGGGAAGACATCACAGAGGAGGTGTTGTAGAATAATTGGCCAGCAGAGAAGAGAATCACACGACAGGCAGAAGGAATAAAAAATACAGAGGCATAGAGGAATGACATAGCCTAGTGTTCTTCAGAAACTCAAAAGAAATGAAAATTGTCTAAACAAAAGGTTAAGGTTGGCAGCTGGTGAGGCTAAAGCAGAAGTTTGGAATCAGATCATGGAAAGACTTCATCCCCTAAAATGTTTTAAGTAAAGGACCAATACAGTTACATTTGCAGCTTAAGGATTGACACTGGCATAGGAGCAGAAGCTCAATTTAAGGAGGGTGGTAAAGAAGACAAGAGGATGGATTAAAAAATAATGTTGTTTTCAGGCTTAAAATATACCAAGTCTTTAGTTTCATGCACACACTCATTCTCACCCTCACCCATTCTCTTGATCACCTCTCTCTCTTTTATTTTAATTACTGCCTTTCCTCCATACCTCTCTAACCCTTTCTTATATTTTATGTAATACTATACAAATTTTAGGGCAAATCCTTAAAAATATCCTGCATCATCCCATAGCCAAATGCCTAAGCTCCAAAACCAACTTATGAAAAAGTGAGAGGTTAATATGACCCATAGAAATACTACTTCATTTTCCATTATTATTAAGTATTTTGGAGAAGGCACCTGTTAAAGAATAGATGTGTCTGGTAGCCTCTCTGCTGGCTCTGATTAAATAATGGCAGAATTGGTAGCAGAGCCAAATATGGTTTCACTGCCATAATAAACAGCAAAGAAAGTTTTTCATTACTAGTGACCTGCTGGTGATGCCTACCGTTCCTGGGAGAACTTGCTTGGCCTTAGCCCTTGACCAATCAACCCTGACCTGTCACTAGTGTCCTCATGAGTTGTGACATAGATTTCTTTGCACACTTCTGCATGGGTTAGCTAGCTTTGTGGCCTGCTCCCTTATGGAAGGCATGGGTTTACAGGGGAAAAGGAGAAGGTCATCTATGATGATGGATCCATTTCAGAGCATACACATGAGCCACAGTGTGACAGGTTAAGGTGAAAAAGACTTTGAGGAGAACAAGAAGACTGCCAAAGGATCCCCAGATGGGAAGATCTAGATGAATCTGGAAGAAGAAATGATTTGCACTTCCAACATGGGATGTCATCCTTAGGGAGTACACATGAAATTCAGGAGAGGGGGACATAAGAAATTTGAAAAAAAAAATAAAATGACTATTTAAAACTTTTAAGTAAAAGTTTCATTTACTTATAAAATTTAAATGTAACAGAAGGAGAGTGTGGGATACTTATATTTGTGAACAGAGAATGTGGGTGTTTTTTTTTTCTTTAAGACTGGAAAATACTTCTCTAATCTACCCCTCTAACTCATGGAATAGAAGGAAGCAGGGAGGAGTGTGAGTGAAAAGTGAAGAAAAGCTCAAATTTGATATCTAATGCAGTGGTTTAAGATATTTTTTTCCTCATTATGCCTCAGTGTTTCCCTCTATAGTAAAAGGGAAGTAGCCCTTTGACTCCAAAGTTATTAACTTTTAAAAGAGATAGAAGGACATGTCTTTCAAAATTGGGTAGACTAGAAAACATATTTAAAGCCTGTTTCCAATGAGAAATTAAATAAAATATTTAATGTCTGTTTGCAAAGAACAAGAAAACTTGTACATTTCCTAAGTAGGTTTTGACTTTTCCTCTTTAAGCAAAAAATAGAATTTACTTGCAGCATAAGGGTAAACTTAGGATCAAGAATTATGTTTGCTGCATAATACCTAGCAGATTTTTAGACCTTTTAGGAGCTTTTCATGTTTCGTTGTGGCATAATGGAAACAATATCAACTGTACAGTCAGAAAAATCTGAGTTCAAAATCCGACTTAAACTTCTACTGCTGGCCAAGAGTAATCCCACTACAACCTATCTTTCCCATTGATTCTAGAACACTTGACTAACACTATCAATCAACCTGATCTAACTGTAAAGCAGACTCCAAACTTTTTTTTTCAATTGAAAATGGATATTCATGAATATAGATAATATCCTGGACTATAATACAAATCCTAAAAAATTAAAAATAATTGAAATCATACAAAGTGTATTCTCTAATCAAATAGGTATTAAATTAGGAATCAATAACAAAAATTCTGGAAAATCCCCAAATACCTGGAAGTTAAGTGGCACACTTCTAAATAACCCATGGGTCAAAGGGGAAGTTTCAAATGAAATTGGAAATTATTTTGAACCGATTGAAAATGAAGATACAACATGTCAAAATTTGTGGGATGCAGCTACAGCTATGTCCTTCTCAGCAGTGCTTAGAAGGAAATTTATAGTATTAAATGTTTATATTGAAAAAGCAGAAAAACCTCAAATCAATAATCTAAGTTTCAAACTTAAAACAGTAGGAAAAAAAGCTAATTAAACCCAAATCAATCAAAAGAGGAAAAGATAAATAGAATAAATCAATACAACTGACAAAAAGTAAAGGAAACAAAAGGGAACAAAAAACTTGTTCTTTGAAATGATCAATAAAATTGATAAATCTCTACTTAGATTTATCAAGAAAAAATAGAAAACTATAGACCTTACAGGCATTAAAGGTAGAAGAAGGGAATCCTACAATCACTGCTTATAGATTCCACAGGTTAGATGAACTGAACCAATTCTTGAAAGAGACAAACTGACAAACTCACTCAAGAAAAAAGTTAACCTAAATGTTTCTATATCTGTTTCAAAAAATGAATTTTAAGTATAAAGTTTCCAAAAATAAAAAAGTCCAGGCTCTGATGGTTTCCCTGATTAATTCTACCAAACATTTAGGAAAGAAAGAATAAAAATCTGTAAATACAAAAATTGCAAGTCTTCAAGAAAACTGGAGATAACACTTCCCAACTCATTTTAGGAGGGTAGCAGTACCCTGATACTACAACTACAGAAACACTGCACAAGAAAACTATGCCCCAATATACCTCACAAACAGAAATGCAAAAATTCTCAACAAAGTATTAGCAAATCAAATGCAAAAACATAAAAATGATAATAAATAACCAAGCAAAGTCTATCCCAGGAATGCAAGATTGGTCCCAAATTAGAAAATACAATTAGAGAAATGTATTTTACCATATAAACATACTAAAGAAGAAAAACCACATATATGCAGAAAAAATGATAAAGTTCAAATTCCATTCATTGTATATTTTTCAACAGACTCTCAGCAAACTAGGAACATAAGGGAACTTTCTTAATCCCATAATGGGTAGCATGTGCACACATGCACATGAACATGCACATACAACTTAAACCTAGCATACTTAATGGTGAAGGTTTAAATTCCCTCCCTCCATGATTGAGAACAAGGAAAGGATGTCTGTTCTTATACATCTATCCAATATTCAAGTCCTGGCCAATTCAATTGATCAAGAAAAAGAAATAAAAAGCATACTTACTGAAAAGGAAGAAATAAAATGTTGTCTATTCAGGGATGATGTGATTGTCTATACAGAAAATCCCAAGGAATCTAGCAAAATGTTCACAGAACTAATAAGTGAGTTTAGCAAATTCACAGGATACAAGGTCACTTTATAAAATAAATCACATTTTATAAAGAGATGGTCCCCAGCTTACAATAGTTTGACTTGTAATTTTTCTACTTTACAATAGTGCAAAAGTGATAGCATTCAGTAGGAACTGTACTTTGAATTTTGATCTTTTTCCAGGCTAGATATGCTGTAAGATGCTCACTCATGATGCTAGACAGTGGCAGCAAGCCGCAGCTCCCAGTCAGCCAGGAGATCAGGGGGGTAAACGTCCTATACTCTATAGTGTATTGTGTTGCTAGATGATTTTGTCCAACTATAGGCTAATGTAAGTGTTCTGAGCACGTTTAAGGTAGGCTAGACTAAGCTATGATGTTTGGTAGGTTATGTGTATTATGCACACTTTTGACTTAAGATTCTTTCAATTTACAGTGTGTTCATCAGGAATTAACTATAGTTAAGTGGAGGAGCATATGTACTAGCAATGAACATTTGGAAATAAAAAAAATTTTAAAACAGTCACAAGCAAGATAGATATATCTGGCATGTAGTGGATGCTCAATAAATATTTATTGAATGAGTAAGTATGCAATTGGACTTTCAAGTGTATTCTATTTTTGTTTTTCAATACACTTACATTTCAAGATATGTTCTTCTAGGTATTATTAACATGGTCTGATATCCTTGACAGTATAACAATTATTCATGGACAATAGCAGTGTAGAATAAGCTGTATAGCTAGAAGCAGCCAAACAGGCTTAAAACATTATATTGAATAATCTACCTTAATTTTGATTGAATTCCCTTTACCTGTGGTATTGAAATTGGTATTATATCCTTCTTGTAAGATAAACTTCTACGAAAATGTTAGCTTCATGTACCTCTGTGATATGTTACATGCTCTGTACACTTGGGTTAATTAACATTTATCATTAAAAATTAAAAATTATATCTGCATAATCTTAGTGACCTTAATTACACTGAACTTATTCACCTTTCGATGCAAATGTAGAGGGACAAATCTCAAGACTAACATTTCTGAAAATGGCAGTCTCCAAATTAGTAACCAGGTCCCCCCAAATTAGTATTATACACCTATTTCCAACCCTAATTTTAGAATGAAAATCACAGACAAGTGGTATCTAGTCAGACAAGAGGTGTCTAGTCAGACAAGATACCTCTTTGGTGAAGTCAATACATACAGGTTATTTGTGATTAATTTTAGTTTGTTGCATTATTACATTCCTAAACTGTAGTTTTTTAATAGCTGGAGCAATGTTCTATGTTAGTGGGTGAAGTGGGAAAGTTTATTTGAGACACCAAAAGGGAAACATAGCCTTCATTTTAAAGCATTCAGTAATGAAACTATTTTTATCTAACTATTCAAACAGACAAACGGGCTCTAAATATATAAATTTGTTGTCTTTGCTTTGCTTTACTCATTTCTTTCTCCCCTCCCCTCCCCTCTTCTTTCCTTTTCTTTTCTTTTTAGACAGAGTCTCGCTCTGTTGCCTAGGCTGGAGTGCAGTGGTGTGATCTTGGCTCACTGAAACCTCCACCTCCCAAGTTCAAGCGATTCTCATGCCTCAGACTGCTGAGTAGCTGGGATTACAGTCATGCACCACCATGCCTGGCTAATTTTTGTATTTTTAGTAGAGGGTTTCTCTATGTTGGCCAGGCTGGTCTCGAACTCCTGGCGTCAAGTGATCTGCCCACTTTGGCCTCCCACAGTGCTGGAATTACAGGTGTGAACCACTGTGCCTAACCCTAAATATATAAATTTTTTAAAAGTAAGCTAAGAGCTTTAAAAAACTTCTAAATATATGACTGGCTCATCTCTTGACATAGAAAGAACCATTACTTTATGTATTAAAATTGTAGTCAAAGCAAAAATTTTTATAACTACCAAAATACTTATTTGGCCAATAACCTAAAATCAGAAGACTGATAGGAATACAAAAGATTTACTGAAAAAAAAAGATTGATTGCACTATATTCCTAGATCAAAAGAAAATGGAGTTTGTCATTATTCTAGCATGGACTGGAAAATTAGACTACAAATATGGATGCAGCAGAAGTGTTTCTAAGATGGAAGTTTAAATCAATAAACATTTACATCAAAAAGAAGCTAGATCTGAAACAAACAACCTAAAGTTACACCTCAAGTACTAGAGAAATAAGAACAAAGCCCAAGGTTAGCGGAAAGAAGGAAATAATAAAAATCAGAGCAGAAATAAATGAAATATAGATTATAAAAACAATAAAGATGATCAATGAAACCAAAAGTTGGTTTTTATAAAGATAAACAAAATGGACATATCTTTAGCTCAACTAAGAAAAAAAGAGAGAAGACTCAAATAAGAAAAATCAGAAACAAAAGAAGAGACATTACAACTGATCCTACAGAAACAAAGTATCATACAAGAAGGCTACCGTGAACAATTATATGCCAATGATTTGAATTACCTACAAGAAATGGATAAATTCCTGGACACACACAACCTTCCAAGACTGAATCATGAAGAAATAGAAAATCCAAACAGACCAGTAACACATTAGGAGATTGAATCAATAATAAAAAGTCACCCATCAGGGAAAAGCCGAGGACCTGTTGGCTTCACTGCTGAATTCTACCAAATATTAAAAGAAGAACTAATACGAGTCCTTCTCAAACTCCTCAAAAATTTGAAGAACAGTGAATACTTCCAAAGCCAGACAAGAGCACTACAAGAAAAAAGAAACTACAGGCTGATATCCCTGATGAACACAGATGCAAAAATCCTCAACGAAATACTAGCAAACCAAATTCAACTAAAAGGGTCATTCACCATGACCAAGTGGGATTTATCTGAGGGATACAAGGATCATTCAACAAATGCAAATCTGTAAATGTGATACACCACATTAGCAAAATGAAGGACAAAAAACATGATCATCTCAACAGATATAGAAAATGCGTTTGACAAAATTCAACATCCTTTCATAACAAAGCTCTCAACAAATTAAGGTATAGAAGAAGTGAACCTCAATATAATAAAGGCCATATGCAACAAACTGACAGCATATAATAGAATTAATGACTAGATAATGAAAAAAATCAGTCAACTACCTGGTTTCTTGATATGGTGCTTATGTGTTATTCAGATTAACTATTTTCAATAGTTGCTTCAAGTGATGTTAGCTGGGGTTGCTCTTATGGCTGAGTTCACCTGTTAGCTAAGCTGAACGAGCAAGTTCATGAAGGCTTCTCTTACCTGGCTGGGGCCTTGGTGTTGACTGGGGTACTTCAGTTATTTCCCTTCTTTCCTTGGTGTTAATGACTGGAGTACTTCAATTATTCCTTCTCTTTCCTATGTGGCCTTTCTTTCCTTGTAGTGTCTCCAGGGACTTGCCACATAGTCCTTCTCTCCAGCAGGATAGCCTAGATTTCTGAAGATGCCATCTTCCAGCTTTAAATATCTCTGTGCATTGATTTCATCTTAATTTACTTTTGGAATAGCTTCTTAATTCCCATTGTTCAAATAAACTGAGGTGTCCAAGCTTAAATTTGGAAAACATTTTTAACTTTCAAAAATAGTTTCCAAAAATAACAAAGACTTCTGTCTTTTAAATACAAACAACATGTTTTCAGGGAAATGTGTCTTGGAAGAAAAAAAAGAAATTATTTTCCCTAAGATTACAAAACATTAGGCCACTTGGTTCAGCCAGGGTATTTGCTTCCTCTCTCCTTCCCTCCCTCCTTTCCCTTCCTTCCTCCATTTCTCACTCCCTCGCTCCCTTCTTTCATTCCCTTTTATCTCCCTCCCTGCTTTCTTCCCTTCTTGCCTTCTCCTTCCCTTCCATTTCCCTCCCTTCCTTCCTCCCTCCCTTCTTTTTTTCTTCCCTTCTTCCTTTCTTTCTTTCCTTCTTCCCTTCCCTCTGGACAAAGTGCATGAAAATCAGAATGTATTGTGCATTGAAGTATTAAAAATTTCTCTAGAGTTGCCTAAAATATTTGTGAAATATTTGCTTGAGAAACTGGAAGGGAAAAAAATGTTACAATAGCAAATATTTAATAATACAAAAAGAGACAGGAATATATATCACTGTGACTGTGAAAAAATCCTCTATAATAAATGATAAGAATATTAGGTAATCTCCGAGAATATAATCAATCTAGATTTCCTTTAATTTTTGTTTTAGAATCCATTTTACTTGGACCTAAGAATCCTTGAAGGCAACAAACTAATTTATTTTTCAGAATCAGGGTGGTTATAAAATTTCAAAATATATCATCAATTAAAAAATAAATAATAATCAACAATTAGAAAAATTGATTCAATAATTTAGATTCTATTTGCAGCATTGCCAAATATGTATGTTTGTTTTTAAAAGTTGACATTGATAATAAAATTATAAACATTAAGGTCTTAGTGTTCGAGGTTAAAGAAAGAAATATTCTTTTACAAATATTTGAATTTTTATTTAATTTACAGCAAAGAACCAGGTGCAATCAACACTTTCATATAGGACAAACATAAAGTATTTCTTGAGCTAACAGTTAGCCTTCACTTTTAAAAGTAAAACCAGAACTTTTATTCATCTTTCTTTCTGCTTCAGAAATTAACAGCTGCTCATTAAATATTCATTGATGCTTGTTGTAATTGTACTGTATTTCACTAAATAAATGTTTATAACACATTTAACCACAAAATAGATATCACCTCTAAGTTTAACTTATATTCATACTAAAATGTAGTATTAATTTTTCAAAGATTTTTATGATGGGCCTAGAGAGGAAGGTAAATTATGTAGATGGCATATCTTCCCATAAACTTAGTGCATACCTAGAATACTCTTGAAGTATTCTCTACTGTTTTCTATTCCCAACTTCAGCCAGCAAAGTAATTTCCACATCATAAATGATCTCAGGGAAAAGATGAGAAAAGCCGAACGTGCCAACAGTAAAACGTGGTCCCAGAGTGATAATAAAATCAAAGGCTGTAAGATCCTTTGTGAAGACTTTAGAATGACTTCAAGCTATACCTCATCGGCCCTGTAGGCTAGATAATCTTTTGGGAATTATCTATAGCACCCCAATTCTTAGCCAAAGGTAGAAAGGGAATGTCTCAATATTTATAGAAGTTGCTTTTGTTCTAATGGGGTGGACTAATCTGATATAAAGGCTCACAGAGTTTTAAAGAAAATTGCATTGATGAGGATACCACCAGCATGGACTAAAAAAAACACGGGAGTATGAAAAAAAAATAGAGGTACGTAGGCCCGATTTTCTACAGGTCTTTTCTTCATAAGTCTTTCTTTCTTACCCCCTCTTCTACTAACGAAAAGACTGTTGTATCAGTTATCAATTGCTATGTAATAAACCACCCCAAAACTTAATTACCTAAATCAACCATTTTAAAATTTCTCATTTCTGTGTACTGGCTGGTGGTTCTTCAGCTCCAGATGGTGTTACCCAGGGTCACTTATGTGGTTGCATGCAGATAATGGCTAAGCTGAGTTAGAAGGTTCAAGTTCTCTTTGTCTGAGGACTTGGTGCTTTCTATGCACTGAAATTCATATGTTGAAGCCCTAAACCTCAATGTGCTAGATTTGGAGGTGAGGACTTTGGGAAGTAATTTGGTTCCAAGAAGCCATGAGGTTGAAGACCCTCCATGATGAGATTGGTGCCCTTATAAGGGGACAAAGATACCAGAGTTCTCTCTCTCTGCATCATGTGAGGATATAGCAGGAAGATGGCTGTCTGCAAACCAGGAAGGGAGCGCCCACTAAACACCTAACCATGCTGAAACTCTGATCTTGGATTTCCATATTTTCAGTCTCCAGAAATGTAAGATATAAATTTCTGTTGTTTAAGTCACTCAATCTATGATATTTTTTGTTACAGTAGCTCCAACTGACTAAGGCAGTGCTATTGACTGGGACGTCTCAGTTCTTCCTTAGGTGGCCTTTCTCTCCACTCTTACTACACTGTATTTTCAGGTTCCACAATCTCATTTTTTTAAAGAAAAAAAGTCACTCAATCTATGATATTTCTGTTATACTAGCCCAAACTGACTAAGGCAGTGCTATTGACTGGGGCATCTCAGTTCTTCCCTAGGTGGCCTTTCCATGTGGTGTCTCTAGGGACTCACCATGTCCCTAGAGATATGGATATCTCTAGAAGGATATCCTGGAATTCTAATATGAAGGTTCAGGAGAGTGAAAGTGAAAACTGCCAGACCTTACTTTTACCACATTTTATTGGTCAAAGTGAGTTAGAAGGCCAATCCAGATTAAAAGGAAAAGGAAATGGACTCTACCCTCTGAAGAGAGGAGTCCAAGGAAGGGAAGGAATTGTTTGAGGGACATCTTCAAAAACTATCACAGTCTGCCCCCGGCCACAGTTCTTGTCTCACTAACATGCAAAAATGTACTTACTCTGTACCCTAAGAGTCTCACTCCATTATGGCATAAGTTTAAGTTCAGAATCTTATCATCTAAACCATGTCCAGATACAATAAACTTCCTCAGTTACTGTTTCTCAAGTGAAGATGCTTGAGAGTAGCTTGTCCCAGTTAAGGTTTTCTAGGATAGGAACACCACACAGAGACTATCATTCAAAAAAGGAGACAAGGAAACAGGAAGCATAAAATTAAATTGTTTTCAGGGTCCCCCTACACCAAAGGAAGAGGCTATTCCTTGATTGTGGTTCAGTTCATCCCTCTGGTAGTGGTTTCCTAATCCATTGCTCTCCTTGCTTCTTGGCTCCTCCCTCTGGGATTTTGGCTCCATCTTCCATCTATTTTTCCTTTTCTATAAAAAAATGACAAGTACTAGGTTGAAAAATTTCCTCTAAATTCTGCTTTCAAATTGAACAGTTCCTTCTTTAGTTCACTCAGTAAATGTCTTCCTGTACATTATGAGATGCAGCCATAATAAGTTCATCAGTACTTTCAACATTCACCTGGAAATCTCCTTAAGACATCTACAAGCTATTAAGTTTCATTTTCTGTTCCACATTAAGACAAGCAAAATTATTGCTAAGCATTCTGTCAATGCATAACTCAATCCTCCATTTATTTCAATAATTCAATAATTTATTTACTGCCTTCCCATCCTCCAGTAAGAGTTTGTTCACTATTCTTCAAGGCTTAGCTGGCAGCTTCTTGCCACATGTATTATAGTGTGCTTAAGCAACACAATTTATTCTTATATAGTTCTGTAGAAGTCCAACACAAAAATCTCACTGATCTAAAATCAAGATGTTAGCTGAACTGCATTCCTTTCTGGACACTCTGGAAAGAATCTGTTTCTTTGCTTTTTCCAGCTTCCAGAGGCTGCTTGGGGCTTGTGGTTCCTATCACTCACCTGTAAAGCCAACAATAGCAGGTTGAGTTCTTCTCATTTCACATCATTCTGACATCCTCTCATGTATCCGTCTTCCACTTTTAAGGACTCATGCTTATATTGAGCCTACCTAGATAATTCAGGATAATCTCTACATTTCAAAGTGCTTAACTTAATGACAGAGGCAAAGTCCTTTTTACCATGTAAGGTTTAACCTTTTGTTATGGTAACACCCCACTCCTGATACCAATTTCTGTTATCTATTGCTGAATAACAAACTACTCCAAAATGTCATATGCTGAAAAAAAACTGATTTGGGATTTCTCAAAATTCTGTTTAAACTCTTTGATTTTTTGCTTCCCATGGGCATTAAGGTAACTTTGGCAGCTACATTCAGCTGGACTTCAGTCACCAGACATGGGAAGGGTATGACCTCAAGCACAGTGTCCTTCTGCAGTTGAAGCAGACTCTGAAGGAGCTGACAGTTGGAGGCTGCTGACCTCATTCCTTGCAACTGGGAGGTCAGTCCTTTCTTAAAGTGAATCAGGCAGTGTATCTCTTTGCTTATTACAATCCACCCTTTGCTCCACATAGATCTATGTCTCCCTGTATGCTTAGGGAGCAGTTCCTAAAGGAATCAAGAGACCTCTTTTCTTGACCTCTCAGAAATTTAGAAGATGGGAGATTAGTGGGACAAATTACAGTGCTTGCTGCTGCAGTGGGGCTTGGGAATGCCATCAATACTTGTCACATCCCCTCATCCTCCACTATCAATTCTAGATTTCCCTCAGCCTCTGCTACCACCTCTGCTGCTCCTGGTGGTTTATCTGGTATAATTCAGACCCACATTCCTTGAGAGGCCTGAGTTCCAGGCCATCATGCCCTTTTGAGGATGGGTTGCCACACCTACACATTAGTCTCAATTTGGTAGGTTTATCACTTGGGCACCACATTTATTACTTCTGCCCAGATTGTGTAACCAGGATTCCAATCTCCTCTTGATTAGGGTCAACTGATCTTGACTCCTTTTATTGGCTGCTGCTCCCTAGACAGACACAAGGAACCGAAAGTATCCAGGTAGCTGCTGCAGCTTATGTTTTTCAGTGAGATTTTTTATATATCTCTCAGCAAAACTGTGTCCCCTTGTGGGACCAAGACCTCTCACTGCAGAGTTCAGAGTTATGAAGAGGTGCAAAGTACCATATGGGTCATTAAAAGTGATGGCACGGAGGGGAGGCACCTCTTCTTCTACTCTCTTTGCATCTACCCCTAGGAATAAATGGGTTCCAAGACCCATTTATTCTTCATATTGGGGCACATGCTATATAAGGATAATTGATCCAGTACATACTCTGTATCTTGGAGTATGGCATCCTATCCTTGTAGAATTTGCCTATGAGCTGGTGTTCAGCTGTACCTTCAGCAGGTTGTTCCAATGTTCTATCAAGCTGACAAATTCCAAGTGGTGAAAAAAGTGATATTATTAGTGGATCCTGTGGATATGGGTCCACTCCTGCGCTTGGTTTTCCATAAAATAGGTTTCCGGATCTGATATGATATAATGTGAGATCGCATGCTGGTCAATACAATACTAAGTAAACTCAAATGGTGATACTGACTGAGGCTCTGCAAAGAGGAAAAGCAAACTCCTATCTGGAAATTGTGTCTATTTCTATGACAAGGAAATGCTGGTCCTTCCAGTGTGGAAGGGGCCCAATGTAACCAACTTGATATTGAAGAATGGTATTATATCAGGGGTGCAGTATTGTCTGTGTTGCTTGTAGGTTGGACATTCAACAGCAGCAGCAGCTAAGGCAGCCTTGGTAAGTTGAAACTCAAGCTACTGAACCCTATGCTTAGTCTTCATCCTTTCCACAGTGGACATTCCATTCATGTGCCCACTGTGCTAGCACTGGGTGGCGAATAACTGAAGCAGGAAGGATGACGTCAACTAGGCAATGTGTTTAGTTTGCTTTATTGTTTAGAGACTCTTCAGTACTGAATGCTCTCTGGTGGGCACTGCACGTAATACAGAGACCTTCACAGTTCATGTACATACTTGACACAAGTATGTCCATTCACATGCCTCTATTCTAGACTTTCTGTGCTTGATCTTCCAGTATTTATTCTTAAGGACAAATACCAGTTTGGCTACTTGGACTATTAAATTCTAGATGAGATTTGTATGCAACCAAAGAAGCCCTCTTTCTACAGAGCATTAGTGGCACTTGGCCATTCAATTCTGTTATTCTTAAATTTACTATTTCCTTCATGAGTCTCAAATACCTGATATACTGCACTTGCTGGCACATTCTCTTCCGTGGGTAAATCTTCTCATTTTACCACTAATAAAAGTTACCACCTTGAGCCATGGGCTTTTGTTCCATGTGCCACATGTGATGGGATTCTCATTGGCAGCTCAGATCACTCCTACTAACAATTACCACAGGTCGAGTCCTCTAAAGAGGAATGCTGAGATGGAGTTTGGGGTGTAAGATGTTTATTAGAAAGTGTCACCTTTCAGGGGAAGGGGAGGAAGCAGGATTGGGCAGAAGAAGAAATTAAGTTGTAATAGAGGGAGCTCTGAGGAAGGTTTTGCCTGACAGTGTAATAAATGAGGCTGAAGTAGCAAGGCCTTACATCTCCACTGAGGGCTGCCCTGAGATCTAAGACGAGGGTAACCTCAGGTGAAGCTTTTTCTATAGCTGTTGCAGATGAAGTGCTGATACTGGTGGATTTCTGTTCTTCACACTCCCTGCAGCTAATTAGCAAGTCCTTCCTAGAAGGGGGATATAGGCAGCACATTTTCATATCTACCACAATGTCTAAACTATCTGCAAATACTGGCTCTACCTTAAAAATACATGCAGGATCTTGTCATTCTGTACCACTCGCCCATGATCACAACCCTTGTCCAGGCAAATATCATCTCTCAAATGGACTACTGAAATAGCATTCTAATTGATCTTCCTATTTTATTTCTTACTCTCTTGCAGTCTATTTTTCATAAAGAAGCCAAATAATCCTTTAAAAATATAAGTCAGATCCTGTCACTCATTTGCTTAAATTCTCTGATGGCTTCCTATCTCATCACTCAGAGTAAAATCTTAACATCTTACCATGGCTCCACACCATTACTCCCTATGATGTCATCTTCTATCATTTTTTCCCTCCCACACACTGTTCCAAACTAGTGTCCTTGTTATTCCTCAAACATGCCAAGTATACTGCTGCCTCAGTACCTTTGTGTGTATATATATATATAGACACACACATATTGTTCCCTATAATTAAAACATTATTCACTTAATTATTCGCATGGTTCACTCTCTCTCATTTAGGTCTCTGCTCAATTTTACCTTATCACAGGCTTTTCCATCTGACCATGCTATTTAAACTGGCACCCCTTTCCTGCACCAGTCACTATCAGTTCCTTACTCTGCTTTATTTTCTTCTTAGCACTTACTACCTCGGCATGCTATAGCCATCACCTAGACAATAATTTGACACATAGTATGCACTCAAAATTTTTTAGAATGGATGAATGAATCCTGAAACCCTGAAACTTCCCTTTGCTGACTTTTTATTTTTTTATTTATTTTTTTTGAGACGGAGTCTCACTCTGTCACCCAGGCTGGAGTGCAATGGCACCATCTCGGCTCACTACAACTTCTGCCTCCCAGGTTCTAAGTGATTCTCCTGCTTCAGCCTCCCGAGTAGCTGGGATTACAGACACATGCCATCACACCCGACTAATTTTTGTATTTTTAGTAGAGACAGAGTTTCGCCATGTTAGCCAGGCTGGTCTTAAACTCCAGACCTCAGGCGATCCACCTGCCTTGGCCTCCTAAAGTGCTGGGATTAGAGGCGTGAGCCACCGCGCCTGGCCTGCTGACTTCTTAATGCTCTCTTTTTTGGTTTTTGGTTTCCTTCTCCGTTTTACTGGAAAACATCTTCAGTATTCTCCTAAGCATCTTTATCTCAAGAATATATGGGAGGTAATACCTTTGAGACCTTCTGTGTCTTTATACTATATTCATACTTGATTAATTGCATGACTAAAAATAGAATCCAAATAGAAAACTATTTTCACTTAAAGTTCTAAAGGCATCACCCCATGTCTTCTAGTTTCCAATGTTGTTAAGAAGTCCTTTAATATCCTGATTATTGGTCGATATACGACCTATTTCTTCTGTTTGAAATCTTTTAGTATTTTCTATCCACAGTGTTCTGAAATTCCTTGATGATAAGCCTTAATGTACATCTTTTTTTTACTCTAATGACTTAATGTCCTCAATTTTAGAAATCACAAATTTTTTTCCACGCCTTTCCCATTCTGTTACTCCTATTATTCAAATGAAGGACCTCTTAGATTGGCCCTTAATCTTAAGTTTTTTTCCTCCTATTTTCTTTGACTTTCTGAGAGATCTCTTCAAGTGAAAATAAACAAACTTCAAGCTGGGGTCAGAAATGACCTTTCGAAAGAAAGCCAAAATAAGGCCTCGTTGTTGGATTAGCTAGTAATAGTGGCAGAACTGCTGAATAAAGAGTGAGGTCATAGTAAATCAATCAGCTAATTGCTGGTATAAACATTACAGCACAGGTCAGTGAATTTTCTCCATCAAACAAAATATTCTGTAATATATAATGAGATAAATATGATTCACTATAACATATAAAATAAGACTATAGTTGTCAGTGCCTCAAGGGAATACAAAAAATGTCATAATTAAAAATAATTTAGGCTGGGTGTTGTGGCTCAGGCCTGTTAATCCCAGCACTTTGGGAAGCAAAGGCAGGATCACTTGAGGTCAGGAGTTTCAGATAAGGCTGGCCAAACATGACAAAACTCCATCTCTACTAAAAATACAAAAATTAGCGGGGTGTGGTGGCACATGCCTGTGATCCCAGCTACTCGGGGGGCTAAGGCATGATAATTGCTTGAACTTGGGAGGTGGAGGTTGTAGTGAGCTGAGATCGCACCACTGCACTGCAGCCTGGGAGACAAGAGTGAGACTCTGTCTCAAAAATGAATAAATAATAATTTGGGGAGAAGCGCTTTGGCTCATCTCTGCAATCCAGCTAGAAACTCAATGTCATGATGATGATATGCAGTGTATATAGAGCTTAATATACAGTGTATGAATAGACTTTCATTCCATCTACCTAATGCTCATTATTTTTTGTAAACTTAAGTAGTTGGTATACAAATAATCTCCAACCTTCTCCTTTACAACCAAGGGTAATAGCTGTTACAAGCTCTATTGCCTTTCCTCTTAAGGTTTTTAATTAAATACAATGTAACATGTAGCCTATGGTTGCATTTACAACTTTTAACTAAGATTGGCCTTAGGTATTTGGAATTCAGAATTTTCTATTCTTATGCTATATTTTATCTTCAACTCTTATATTTAATTTTTATTTCAGCAATCACTTTTTAAATTTCTGAGATCTTTTTTATTGCTTGTTCTTTTTCACACTCTCCTATTCTTGTTTTGTGAATATAATATACTCTTATTTTGAAGACAGTTTTTTTTTTGTTGCCATTATTCTCCGTTTGTCTATTTCCTTTGGATTTTCTCCCCTCCTTTTCCCCTTTTATATTTGAAGGATTTCACCAAGTGTCTAGTGATGTTTGGCTCTTATGTATGGGTGGTGATTTTTGGCTGGTGGCCTTCAATGTAGGGTCAGTAAGTGTTTGGTTAAAGTTTTCACTAGGGTCTTTTAATTGTCAGTATTTGGAGATAAAAAGTTGCTATAATTAATGCTTCCAGTAACATGGAAGACAAAAAATATACCTAATGCATTCATGGTATTTGGTGATGTTTCGAGGCTCTTAGGTACCTTATCTATTGTACTTAATAACAGTCAGCTTATTCTGTCAAAATGAGAAATGTAAGAAACAGACAAGCTCAAAATTAAGGCAATGGGTATGGAAATGGAACTGAAATGAAATACATAACCTAGGATATGCAGAACTAGAAAATAAAATTGTTTCTCATCAAATAAAATGTGATCATTAAAAACAGCCTAGTACAAAGACCAAATCAAGGGACTGCCATTAACATGGCCTCAAAGAAAAGAACAAATAAAAGGTGTGGCCATTTACTCCTTTTTAAGACTTCTGAAGGGATTTAGGGGGACCTTCAGGATGAACCAAAGGGCTCCTAGAAAGATTAGAGGAATGAGACACTTGATATGCTTAAGATATACATGTTTCTACAAATGAAGTCATGAGTACTTTGAGAATCTCCGGCTGACCTAGTTAGTCACTGCTTCTCTAAATCTCTTCTGCTGCAGCCTTCCAGACCTTTATTACCCCAGTAATTCTCACATTGGGGTAAACCTTAATTTCTTTACTAAACTTCTTTATTCATGTAATACTTGTAACGATGCTGCTTTTCTAACTAAATCCAGACTAAAACACCTGACTTCCCTAGAAAAAGAGACCCTAAAGGAAATATATCCACTACTTTATTAAAGGTACAATCCAGGCTGGTAAGAGCGAGGAAGAAAGGAAGTGAGGCTGGCAATAATGGGAGGCAAATGCAAACTGATAAATTACTGTGTAGCACTTGCTGCTGTTTCATGAAAAGCCATGAAGAGACACTGCCAATCATGTGGCAAGTACACTTGCTTGGCCACAGAGTACGCTTCTGGACAGGCAAGATGAAAAACAGTGTCTCTATACAGTCCATCAGAAGAAGAGCAATTTACCCAGCAGCTTTTTCTAGTCCATTGATCCAAGTTTTTCAGACAGTTAACTTCACAAACCTACCAGACTACATCGCCTAGCCCTTTTAACAGTCATTGTGGCATGGGGTTTTTAAAGCACAGAAGTGTTGTTATAGGCCAGGGATTCTGAACATATGGCTAATTGATCTCAAGCAGAGGAATCATACAAACCTGCTGGTAATCTGTTACTATATGAGGTGGTAGCTAAGGCAAAGCAAGTGGTCAAGAGCCCAAGAAACATGAGACTGAGAATCTTCTAAGGTACTTGAAGAAGATGATCTGATAATGCATCCAAAGATGAGATATCTATAGCCACAATAAATAGCTATAAGACATTGGTGGCATAATAGACATTCCTTGCTCACATGTTTGGAATCAGGTAGGTGTCAGTTAGATGACTCTGCTGATCTTGGCTGGAATCATTCACATATCTTGGGTTTGGCTGGCCATCAGCCAATCTAGACAAGATTCAGTGAGGGTGACCAGGGCAACCTGGCTCTGTTCCATGGAGTCTCATGCTCCAGCAGGCTAACTCAGCCATGCATATTCTTATGTCAACAGCAGAAGCACAAGTGTAAGTAAAAATGCACTAAATCTCTGAATGCAGATGACCCAGAATCACAGTGGGGGGAGTACTTCAAAGGAACCTGAAAAATGACCATGAATACAAGCAAGGATAAAGAATTAGGGCCACTGTTACATCTATCACACCAAAAAAACAAAAAACAAAAAACAAACAAAAAAAACTAAGACAAGTATAGTCAATTCATTGTTCTAATAGGTATTACTAACTTCTTTTGAAAAGAACCTGAGATTTTATCTGGCCTTAGCTGTAAATTAGGCTCTTATGAAGTACGTGGGTCATCTTTCTTATGCCAGCTGAGAGATGGAGGCAAATGAGTGATAGAATTGTTCTCTGTCTCTCGCTTTTTTTTTTCTTTTCCCTCTGAACTGTTATGTTTAGTTGGTTTGTAAAGCCAGTTAAATGCAATAGATTTTGGCTCAGGGAAGTCCAAATTTAGCCTAGAGAAATCCAACTTTGGCCCTGCTTAAATCAATTCAAGCCTTCCTCTATTCCCAGGGCCAAGTTCTAAACATGAAAAAAAAAATCTATTTTAATTCCATTCTTGTAGAATAACTGCTAAAATAAGCAAGCCAGTTAGTTTATTTGGCTAAGACTGTAAGACTAATAATGTTCAAGCCTTATATAATCCACATTCCTTTTTATGAATAGCATAATATAATGGTGACCTTACTGAACCAAACCAAATCAGAAGTTCCAGATTCTAGAACAGGCTCTGCTACTAACTAGGTGTATGATCTATCAATAATTTACTTACCTCTTTAATTCTCAGTTGCCCCATGTATATTAATAGGAATTGTTCTTAATTACAATACTCCAAACGTCCTATTTCCATGGCATGTTAATAGGTGCTACATATTCAAGTAAGTTTAAGATATATCAGCTTAAATAAAGTTCAAAATGTTTATTTCAGGACTTTTCAGAACCTTTAATATGTTTTGCCTTCTGAATCCCTGGGAGGGAAACAACGTAATGTACAGCAAACTAATTTCACCAAGAACTCTTTCCCCCATAAAACATCATGTGTCCCACTGTATATACTTCAGGAAATGTGCTATTATTTCACCCAAACAGGTGAATTTATCAGAGTCCCCAAAAGAAATAGAAGGCTATTTCAAGTGGGGACATTTGAGAAGAGTGTAATAAAACAACTACAGTATTTACAAATGTATGAGCAGGGTTTAGGTAAAGCAACAAGTTGTAGTGAACTATACTGGGGCTAGTAATAACTGTAAGCTATTACCAACCCTAAGTGAAAAGGGGTAAAGGGAGGGAGCAGGAACTAAACCTAGTGAGGTAACTGGGGTAACTGCTTGGGAACAGAAGAGATAGGATTCCTGATAAGGTACTATTTAGTAGAGGAACACAGCCAACTGATGATGACATGGCAGGAAAGGAGCCAGGGAAATAAATAACATCATTTCATTTTCCTCTCAACTTCTAATCTCCCACTGGTGCTTCCCATTTGTTGAACCCAACCAAAAGCAAGAGAGCAAAGGAACCTACCTCACAGAGCAGGGAGCAGAATAGAAAAGAGCAGACAGAAGCTATTCAGCACAGTAGGGCTCTATTCACAAGCAGCTAGGTCTAGGTAAATAAATGATGTCATCAGGACTCAGTCTCTCTTTTTCTCTCCACTCTGCTTTCCTTCGCTGACTTCATTCTAAGTCAGGCTCTTTTCACCTGGCAGCAGAGATGGCCACTAGCAGGTAGGCTTCAATTATTATCAGTTCACAATTCCAAATAAAATAAAAAGAGTAAACATATATGTAACACTTACTATATTTCAGGTACTGCTGAAAGCCCCTTAGATATTAACTCAGTTATTCCTATAAGGTAGTTGCTCAGTATTGCCTGCTTTGTACAAATGGAAGAAAATGACATGGCTGATAAGCAGAAAGGCTGAGATTTAGATTCAGGTAGTCTAGCTCCAGAGTCTCTGCTTTTAACAACCTTAGGACTTAAAGAAACAGCCCTAGATACCAGAATTCTAATTCTAGTTCTGCCTATGTTTGCTACTAACCTCAAGAAAAATCACTTATGACCTATTTTTCAGCCAGCAGATTGTAACCCCATTTACTTCTAAAGGTGGTCATGAGTACAGGTGAAAAGATATAAAGATGTTGAAATAAATAGCTAATTAGATCTAATGGAATATGTTATATCTAATCACAGAGACATAACACACTATATTAAAATGTAGTAATGAAACTGAGGTTTCACTGAGCAAATAACTTCTGAAGTAAGTTTTTCAATCAACAGTATCTCTGAAAAATTCCCCCAGATACAATTTCCTTCAAGAAATATGAAGTGATATATATGAAACTGGAATTTTTTCAAATGGTCTTACAGGCATTATATATGATTATTTCTTAAGAAAAAACAAAGCACAAATATAAGTTTATTAATGTTAGCAAAATAAAAAGACATAAGTGGCTTGTTAAAAACTAATGTGTAAGTTTTCCTGTTTCCTTATCTCCAGAGCATTTGGCATTCTTTATCAACTGGTACATAAAAGAATAGAAAAATAAAAGATTGTCATATTGCCCTCTGTATTTCTCTTTTAATATATCAGTATGGTAGTCTACCAGAAAGTAGTAAATGGCTTCAATTGTAGAAAGGAAAGTATCTGGCTTTCCTTTTTGATGGCGCCAAAAGCAAGTTTTTCTTGTTTTCAACTCAACTTGTAACAACCCTGTCAAAAAAAAAAAAAAAAAAAGAAAGAAAGAAAGAAAAAATATAAATATTTCTTCTTAACCACAGGCTTGGTACAATAATAATGATTTCTCTTAATTATTCTAAGAATTTTTTTTTAAAGACTGCAGATAACTTCCTTCAATCCCAGTTTGAAACAAGATATTTTCTTAAACACCTCAAGGTATATACAGAAGCAACATAAAACAAATAATAAAATCTTATACATGACAGTTAACACTGAGTCTTAGACCAATGAATTAAAAGTAGTTAACATTTAAGATATTCATGTCTTCCAATCTTCTATGTATCAGCATCTTCAAAAATCTAAATCTCTGACAGGACTGCATTCACCAATTTTCAGAAGGGTTTCATTTCCTTGACAAACTGACTTTTTTGTTTATTTAGAGATGAGGTCTCACTCTGTCACCCAGGCTAGACTGCAGCAGTGTGATCATAGCTCACAGTTACCTCAAACTCTGGACTCAGTGATCCTCCCATCTCAGCCTCCCAAATAGCTGGGACTACATGTGCACACCACCATATCCAGCTAAGATTTTTTATTTTTATTTTTTTTTAGAGACAGTGTCTTGCTATGTTGCCCAGGCTGGTCTCAAAATCCGGGGCTCAAGTGATCCTCCTGCCTTGGCCTCTGCCTCTCAAAGTGCTGGGATTATAGGCATGAGCTACAGTGCCCAGCCTAAACTAACTTTTAAAATATCATTCTGAAATTCACTGAGAGATAGGCAGCTTAATGTTCCTTAATACTGGTAAAAGTTTACTTCTTGATTATCATTTTCAGGCTATATTCATGAACAGAGTATCCTAAAGCTGTGGTTTCTTTTGTTTGCTTGTTTGTTTTAGCTCTGTCACATGTATGCTGCAGAGCTCAATAACACAGTCAGGTAGAATGCCTTGCTCTTGTACATTTAAAAAGGGAATAATTAATGCAGTCACACAACAGTACTCTCATTTGTTATAACTCAGCTGTCTTCATACAAACCCAGAATGCTTTTAGCTCCTTAGGCCAGTAACTGGACTCATACTATATTTAATTTTTTGTTTTTGCAAATTTTATTTTAAAGTGAGAAATAAAAGAGAGAAGGTAGCATCAAAATTGGCCCAATGACCAACTGGAATTTCTAAGTCACTAATGATTTCCCACTGTCACATCCCACTTTTACTCAATGTAAAATGTAGCAGAGACAAGAAATAAATAATAAAAGAAATACAAAAATATTCAGAGATATGGAGGATCAAATGACTAACAGGAGTTCGAGGAAGAGAGAACAAAGAGAATGGAAGAGAGGGAGCGGTTAAAGAGATAATGACTATGACTTTTCCAGAAATTATTTTAAACTATAAAAAGCCACAGATACATGAAACATCATGTGTCTCGAGCAGGATAAATATAAACAAATCAGTGCCTAGTTCTATTACATATTTAACTGAAAAACACCAAAGATAAAGAGAAGATTTTAAAAGAAGCCATGGAGAAGGGACAGATCATATACAAAGAAAAGGTAATTAGAATGACCAAAGACCAAAGACAGAATATTGAAGACACTAGAATAATATCTTCCAAGTGTCAAACAAACAAACAAACAAAAAAACAGAACTGGCAACCTAAAATTGTGAACCCAGCAGAACAACCTATCACGAAAAAAGTGATAAACATTTAATAGACAAATGAAAACTGAACATACGCCAACAAGAGACCAAATTAAAGGAATTCCTAAAGGATGTATTTGATAAAACACTGAGTAAAGAAAATGGTAAACATCTATGCAAATCCAGATAAATGTTGCCTGTATAAAACAAAAACAATAATAATATCTAATTTGTAGACTGACAATAAACGACAGACAAAAATAATGATATTAACAATAACAATGTGAACCAGGAGGAGGCTGAATGAAGCTTCAGCATACAAAGTCCATACAATGTAAAAAAGGAGAGGTTAAACATTGTTTGGCTTTGAACTTTTTAAGTGATATGGGCAATTCTCTAAAATAATTGAAATAGGAATAAAAATAGAATAAGAAAAAACCTCAATCAAAAAAAGAAACAAAAATTATAAAAAAGGACAAATAGAAATAAAAATTAAGATGGTAGAAAGTAGATCCAATTATTTCAATACTCACAGCAATTGTAAATAAACTAAACTTAATATTTAAAAGACATAGATTATCAGATTGAAACGTGAGAAGGATGACCCCTACAATTAAATAACTGGCTTCAATTAAATATTGCATTAGAGGTCTTTCTTATTTAACATAGTAATAAAGAACAATAAATTAATTAGAAGGATAAGAACTGGAAAGAAATGCAATTGGCATTACTTACACAGAAAATACAAAAAACCTCAGGCAAATCATTAGCCACATAGTATCTTGCAGAAGAGAAGGATTCAAACAAGACACAAACATAGTGATAAATTCCACACTAAAAGTTTTTTTTCCTCAAAAGAAAAGAAATTGAAAAGATGAACCACAAACTGCAAGAAGATATTTTGCAACATTATCTATATTCTAGAATATACAAAGAATTTCTACAAATCAATTAAGATAAAACACAGAAAAATGGGCATAGATATTTCACAGAATAGGACACGTATATGGCCAAATAAACAATGTAATTATCAATCCTATTAGTAATTAGAGAAAAGTAAATGAAGATGACAATGAGACACCATTTTAAAATACTAGGTTGGCAAAAATCAGACATTTGATAATACCAAGGTAGGAGAGATTATGGATCAATGGAGCGCTTATACATTAATGATGGAAATATTCCTTTGTATGTCCACTTTGAAAAACAATTTGGCATTATCCTGTAAAGGTGAATATTCTCATACTCAACAACTCAGCAATGTGACTCCTAGGGATGTTTCCTAGAGGAGCTTGTACTTGCACAAGAATGTGTGTAGTAGCATTATTTGCAATAGGAAAAACTAGAAATAACCAAAGTGTTTCATTAGCAGGAAACCAGATAAACTGTAGTATATCACAGATATTATTCAGCAGTGAAATAGAATAAACTATAGCTACAGTGATATGACAATATATATAAACCCTAGAAACAAAATGTGACTTTAGAAAGCAAGTCCCAAGAAAACAACACACAGCTCAAAATAAAGCAAAACTAAATCATATATAGTTTATGAAAACATATATATAACACTATAATCTAAAAAAGCATAATTCAGGAAAATAACTGTCAGGGGAAGAAGGGGAATGGCACAAGGGAAAACATAGGTAAATGGAAGTTAGAAATACTGGTGCTTGAGTTCTTAATTGTTCATTATATCACTATGCTTTATAACTTAATGTTACATATACGTGTGTGTGTGTATATATTATTTCATATGTATCACAATTTATTTAAAAATATAAAACAGTTAAAAACAAACAAACAAAACCTCTTTGCTTATTTAGTGAAGGAATTGGAGCTTGAAGTCATGTCCCAGCCCAATTCTTTCCATTAGACTTAAAATACAATCTAATCATGTCAATGACAAGCTTAAAAATTTTTTAATGATGCCACAGCACTATGGATAAAAGAACAAATGCCCAAGCATGCTGAATAAAATATGACATTCATAATTTGAATTTCTCCAGTCTCTTTTACCATTCTCATATATGTATGCATTCTAGACAACATTAAATATTTCAGTTTCTTGAATGCAAAATATTTTTTATACCCTAGTATTTCTAACAATCAGTAACTTTATAATAAAATTATAGTAAAAATCGTAAACATTTTTTCTTGAGGTGGGATTTTGCTCTGTTGTCCAGGCTGGAGTTCAGTGGCATGAGCATAGCTCACCGCATCCTTGAACTCCTGGGCTCAAGCAATCCTCCTGCCTCAGTCTCCCAAGTACCTAAGACTACAGGTGCACACTACCACGCCTTGCTAATTACTTTATTTTTTGTTGAGATGTAGGCCTTGCTATGTTGCCTAGGCTAGTCTAGAACTCCTGTGTTCAAGTGATACTCCCACCTTCATCTCCCAAAGTGCTGGGATTACAGGAATGAGCCACTACACCTGGCTCAAAACTAGTAAAATATTTTAGCAGTAGAAACTTAAAGTAGATAATTACAAATGGCTTTTCCTTCCAAAAGTGCTGCCTCAGTTTCTTCAATTGCAAAGTGAGGGTGACATCCTTTACCTCATATATTTGATGTGAGGATTGAATAAGGTAGTATAGGACACAGCACTCACTGACAGGGAGTGTAGTTTAGGCAAAGCTTATAATATGAATAAAGTTATCACTTTAAAAGTTGTATCAATACAGTCAAACTGAAGGGAAAGAGCTGGCTAATTTTTATAACCAATTACAGTATAATGCCATTTAAATATAATTTGGACTCACATCCAACAAAAAGAAACAATGTCTCCCCCTACATTCTGCCAAGGCTTCCTATGATAAATCTTTAAGAATGTTATATCATTCTTCACCTGTAGGTTTAGGTTTACCTTTTATAATTAAATTAGGCACTCTACCTTCAAGTGTTTTATTTTGACACTGGTAGAACACACAGAGCTATTTTTCTGTAAAAATTTGGCAAAACAGTAAGGTTTTACATTGTTAAAGGGATTCTTAACCTCAGCATTCATAGTAAAATAATGGAAACATAATTTCCAATACACCTGAGGGTTTAATTGAGGTATAGACTCAGTTTGTTCAGATTAATCTCACGAAATGACGAAGTTTTAAAGCCTAAAGCCAACAATTTATAAAAACCATGGATTGTTTCTTATGGAAGTAACTCGGTTTATTCAGAAATCAGTATTTCACATATACAGAGGTTATAGATATGTATAGAGCCCTAATTGTTTCCTGTGGTGCAATGAAGAGCCACAAAGGACAGGGGTTGAAGTAGGTCATGCAGAAAACTTGCCTTTAGAAATCTGTTCCTTTTATGATTTTAAAGAGATTAAGAAGCCCCTTTAAAAATTTTTGATCTAGCACAGAACTGAAATATATGATACTTTCCATGTGAATTGGGAAGGAATAACAAAAATCTTTTGTACAAATCTGATTTTAGGCAAGCCAAATTTGGACACTCTGAAAAGAGATTTTGAATAATACCACAATAATTCCTTTTATAGTTTTGTCAAGGGTTTTTACTTATGTTTTTTCATTTATCTTTTCAATTACCATATAAGGTAACTATAAAGAAAAATGGCTCAGAAAAATCTTCAAACTGGCAAGTAACCTGCTGCTGTAAACATCCACAGGAATGTGGCAGGCAGTGTTCCCTTTCTCTCTTTCAAAGAGCACAGCCTTAGGGCTTAGGCGTTTGTCTTTCTATCAAACATCGGCAACAAAATTTCTTAAAGATCTTATGCTCCGTAGTACCTGCCCTTCACTCTCTCCCACACACATAAGACACAAAGCGCACACAATTAGACTTTCAAAGCAACTTTACTAATGTGTATGAAGATCTCAGATGCATAAACTATATAAATTAAGCTCGTTAAATCTAGTGTTGTCACTCACTTCAGCTTGGAATTAATGAACACCAATCAGACTCCAAAAAGTGTCAAAATGTTCTTTTCTAGATAATGCACATTTTTAACACTAGCCTGAGAGAAGCTCTCCCAGTTTGAAACAAACTGTTTTAGCAACTGCCTAATATCAACTGAATAGCTTTCTTGCCTTCTAATCATACATGGACAAGTAAAGTAACTGTTTTAAATCACTATTATTAGGAACCAAGTTTTTCACTCTAAAAGAAATAAAAATCCTTATAATGTTAAATATGAATTGGAACTATCTGTGTGAACTCATGATACATAACTATGTATTTTTCCTGGCTCTATCCATTGAAGCAATGACATCCCAAAAGTAATGAATTTACCAGATCTTAGTTTCTAATACCATTTCCTATTAAAAGAAACTATAGCTTCTTAGAAAAACAATTGATTCCAGGTCTGAGACAGAAAAAAAGTACAAGTGAACTTGCCTGTTGCACCAAAAAGACAAATGAGGCCATGCCATGAAGTACTTGAAGGGTTTCCACTGGCAAAATTTGAGAGAACTAGAGCATCAAAAAGATTATTATCAAAAAGATTAGCATCTTTATTGATGCTACACTATAATTTATTATAGCATATTGAATTAAAAAGAAAATCCATAAGATCATAATGATCTCAAAAAGGGGTGGAAAGAGAAAGAAATAAAGAACAGGAGAAAAAGGAAAAGCTCTTCTTTACATAAGAATACTGGCTAACTAATGTAGGAAGAAATCATGTAATTAAAATTTCACTATTTTTCAATTCTCAATGTAATTATTCAATTTATGCAGGGATCATCAATGAATACTAAAATCACTGGTGAAAAGTTTTTGGGAAACAGTCCACAGTCTGAAAACATCACCCCATAGATTACCACTACTTACAAAGAGAAAAAATAAACCTTTATAATGGAGAGATGGGGTAATCACCACTTTAATCAAGTAATGAAAGTTATCACAAATGATAGACAATTTGCATTATGTGCCTCCTAATTTGATGCAACAATAAAGTATGAATTCACCTATGAATTGGTTAGCCATACAATTTATCAGCTAAAAGGTTCATTTCTGAGAGTAAAATTACATGTTATTAATAATTATACCCAAACGATAGATATAAACTAGACATAGACAACCCTGGATTTATCCTTACCTGTAAGTATCCTAGGCAACATATTTAGACTGAAACTAATCACAATGAAACATTCAGACAATTGACCTGTCCTCTTCACAAAAGTCTAAGTCATGAAAAATAAAAACAGGACTACTCTAGATTAAAAGAGACTAAAGATACATAATAATGAAATAAACCGTGACGAGTTTAAATGCTATATGGGGGGAAGCTACAAAAGGTATTTTTGGGTCAGTTAGGGAAATTTGAATATGGACAGTATATTAGATGATATTATGTAATTTTCATTAATTTTCTTAGGAGTGATAATGGTACTGTATTTATTATACAGGAGAACATCCTTTTTTTTTTTTTTTACACAAGTGTCATAGCAACTTTATTTGAAATAGTAGAAAATGGGAAACAACCAGTGTAAATGTCCATCAACAGATAAATAGATAACACTAATTGTAGCATATCCATACAACGAAATACTACTTGGCAATAAATGTATGACCTATTGATACATGCTACAACAAAAATGAGTGTCAAGTTATTTATTTTGTGTGAGAAAGCCAAACCAAAAAAAGGAAAAGAGTACATACTATATGATTCAATTTCTATAATATCCCAGAAAATGCATCTAATCTATAATGATTAGATATAGATCATTGATTAGAGATGGGGTTGGAGAGTGTGGAAGTGTGCTGTGGGGAAAGCTGGATGAGAAAGATTATAAAAGGTCAGGCAGAAACTTTGGCAGGGGATGGACAGGTTCATTTCCTAACTTGTAGTGATGGTCTCACAGCTGTACACATATGAGAAAACTTTAATACTCTGGAAACATGTAGTTTACTACATGTTAATTCTTACTCAAAAAAGTTATTTTTAAAAACTGTAAGGAAGGCTGCGCGTGGTGGCTCACACCTGTAATCCCAGCACTTTGGGAGGCCAGGGCAGGCAGATCACCTGAGGTCAGGAGTTAGAGACCAGCCTGGCCAATATGGTGAAACCCGTCTCTATGAAAATACAAAAAAATTAGCCAGGCGTGGTGATGGTGTGCCTGTAATCCCAGCTACTAGCGAGGCTGAGGCAGGAGAATCGCCTGACCCCAGGAGGCAGAGGTTGCAGTGAGCTGAGATTGCACCACTGCTAGCCTGGGTAACAGAGCAAGACTCCCTCTCAAAAACAAACAAACAAACAACAACAAGAACAACAAAAAACCTGTAAGGCAAAAAACAAAAAAAACAAAATAGAAGATCTAACTTCTTAGTAAATGTATTCACCATTAGGGTGTTTATAAAAGAGATGTCATTCTTTATTAATATAGGAGAATATTCTTATTCTTAGAAAATGTACACTTAGGCTGGACGTGGTAGCTCATGCCTATAATC
The DNA here is from genome assembly GCF_000001405.40 of Homo sapiens. Taxonomy (NCBI): domain Eukaryota; kingdom Metazoa; phylum Chordata; class Mammalia; order Primates; family Hominidae; genus Homo; species Homo sapiens. The sequence goes on along the minus strand of NC_000015.10, from coordinate 49,635,304 downwards.
CCAGCACTTTGGGAGGCCAAGGCAGGAGGATCACCTGAGGTCAGGAGTTTGAGACCAGCCTGGCCAACATGATGAATCCCCGTCTCTACTAATAATACAAAATTTAGGCAGGTGTGGTGGTGGGCGCCTGTAATCCCAGCTACCTGGGAGGCTGAGGTGGGAGGATCACTTGAACCCAGGAGGAGGAGGTTGCAGTGAGCCAAGATTGTGCCATTGCACTCCAGCCTGGGCAACAGAGTGGGACTGTCTCAAGAAAAAAAAGGAAAATGTACACTTAATATTTAAGGGTGAAGTGTTACAAAGCCTGAAACTTACTTTCAATTGATCAACCAAAAAATATATAATATATAAATACACACTCACATATATAATAAAAAGAGAGAAATAAAGTAAATATGGCAAAATGTATAGGTATTCAGTGTAACTCCTCTTTCAAATTATCTGTAAGTTTGAAGTTTTTTCAAAATAAGTCTGAGGGAGGAGCAGTCCAAAAAAACATTTTTTTTTTACCTTGAAGTCGCTCATCAGTGAATATTTTGTTTGTTTGGTTCCAGGTGCTATCTATAAATATAATTTTTTTCAGTGTTGTGCCTTTGCACTTGCTGTCATTCAAATCACAGAACTCTTGTTCTTCAGTTCTTTTGCGTTTAAAAGATGGCTTGTCAGGGTCATCATTTTTGCCTCTAACATTATTTTGAATCCTTTTTTGCAGATGAAAAGAAATATCTTTTATTGAGATAGACTGAGGTCCAGGAAAAATGAGTGCAACCTAAAACAAAGAAAATTGGGTTAGCAGTGTGCTACTATGATCTTCAAAATATATAAATTTTGATTGACTTAAAATTTTAAGAAAGATATGTTGAATATCTGAGAAATAAGCATTAGGTTGGTTCTATTGTATATGGTTCTTTAATATGTATGGTAAAGTTTTTGGCTCTCCCCTAGTAATTTATAATCATAATATAATAATTAAAACTATTATTTCAAAATAAGTTATTCACTGACTGATAGATGCCAAGTTAGTCATACTTGAAATAAAAAGACTAAATTATATAATTTTTCATAAGATAAAAAGCAAAGTACATGATACTTCGTAAAAGAACCACTGAAAACTGTTCAATGATTAAATGCCATTTTCATCTATATCATAAGCCAAAGATAAAACAAATGATACAGTGAATGCTGGTGAGGAAATGGTGGTCTGAGAGCAGGATTAAATAGCATAACTCTTCATGGAAGCAATTTGACCATTTAAATCAAGAGTCTTAAAATATTCATACCCTTTGGTTCAACGATCTCATTATGTGAATGTAATAAAATAATCCTAAACACAGACACTTACAATATCTAAGTATATTTATTACAGTGAAAAATTAAAATGAAAAAATCTAACCTTCCAGGAAAAATTACATAAATATGATACCACTTTTCTTTCCGCACATTTTTACTGAGATTTATATTGTTAGAGCTTCCAATGTCTGAACAGCTCCTGGCACAAAGCAGGCACCAAGTAAATATTTGTTAAATGAATAAATGTTGGAGAATCAAGGGAATTTTATCCCCATATGTTTCTCTATTTCCCAAATTTTCTTCAATGAGCACACAAATTTTTAAAATAAAAAGATAAAAACAAAATCACAATAAAATAAAATTATGAAACAAAAAATCTTGGCCGGGCACAGTGGCTCATACCTGTAATCCCGGCACTTTGGGAGGCCAAGGTGAGAGGATCACTTGAGCCCTAGGAGTTCGAGACCAGTCTGGGCAACATAGTGAGACCTGTCTCTACAAAGAATAAAAATATTAGCTGGAAGTAGTGGCGCACACCCATGGCCTCAGCTACTCGGGAGCCTGAGGTATGGGGATTGCTTGGGCCCAGAAATTTAAGGCTGCAGCAAGCTGTGATCATGCCAATGCATTCCAACCTGAGCAACAGAGCACGACTCTTAAAAAGCAAAAACCTTGAATTTTATACATTTCAAAGTTGTAAAAGTTTTTAAATATTCATAATACATGTCTATATTTCCCCCTATATCCAGTTAGCAAAGTCCAGGGCTTCTGAATTTTCTTAAATTATAAGCGTATCACATCTCCTTACAGAACATAGCACTACATTCTATTTAATCAACATAAATGGAGTCTAGCTGACCAGAGAAAGAAACATTTTCCTAGATCCAAAACTCAAATATTATTTACAAACATAATTTTTTATATAAACTCAACCAAAAAAATACATATATATATATATATATATAGATATAGATATAAATAGGAAAGTAAAAATTTACCAAGTTCTTCCTGGAACAAATGAATGCACTAATTTTTAATTTTGTTTCTATACTAGCCACACCAACAAATGGCCTCCAAGAGACCAAAAGGCTTTTACATGCTTCTTTCAGTACCCAAGGCCTTAATTTTTTGAGACACATTGTAAAATTACTTTTCAGCAAGAAGACCCATAATTTCTCACCAATGTGACAATTGCAACTGGGTGAAAACCAATTAAGAATCTAAAAATGAGCAAGGAAGGCCTCTGAGCAGCCAAAAGAAATGTTATAAAGGCTATGCACTAAAGCTCTTAATTTAGGAGGATTCCTGAATATCCTAACTCAGTCTTTCTTCTTTTAGAGAAATTCCAACAATATTTGTAATCTGGTTTCCCAGTTTGCATCAAATTAGATCATCTATATGTAGCACAAACAGGAGAAGGAGAGGAGAAAAGGTAAAAGCAGGCACAATAGTATTGGCAAGGAGTAAAAACCTGAAGAAATAAGGCAGAAGAGCTATAAAATGCAGAAAGACTCAAAAACGCATAGCAGTCTAGAAACATCTGATCTTTGAAGATATCAATGAAATAAACTGTATATTGTCTAACATTACCTGAGCATAATACTTTACTAAGAAAAATATTAAATTATGTTTGAGTAAGTTCAGAAAGGCAATGGAGGTTAAAATTCATTTTTATATCCAATGTGAAGAGTTATAAAAACTAAGTTGCCTACTTCATGGTCCTTTTCTTCATATTCTGGAATACACGGATACGTGTAAATGTTTACAAATTCAGGTGCTAAGAGTTTTGCATGTATAGCAGTACTTTTGCCATCTGTTTCATTTGGATGTTTAATGATGTCAATCTTCAATGGAAGCTAAAGGTAAAAAAAGCACAAATAAAAAAATATATAAACATTTTAATTTTTATGTTAATAAAAAGGGTCTTTAAAGCTAAATAGGAAGCTCACAATAAACTCCTATAAATATGCATATGGTTTAAAAGATATACCATAATATTAAGAATGGTGATTGTTACAAAACCAACCCAAATTTCTTCCTTGGCATTGTTATTCATGTATTAGGACAACTATTTTCAACTCATTTAACAGAGAATCTTCTCTTAAAGCAAAGCTCCAATGTCATTTTCACTTAAGTTATATTAACTCCAATTCTTTGCATTTCACCATGTGTGCCAAGGACATTTTAATAAATCCTATAAACTTTAGGTTTGCCTATTTTATGCCATTTTATTTTATTTTTATTTATTTATCTTGAGATGGACTCTCACTCTGCCACCCAGGCTGCAGTGCAGTGGTGTGATCTCGGCTCACTGCAACCTCCGTCTCCTGGGTTAAGCAATTCTGCCCCAGCCTCCCAAGTAGCTGGCATTACAGGCACCTGCCACCATGCCCAGCTAATTGTTGTATTTTTTTAGTAGAGACAGGTTTTCACCATGTTGGCCAGGTTGGTCTTGAACTCCTGACCTCAAGCGATCTGCCTGCCTCAGCCTCCCAAAGTGCTGAGATTACCAGTGAGCCACCACACCTGGCCTCTTACGCTATTTTAAAAAGAAATGTAAGTTTGGGCAAAAAGCTTCAGATCTAAAATTCAAGTTGAAATTCTGTTCCTTAGACATACTTTCAAGTCAAAACTGTTATCCTTTGCAGGAAACATCATGATTTTCGGCATCACATTTTCAATAGCACAAATTAAATAATTATCAATTAAAAAATAGTAACAATAGACCTAAGAGGTGTAATCTTTATATCACAAAACTGTCTTCAAAATCATCTTGCCTAACTACTCCCCAATCTTTCTGGCACCAAGAAGGACTGGTTTCGTGGAAGACAATTTTTCCACAGACCAGGGTTTGGGGAGAGGGTTTGGGGATGATTCAAGCACATTACACTTATTGTGCACTTTATTTCTATTATTATTACATTATAATATATAATGAAATAATTATACAACTCACCATAATGTAAAATCAGCAGGATCCCTGAGCTGGTTTTCCTGCAACTTGATGGTCCCATCTAGGACATGGGAGACAGTGACAGATCTTCAGGCATTGGATTCTCCTAAGGAGCATGCAATCTAGGTCCCTTGTATGCACAGTTCACAATAGGGTTCATGCTCCTATGAGAATCTAATGCTGCCGCTGATCTGACAGGAGGCAGAGCTCAGGTGGTAATGCGAGTGATGGGGAGCGGCTGTAAATACAGACGGAAGCTTCGCTTGCTCTCCAGCAGCTCACCTCTTGGTGTGCGGCCTGGTTCCTTAGGACCGGTACTGGTCTGTGGTCTGGGGATTGGGGACCCCTGTTGCCTAAGTATTTCCCTTGAAGTTTCATTATTTGTTATAGATGTTGTCTGTAACATGTCTCTATGCAAAAATAATATTCTCTTGGATTTTGTAAATTATATTTTTCTTATTTCACTTTGGCTTTTTTGGTTTAGCTCTCTTTGTAATGCTTATACAAGTACTGCATTCAGCCATGATTATGAAAAAAATGCCAAATCATATCTCCCTTACTATATATAAGAAACCCTCTGGAGATGTGTTCTTGACTTCAGCTTTTAAATGACCTTTTGTTTTATTTGGTAGTTCCCACCATCTCCAAGTTCCCATCCCATGCTAAATAAGTAGGATTCTAGGAATTTACCCTGGGCACACTATTTTACCCTGGAGGACAAAACTATTTTTCTTATGTCTTAAACTGTACATATTTAAAGTGTACAATCTAATAAGTTTTAACATATGTTAAATTCTTGAATCCACTGCTACAGTCAAAATAATGATTTGCCACTATCAAAAGTCTTCTCAAGCCCTTCTTCCTTCTCCTCTCACCATCAACAATTGCCCTCCTCAGGCAATCAGTAATCCACTGCCACTATAGTTTGTACTTTCTAGAATTTTATATAAATGAAATCATACAATATACCCTCTTCATTTGACTTTAGCTAAGAATAATTATTTTGAGGTTCTTCCATGTTGTGTGTGTGTGTGTGTCATTAGTTCCAAAACTATTTTTGAATGGAGCAGCTACTAAATAATTTCAATTTCAAATTTTTTTCTTCCTGGACAATTATGTTGGGGACAGAACAGTATAAATAATACACCCCTGGAGGACCTTGGCCTACAAATGAATTCCTCAAATAGTTTTCAATTAGGGTTTCAAATGCTGTATCTCCTACCCTCCCCGCTTAGGCCTAGCAATCATTTATAAGTTAGGCCCAATGATCATTTATAAGTTAGGCCCAATTGCTTCTAATCATCAAACCAACTTCTAGTTATGGAAAATTTACCATTTAAGTAGGCAGTTCACAAATGATTTTACATCAGTCTACTTCTGGCTGAACACTACATCAGAGTTTCCTCATGACGCTCGGTCTCAGTTGAAACTACCTTCCCTCTCCCTAGGGTCTCTGAGCACCACATCAGTATTATCTTAGCCCAGGGAAGGTAGGAAGTAAGAAAAGAAAAAAAAGCAGATCATGACAAGAAAAGAAAAAGAAAGCAGATCATAAATGTGAACTTCTTATATGGCTGATGAGTAAAGCTGAAAATTCCAAAAGTTATCAATATTTCTGATCAGCTAGCTATCTTGGAGGGTATCATTTATATCAAGAACACAGGAGTGTTATTGACAAATTTTATAAATCATGTGCCTAGCCTATTTTTTTAATTATATGATAAAAGAAAAAGCTTTATGAACTAAAGTCTGCAAGCATAATTATGCAAAACCTGTACACAATCCAAGGTATTGTTAGTTTTCCATGAGCGTGAGATCTCTCACATCATAAAACCAAAGCACAGAAACAGATCAAATCATGGAAATCCATGTTTGTGTTCTAGTTCACACATGTTAAAAGAAGATTATTTCTTAAATAATGACAAGAGTACAGAGTAACAAAATAGTGTTGACCACACAGGAACAGAAAACCAAACAACGCATGTTCTCACTCATAAGTGGGAGTTGAACAAGGAGAACACATGGACACAGGGAGGGGAACATCACACACTGGAGCCCGTCTGGGGGTGGGGAGCTAGGGGAGGGATAGCATTAGGAGCAATACCTAATGTAGATGATGGGTGCAGCAAACTACCAGGGCACATGTGTATCAATGTAACAAACCTGCAAGTTCTGCACATGTATCCAAGAACTTAAAGTATAATTAAAAAAGAAAGAAAAAAAATTTGCTTTTTTACAAGCTACAAAAACATTTGCTCTGAGGCTTCGTATGGACATTAAAGCTTAACTGTGTTTAAAAAAAAAAAATAGTGTTGACCAGAGGGCAGTCTGAGTAGAGACATTCTGTTTTCAAACAAGTAAAGAATATCAATCTGCTCTCGAACACTTATGTTTTATAAAAGAGACTTACCACAAATCCTTCTGCCCAAGTTTATCAAAATGCTACTGACAAGGAGACCTAAGCATTTTCCCATGGGATTATCAACTTTCCCCAAGAGAGCCTTTTAAATTCTAGGCTCTAAATGCCTATGGCCTAGCGAAGTGTAACCATTGTAACATTGCACCACAGTGCAGTACTTATATGCTTGTGATGATGCTGATGTAAACAAACTTACTGCACTGCCAGTCATATAAAAGCATGCTATACAATAATGTTTAATAATGATAATATAAATCTGTTACTGGTTTATATATTTGCTATACTACACTTAATTTTTTTAGTTTTAGAGTACACTCATCCTAATTAGAAAAAAGAAATGTTAACTGTAAAATAGCCTCAGGCAGGTCCTTAAGGAGGTATTCCAGAAGAAGGCATTGCTATCATAGGAGATGACAGCTCCATACATTACCCCTGAAGAGCTTCCAGTGGGACAAGATGTGGAGGTGGAAGAAGACAGTGATACTGATGATCCTGACACTGTGTAAGCCTAGGGTAACGTGTTTGTGTCTTGGTTTTCAACAAAAAAAGTTTAAAAAGTAAAAATAAATAAATAATAAAAATAGGAATAAGGTTACAGAATAAGAGCATAAAGAAATATTTTTGTTCAGCTGTGCAATGTGTTTGTGTTTAAATGTAAGTGTTATCACAAGTTTTTTAAAAAGTTTATAAAGTAAAAAAGTCACAGTAAGCTAATTTATTATTGAAGAAAAATATTTTTCATAAATGTAGTGTACCCTAAGTATACAGTGTTTATAAAAACTACAGTAGTGTACAGTAACATCACAGGCCTTCACATTCACTCACAAGTCACCACTGACTCACCAAGAAAAACTTCCAGTCCTGCAAATTCCATTCATGCTAAGTGCCCATAAAGGATTACTATTTTTATACTGTACTTCTACTGTACTTTTCTATGCTTATATTTGTTTAGATACACTAATACCATTGTGTGTACAACTGTGTACAGTATGCAGTACAATAACATGCTGTACAGATTTTGTAGGCTAGGAGCAATAGGTATTGCCCAGGTGTATAGTAGGCTATACTATGAAGGTTGTGTAAGTACATTCTATTATGTTTGCACAACAGTGAATTTGCCTAACGACTCATTTCTCAGGACACATTTCTCAGGATGTATCCCTGTCATTAGGAGACATATGACTATATTTATGAATGCATTCCCTAGACTAAAATTGGGAGGGAATTACTCATTATATTGTCATCCTCCTTTCCCAAGTAGGCTATCTAAAAGCAAATGCTGAATGATTTGTTAAAATAAAAATAAAGTAAAAATTGGAAAGGACATTTTGTAGAGCTGTTATTACCATTAATGTATATTAAAGTATCAAATTTTATACAAGGCCATTAAAATATAAACACTTTAGAAAACTCTGCACAGTCCAGACCATTGAGAGATGATCAAACACTAATGTCTTGAGTCATTTCTATTAAATGGTGTATATTAGACCACTGATTTGGAAAATACCCTCTATTATTAAATATCTATGAAAATATCAGCCCTGTAACTATATTACTGATTATTATTATTATAATATGCAATCCATTTTTTAATACAATACACCTTAGGATAAAACTTTTAATGGAATCCCTTCTTTACATGGCTATGAGAGAAATGTAAAATAGAATAATTCTACGTATACTTCAAAAACCATACTTCAAAATGTAACATTCCTGTAAGATAATGGGAAACTTGAAAATAATTATTACCCTCAAGTTCTTGTTTTTTCGGAGCAAACTGTGAAGATCATATTAAATTCCACACTTACTTATTCTTGGCTAGTAAACTTTCCATTAGCCTATACATGTGATTTTAGATGCTGAGGAGACCATGGACTGGCCAAGATGATATAGGCTAAACTGAAATTCAAATAAAATATGAGTGTCAAAGTACTCTTCTTACTTCAAATTCAAATGAACTTTAAAATCATCAAAACAAATTTTAAAATATAGCTACAACTTATTTTTTTTTTACTGGCAAGTTCTAATGAGTCCATGTGTAGAATTTAGTCTCTCTAAAGTCTTACACAGTCAAATTTTATACATTAATTGATTTATTCCTAAAGTTTGGGATAATGTTAGACAAGTTAACATATATATAATAAATTCTTTGATTATGTAGACATGACGTTCTACAGACCTTTTACCTATACAAAAGTAGTGTTGGTGAGCCCAAAAAGTATAAAGGTAAGCAATCAAATCGGGCTTAAAATCACTCTAATGATAACACAGCCCAGGGAATTGGTCTTAGTTTTTAAATTTTACTTTATTTTCATTTTGGTCAATGAAATCTGCTCCATCCCCATGTATAGGATAAGTCACAAAATCTTAGGTGAAAATCAACTCTAATTCTACTAGAATAGTATTTTCTCAAGGAGCAGTCCAAAGACATGAGTGTTTGGAGCTCCTTCAGGGTGTCTATAAACTTTTTTTTTAGTATTCATAAGTTTATATCACACATTTTTTCCCATGTTGTAAATAAATTAAAATCATTAATGAAAAATTAATTGGTTTCATTAAAAACACCATTTCAGACCCAGAGACAAGAAAAACAAAGAGGTTTAGTGGTCTGTAGGGCTAAATTTTCCATAAATACACTTGGTTTTCATGCTAGGAATGATAAATTCCTCTTCAAAATGTTTAATTGTGTGATGTTCTTATTCTTTGTTCAGAAGCCCAAGCTCCTTGTACTCTCGTTTCCAGCCTGCAAACAACCCTCCCACTCTTGTTGTGCCCTGACATGGCCAAACATGTCCAGACATGCCTTATACTATAGTGGACAGACCACTCCTAACCCCTCCTTTTACAAATCGTGCATTTACCCTATTTGGAAAATTTTAAGTCTTAGCCAACTGGAATCAGTTTTGATTGTGTGGTCCAACCCTAGCCAATAAGGGAAGGACACAGGGACAGGAACTGCATTAGGGTTAAAAATCCCTTCCTTCCTTTGTTCGGTGTGCTCTTGCGATCAGGCGCAGCACCCTTCTGCAGAAGTAAATGTGCCCTGCTGAGAAATTTTCTGTCTAAGTGCTAGTTTTTCTTTGCAGCAACAAGCACTTGTTTCTAACAATAATAACATTATTTATTAAGTTTATCAATTAGAGTAGGTATACATGAGATGTTTTTAAAAAATCTATTTTCATACTTTCAAACAATTAAATTTCTTACTAACCTTCACAAGTGGAATCTGTTCAATAGGTACATTTTCAACTGGAACATAACATGTATAGCAGTAGAACATTCTGGAACCACCACATTTGAGACATTTTGATCTCCCACTTTGCTGAGCTTTTTGAAGAACTTCTTGAGATGCTAAACATAAGTTTTGAAGGGGATCTTCTGAAGCTATGGAAGTAGTTTGTGACTGTTTTGTTTCCACAAATTTTGAACTATTTTCTTCACTTCGTTTGAGAAATATAGGTGGATTGAGAGACATTCTTCATTCAAACCAAAGTTTAACGGCTATTTCTAAAACACATATCATAGGTGCACTGTAAAAAAAAAGTATCAAGAGAAGGAAAAATAAAAACAGAAAACATTTTACTCAGTCTACAAAGAAAATTACTCAATTTAAGTCACAATTGTGTGCTGTTTTAGTACTTATTAAACATGTTTTAAACCACCAAATTGGCACACTTTAAAACATAAGATTAAAAGCAATAAACTGAAAGTTATTTCAAATATAAAGTTCAGGTACTGAGAATCCATTTTTCAAGAACCCTTTTTTGTTCCAGAGATGGCAGTTTTGTTTTCCAGATATTAGGAATGCAATGGTTTCACGTTAGCATCAGACAGGGATATATTCAACCCTGTTGGCTCTGACTTTGAATTGACATTAATGAAAAATAGAAGATTCTAGTGGAATTGGCAAAATTTAGTTGGTTATGTTCTAAAAGATATAACCCTCTCCAACTTAAACACACACTACATATGTGTGAGTGTGTCTGTGTACATGTGTGCATATACATATAAAACTTCATATCCAATAAAAAATAAGAGGCATCTACTACTCATTACAATTTGTAAAATATCCCATAAGGTAAAATATATTATCCTATAAATTTTAAAAATTTACAGAGTAACATTAATGTCCACTTACTCTAAGAATTTATGTTTTTTAAAAACATACATCATTCAGATTCTTTAGTACTAGAGAAAAATGGTAAAATAACTTTCCCACTTAATATTTTCTTCAAAGAAGGGTGATGGCTGCCAAAATTGCTATCTGTATACCCTGTAAGGAAGATATCTTTCAAGGGAGAAACAACACTGGTGCCCTATTGATTCGATATGCATTCCACAGCTGTAAAATAATTCTCTTATTATAAAGCCTTCTGGCATTGTGGTTTAACTACGAAGCTCCAGGCACTTTAAGTAGAAACAGGGACAAGAGAAATGCTGTGACTCCAGCAGGAAACATTTTGTGGTCTCCCAAACAGAAAGTGAACAAAAAGTCCAGAGAAACATAAAATACAACATAATTTGCTGAGAAGAAGTTAGTGGCACTAATTTAATTACTCATCAAATGAATTTTTCTTTTTCTTTTTTTTTTTAAGATTGTAAGTCCCAGTGAGTTTGAGATACAAATAAAGAGATACAAAAACGCCGGTTATAGTAGAAAAAGGCACTTGCCAAATGTACCCAAGGGGAAAAACAAAATACAGTAAATATTTTTGCTGTGTACTGATTACGCACAGATTTGCATTTTGGGTAAGAAAGCAGTATTTAAGAACAATGGTCCAATCCCTTGTTCCTGCCTCACAAATAGAAAATCTTACCTACTTCTGACTGCCACTCCAACTCACCTGCCTAAAAATGGCTTTGATCTTTGTGATCATGCCCTCAATGACTGAAAGTGCAGGATATTAAGATGCCCTCTTTTCTTGAGCCTCAGATTCTTTTAGGAATCACATGAAAATATTAAACCGCATCCCTAGAAAATGCATATACAGACACAATATTTTGCACACAATTTCAGGAGGTTTGGAGATCTCCTAGAGTCCATCTACGACCCAGGTAAGGAAGTTCCAAGCTTGGGAAGGGCCACGCATGGTGGCTCATGCCTATAATACTAGCATTTGGGAGGTTAAGGTGGGAGGATTACTTGAGCACAAGAGTTTGAGAACAGTCTGGACAACAAAGTGAGATCCCATCTCTAAAACAGAGAAAAAAAAAAAGCTTGGGAAGAGATCCTAATAGTCCCCAGAAATGAGAGTTGCAAATGCTCTGTTGGCGTCTCTTTGCTGCACATACGAAGCTAAGTTTCACCTAAACTCTCTTTGGGTTTGTCCTGGTGTTGCCTGAGGTTCTTACAGAGAAACATTTTGAGGCTTTAATAGTCCTGAGTTATTCAGATGATGGGATTCATCCTAAAAAATGAAATTTGATTGGAGTAGCTCAACCTGACTTCATTTCCCTGGGTAATGGAGTAGCTATTTAGTGGGAATGCATGTACCACTCAAAGGCCCAGGCATAGTGGGACTGAAAAATGTAGTTCCTGTGGATGTCATGAAAGTTACTGTGGTTGCCTGACATTTAACAGAAAACTACTGGTGAGTTTTTGGAGTTATCCTAGGGCACTGAAAGTGCATTCCTCCTAGAGATACCTCAGAAATATCACTTTGCAGTTCATGGACCTGCTATCCACATAACTAAATGGATATTAGTGAAGCTTTATATAAATAACCTTCCTCTAGAAAAATCAACCACCACAAATACCTGTAAGACAGTAAAAGAGAAATGTTTATGGCTCCACCTCTTAGTTCACCTATATACTCTCACTTATGGCTGAGGTGGCCACGTAGAAGAGGCCAGCAATTGTAAATCATGGGCAGCTCCCTCCAGTGGTCTCTGAAACTACATGATCAGGGCATCTGTCCTAACCGAGCCAACAGCCTGCCTCGACTGTGAGAAAATCATTGCAAATGATTTTATTGCAAATGGGGTTATTTAAAATTTTTAAAACATACTTGTTAACATCAAATATGTGCAAGGAAGTACAATTTGAGTCATGGGGGCTAAAAAGACTTAGAAAACATAAAGACTGTTCCTAAGGAACTAACAATTTTAACACCTTGATGGTGCGTCCATCATTCTGGAACTTAAGGCTAAAAATACATTAATTTTTTATTCCTCCTTCTACCCAATTTCCACCCCAAATTAATTATACTCACCAAGTTGCATCTACCTTGTATATAATCCTCTATCTTCACTCTCAAAGTCAGGATTCTAATTCAGTTCCTTATTAACTCATAGATGGGCCACAGCAATGTCTTAAACCTCTTTGAGTACTTATTATTAGTTCCACATATTTGACATGGAAAAATGCATTTATTGTGGAGGTACTTTAGTGAATCTATCCCCTCCAGCATTCAACTCTGTAAGAGCAGATTCCTTCCCTGATCTCACCTATTCCTGATTCTTATGCAACAGCAGGAACTCAACAAACACTTGTTAACTAAATCAAAACCATTCTGCAAAACACATCCAGTAAGCATCTCACTACTGAAGTATCTGACAAACTACCTTTATGGGCCGTCTGCAGCCTAGCACAAGTGGCAGGCTGGCAATTTTTTTTTCTCCAAAATAATAACAAAAAGCTTCTACCTCTTCCATTATTGTAAGCTGACTCACCTCCCAATGGAACACTATACAGACTCCCCTGTCCTATATTGTGGACCAATTCAGTATTAGAAAAAAACCACTTCCAATTTTCTTTAGAGTGTTTTTAAGAACTTGGTCACATAGGACCTACAGGTCCAACATTCATTTTTCATAATCCAAGGTAGTAGTACCCTTTTTCATATAGGATCAATGGCCTCTCCCACACCACCCGCCATATGGTAACAAACTGTCTTGCCTTCGTTTTCATGGTGCACTGGGTTAGTCCTTACATGCTGCGATCTACAGTATTGATTTTACCATCCAACTTTGTGGGCCTGGCGACTGAAAATGTTAATATACTTCCTTATTTGTCCTACATTCCCAATAAATAATTTAGACGTAAGAAACAGGCTCTTTTGCTTATTATGTAACCACAACCTCAATATTTTAAATACACTGCATGGCATCACTAATTCTACGTCTGTACTACGCTTCCCCTTCCGTGATAACCAAACCCCCACAAACCACTCCAAATACTAAAAATAAAATAAAATAAAGTATGGGGTTCCTAGGGAACTGACTTTGCCAGGACATACTTTTCGTTGGGGCGGAATGCACCGAAAATCATTGGTAGGAAAAATAATTTTTTTTTTGAGGAAAAATTTGGAAACCTTTTTCCCAAAGGGCCCGCAAGATCCTAAAAAAAGCAAGAGACCGCGCAGAAACCGAGGATCCCCCTCACAGGCGACACCCAGCGCGACCTCCGCTAGGGTCCTGACAAAGAATGTCCACTTCCCGCGGCCGCACCTCTGGGGCCAGACCACTGGTCTCCAGAGAGGCGCGGGGACCTCCACCAGGGATCGGAGTGGTACTCAGACCTGCACACCCGCGAGTCCTCGAACAGCTCCACACGTCTCCAGCTCCGCCCGAGCCCGAGCCACGCGCCGGGCCGTGATCGCGCACGGACCAGACGGAGCGCTTTCCGGGAGACACCAGAGGGAGGAGCCAGGCAGTTACTAGCGTCGTTGCTAAGGCAGGGGCCGCGCACACCGCACACCGCGCGGCTTAAGCAACAGGCTGGGACGACAGCGGGGGGGGGGTTAGACGGGAAGTTCCGCCTCAGCCTCTCAATCAGCGGCGGTGTCGCACTTCTCCCGAGAGGCTCCGGCGAGGGGCAGGGCCGCGTTCGTCCGGGACCCGCCTCAAGCCTCGCAGCCTTTCACCCAGTTTCCTCCCGATTCTTGCTGGGACAACAAAATTGGGAAGCGGTTCTCGAAACATACTGTCAAGGCGTAGTTGCAGTGAGTTGTGAAGAAATGTTGATCCCAGAGAAAAGTTTGCATTTTGCCCACCTCAAAGATATTTTGATTGTGAGAACTTGGTTACATTAGTCTTTCGTGGCTATATCAATATCATTATTTCGTGTGCTGTGTGGTAATGAAAGCTATTAGAAAAATCATTTGTATCTTAATGATTTAGTTTGCATAAAAACACGCATATAGAGTTAAGAGTACTTTGTGTTTTTCCACTTTGAAGTATAATATGTGGATAAGTTATTAGAACATTTGTCCGTGCCTCTCCCCAAACAATGCGCAAACGGAAGTGCACTCTAACAACTAAGATTTTAAAACACAATGGTCAAATGTTGAGCAATGTTTTATTGACTACTCTGAATTTATCAAGTGGTAGATAAAGGACATTACAATGCCCTAGAAGTGCTCACGATATCAAGTAAAGCATGTTAAATTCAAGTACAGAAAATGCAATATTCTTACTACTGAGATAAAAAATGGAATTTAATAAATTACAGGAATTTCAAGAAAGCTGAGAATGGAGTGGTCAATAAAGGCTTCTTTTTCGGACTTGGGTAAGGCCTTGAAGAATGATTTAGGTTTAGGACAGTGTTTTTCAACTGGAAAGGGGATTGTGTGGGACCCATTAGTGGAGGTCTTGACCCATTTGTAAGCAAGGAAATCTCTTTAAACTTAAAAAAAAGAAACAATATAGATTGGAAATATCAGCGCATGTAAGTAAATTTAGTGTTAGTTAGTAAAGTACTGCTTTATGGAGCTTTTAATTGTATATATGCGTGTATGTGTGCACTAGGGCTTGTTTGTAAAATGTATTTCTTACTGTATTTCAAACCTTAAAAAGTTTGAAAGCCAGTGATTTAGGGAGAAAGGTGAATTTTCTGGGTAGGGAAAGTAGAATAGCAAAGTCTATAAGCCAAGAAGAATTCACAACCATTTTCCTTTTTAGTTTAACTCTAAATTTTATCAAAGTAGTTAAATTGCACAGATTAAAAAGCAAATAATACTACTTGTTAGATTGAGCATTGGGTTGCTATCGTATGTAATAAATTACTCCAAAATATGGTGGCTTAAAACAACCATTTTATTATGTTCACAGGTGGTGTTGTCAATAGGGCATAGTCATCAGCTTTTCTTTGGTAACTCAATTAGAAAGACTAGAGTGGGCATGCTAGCAGAGCTTCTGTAACTATATGGCCGGGGTTTCCTCACAGTATGGCAGCAAGGTAGTCAGACTTCTTAGCTTAAACTCAGAGCTCCAAAGGGAGTGTTGCAATGAACAAGGCAAAAATTGCCTGACCTTTTCTGACCTTGCCTCAAAAAGTAACGCGGTGCTACTTCCCCCACTTTCTTTTGCTTACAAATGTGTCAAAGTCCTGTTCCATTTTAGGAAAGGAGACATAGATCCCTCTTCTCAAAGGATTGGCAAAGATTTCTTGTCCATGTTTTAAAACCAGCATAGTGAATTTACTTCTGTAACAGAAAACCCCAAAATATCGGTGGTTTAATACACTTTTTTTTTTCCTCACAAAAGATCCATTGTGGCTATTTCTAGGCAGACGAAATGTTAAATTCAAGGCCAGATGTTTTTATTTTTAATGGTTCTGCTGCCTTCTAGGACTAGCTTGTTTGACAAGAAAGAAAGTATGGCAAATTACCCAAGGTTAACTCTAAAAATGACATGTATCAATTTGGCCACATTCTGTTGGCCAGAATTTAGTCCCAAGGCCCCCACTTTAACTGCCGGGGATCCTGAGAAATGTAGAGAAACACACACATATTGGTGAGCACTAACAGTTTGCCACATTCTAGGTTAAAGAAAACCCTGTAGTACCCAACCCTTCTACTCTATTCTCAATTCTTCTCACCAAAGGAAAATTCAAGTCTTTTAAATATTTCATCTGTTACCCCCATGTCTAAATATACTTACATTGCAGTTTCTTGATTTTCCAATTTCAGACATTACCCACTGACTTTCTCCTGTGGAAGGCAGTGATAAAGGTCTTTTGTAACAACACCACCTCCAAGTGTGTGAACATTCCCTCTCTACCTCATACACTCTTCTTGTCCCTTCACCTGTCAATAGTGATATCATAGGCTTTGGCTAAATCAACATTTAGTGTTATCACTACTGTCTAGGTAAATGTCATTCAACCCCAAGGCACATAGTATACTAAGATCGCATTAACTTTTAATACAACTTTTTACTTTCCTTTCTCTTAACTGCCATTTTTAATGTATTATTTATCTGTTCTCAAACACTGGCAAACTGCTAAAGCATCACAGTGAAATACATCAGTTAATCCAGTAGATTTTTTTTCCTTACAGATACTCTTCCTACAGCGTTACAGCCTTTAGTTTATTTAGGATTGCTGGTTTCTCCAACATAATACTGCTCTCCTGTGTGTTAGATCCCTTGTTTCCTTTTTCTTTGTTTAATCCCTTTTTAAAAATGAACTACATTCTCTAATACCTTCTTGGAAAAAGGTAAATAGGAGTGTAGTAGATAGAATAATGGCCCCCAAAGATGTCTATATCCTTACCTCCAGAACCTGTTGATATTTTATATGGCAAAAGGAACTGCATATGTGATTAAGGAGATGGGCTAAATTACCCTGGATTGTCTGGGTGGCTGGACATAATCAAAGAGTTCTTATGAGAGGAAGACAAGATGTCAAGAGAGGGGAGAAGACTCTACACTGCTGGCTTTGAAGATAGAGGGAGGAGCTCTGAGCAAAGGATAGCAGGTGACTGCTAGAAGCCCCTTTTCTCACAAAAAGATCTTCTGGGAGAAAAAATTATGTGTATTAAGCCATTGATATTTTGTGTTTTTTTTGTTACACAAGTAAATTTACTATGCTGGGCGACAAGAGTGAAACTCTGTCACACACACACACACACACACACACACACAAAACATGAAAGGAGCATAGCCCTGCAGACCCATTTCAGATTCCCGACCTCTAGACCTGTGAAATAATAAACTTTGTGATTTTTTAAGCCACTTTGTTAGCTGTTTGTTACAGCAGCAATAAGAAACTAATATGAGATGAATTTTTTTTTAGTATCTTGCAAATCTGAAAAATGCCACACATTTAATTGATGCTCTGTTTATATTTAAATTTACAGATTGAAAGTCATTTTCTGGCATAATCCTCTAAATTATTGTTTTTTTATCCTCTGATTCTTGTTTACTTTAACATTTTTGTTCTAGTTTCTAGAAGATTTCTTCAGCTATTTTTCACTAGACTGTTGTTGAATAATTTATATCATATTTGTACTTTGCATTTTTTCTTATTCTGTATTCATTTATAACATGCAGTTTTGGTTTCAGGGATGCATTATCTTATTATAGCTCTCTATGAGTCTTAAAGACTTTTTTGAAGTTTCCTTCTGTTCCCCACATTGTCTGTATATGCCTAGATTTTATTTTTAGTCACTTGTTTGGATTTCCATTTTTTAAAAATATTTTTTATTTCACAATTAGTCCATAAATAATAATCTTTAGCTTTCTATCCATTTTGAAATACAAGGATTAAAATGGTGATAGAAAGCCTCATGGTGTCTCAACAGGAATTGTCAAGCATTCAGCTTCATAGTAGAGCAAGGTTTATCATTGGAAGTTTCTCAAACATTTAAAGAAGAAAAGGGACTAATAAAGATAAGAATAAATCAATGAAATTAAAAACAAATGTGCACTAAAGAAAAGCAACAAGGCCAAAACTGGTTCTTTGCAAAGATTAATAAAATTGATAAGCCTTTAGATAGACTGACCAAGATAAAGAAAAGTACAAATTTCAGAAATGAAAAATGAAACATCACCACAGACACTACAGATTGCAAAGATAATAGGAGGATATTAAGAATAAATATTTATATCAAAATACTTGACATTTCAATTTTTCTTGAAAGATAATTTACCAAAATTAAGAAGTAATAGAATAGCTGAATGATCCTATATTAATTTTGATAGCTTATATCTGTATTAGTCTACCTAGGATGCTGTAATAGAATACCACAGAGTAGATGACTTAAACAACAGTAGTTTATTTTCTCACAGTTTTAAAGGCCAGAAGTCCAAGACCAAGGTGCCATCAGTGTGAGTTTCTAGTGAGGCCTCTCTTCCTGGCTTGTAGACCACTGCCTTCTCACCATGTCCTTACAAAGCCTCTTCTCTTATATAGACAGAGCATCAGTTAAGTGTGTGGCATTTTTCACATCTGCAAAATGCTAAAAAAAAAAATCACTCTTTCTCCTCATATTAGTTTCTTATTGCTGCTGTAACAAACAGCCAACAAGCAAAGTGGCTTAAAACAACACAAAGTTTATTATTTCATAGTTCTAGATATTTTCACAGATAAAATATCTGTGTGTATATGGAGAGAGAGTATAAGCAAGCAAGCTCTCTGGTGTCTGTTCTCATAATGACACCAATCATATTAGAGCCCCACTCTTTTAGTCTCTTTTAACCTTAATTGTCTCCTCAAAGGCTCCATCTGCAAATAAAGTCACATCTTGTTATAAGTGTTAGGGCTTGAACATATGAATTTGGGGTGGGGGCATGATTAGGTCCATAACAGTATCCTTAATTTAAAACTCCCCCATAATTTCAGGTTCAGGTTCAGGGAACATAACTAGCAGTGTCCACCAAACATTTAAGGAAGAAAGGAAGAAATAGTACTGATCTTTCAGATTTTAAATTCTTTCAGATAATAGAAAAAAATAGAGGCATTTCCCAACTCATTTTTTTTGAGACCATAATAGCCTTAATTCCAAATCTTCACATTATAAGATAGAAAAATTCAGGCCAATCTTTCTTATAAACATTATAATAGCTTATATTATTAGCCTTCCCTTGTCCATTTCTTGTTATATGCATGTCGTTTGTCATGTGACGTAGTAGAACCTCCAGCTTCATGAGCAGAATATATTTTCCAGCCCTTCCTCCCCTGCTGCGTTAGTCCGTTCTCACATTGCTATAAAGAACTACCAGAGACTGGGTAATTTTAAAGAAAAGAAGTTTAATTGACTCACAGTTCCACAGGCTGTACAGGAAGCATGGCTGGGGAGGCCTCAGGAAACTTACAATCATGGCAGAAGGTGAAGGGGAAGCAGATGCGTCCTACATGGCTGGAGCAGGAGGAAAAGGGTGAAGGGGGAGGTGCTACACACTTTTAAACAACCAGATCTCATGAGAAGTCTATCACAAAACAGCACTAGGGGGATGTTGCAAAATCATTAGAAACCACCCCCATGATCCAATCACCTCCCACCAGGCCCCACCTCCAACACTGGGGATTCCAACAGTTCAACATGAGATTTGAGTGGAGATACAGAGCCAAACTATCTGACTTGGTAAAAGTCAGAAGTGAGGTTTGTGGGTGAGGGGAAAGGGATTGTTTGGCTGAGTCATTTATTTTTGCATTTGGGTGTCTTTCATACCCCAGTTTGGTCGCCCAACTCACATTGAAGCCTAAGACCCAGCTGATTTCTCTTCATTTCTGCAAAGTTACTGTACCATGGCAGGCCAACGAACATGTCAAAGGAGGAGCAGCAGAGCTGGCCCCGGGGTAAGGAAGCTTCCACAGCTTTATGTTCACTTACAAAGGTTATATTTCTCTTGGAATTTCAGGTAATCAGGGCTCCCAGGTAGAGCTGGCTTTGTCACTGAAACACCAAGGGTTTGGTCTAGGTCTTAATGCTCGCTGCACAGATGGCCAATCACTGAGATGAGTATTGCCAAGGAAGAAAGCTTTAATAGGGTGCTGCAGCCGAGGAGATGGGAGATCAGTCTCAAATCCATCTCCCTGACTGACTAAAATTAGGGTTTTATATAGCAAGGAAGAAATGTAACCATGTGTGGGAAAACAGAAATTAGGGAGTGGTGGTAAGAAGGAGGAGTTGGTTAACAGGAAACAGGTAGTCAGTTAGGCAATCATGATGGGTGATGGTGAGGAGTCTAGAGGCTAATTGTCAAGATATAGTGATTTGGTATGTTTTAGTTCCTTGACACTATCTGGGAGGCCTGATGGTTAGTTTTCTGGGAAAGGAACTCAGATAAGACCAATGTAACTTTCTCAAGTTTTAAGACTAGAAGGATTAATTTCTATATTTATTTAAAGAAACCATAAACATTAGTTCTATGGGACAGTTAGGCTTGTTTTTAGCTTCATGGGTTTACAACTTCTGCAGTTGCACAGGGCCTTATGCTGAGAAGTACATGCATTTGGTTTAATGCTCTGATGTTATTATCTTCAAACTCAATAATTTTGAACAAGGAACTCTGAATGTTTACAAGTTATTTAACTGGTCCTGCCTCCTGGCATTCACCACTTTTCACTAACCCCATAGAAAAATATGATTTTTTTTTTGTCCAAGTTTGTCTTATTATTATCATGGAAGTGTAGGTGTTTTATATCCTTCTACATCCTACCAAAAGTAGAAATCTGTTTAATTTATACCTTACCTTATTTTAATTTTACCCCAAAAGAAACATGGAATTTTTGAAATTAGTTAGAACTTCACTATGCAAGTTTCACTTTCTTCACTTTTCTAATTCCCTTTAATTTAAATGTGCATATTATTTTTGGTGCTTTGTACTTGGAGTGGTTTGACAGCCATTACAAGAAAAAAAAGTCAATGCTTAAATTGTTTTCATTAAGTTTGATTCTGTATATTTGTAAATGTATTGTGAGTTCCTTCTAGCCAAATTGCTATACCCATGAAGCTAGAGATATTATATCGTGAGTATTTTTCTGTCTGTAAGCCTTTTGCATGCACCATCTCTCATATCTCTCATTCTTTTCAATTTGACTAGCTCTAGAGTTCCCTGTTTCCCATAACATGTTCTTCACATCTCTATGCATCTTTGCTTCTGTCTAAACATTTGCTTTCCTTTTTCAAATTTTTATTTTTAATTTTTAAGGGTACATCATAAGTATATATATATTTATGGCATACATGAGATAATTTTTGATACATACAATATATAATAATTATATCAGAGTAAGTGGGGTATCCATCATTTCAAGCATTTATCACTTATTTATGTTGTAGACATTCCAATTATACTCTTTTATTTATTTTAAAATGTGCAGTAAATTATTGTTGACTATAGTTAGCCAGTTGTGCTATCGAATATTAGATCTTATTCATTCTCTCTAGCTGTTTTTATTTGTCCGTTTGTTTTTTAGAGAGAGTCTCGCTCTGTCACCCAGGCTGGAGTGTAGTGGCACAATCTTGGCTCACCGCAACCTCCGCCTCTGGGGTTCAAGCGATTCTCTCACCTCAGCCTCTCGAGTAGCTGGGACACCTGGCTAATTTTTTTGTATTTTTATAAGAGACTGGGGTTTTACCGTGTTGGCCAGGCTGGTCTCTTGTACTGTTGACCTCAAGCAATCCACCTGCCTTGGCCTCCCAAAGTGCTGGGATTACAGGCGTGAGCCACCATGCCTGGCCACTCTGTTTTGTTTTGTTTTGTTTTACCTTTTTTTAAAATTTTTTATGGAGATTGGCTCTTGCTGTGTTGCCCAACCTGGTCTCAAACTCCTGGGCTCAAGCAGTCCTCCTGTCTTGGCCTCCCAAAGTGTGCTGGTATTATAGGCATGAGCCACTGTGCTTGACCCTAACCTATATTTTTGTACCCATTGACTATACCCACTTTCCCCTCACTTCCCACTACCCTTCTCGGCCTCTGGCAACCATCATTCTATCTCTATCTCCATGAGTTCAATTGTTTAATTTTTTGACTCTCACTAAATACTCATTTTCTATAATGGTTGTCACATACACTCTTTATCTTCTTCTTGTATTATCAGTTATATATTTTCTTATATTCATCATATATTTAGATGAATGAAATATCCCCCAATTCAAATATGTAATTATTTTTTAGCATTTTTTTCTAAAACATGAACTTGTGATTCTGTAATCTTGACCACTTTATATATTGATATGAAATATGTGTTTTAATAAATAAAAATGTAGTACAATCTTTTCAGTGATATCATCATGGATATTAGGATATTAGACTTCTGAATTCCTCTTATTTTTGCCTTCTCACTGGATTTTCATTCTCTAGAAGTATTTTTATTATTTTTCAAGTACCTATATATTTCTGACATTCATCTACTCATTTATGCTTTAATTTATGCACACTGCGAGTACTTATTATGCATTGACTATGAACCAGCCACTGTGTGAAATTTAGAAAATTCAGCCATGATTCACATATACACCATGGAATACTATGCAGCCATAAAAAATGATGAGTTCATGTCCTTTGTAGGGACATGGATGAAGGTAGAAACCATCATTCTCAGCAAACTATCGCAAGGACAAAAAACAAACACCGCATGTTCTCACTCATAGGTGGGAATTGAACAATGAGAACACATGGACACAGGAAGGGGAACATCACACACTGGGGCCTGTTGTGGGGTGGGGACAGGTGGGAGGGATAGCATTAGGAGATATACCTAATGTTAAATGACGAGTTAATGGGTGCAGCACACCAACATGGCACATGTATACATATGTAACAGACCTGCACGTTGTACACATGTACCCTAAAACTTAAAGTATAATAAAAAAAAATAGCCTCTCCAAGGAATTGGCCGGCTACAAAATAAACATACCAAATTAAAAAAAAAAAAAAAGAAAATTCAGCCATGATTGCACCATAGTTTCTATCCTCATAGAGATAATCTGCTGTATGTTACCACGGAGAAAACTTTGGGGGATAAGAAAGGCTTGATGGACAAAGTGACTTTTAATTTGTTATTTGAAGTAAGAGTTAAATAGGCCAAGAAAGGATTGAAAGAGGGTTTGGGAAAGGGAGACTTCTGGGCAGAAGGAAGAATGTAGGCAAAGTCTCTAAGGCGAAAAGGAGAAAGTTGTGGTCTGGATTAAAATTAGTTTGTGTAATGTTGAATACATTTTGAAATCACAAAGAAACTACTAAAAAATGTGATTTTTATCTATTAGACTGAAATATCCAAACATTTAAATTTATTTTAACTATGTAACTAGTTAACTTTTTAAAATACTTTATCAGCAAGAACATATTATATTTTTGGCTCTGGATTTATTATAGAGGCTATCCATGATAGCCCAAAATATCTTGGAACTCTTTTAGGAATCTGAAATGAGGACCTAAAGCAAGATTCATGTGGAGTTTTTCTCTAGGGCTAGTGTATAAGAGGGAAGCCTATTACAAAATTTGGTTTGGAGGCTAAGAACTTAAACATTTATGTGTGTCCCTTTTCAAAGTGGAGGGATGGTATAAAGTGAGCATTTTATGATATCTTACCGCTCTGAAAATGATAAATAGAGTATCATTTTATTTAAGTAAATTATTTGTAAATATTATGAACAGTCTAGTGAGTTTATGCCAATGAACAATGTTGATATTACTTTATTAGAAAATGCAAGAACCTCCAAAGAGCATTGAAGAATTCTTAAAGTTTCAAAATTGGGTGAGTAAAGCATCTTATTTTATGTGCCATTACATCATTTTAAAATATCAGTTATGGAGATTTAGAAGGCTTAGAATAAACTTTAAGACTAGAAATTTCAGAAATATGTTTCAATGAGGAAAGTGTGTATATAAATACTTATGTCCTTTGAGTAGGCTCTATGTTGTAGTCTTCCCTCTTGTCAACATTCTATTCTCTTTTTCACATTAAAAAAATTCTAGCCCTATACAGACATTTCTATATACTTTTGTTATTGTAAGATTTTTGTCTTATGTATTTACACCTTAAAGAATATCCAACAGTTATGCTTACTTATCTCATTTATTTATGCACCACACCTGAGACAGGTAATCTGTAGAGGTGTTACATCAATATTCCTTGATTATTGAATCAGAGTGAAAAATTCAAAATGTGTTTTCATGTTAAAAGTTCAGTTTCCATTGTTATGCAAAATTACTGACTTCGCCTGGGGTTATTGGACTTGCTAAGTCTTCCCTTGGATCCATGCATCTGCAAGTGTGAAGGTCATATTTGTTTTGCATTGAGGAATGTCAAGTAAGGGCCAGAAGAAAGATGTCAGTATAGAAAACAGAAAAAAGGTGGCTTTTTAATTAGATATGTTTGTATTTTGAGTGGATTGGAATATAAATAATTTACATTTATTTATGCTTAAATGTAAATAGTATTTGCTATGATTAAACTGCTAACAATGTAGTTTCAGAAATATCTACTTTTAAATATCTATCTTCTGTTTTTATATTTGTTTAGACAAGTTTTTTTTTTTTTTTTTTTTTACTTTCAATGTTTTGGGAAAGGATTGCGCTCAGATGAAAACATTCTTAGTCATAAAAGTTTACTTCAGTCACATGGTGTATCTAAGTATGTTGAAATACTTTTGGAACAAACTTTTTGTAACTATTTTGATTTAAATAATGATGCAAATGTGCTGCAGCCTAATGACAATGTTTAAGGACTTTTTAATGTTTTAAGTTTTAAGTTAAAATTAATCTAAATTCAGCAAATAATGGAGACTGTATTATTATACATGTTTGAGGACCTAGGATTTTAAATAAAAAATTCTAATTATTTGAAGTAGTAAATATGTTATCCCTTTGCTTAAATTGAGAATGATACCAATCAAATCAAGATAGTGGGTTTATGCCAGCTCTTCACTAAATACAGGATAAAAATCAAATCAAACCATGTCTTATTAATAGTATGTCAGTAGTATCATCTTTGTATGCAAAGGATATATTTATATTTGTATTCAAAGGCTATATTTATAGCCTTCAAGTTTTATCAGGTAGCATTTGATAAAACAACATATCCATCTGTATCATTTTGTCATTTATAGGTTTCTCTGTAAATCTTTTCATATTTTCTGAATTTCCCAACCAAATACCCATATTCTGTAGTTATTTTTTATGGTTTGACTATGTTTATACATTGCCAAACTATTGGATATTTGAAAATATTCAGGAATAAAATGACTAGATGCTTAATTTTTTGTTTGCTATACAAAGTCTTTGTCCAATAGACAATGGTAGAAAAGTAGTGACTGCCATGAATTCATTTAAGAAATATTTTTGAACACCTGCTATGTGCCAGGCACATAGATGCTTAGGATATATCAGTGAAT
The DNA here is from genome assembly GCF_000001405.40 of Homo sapiens. NCBI lineage: Eukaryota > Metazoa > Chordata > Mammalia > Primates > Hominidae > Homo > Homo sapiens. Next base: position 49,609,575 of record NC_000015.10, on the reverse strand, counting down.
AAAAACAAGCAAAGATGCCTGCCCTTATGGAGCTATTATTCTTTTAGAATTGAATCATGTTATTAATCCAAGCTCTGCTGTTAACTAGCATTATAATAGTACTTGCAACCTACATGTTAGCTACTTGTTTCTCTTGTCTTCTACTTAATCTTTTATCATATCATCTAAAGTCCTCTCTTTTTTGCCAGTTCCTACCATTTCTATCTTTTTTGGTAATTTTAATATTTTATATCATCTACTCCTCTCTTTCACCTCTTCCTATCTCCTGTTGTACTTCTGTGTATCTTTTTATCTTCAATTGTTTTTATCCTCTCATTTCTCTATTGATCATTTCCCACATTCCCTTTACTCCATCACAATTCTATTTCTAGTTTTATTTTTATAAAAATATTTTTATGTTTTTATAACATCTTCTTTTTCCACTATTGTTGTATCAGTGTCAGCTCTCTTACTTATCCTATTCATTCACTCATTTAGTTACTTCCGTTCACTACCCACTATTTGCCAGATATTTTTCTGGGCACTGGAGTTACAGCTATGAACAAAGACAAAAGATTCTACTCTTAAGGAATCTACATTATCTTCCCCCTTTTTGTCTCATCTCTCTTTACTGTCACACTTTAAAAAATTCTTTTTGGTTCTTCAAGTACAAAGTGTTGATTCCAATTTCTTCCATATTTATATATTATACTTTTGATTTTTCATGTTATTTATTTCTTATTACCTTTTTTCTGTGTCCATGCAACTTTTATCTGGTAGAACTTTAATTCATCTTTTCTTAGTTCATCAATGTTAATTTTTGTTAACAGGCCTGTTAGATTCGTAATCTGTGTCTGAAGAGTACTCCATGATATGATTTTTCTTAGAGGATCAAAATTATTTTATGATAGAGAAAATAATAATTTCAATCCCATTCTCTTTTTTGAGGGAATAGCCTGATTTATTTGCTTATTTGTTTATTCATTTATTTATTCATTAATCCATTTAAATCCTTATATCAAAGCTTAATATAAAGGAAAAAGAGCTAAATAATAGTCACTTTTCTTACTAATTCTAGTCATGCTTCTTATTTCTTACCTTCTGTTTGATACTTCAGCATTGTCTCTTGGGCTTTGGGACATGGGTGAAGACTTACCCATATATTCAATAAAAAAAATTCCTCTCTAAACTCCACGAGAGCCCTTTTGTCTGTCTACTCTCCCTTCTCCATCTCTAGTTTTATATTAGCATATAATAATTTGTGCTTCTGCCACTGCCAAAGTTAATTGCTATAATTAAAATAAACATGACAAATACATAGCCAATTCTTGCTTCACTGACCCTGTTTTAAACAAGGTAAATGTTCTTCTTACTTATCACTAAGGACCACAGCGCTATAATGTAGAATTTAACTCCTTAGGGAACAAAAACTTCTAGTCCAATTCTTTTGTTCTTTTGGGATTTGAATACATTTATTTACTTTTAATTAATATAATCACCATAGACTCTGGATGCTCATACTCTAGTAGTAGTGTTGATTTTCTTTCGGGCAGTATGAACTGCCTGACAGCTAATCTGCCTGTTAGCTGCTAGTTGACTCGATTTGCCTTTTTAGGTCTGGCCACAAAATTTATTTTTTAGATAACACTCTATTCAAGAGGTACCTTATTGAAGGCAAAATATAAAGGAATAAGGAAGGAAAGTAATAGAGAAATGAGATGGGGAAAATAGATTATGATCTGCTACAAGATATGATCTACTCCAAGATAATCATCTGGTATCCATTTAATAATACAGCCACAAAGAATTAAAAGAATTTAAAAATCACCTTCTTTATATTAATGACTTTGGGACACCAGTCTATCCCTTGATTACCTTGGTGATGTAGAGAAGACAGAGTCTCATCAGCCTTATGGAATTTTTGGAAACTTTATTCAGCTCATAATATTTCAATATCTTGGGGAAAAGGATTGTGATATAACAAGTCTGACATAAAGAACTGACATAAAGACATTTTCATAAAGATTTGTACATATTATAACATCTTTTCAAATTCCTTTTAGCCTCTTCCTTCTCCCTCAACTCCCCTAACAATAGCAACACATGACTCATAAGGACTGTGTTTTCAAATGTGGCTGCCATTCTAAATTGACAGTGTTGGTCTTCAGGGATTTTACCCTGTGACCTTCTCTTATTCTTCAAAATCTTTTAAATTTTTGACACAGTTTTCCAGATTTCAATGCTGGAAAACTTTCCCAAGTGGCTATGCGTCTTATTTAAGATACACATTTACAGGATTTGGAAGAGGGCACTTAACGTATTTATATAGCACTCTTTTTTTCAAAATGACAGGGGGACCTTTTTGGAAAAGTTTTGCAGTGTTAAGCACTGGGTATTATTTTCATATCTTACTATTAGCACAGTTAATAAATGAACAAATGTATGATGAGTTTAGGATTGCTTTTAAAGGAAGAAAAAAGGAGATGGAACAGACCAAGGTGGGTTTGAAATTTCTGATCTGCAGACCTCAGATTTCTTCCCCTTAAGCTAAGGCCCCAGTGTATTTTACCCAAACTCCATTGCAGAGTTTCATCCTACACAAGTCTCCCACCATCCCAAAAAGTATTCTCTTATTCATAAACTTTTAATTATGTTGACTAACTTTCTTTGTTTTGCTATTATTTGGTTATATTAAAAGATCTTGTATTTAGATTTGCAAATATTAATGTTGTGGTTCCACTTCCCTTCTTCTCTTCATTTCCCTTGTTTCCTTTTCATTCCATCTGCTTCCTTTCCTAAACAATTTAGTATTAAAGCCATCTGGTGGCCAAAACAAGGCAGGCTTCCACATTGAGAAAGAAGGGTTTGCTTGGTGGCCCAGAGCAAGATTTCTGAGCCCAACAATGGTGAGGAGGATGTCCATGTGACACCACAGGTATCAGAATCCAAGGGAATGATGATGATATTCACACATAAAGGGAGAAGAGGAAGGTAGCCTTCACTCTGATGTGGGAGGTCAGAGATCAAGTGGGGGTAAGGAGGATGTCCTCACAGAATTGGCAACCTAACATGCGATATTAGAGCCCAAGTAGTATGAAAAGGATATCCACGTAAGGAAGAGTCTGGGAGCAAATATGAGAGATTGGTTACATAAAAGGATTGATCAAATAAGTAAATATATTAAAGATAATGGTAGCTAGGTTTTTAATTGTTAGGGATGGCAATTATAATACGGAAAGAGAGAAAACTAGAATGGTTAGAATTGGAATTAGAGGCATCAGTGTGAACTCATGGCTTTGAATATATAAAAGTAAAAAAAAAAATACTTAGGAGAAATGACTCCAGCAAGATGGCAAAATAACCTTTATCCCTTTGCAGAAATATCAATTTGAACAACTATCCTTGCAAGAAAAATACCTTTACAAGAGCTAAGGAATCCAGGTGAGATATTACTAGTCTTCACTATATGGGAGTCCTAGGCGTGGCACAGAAATAAGAAAAGATACCTTGAAGAGGTTAGGAAGGACATTTTCAAGTTACCAAGCAAGGGCAGAACAGTGTGGAGAGAGATACCTTTCATGTGGGAAAGGGAAAGGAGAATGAAGTGAGCACATAACTTTGCCGTGGACCGCAGCAAGAGGACTGTGCAAGCCCACCCTCCACAGCCCCAAGCTCCAGGCCAGCACCTGTAGACCCAGTCTCCAAGTCCACTCCAGTGGCAGGATAGCTCCCACAGCCCCAGGCTATCCCTCTCAGACTCAAACTCCAGCTCCATGCCAGCCCCTTGGATTTTTGATTTTAGGCTACCACATGAGGACCCAGGCTCCAGGCCCACTCCAGCACCAGGCTGCTGCAGGCTCCAGGCCATTTCCAGGGGAGGCAGGCTCCAGGGCAGTCAGACTTCAGGTCCACTCCAGTGTACTCAGGACCAGGTCTGCACAAGTAGACCCCAGCACCAGGCCAGCCCATGGACCCAGGCTCCAGGACTGCTCCTGAGACCTAGGCTTAAAGCCAAACCCCACAAGTCCAGGAACCAGGATATCCCCCAAAACAGATTCGAGGCCCACCCCAGCACCAGGCCAACCCCCACTTCAGTGTCAGGTTGGCCCCTGTGGACCCAGGCTTCAGTCCTGCCTCCACAGATTAAGTGTACAGGCTGCACCCAGTGGACTGCTGTGCCAGGTCAACATCCCTTGAGCCTAGGACTCAGGACCACTCCGGTGGACCCAAGAGGTAATACCACCTAAGGGAACCCAGAGGCCCAACCCCATAAACCAAACTACAAGGCTAGCCACTGTGGGCTCAGGTAACAGGCCTGCCCACATACTGAACCAGATACCAAGTCAGCTTACCTGACAATTCCAACAGGAAGTCCATGGACCCCACCAGCTGGCCTGCCTACATTTTCTGGGTGGGCTGACAGGTGAAGGGCTTTTGTGCTGAAGCCAGCCCCCAGAAGAGGCGCCTGTTCTTCAGATGTGCAGACATCAAAACAAGGCAGTCAGGGAAACATGACATCACCAAAGTAACAAATAGAAGCATCAGTTACCTAAAAAAATAGAGATCTACAAACTGCCTGATGAAGACTTAAAAATATCATCTTCAAGAAGCTTAGTAAACAAGAGAACACAAAGAAAATCAGGAAAACAATAAAGGAACAAAAGTAGAGGCTTATAAAAGAGATAAAAAATCATGAAAAATCCACACACAGAAATTCTGGGAGCTGAAGAACATAATGATTAAACCAAAAAATTCCATAGAAAGCTTCAACAGCAGATGTGATCAAGCAGAAGAAAGAATAGGGGTACTCAAAAACAGATCATTTGAAACTGCTGTCAGAGGAACAAAAACATAGAATGAAAAATAGTGAATAAAGCCTATGAGACATGGGACATTGTCAAGTGAAACATATATACATAATAGGAATTCCAGAAGGAGAAGAGAAAGAGAAAAGGGTAGAAAGCTTATTTAAAGAAAGAATGATAGAAATATTCCTAAATTGAGAGAGCAAAATAAACAGCAGGATCCATGAAGCCCAAAAAACTCCAGATAGATTAAGACAAAGAAGAAATCTTCCCCAAGATACATTATAATGAAATTCTCAAAAGTCAAAGATGAGATAATTTTGAAAGCAGCAAGAAGAAAGTTATTTATTATATACAGTTATAAGATTATAAGCAGATTTATCAGCAGATACCTTGAAATCCAGGAGAGAGTGGGATGATAACGAAGTGTTGAAAAAAAAACTGCCAACAAAGAATTTGATAACCTGGCAAGGCTCTCCTTCAAAAATGGAAGTCAAGATAACAAGTTTTGCACACATGGAAAAAGTGTTGGGAGTTTATCACCACTAGATGCTAAAGGGAGTTCTTCAAGTTCAAATGAAGAACACTAACAATATAAAAACATTAAAGTATAGAACTCACCATAAACGTAAGAATATAGTCAAAATCAGAATACTGTAATAGTGTATTGGTAGTATGTAAATTACTTTTAACTCTATTATAAGAGTTAAAAGGCAAAAATATTTAAAATAACTATACATCAAACTGAATTCAACAAAACATTAAAAGTATCATTCATCATGGCCAAGTGGGATTTATTCCAGGGATGCAGGGATGGTTCAACATACACAAATCAGTCAGCGTGATATGTCATATCAACAGAATGAAGGACAAAACCCATATGATTTCCGCTGATGCTGAAAAAGCATTTAATAAAATCCAACATTCCTTCAAGATAAAAATCCTCAAAAAACTGGATATAGAAGGAATATACTTTAACATAATAAAAGCTATATATGACAGACCCACAGCTAGTAACACACTGAATGGAGAAGAGCTGAATGCCTTTCCTGTAAGATCAGGAACACAACAAGGATGCCCACTTTCACCACTATTATTCTAACTTTCACTGCTATTATTCAACCATAGTACTGGAAGTCCTAGGTAGAGCAATCAGACAAAAGAAAGAAATAAATGGCATCTAAGTTGGAAAGGAAAAAGTCAAATTCTCCTTGTTTGCAGATGATACGATCTTATATTTGGAAAAACCTAAAGACTTCATCAAAAAACCCTCTAGAACTGGTAAAAAAATTCAGTAAGCTTGCAGGATACAAAACAACATACAAAAATCAGCATTTCTATATGCCAAGAGAGAAAAATCTGAAAAAGAAATTAAAAAGTAATCCCATGTATAGTAGCCAAAAATAAATGAAATACCTAAGGAATCAAGTTAACCAAAGAAGTGAAATATCTCTGCAATGAAAACTATCATGAAGGAAATTTAAGAGGTCACCAAAACATGGAAAGATAGTCCATGTTTATGGATTGGAATAATCAATATTGTTAAAATGTCCAAACTACCCAAAGCAATTTACAGATGTAATGCAATCCCTATCAAAATACCAGCGACATTCTTCACAGAAATAGAAAAGAAAATCCTAAAATTTATATGAAACCGCAAAAGACCCAGAATAGCCAAAGCTATTCTAAGCAAAAGAGTAAAACAAGAGGAATCACATTACCTGACTTCAAATTATACTACAAGCTGCGTTAACCAAAACAGCATGGTACTGGCATAAAAACACATATACACCCATGGAACAAAATAAGAGAACCCAGAAACCAATCCACACACCTGCAGTGAACTCATTTTCAACAAAGGTGCTAAGTACATACATTGAATAAAGGACAGTTTCTTCAATAAATGGTGCTGGGAAAACTGGATATCCATATGCAGAAGAATGAAACTAGACCCCTATCTCTTTCCATATACAAAAATCAAATCAAAAGGGATTAAAGACTTAAATTTAGGATCTCAAACTATGAAACTACTACAAGAAAACACTGGGAAAACTCTCCAGCACATTGGTCTGGGCAAAGATTTCTTGAGCAATATGCCACAAGCACAGGCAACCAAAGCAAACATGGACAAATGGGATCACATCAAGCTAAAAAGCTTCTGACCAGCAAAGGAGACCACCAGTAAAGTGAAGAGACAGCCCATAGAATGGGAGGAAATACTTGCAAATTACTCATCTGATAAGGGATGATTAATAACCAGAATATATAAGGAGCTTAAGCAACTCTATAGGAAAACTAATAATCTGATTAACAAATGGGCGAAATATTTGAATAGACATTTCTCAAAAGGAGACATACAAATGGCAAACAGTCATATGAAAAGGTGCTCAACATCACTGATCATCAGAGAAATGCAAATCTAAACTATAGTGACATACAATCTCACCCCAGTTAAAATGGCTTATATCCAAAAGACAGGCAATAACAAATGCTAGTGAGGATGTGGAGAAAAGGGAACCCTCATACACTGTTGGTGGGGATGTAAGTTAGTACAACCACTACAGTGAACAATTTGAAGGTTCCTCAAAAATCTAAAGATAGAGCTACCATACAATCTAGCAGTCCCACTGCTGAGTGTATACCCCAGAGAAAAAAAATCAGTATGTCAAAGAGATATCTGCACTCCCAGGTTTGTTGCAGCACTGTTCACAATAGCTAAGATTAGGAAGCAATCTTAAGTGTCCATGAGCTGATGAATGTATAAAGAGAATGTGGTACCTTTACACATGGAGTACTATTCAGCCATAAAAAAGTGGGAGATCCTGTTATCCACACAACATAGATGGAACTGAAAATTTTTATGTTGAGTGAAATAAGCCAGGCACAGAAAGACAAACATTGCATTTCTCACTTATTTTTGGGTTCTGAAAATCAAAACAATTGAACTCATGGAAATAGAGAGCAGAAGGAGGGTTACCAGAAACTGGGAAAAGGAGTGGGAGGATTGTGGGGAGATGGGGATGGTTAATAGGTACAAAAATGTTAGTTAGAAAAAATGAGTAAGACCAAGTATTGATAGCACAATAAGGTGAGTGTAGTCAATAATGATTGAATTGTACATTTAAAATAACTAAAAGAGTATAATTGGATTATTTGTGACACATAGGATAAATGCTTGAGGGGATGGTTACCCCATTTTTCATGACGTGATTATTATGCATTGCATGCCTATATCAAAACCTCTCATATACCCCATAAATATATATACCTACCATGCACCCACAAAAATTAAAATTAAATTATTACAATAATTTGATAATGGATACACAATATATTTAAAATGTAAATAGTGAAATCAGTAGCATAAAATGTGAGAGTGGGAGTTAAAGTGTAGAGTTTTTGTATGTGGTACATATGAAGTTGTTATCATCCCAAAATATAACATAATAACTGTAAGATGTTTTATGTAAGCCTTATATAACCACAAGGAAAAACCTTGTGTACATACACAAGAGATAAAGAGAAAGGAATCAAAGTGTACCATTATTTAAAAAATCATCAAATCACAAAGGAAGAGAGGAATAGAGGAAGAAGAGAATGAAGTTACTATTAGGTTGGAGCAACAGTAATTGTGGTTTTTGCCATTAAAAGTGATGGCAAAAACCGCAATTACTGTTGCTCCAACCTAATACAAAACAATCAGAAAACAGTGAACAAAGTGGTAGTATTAAATTCTTTTTTTTTTTTTTTGAGACAGAGTCTTGCTCTGTCACCCAGGCTGGAGTGCAATGGCGCGATCTCCACTCACCGCAACCTCTGCCTCCTAGATTCAAGTGATTCTCCTGCTTCAGCCTCCGGTGTAGCTGGGATTACAGGCGCACACCACCACACCCAGCTAATTTTTGGTATTTTTAGTAGAGATGGGGTTTCACCATGTTGGCCAGGCTGGTCTTGAACTCCTGACCTGGTAATTCGCCCACCTCAACCTCCCGAAGTGCTGGGATTATAAGTGTGAGCCACCACGCCCGGCCTGGCAGTAGTAAATTATTCCATGTCAATAATTGCTTTAAATGTAAATGGGTTAAATTCTTTAATCAACAGATGTTAAGTGGCTGGCTGGATTTTTTTTTTTTTTTTGAGATGTGGTCTTGCTCTGTCACCCAGGCTGGAGTGCAGTGGTGCGATCTCAGCTCACTGCAACCTCTCCCTCCCGGGTTCAAGAGATTCTCCCTGCCTCAGCCTCCTGAGTAGCTGGGACCACAGGCAGACACCACCACACCTGGGTAATTTTTATATTTTTAGTAGAGATGGGGTTTCACCATATTGGTCAGGTGGGTCTCAAACTCCTAACCTCGGGTGACCCACCCGCCTTGGCCTCTCAAAATGCTTAGATTACAGGCATGAGCCACCATGCCTGGCCGGATTTAAAAAAAAAAAAAAAGAAAGAAAGAAACAGCTATATGCTGCATACAAAAGACTCACTTTAGCTTTAAGGACACACATAGACTGAAGGTGAAGAGATGATTAAAATAAATTTATGCAATGGTAATAAAAGAGAACTAGGATAGCTCTACTTCTATCAGATTAAGTAAGCTTTAAAGTCAAAATCTTTTAAGAGAGACAAAGAGGGTATTCATATAATAATAAAAGGGTCAATTTGCAAAGAGTGTCTAACAATTGTAAATATATATGCACCCAGTGTCAGAACACCTAAATATATGAAGCAAATATTAACAGAATTGAAGGGAGAAATAACAGCAATACATTAACAATAGGAGACTTTAAGGCCATATTTTCAAAAATGGATAGATCATATGGAGAGAAAATTAATATGGAAATAGAGGACTTGAACAACTCTCTAGACAAAATGGTCCTAACAGACACATACAGATCATTCTATCCAAAAGCAACAAAATGCAAATTTTTCTCAAGTACACAAAGAAAATTCTCCAGGATGGATTATATATTGGGCCACAAAACAAGTCTTAACAAATTTTATAAGATTGAAGTCTTATCAAGTACCTCTTGTGACCACAATAATATTAAACTAGAAATCAGTAATAGGAGGAGAACTGGAAATTGAACAAAATGCTCTTGAATAGCCAGTAGGTCAAGGAATAAATCAAAAGGGAAATCAAATTATCTTGAGATAAATGAAAATGGAAATAATGTACCAAAACTTATGGAATGCAACAAAGGATTTCTAAGAGGGAAGTTTATAGCAATAAATGCCTACATTAAGAAAAACTCTCAGATAAACAATCTAACTTATATCTCAAGTAACTAGAACAAGCAGAACTAACTAAGCCCAAAGTCAGTAGAAGGAAGGAAATAACAAAGATCAGAGCAGAAATAAATGGAGAGACTGGAAAAACAATAGAGATGATCAACAAAACTGAATTGTGTTTTCTGAAAAGATTAACAAAACTGTCAAATCTCTAGCTAAACTAAGGGAAAAAAAGAAGAAAGATTCAAATAAATAGAATCAGAAATGAAAGAGGAGACATTGAAGTTGATACCACAGAAATATAAATAATTATAGTAGGCTACCATGAGAAATTATATACAAGTAAATTGAATAACCTAAAATAAATGAATAAATTCCTTGAAACATACAACCTACCTTGACTGGATCATGAAAAATAGAAAATCTGAACAGACCAATAATGAGTAAAGAGATTGAATCAGTAATTGAAAACCTCCCAATAAACAAAAGCCCAGGACCCTTTAACTTTACTCATGAATCCTACCAAACATTGAAAGAAGAATTAGTATCAATCTTTCTCAGACTCTTCTGAAAAATAGAAGAGGAAAGAATACTTTCAAATTTATTTGATGAGGCTAGGGTTACCCTGATACTACAAGGACACGACAAGAGAAGAAAACTGTGGACCATTATCTCTTATGATGAATAGTAATGGCAAAATCCTCAACAAAAACAAGCGAACCCAATTCAACAGTACATTAAAAGGATCATATACCATGATCAAGTAGGATTTATTCATGGGATGCAAGGACGTTTCAACATATACAAATCCATAAATGTGATAAACCACATTAGCAGAATAAAGAATAAAATTATTATCAGCTCAACAGATGAAGAAAAAGCATGTTAACAAAATTTAGCATTGCTTCATGATTTTAAAAACTCTCAGCAAATTAGGTGCAGAAGGAATGTACTTTGAGATTATAAGGACCGTATATGAAAGCCCACATCTAACATCATAATCAATAGTGAAAAATGGAAAGGTTTTCCTCTAAGAACAGAAACAACACAAGGATTCCCACTCAGCACTCCTATTCATTATGGTATTGAAAGTTCTCCTAGAGCAGTTAGAAAACAAAGAAACAAACCATCCAAATAGGAAAGGAAGAAGTAAAATTGTCTCTTGCAGATAACATAATTTTGTATACACAAAACTCTAAAGATTCCAGAAACTGTTAGAAATACTGAATGAATTCAGTAAATTTGCACAACATGGAATCAACATTCAAAAATGAGTAGTATTTCTAGGTACTAGCAATTAACTATTAAAGAAATCAAGAAAACAATCTCTTTTACAATAACATGAAAAAATACTTATGGATAAATTTAAAGAAGGAGGTATTGGCATGTAGCTTTTTTTGTTGTCTTTTCCTAGTTTTGGTATTAAGGTAATACTGGCTTCATAGAATGATTTAGGGAGGATTCCCTCCTTCTCTGTCTTTTGGAATAGTTTCAGTAGAATTGGTACCAATTCTTCTTTGAATATCTAATATAATTCAGCTGTGAATCCACCTTGTCCTGGACTTTTTTTTTGTTGGTAATTATTTATTACCATTTCAATATTACTGCTCATTATTTGTCTGTTCAGAGTTTCTATTTTTTTCCTGGTTTAATCTATGAGTGTTGTATATTTCCAGGAATTTATCCATCTCCTCTAGGTTTTCTAGTTTATGTGTGTGAAGATGTTCACAGTAGCCTTGAATAAACTTTTGTATCTCTGTGTTATCAGTTGTAATATCTCCCCTTTCTTTCCTAATTGAGCTTATTTGGATCTTCTCTCTTCTTTTCTTGCTTAATCTCGCTAATGGTCTGTCAATTTTGTTAATCTTTTCAAATAATTTAACAAGCTTTTTGTTTAGTTTATCTTTGTCTTGTCTTTGTTGCTTCAATTTCATTTAGTTCTGCTGTGATCTTATTTCATTTCTTCAGCTGGGTTTGGGTTTGGTTTGGTTTCTGTTTTCTCTGGTTCCTTGAGGTGTCACCTTAGATTGTCTTCTTGTGCTCTTTCAGGCTTTTTGATGTAGGTATTCAATGCTGTGAACATTCCTCTTAGCACTGGTTTTGCTGTACCTTAGAGGTTTTGATAGGTTGTGTCAATATTATTGTTCAGTTCAATTTTTAAATTTCCATCTTGATTTCATTGTTGACCCACCGACCATTCAGGAGCAGGTTATTTTATTTCCAGGTATTTGCATGGTTTTAAGGGTTCTTTCTGGAGTGGATTTCCAATTTTATTCAATTGTGGTCTGAAAGAGTACTTTATGTAATTTTGATTTTCTTGAATTTATTGAGACTTGTTTTGTGGCCTGTCACATGGTCTATCTTGGAGAATGTTTCATGAGCTGATGAATAGAATGTATATTCTGCATTTGTTGGCCAGTATGTTCTGTAAATATCTGTTAAGTCCATTTGTTGTAGGGTATAGTTTAAGTCCATAATTTCTTTGTTGACTTTCTCTTTTGATGACTTGTTTGGTGCTGTCAGTGGAGTATTGAAGTCCCCCACTATTATTGTGTTCCCATCTATCTCATTTTTTAGGTATAGTAGTAATTGTTTTGTAAATTTGGGAGCTGCAGTTTTAGGTGCATATATATTTAGGATTGTGATATTTTCCTGTTGGACTAGGCCTTTCATCATTATATAATGTCCCTCTTTGTCTTTTTTAACTCTTGTTGCTTTAAAGTTTATTTTGTCTGATACAAGAATAGCTACTCCTGCACTTTTGGTGTGAATTTGCATGGAATATCATTTTCCACCCCTTTACCTTAAGTTTATGTGAGTCTTTATGTGTTAGGTGAGTCTCTTGAAGATAACAGATACTGGGTTGATGAATTCTTATCCATTCTGCCATTCTGTATCTTCTAAGTGGAGCATTTAGGCCATTTACATCCAATGTATTGAGATATGAGGTACTATTCTATTCATCATGCCAGTTGTTACTTGAATACCATGGTTTTTTTTCTTTGTGTTATTGTTTTATAGGCCCTGTGAGATTTATGCCTTAAGGATGTTCTATTTTGTTTTGTTTTGTTTTGTTTTGTTTTCAAGATTTGTTTCAAGATTTAGAACTCCTTTTAGCAGTTCTTTTAGTGCTGGCTTGGTAGTCTCTCTCTCATCATTTGTTTGTCTGAAGAGGACTTTATCTTGTCTTCATTTATGAATCTTAGTTTTGCTGGATACAAAATTCTTAACTGATAATAATTTTGTTTAAGGAGGCTAAAGGTAGGACCCCAGTCTCTTCTGGCTTATAATGTTTCTGCTGAAAAATCTGTTAATCTGATAGGTTTTCCTCTATAGGTTACCTGATGCTTTTGCCTCATAGCTCTTAAAATTCTTTACTTTGTTTCGACTTTAGATAACCTAATGACTGTGTGCCTAGGTGATGATTATATTGCAATGAATTTCCTGGATGTCCATTGAGCTTCCTCTGTTTGCATGTCTAGATTTCTAGCAAGGCAGGGAAGTCTTTCTTGATTATTCCCTCAAGTAAGTTTTTGAAACTTTCAGATTTCCTCCTCAGGAATACCAGTTATTTTTAGGTTTGGTCATGTAACATAATCTCAGACTCCTTGGAGGCTTTGTTCATTTTTAAAAAAATTATTTTTCCTTTGTCTTTGTTGGACTGGGTCAATTTAAAAGCCTTCTTGATTTTGAGCTCTGAAGTTCTTTATTCTACTTGTTTGATTCTATTGTTGAAACTTTTCAATGTCTTTTGCGTTTTTCTAAGTGTGTCTTTCATTCCAGAATTTGTGATTTTTATTTATGATATGTATTTCTCTGGAGTTTTTGTTGTCCATATTCTGTATTTAATTTTAATTCCCTCATGTTTGTTTTCCCCTTTCTCGGTGCTTTCTTGAGTACAAAATTCAGCATCCCTTTATGATTAAAACCCTCAGCAAAATCAACATAGAAGGGACATACCTTAAGGTAATAAAAGCTATGTCAAACCCACAGCCAACATTATACTGAACAGGGAAATGTTTAAAACATTCCTTCTGAGAACTTGAACAAGACAAGTATGCCCACTTTCACCACTTCTATTCAACCCAGTACTGAAGTCCTAGCTAGAACAATCAGATAAGGGAAAGAAATAGGGGCATCCAAATAGGTAAAGAGTATGTCAAACTGTCACTGTTCACTGTTGATATGATTATATACCTAGAAGATGATAAAGACTAATTTGAAAAGCTCCTAGATCTGATAAATGATTTCAGTAAAGTCTCAGGATACAATATCAGTGTATACAAATCAGTAGCACTGCTATATACAAATAACAACCAAGCTGAGAATCAAATCAGGAACTCCACCTCTTTTACAATTAATTAAATTAAATTAATACAATATAAAATAAAATTAAAAATACTTAGGAGTATGTCTAACCAAGGAGATGAAAGACCTCTACAAGATAAACTATAAAACACTACTGAAAGAAATCATAGATGACACAAACAAATGGAAACACATCTCATATTCATGGTGGGTAGAATCAATATCGTGAAAATGACCGTACTGCCAAAAGCAATCTACAAATTCAGTGTAATTCCCATCAAAATAACATAATCATTCTTCACAGAACTAGAAAAAACAGTCCTAAAATTTATATGTAACCAAAAAAATGCCTTCATGCCCAAAGCAAAACTAAGCAAAAAGAACAAATCTGGAGGCATTATAATACCCAACTTCAAACTACACTATAAGGCTGTAGTCACCAAAACAGCATGGTACTGGTATAAAAACAGGCATATAAGCCAATGGACAGAACAGAGAACCTTTAAATAAAGTCAAATATTGACAGCCAACTGATCTTCAACAAAGCAAACAAAAGCATAAAGTGGGGGAGGGAAACCCTGTTCAACAAATGTTGGTGGGATAATTGGCAAGCCACATGTTAAAAGGATGAAACTGGATCCTCATGTCTCACCATATACAATAACCAAATCAAGATGGATCAAAGACTTAAGTCTAAGACCTGAAACCATAACGATCTGAAGATAATATTGGAAAAACCCTTCTAGACATTGGCAGAGGCAAAGACTTCATGACCAAGAGCCCCAAAACAAATGCAACAAAAACCAAGATAAATAGATGGGACTTAATTAAACTAAAAGTCTTCTGCACAGCAAAATAAATAATCAGCAGAGTAAACAGACAACCCATAGAGTTGCAAAAAAGTCTTTGTAAACTGTGCATTGGACAAAGGACTAATATCCAGAGTCTACAAGGAACTCAAATCAGCAAGAAAAAAAAGAAATAATTCCATCAAAAAGTGGGCTAAGGATATGAATAGACAATTCTCAAAAGAAGATATACAAATGGCCAAAAAACCTGTGAAAAAAATGCTCAACATCATTAATTATCAGGGAAATACAAATCAAAACCACAATGCAATACCACCTTACTCCTGCGAGAATTGCCAAAATTAAAAAATTATATATAATATAGTTGTGGATATGGTGGAAATGGAACACTTTTACTCTGTTGGTGTGAATGTAAAGTAGTACAATCACTATGGAAAACAGTATGGAGATTCCTTGAAGAACTAAAAGTAGATCTACCATTTGATCCAGTAATCCCACTATTAGATATGTACCCAGAGGAAAAGAAGTCATTATATAAAAAAGACACTTGCACTCGCATGTTTATAGCTGCACAATTTGCATTTGCAAAAATATGGAACCAGCCCAAATGCCCAATCAACAAGTTGATAAAATGTGGTGTACATATACCATAGAATACTACTCAGCCATAAAAAGGAACCAAATAATGGCATTTGAAGCAACCTGGATGGAGTTGGAGCCATTATTCTAAGTGAAGTAACTTAAGAATGGAAAATCAAATATCGTATGTTCTCACTTACAAGTGGCAGCTAAGCTATGAGGACACAAAAGCATAAGAATGTTACAGTGGACTTTGGGGACTTGGGGGAAGGGTTCGGGGGTTGAGGTACAAAAGACTACACATTGGGTACAGTGTATACTGCTCGGGTGATAGGTGCACCAAAATCTCAGAAATCACCACTGAAGAACCTATTCATGTAACGAAAACCACCTGTTCCCCCAAAACTATTGAAATTAAAAAATAACAAAAATAAAAATAAAAAATAAAATGCAGATTCTGACAGCAAAAAAAATTTTTAAAATAAGAAAGTAAATGCTCTATATGCTGAAAACTGTAAAATATTGATGAAAGAAATTGAGATGAGAGCAGTTCCAAAATGGCCGAATAGGAACAGCTCCAGTCTACAGCTCCTGTGTGATTGGTGCAGAAGACGGGTGATTTCTGCATTTCCGACTGAGGTACCTGCTTCATCTCATTGGGACTGGTTGGACAGAGGGTGCAGCCCTCGGAGGTGAGCCAAAGCAGGGCGGGGCATCACCTCACCCAGGAAGCGCAAGGGGTCAGGGAATTTCCCTTTCCTAGTCAAGGGAAGCCGTGACAGACTGTACCTGGAAAATCAGTACACTTCTGCCCAAATACTGTGCCTTTCCCACGGTATTAGCAACTGGCAGACCAGGAGATTCTCTCCTGTGCCTGGCTCAGTGGGTCCCACGCCCACGGAACTTTGCTCACTGCTGGTGCAGCAGTCTGAGATCTGCGAGGCTGAAGCCTGGTCGGGGGAGGGGTGTCCACCATTGCTGAGGCTTGAGTAGGTAAACAAAGTGGGCAGGAAGCTTGAACTGGGTGGAGCCCACTGCAGCTCAGCAAGGCCTACTGCCTCTATATACTCCACCTCTGTGGGCAGGGCATAGCTGAACAAAAGGCAGCAGACAACTTCTGCAGACTTAAACGTCCCTATCTGACAGCTCTGAAGAGAGCAGTGGTTCTCCCAGCATGGCATTTGATCTCTGAGAATGGACAGACTGCCTCCTCAAGTGGATCCCTGACCACTGTGTAGCCTAACTGGGAGACACCTCCCAGTAGGGGCCAACAGACACCTCATACAGGCAAGTGCAACTGTGGGACGAAGCTTCCAGAGTAAGGATCAGACAACAATATTTTCTGTTCTTCAATATTTGCTGTTCTGCAGCCTCCGCTGGTGATACCCAGGCAAACAGGGTCTGGAGTGGACCACCAGCAAACTCCAACAGACCTGCAGTTGAGGGACCTGATTGTTAGAAGAAAAATTATGAAACAGAAAGGAATAGCATCAACATCCACAAAAAGGACATCCACACCAAAACTTCTTCTGTAGGTCACCAACATCAAAGACCAAAGTTAGATAAAACCACAAAGATGGGGAGAAACCAGAGCAGAAAATCTGAAAATTCTAAAAACCAGAGCACCTCTTCTCCAAAGGATCTCAGCCCCTTGCCAGCAATGGAACAAAGCTGGACAGAGAATGACTTTGATGAGTTGACAGAAGTAGGCTCTAGGAGGTCAGTAATAACAAACTTCTGTGAGCTAAAGGAACATGTTCTAACCCATCGCAAGGAAGCTAAAAACCTTGAAAAAAAGACGAATAGCTAACTAGAATAAACAGTGGAGAGAAGGGCTTAAATGACCTGATGGAGCAGAAAACCATGCCATGAGAACTTCATGACGTGCACAAGCTTCAATAGCCAATTCGATCAAGTGGAAGAAAGATATGGAATCAACCTAAGTGCTTTTCAACATAAGAATGGAAAAAGAAAATATGGTGTGTGTGTGTGGCTGTATATACATAGAACACATTTTCTTTGTGTGTGTGCATGTGTATACATGCACACATACACAAAATAGAATATTATTCAGCCTTAAGAAAGGCTGGGCACAGTGGCTCATGCCTGTAATCGCAGCATTTTGGGAGGCCGAGGTGAGCAGATCACAAGGTCAGGAGTTCAAGACCAGCCTGGCCAACATAGTGAAACCCCATCTCTATTAAAAAATACAAAAATTAGTTGGGCATGGTGGCACGTGCCTGTAATCCCAGCTACTTGGGAGGCTGAGGCAGGAGAATCGCTTGAACCTTGGAGGCGGAGGTTGTGGCGAGCCAAGATCGTGCCACTGCACTCCAGCCTGGGCAACAGAGCAAGACTCCAAAAAAAAAAAAAAAAAAAAAAAAGGAAGGAAGGGCCAGGTGCAGTGGCTTATGCCTGTAATCCCAGCACTTTGGGAGGCTGAGGAAGGACGGAAGGAGGGAAGGAAGGAAGGAGGGAGGGAGGGAAGGGAGGGAGGGAGGGAGGGTGTGGTGGCTCACACCTATAATCCCAGCACTTTGGGAGGCTGAGGCAGGCGGATTACGGGGTCAGGTGATTGAGACCATCCTGGATAACACAAACCCCGTCTCTACTAAAAATACAAAAAATTAGCCGGGCATGGTGGCGGGCGCCTGTAGTCCCAACTACTCGGGAGGCTGTGCCTGTAGTCCCAACTACTCAGGAGGCTGAGGCAGGAGAATGGCGTGAACCCAGGAGGCGGAGCTTGCAGTGAGCCAAGATCGCACCACTGCACTCCACCTGGGCGACAGAGCGAGACTCTGTCTCAAAAAAAAAAAAAAAAAATCAAAAAAAAAAAAAACAAAAAAAAGAGAAAGAGAAAGAAAAGAAGAGAGAGATCTCTCTATTTTTGACAGTGTGGATGATCTTGGAGGACATGATGCTATGTAAAATAAGCCAGGCACAAAAAGGCAACTGTGGCATGATCTCACTTATAAGTGGAATGTATAAAAATGGAACTCATAGGAGCAGAGAGTAGAATGGAGTCTTACTGGGGCTTGTGAAAGAAAGGGAGAAATGGATTAAAGGGTGCAAAGTTTCAGACAGGAGAGAGAAATTCTGGGGATCAATTGGTCAGCATGATGATTACAGTTAATAATAATGTATGGTGTACTTGAAAATTGCTAATAGAGTAGATCTTAAATGTTCTCAACACATAAACTCTGTGAGGTGATGGATATGTTAATTACCTTTTTGGCAGTCATTGCACAGTCTATACATTTATCGAAGCTTCACATTGTACATCATAAATATTTACAATTTTAATTTGTCAATTATACTTTAATAAAACTAGAAAAAAATGAAAATAAGTTAAAATTATCTCTTCTAATCTTCCCCCTTCCCTTCCCCACAGATATTATGGAACTGTCGTAGACTGAAAGGGACCAAAGAGACATGAAGCCAAAACTTAACATTTTTATTCTGAACTAGATTCTTTTGCTATAAAGGGCATAATTGGTTCCACTGAAACTTGAATAGAGTCTTTGTATTAAATATAAATAATGTATCAGTGCCAATTTCCTGATTCTAATGGTTGCATTTATTATGTAGGAGAATGTTTTTGGTTTTTGGAAATATACATTGACGTTTTAAAGGATGATGGGCTATCATATAAGCAAATTATTCTCAAATGATTCAGGAAAATAGTTTTAGTAAAGGACTTGTAACTTTTCTGACGTTTGTGATTGTTTCAAATTTTTAAAAAGTGATAAAAAACAATGCTGTGGAATAAAATCTCGATTATAGCTCATTGGTTTTGAACTCTATTATTTAAATTCATTAAAAATGACTTAAGCTATATTCTCTCTTTCACGTTTTTTGCAGGATTATTGGCCAAGGGAAATCCATTTTAGAGATGATGATAAATGGTCATGCACTCTGAAAAAAATAAAAGAAGATAGTTCATTTGTTTCAATTTATACACACCTATGGGAAAATGTTCCTCGAATATTTGAAGCACTTTTGATCATGGAATCAAAATTAAAGGAATATTCACTTATTTTGCAAAACCACACCTCTGAAATATTTAAGTGGAAAAGCATGATTTCTGAGACAAGTGAGCCTTATTTATTTTTATCTTTTATAGAAATGGAGTCTCACTATGTTTCCCAGGCTGGTCTCCAAATCTTGGCCTCAAGTGATCCTCCTGAGTCACCCTCCAAAAGTGTTGGAATTACAGGCATAAGCCAGTGCACCTGGCCAGTCCTTATTTTTTGTGTTAGTAAAGTAATGGTCAGTTGTCTGTGTGTGTGTGTGTGTGTGTGTGTGTGTGTGTGTGTGTGTGTGTGTAATCTCATAAAGAATGAAATTCTAAGGTACAAATATTAAAAATATTTTATTTTAAAACCTCTTCATTTCAAAATGGTTCAATACAGATTTTTTTAGTTGAACAGAAATATGTGGTTTCAAAGGAAGTATTACTAAAACAAAGCCTTAAAACAGTTGTTAAACTGTTAAGCTTTTGTTAAATTGGAGTGGAGGTACAGAGTATTAGGAAAACAGGAGAGCAAGATTGCATCAACTAATATTCTTACTAGAAACAAACATATCAGTAAGGGTCAGGATAGAACAGAAATATCTGAAACTGAAAGTAAAAGGGGTGATAGTTAACCTATATGGGCTCTCAGGCTAGTTTCTAGGGGTAGCTGGTATTCACTATGGAATAGCTGAATGAATGACAAAGCATACAGCAAGTAATGATAATTTTTACTTCTTTTCAATATTTGTATAACATTTTTCTTATCTAATTGTATTAACATTTCCAGAATAGTTTTAAATACTTATAATTATTCTTGTCTTATTCTTGATTTAATGGGCAAATTTGTCATATATATAAGTCTTGGAAATGATACTAATTGTACTTATAAAGTGTTTTTAGGTATTAGATTCATTATGTTATTTTGGTATTTAATATTCTTTTTTGAACTAAGATTTGTGTAATTCTGAAGATGTGTTTAAATACACTTCTATTAAATTAACTTTTTAAAAATTTTCATATTTAAACTGTAAATTTTTAAAAGTTTATATTTTTAATGTATAAAAGTTATGTATAGCTTCTGTGTATGTATATATAAATACACACACATATATATAGCTTGCATACACACATACACACAGACACCCATGTGTGTGTATAAATTCGTCTTGTAATGAAATAAAATACCCACAAGTAAACAAAGTATGAACATATCCTTTCATATCTTCCTTCTGTTTTTTAAAAAAGGTAATTTTATATATATATATATATATATATATATATATATATATATATATATATATATATAGTCCTCAATATGTAGATATCAGAACTTGGATTCAAGTCTATCTCGGTTATCTGACTTCAGAGCCCCCCATATTGTCTCACTGTGCCCTGCTCCACAGTACTGCACTTTATTGAAATTAAGGTGACCATGAAACAACCAAGTGTAAGTGGCTGAGCTATTTGAAAAATGTGGACTTTTTTAGGAGAAGGGATTGACATAAAAGTTTAGACATAGGAGTAAGTGCCACAGACATGTTAGTTGGAACATGGTATTTCAGAAAAAGGAAACAGAAGATATACTTTATATAATAATTCCAGTTATTCATTCAGCTAACAGTGTGTATTAACATATACTTATCACAATTGCTAATTGATTTCATTGAATAATTTTGTATATAATTTGTTTAAAGTATTTAAAATTTTGTTTATTTTTAGAGGAGGTTCATATGTATAATATATATACTGTGAATTCTTATTTTCTTAAAGGTTCTTATAGAAAATTGGAACGATATGGGGAATTTCTAAAGAAGTACCATAAGAAAAAAAAGATAATGGTATGGTATCTATGTTTTTATCATCCTTGAAAGTTGGATTTTCACAGAAAATATAAACACTACATTTCCACAGATGAGCACTAATAACACTTTTGTAAATGTCCTTTTAGTCTACTGTTACCAATCTATCTCTATGTTTTAAAGATAGCTGCACTTACTTTCTTTTCATACTCAGTATTACTGAGTATTGGCATCTTCACATAACTACAAGTTATTTGAAGACTTATTTCAAGGTATACTATTACATTTTTTGGTTATTTAATAATTTATAACATACTTAGTAGTGCAGGTCCTATATCAGCCCTCTTATTTTAGAAAATTAATAATTCTTTTTGATGACCTTTACTTTGCCAATTTTAAAAAATATTTTTGAGATTTTGATAAAAATGGCAAGTGTTTTGAATTACTTTCAGATACTTAGTCTTTTTAAAAATATGTTCTAAAATTATATAATGTTAGAGCTAGAAAAACTTTGTATCACCATTAGTCTAGCCACCTCATTTAATGCTTTATTTTTAAAAATTTAACTTTTATTTTCAGTTCAGGGTTACATGTGCAGGTTTGTTATATAAATAAACTTGTGACATGCGGGTTTGCTGTACAGATTATTTTGTCACCCAGGTATTAAACTTAGTGCCCATTAGTTATTTTTCCTGATTTTCTCCCTCCTCCTGCCATCCACCCTTCAATAGGCCCCAGTGTCTGTTGTTCTCCTCTATGAGTTCATGTGTTCTCATAATTTAGCTCCCACTTAAAAGTGAGAACATGCAGTATTTGTTTTTCTGTTCCTGCATTAGTTTGCTAAGGATAATGGCCTCCAGCTGGATCCATATACCTGCAAAGGACATGATCTTGTTGTTTCTTAGGGCTGCATAGTATTCCGTGGTGTATATATACCACATTTTCTTTATGCAGTCAACCATTGATGGGCATTTAGGTTGATTCCATGCCTTTGCTATTGTGAATAGTGCTGCAGTGAACATGTATTTGCATGTGTCTTTATGGTAGAATGATATATATTCCTTTTGAGTTCTTTCAGAAATCATCAAACTGCTTCCCACAGTGGCTGAACTAATTTATATTCCCACCAGCTGTGTATTATAAGCATTCCCTTTTCTCTGCAACCTCGTCAGCTTCTGTTATTTTTTGACTTTTTAATAACAGTTATTCTGACTGATGTGAGATGGTATCTCATTGCGGTTTTGATTTGCACTTCTCTAATGATCAGTGATGTTGAGTTTTTTTCATGTTTGTTGGCTGCATATATGTTTTCTTTTGAAAAGTGTTTGTTCATGCCTTTTGCCCACTTTTTAATGGGGTTATGTGCTTTTTTCTTATTAAGTTCCGTGTGAGTTGGATATTAGACCTTTGTAAGATGCGTAGTTTGCAAATATTTTCTCCCATTCTGTAGGTTGGTTGTTTACTCTGTTGGTAGTTTATTTTGCTATGCAGAAGCTCTTTAGTTCAATTGGATCCTATTTGTCATTTTTTGCTTTTGTTGCAATTGCATTTGCCATTTTTGTCATGAAATCTTTGCCCATACCTATGTCCAGAATGGTATTACCTAGGTTGTCTTCCAGGGTTTTCATAGTTTTGGGTTTTACATTTTGGTCTTTAATCTATCTTGAGTTAACTTTTGTATAAGGTGCAAGGAAAAGGTCCAGTTTCAATCTTCTGCATATGGCTAGCCAGTTATCCCAGCATTATTTATTGAATAGGGAGTCCTTTTCCCATTGCTGGTTTTTGTCAGCTTTATCAAAGATCAGGTAGTTGTAGATGTGTGGCCTTATTTATGAGTTCTTTATTCTGTTCCATTGGTCTGTGTGTCTCTTTTTGTACCAGTTCCATGCTGTTTGGGTGGCTGTAGCCCTGTAGTTTGTAATAGTTTGAAGTTAAGTAGCATCATGCCCCCAGCTTTGTTGTTTTTTTTACTTAGGATTGTCTTGGGTATTTTAGCTCTATTTTTGGTTCCATATGAATTTAAAAAAGAGCCTTTTCTAGTTCTGTGAATAATGTGATTGGTAGTTTAATAGGAATAGCATTGAATCTACATATTGCTTTGGGAAGTTATGGTCATTTTAACGATATTGATTCTTCCTGTTCACGAGCATGGAACGTTTTTCCATTTGTTTGTATCATCTCTGATTTCTTTTCAATTTAATTTAATTTTATTATTATACTTTAAGTTTTAGGGTACATGTGCACAATGTGCAGGTTAGTTACATATGTATACATGTGCCATGTTGGTGTGTTGCACACATTAACTCGTCATTTAGCATTAGGTATATCTCCTACTGCTATCCCTCCCCCCTCCACCCACCCCACAACAGTCCCCGGTGTGTGATGTTCCCCTTCCTGTGTCCATGTGTTCTCATTGTTCAATTCCCACCTATAAGTGAGAACATGCAGTGTTTGGTTTTTTGTCCTTGAGATAGTTTGCTGAGAATGATGGTTTCCATCTTCATCCATGTCCCTACAAAGGACATGAACTCATCATTTTTTATGGCTGCATAGTATTCCATGGTGTATATGTGCCACATTTTCTTAATCCAGTCTATCATTGTTGGACATTTGGCTTGGTTCCAAGTCTTTGCTATTGTGAATAGTGCCGCAGTAAGCATACGTGTGCATGTGTCTTTATAGCAGCATGATTTATAATCCTTTGGGTATATACCCAGTAATGGGATGGCTGGGTCAAATGGTATTTCCAGTTCTAGATCTCTGAGGAATCGCCACATTGACTTCCACAATGGTTGAACTAGTTTACAGTCCCCACCAACAGTGTAAAAGTGTTCCTATTTCTCCACATCCTCTCCAGCACCTGTTGTTTCCTGACTTTTTAATGATTGCCATTCTAACTGGTGTGAGATGGTATCTCATTGTGGTTTTGATTTGCATTTCTCTGATGGCCAGTGATGATGAGCATTTTTTCATGTGTTTTTTGGCTGCATAAATGTCTTCTTTAGAGAAGTGTCTGTTCATATCCTTCGCCCACTTTTTGATGGGGTTGTTTGTTTTTTTCTTGTAATTTGTTTGAGTTCATTGTAGATTCTGGATATTAGCCCTTTGTCAGATGAGTAGGTTGCAAAAATTTTCTCCCATTCTGTAGGTTGCCTGTTCACTCTGATGGTAGTTTCTTTTGCTGTGCAGAAGCTCTTTAGTTTAATTAGATCCGAGAAGTGTTTTGTAGTTCTTGTAGAGATCTTTCACCTCCCTGGTAAGCAGTATTCCTAGATATTTTTGTGTGTCTGTGGCAATCGTGAATGGGATTGTGTTTCTGATTTGGCTCTTGGCTTGAGTGTTGTTGGTATATAGGAGTACTAATGATTTTTATACATTAATTTTGTATCCTGAGACTTCGCTGAAGTTGTTTATCAGCTTAAGGAGCTTTTGAGACTATAGGGTTTCTAGGTATAGGATAATGTCACCTGAAAACAGGGTAGTATGACTTCCTTTCTTTCTATTTGGATGCCCTTTATTTCTTTCTCCTGCCTGATAGCTCTGACTAGGGCTTCCAATACTATGTTCAGTAGAAGTGGTGAGAGAGGGCATCCTTTTCTTGTGCCAGTTTTCAAGGGGAATGCTTCCAGCTTTTGCCTATTTATTATGACATTGGCTGTAAGTTTGTCATAGTTGGCTGTTATTATTTTGAGGTATGTACCTTCAATATGTAGTTTAATGAGAGTTTTTCACATGAAAGGATGTTGAATTTTAATGAAAGCCTTTTCTGCATCTATTGAGATAATCATGTCATTTTTTTATTTGAGTTTTGTTTATGTGATGAATCACATTTATTGATTTGCATATATTGATCCAATTTTGCATCCCAGGGATAAAGCCTACTTGATTGTGGTGGATAAGCTTTTTGATGTACTGCTGGATTCAATTTGCCAGTATTTTGTTGAGGATTTTTGCATCAATGTTCATCAAGAGTATTGGCCTGTAGTTCTCTTTTTTTGTTGTTATCTCTGCCCGGTTTTAGTGACAGGATGATGCTGGCCTCATAGAATGAGTTAGGGAGGAGTCCTTCTTCCTTAAGTTTTTGGAATAGTTTCAGCAGGTATGGTACCAGCCCTTCTTTGTACATCTGGTAGAATTCAGTTGTGAATTTATCTGGTCGTGGGCTTTAATAGGTTGATAGGCTATTTATTACTGATTCAATTTCAGACCTCATTATTGGTCTGTTCAGGGATTCAATTTCTTTTTGGCTCAGTCTTGGGAGGGTATATGTGTCCAGGAATTTATCAGTTTCTTCCAGATTTTCTAGTTTATGTGGACAGAGGTGCTTATAGTATTCTCCGATGGTTGTATTTCTGTGGGGTCAGAGGTGATATCCCCCATATAATTTTTTTTTTTTTTTTGCCAAGTGAAAGCAAGTTTATTAAGAAAGTAAAGGAATGAAAAAATGGCTACTCCATAGACAGAGGAGCCCCAAGGGCTGCTGGTTACCCATTTTTGTGGTTATTTTTGATGATATGCTAAACAACGGGTGGATTATTCATGCCTCCCCTTTTTAGACCAAAAAGAGTAACCTCCTGACATTGTCATGTCATTTGTAAACTGTCATGGTGCTGGTGGGAGTGTAGCAGTGAGGATGACTTGAGGTCTCTCACTCTCGTCGCCATTTTGGTTTTGGTGGGTTTTGGCCGCCTCCTTTACTGCAACCTGTTTTATCAGCAAGGCCTTTATGATCTGTAAACTTTTGTGCTGACCTCCTATTCCCTTATCATTTCTGATTGTGTTTATTTGATTCTTCTCTGTTTTCCTCTTTATTAGTCTAGCTAGCAGTCTATTTTGTTAATTAAAAAAAAAAACAAATACGGGAGTTGTCCTGGATTTGTTGATCTTCTCAATTTTTTTTGTGTCTCAGTCTCCTTCAGTTCAGCTCTGATTTTGGTTATTTTTGTCTTCTGCTAGCTTTGGGTTTGGTTTTCTTTTGATTCCCTGGTTCTTTTAGTTGTGATGTTAGGTTGTTAACTTCAGATCTTTTTAACTTTTTGATGTCGGCATTTAGTGCTATAAATTTCCCTCTTAACACTGCCTTAGCTGTGTCCCAGAGATTCTGGTGTGTTATACCTTTGTTCTCATCAGTTCCAAAGGACTTCCTGATTTCTGCCTTAATTCCTTTTTTTTTTCCTGAAAGTCATTCAGTAGCAGGTTATTCAATTTCCATGTAGTTGTATGGTTTTGAGTGAATTTCCTAGTCTTAATTTCTAATTTGATTGCTGCATGGTCCAAGAGACTGTCATGAATTCAGTTCTTTTGCATTTGCTGAGGAGTGTTTTACTTCTGATTATGTGATCAAGTTTAGAGTATGTCCCATGTGGGCAATGAAAATGTGTATTCTGTTATTTTGGAGTGGTGAGTTCTGTAGATGTCTGCCAGGTCCGTTTGACCCAGTGCTGGGTTTAGGTCCTGAATAGCTTTGTTAATTTTCTGCCTCAATGATCTGTCCTAATATTGTCAGTGGCGTGTTAAAAGTCTTCCAGTATTACTGTGTGGGAGTCTAAGTCTCTTTGAAGGTCTCTAAGAACTTGCTTTATGAATCTGGGTTCTCCTGTGTTGGGTGCATATATATTTAGGATAGTTAGGTCTTCTTGTTGAATTGAGTCTTTTACCATTATGTAATTCCCTTGTCTTTTTTGATTTTTGTTGGTTTAAAGTCTGTTTTGTCTGCAATTAGGATTGCAACTCCTGCTTTTTTCTGTTTCTCAGTTTCTTGGTAAATTTTTTTCCATTTCTTTACTTTGAGCCTATGTGTGTCATTGCACACAAGATGGGTCTCTTGAAGATAGCGTACTAGTGGATCTTGGTTCTTTATCCAGGTTTCCACTCTGTGCCTTTTAACGGGGGCATTTAGCCCCCATTTACATTCAAAGTTAGTATTGATATGTGTTGATTTGATCCTGTCATCATGATGTTAGCTGGTTATTATGAAGATTTGTTTATGTGGTTGCTTTATAGTGTCACTGGTATGTGTACTGCAAGCAGGTACAGCCAGGCTGGGGCCCTGGGAGAGGCCAGCAGACCAAGGGGTGCCCAAGATGGATTGGCCCCATTTTTTGGGCAAGATGGCCTTGCGTAGTTCAGGTCTGACAGTTCCCCTAGGGCTGTCATCTTGTTGTTAGTTTGTTATTATGCAGACTTGATTGTGTGGGTACTTTTTAGTGTCACTGGTGTATGTACTTAAATATGTTTCTCTGGTGGCTAGTAACGGTCTTTGATTTCCGTATTTAGCACTCCCTGAAGGACCTCTTACAAAGCAGGTCTGTTGGTAATGAATTCCTTTAACATTTGCTTTTCTGAAAAAGATCTTATTTCTTCTTCACTTGTGAAGCTTAGTTTGGCTAGATACGAAATTCTTAGTTGGAATTTCTTTTCTTTAAGAATACTGAATACATCTGGGTACGGTGGCTCACGCCTGTAATCCAGCACTTTGGGAGGCCGAGGCAGGTAGATCACATGAGTTCAAGAATTTGAGACCATCCTGACCAACATGGTGAAACCCCATCTCTACTAAAAATACAAAATTAGCCAGGCGCAGTGGTGCATAATTCCAGCTACTTGGGAGGCTGAGGCAGGAGAACTTGAACCTGAGAGGGGGAAGTTGCAGTGAGCCAAGATTGTGCCACTGCACTCCAGCCTGGGCAACAAGAGCGAAACTCTGTCTCAAAAAAAAAAAAAAGAATACTGAATATAGGCCCCCAATCTCTTCTGGCTTGTAGGATTTTTGCTGAAAGGTCTGCTGTTAGCCTGGAGAGGTTCCCTTTGTAGGTTTACCTGCCCTTCTCTCTAGCCACATTTAATATTTTTTCTTTCGTGTCAACCTTGGAGAATCTGATAACTATGTGTCTTGTGGATGGTCATCTTGTATAGTATCTCACAAGGGTTCTCTCTGTGTTTCCTGAATTTGAATTTTGGCCTCTCTAACGAGATTTGGGAAATTATCATGGATGATGTCCTGAAATATGTTTTCCAAGTTCCTTTTCTCTCCCCCATTTTCAGGAACTCTAGTGAGTGTAGATTTGATCTCTTTACATAATCTCATATTTCTCAGAGGTTTTGTTCATTATTTTTTATTTATTTTTGTGTGACTGAGTTATTTCTGAGAAGCAATCTTTGAGGTCTGAGATTCATTCCTCATCTTGGTCTATTCTGCTGTTAATACTTGTGATTGTATTATTAAATACTTTTAGCGTGTTTTTCAGCTCTGTCAGTTCAGTTTGGTTCTTTCTTAAAATTATCATTTCAACTTTCAGCTCCTGTATTGTTTTATTGTAATCCTTAGATTCTTTGGAGTTGGTTTCAGTTTCTTCTGAATTTTCATGATCTTTATTTCTATCCATGTTCTGAATTCTTTGCCTGTCATTTCAGCCATTTCAACCTGGTTAAGCACCATTACTGGAACTAGTGCAGTCATTTGGAGGAAAAAGACACTTTGGCTTTTTGAATTGCCAGAGTTCTTGTGCTGATTCTCATCTGTGTGGGCTGATGTTCCTTTAACTGTGGTGTAGTTTGAGTGTAGTCAATTGGCTTTGTTTCTGGATGTTTTCAGAGGGCTGAGACTTTGTGTTGGGTCTTTTTTTGTAGCTGAATTATTGTCCTTGGTTTTATCGGGGCATGTATTGGCAAAGTATTTTTAGTGTTGAAGTTTGGGATGTGATTCAGTAGATGGTGCTTAAGCATGCTGGTTAGTAGCTGGGCACTCGCTCAGCCAAGTGGCTCTTCTGTATTTCCTCACATTTACAAGGCATGCTCCTTTCAAAGAAGTTTTAAAATTGTGACTACTTAGTTTTATCAAATGACTTTTCAAAATCTATTGAAATGGGCTATAGGTAAATTATACTAACAAAAGTTTTAATAGTTATTCTTTTTGTTAAATATAAAAGTTTTATTGGATTTATCAATCAGAATTTTAACATGTATTTATATTTTTGTGGTCTCGTTTTCAGGTTATATGACCAAAAACTATGTTTTTTGTTACTGCAACTCTGCTGCTTGAAAACTTCCACTGTTTCTTTTCCTCCTGCAGAATAAAGCCAGGACTTGGAGATTAACCTTAACATTTAATTAAATCTGACTTCATCTTTTTTATTGATACATAATCATTGTACCTATTTACAGGGTACATGTGATATTTTGATTCATGCATGCAATGTGTAATGATCAAATCAGGTTATTTAGAATAGCTATCATTTTTTTGTGTCAGGAACATTTCAAATATTCTTTTATAGCTATTTTGAAATATACAATACATTGTTGCTAACTATAGTTGCCCTACTATGCTATCAAACAGTAGAACTTAATCATTCTAAATAACTATATGGTTGTACAGATTAACCAACCTCTCTTAATCTCCTCCATTCCCCAAACACCCTTCTCACAGCCTCTGGTAACCACCATTCTACTCTATACCTCCACGAAATAAACTTTTTAAGTTCCCACATATGAGTAAGAACACATAATACTTGTCTTTCTGTGCCTTATTTCACTTAACAGACAACCTCCAGTTTTATCCATATTGCTGCAAATGACAGGATTTCATTCGTTTAATGGCTAAATAGTATTCCATTGTGTATATACACCACATTTTATCTATTTATCCTTTGATGGAAACTTAGATTGGTTCCATACCTTAGCTATCGTGAATAGTGTTCCAGTAAACCTGAGAGTGCAGGTATCCCTTTGATTTCCTTTCTTTTGGAGAGATACTGAGTAGTGGGATTGCTGGACTAATTGTATGACAGTTCTATTTTTAGTTTTTTGAGAAACCTCTGTACTGTTTTCCATGATAGCTGTACTAATTTACATTCCCACCAATAGTATATAAGAATTCTCTTTTCTCTTCATCCTTACTAGCATTTGTTGTCTTTTGATAATAGCCATTCTAATTTGGATAAGATGATATTTCATTGTGGGTTTGACTTGCATTTCTCTGATGATTTGTGATGTTGAACGTTTTTCGTAGGCCATTTATATGTCTTCTTTTGAGAAATGTATATTCAGATCCTTTGCCTACTTTTTCATGGTATTATTTGTGTTTAGTTTTGCTGTTGAGTTGTTCCAGTGGCTTAAATACTAATATATTCTAGATATTTGTCTCTTGTTAAATAGATGGTTTGCAAATATTTTCTCCCATTACAAAGGTTGTGTCATCACTCTGTTAATTGTTTCCTTTGCTGTACAGCAGCCTCCTGTTTTAATATAGTCCCATTTCTGACCCCATCTTTATTGATCTATAGCTTTCAAGCATATAGCCTTCTTTCCAATCATATTTGATCTCATTTTTCCTAAAAAGTCTCTCTTTCTTATTCCTGTGTACACTTTAAAAAGTGAGAATAATATGATCCTCTTTCTGGAAGCAATACATCATTCTTTCCAATTTGTTTTATATGTCATATGTCATCTTCTTTCTAATATATGTGTATGTGTAATATGTGTGTATGTGTGGTATTGTGTGTGTAAAACTTACTTGTAAGCTTAGTAATTGTTGGAGTAATTAGGAATGTGGAAATTAACCTGCTATCTATCTATCTATCTATCTATGTCTGTCTATAGTATGTATACATATTATGTATGTTTTATATATATATATTTAAACATGACTAGATGATCAAAAACTAATCTATGTGTATAAAGCAGTGTAGTAGACATTAAAATATGCCACCCAATTCCTTTTCAAAGAAGGATCTGTGCTCTAGGGCCTAAGAGTGCTGTTAAGGGACACCCTTCAACTGTCAGCCCCTTCATTGGTTTACTTACCTCCAGAGAACTTCCTCTTCTGAGAAAACATCTTTCCAGGAACCATCCAGTGACAGCTCAAGTTGGAGCAGAAAGGCTTGGCTATTTCAGTCCAATGCAGGACAGCTCTGATCAATACTTTCAGCTCTAGAACTCTTCTTTGAGCCAGTTGTGGCTATTAGGCCTCCATCATAACTAATTTCTCCATCTGCCCAATCCTGCCTCTTCCCTTGACTGCCAAAGGCATTGATTCCAAAAGGCATTGATTCCAAAAGCACTCACAATAAACATTCTGAACACTAAACTTCCCCAGAGAGTCTATTTCCCAGGGAACCAAACTGTAATAAGTAGTTTGTTTATTATAGCCCTTATATCTATTTGTTTTGTTTGTATATGTATCTGATTCCGTTTTTGAACCATAACTAGTTTGAGGGCAAAGGCCATCTTTGAATTTCCAATATCAAACACAGCAATAGTATTTTAGGCCTCTGTAGGATATATATACATATATCTATAGTTATCTATGCATACTAGTTAACTGAACAAATTTACTAAATGTAAAATTTCTTTAATTTAGAGTTTTAAAGAGTTTATTTAAAATGTTTTCCAGCTTTCAGATGAAATGGAGACAGAGAAGAATATAGAGGTACTTAAAATTTCTGTTCTGCCAGATTGTATATCAAGTGTATTATGTAGGACTAAAATAATGTTTACAACAATATAAACAAGGCTCTAAATATAGAGAGAGGTACCAGAGGAGAGAGTTGGAAACAGGTATAGAAGCTTTCTCTTTCTGCCTAGTCTTTATTTACTTATGTGTAGTCTAGCTAAAATTCTTGATCATTTGAGTTTATATCAAAATTAGTTCTGAAATATGATTTTGTTTTTATTTTAGATATGACATATGAATGTGCTAGGGTTCTTAATTTCAAAGAAGCAGAAAATATGAAGGTTTTTCTTTTTTTGCAGGGGGTGTGGGGAATGGGGCCTCACTCTGTGGCCCAGGCTGGAGTGCAGTGGCGCAACCGTGGCTCACTGCAACCTCTGCCTCCCAGATTCAAGTGATTCTCCTGCCTCAGCCTCCCAAGTAGCTGTGATTACAGGCACGTGCCACCACGCCCAGCTAATTTTTGTATTTTTAATAGAAACAGGGTTTCACCATGTTGTCCAGGCTGGTCTCGAACTCCCGACCTCAAGTGATCCACCCACTTCAGCCTCCCAGTGTGGTGGGATTACAGGCGTGAGCCACCGTGCACGGCCAAAGGTTTTTCTTAGATGGGTTATATAATTTTTAGTTAATTTAGTAAAAAGAAGTAAAGTAATTATGTTAGTGAGTGATAGTTAAATGTTGGTCTTCTGTAGTTATATGAGTCTACTATAGTGAGAAGAGTGAAATATTTACTCTCCTGTTATATTTTCCTCTTTCTAGGGTTGCAGCTTCACAGGATTCAAAGCAAATGAACTTACTCAGCTACCCAGACATTTGGATGCTGAACAAATTTATCTTTTTATTTTAAAAGCCCATAATTTTGATGTATGTAAATATTTCATTTTATTGTAGGATACATTTTGACAGTATGATTTAATGAATCAGACCTTTACTTAAAGCTATGATAAATTAGGTGTTCAACAAGATTTGATCCTTTGGGCATTAAATTTGGCAGGAAAGACCAGTGATGTGTCTAACCGCTAATTACCAGAAAAGAATATATTAAACTCTGTGTTACTGCTTTGGGACCCTGAGGTTGCTAGCGTACACTGGCTTGGCATGTAACCGTAACAGGTGTTTTTTCCTTCTTGTCTGTTCCTGCTCTGTCAGCTCAGGATGTTTTAGCCTGCTCATTTTTGATCCTGAAATAAGTTGTGAGTGCCCTTCTTCACAACCCTTCTGGGTGTTTCTTTTGAGTCTTCAAGTGTCTGTGGGAATTTTGGGGTAGTATCCCTGTAGGGTAACCAAACAGTGAAAAACTGCAGGTGTTGGGAGGTAATTAGATCAATAGCCAGTGAATACGAGGGCTAAAATGAGGGTGGGATGGTTACCTGGTAAAACTGGTCATTTTGCCCTCTATTTCAGTTTTCTGCTCTTTGTGTTTATGTACATTACATATGTTCTTTTTCATTAAAAAGTATTAAATCCAAGTTGAAGCTGTTATCAGTGTACATCATACTATACTTAGTGGCCTATGAAAAAGATGTGTCCCCACAGAATACATAATAATTTTCTTGCCATGAGAGTTTATATGATGTCCTTTTTATAGACCTGTACTTGAAGAGGAATTCATACCTCTGGATGCACTTAAAAGAAATCTTGAATGTTACTCAATCTGGCATTAAAACATTTTGTGACTAAGAAGATAAAATAATCTATTGAATCTGCCTATTTAAACCAAAACTTATATTTTCTAGTAGTTACAGTAGACAAATTTAGCCATTTATTCCAATTTTGATTAATTGTTTGCTTAGGAAGAATACTACACAGGCTCAGGATAGGGGCTTATTAGAATATAAGTCCATGATTGATTGTTGATATTTGTCCTCAGTGGAAAAGGGGGAAATAATGGCATGAATCTTACATTTTTGCTGTTCTTGGTGTCCTTTCAATATCTACTAGCCAAATATGATTATTGAGCATATGAAATATGACTAGTATGACTGAGGAGCTGAATTTTTTATTGTATTTCTTTTAACTACTTTATATATAAATCTAAAAACTATATTTGATTTAGTTATTAAAAAGCTTTTAATTATGTTTGGAAGAAAATTACAAACATGTATTCTATGAAGTCTAAATATTAATCTAGTACTTCTGATGAAAATGTAGTGTTCAAGTTGAGATATGCTATCAAAAATATATACCGTATTTCAAATGCCTAGTACTAAAAATAGAATCCAAAATATTTTAATAATTTTTATAAAAATTATGTTGAAATGATATTTTAAATATATTTGGTTAAATAAAATGTCACTAAAATTAATTTCACTTTTTACTTTTTTAATGTGGCTACAAGAAAATTTAACATTATGTATGTGGCTCATGTTAAATTTCTGTTGGACAGTGCTGATCTATAAGCAATGAAAGCATACTCTTTATAAAGCCTATTTACATTAACATGTTTTGTAATATATTTTAATCTCCATGCATCTCTCTCTTGTTTTTTTCCATAGGAAAGAGTTTTTAAAATCTGGAAGACTCATTTTCTCTCAGAAGCCTCCATTGCTCTTTTGCATGACTCCTTTTGGTGGTGGTTTCTCCATAAATTTAGGGTATAGTGATTTTTAAAAATTTATTTTTTAAGTTGATTTTTGGCATAATTAATTTTTCAATAGAGATAAGTCTAGTACAAAAATGTTTTTCTGGATGCAACTACAGAGATTAGTTTTTGAGCATTCCACACATTAGAAATCCTATATGATGTCTAGAGTTCTTTCAGAGGAGTTAAAACTTTAATATAGATTTCAAAAGATTCTGGATCTTTGAAATTAGACTTCATATATTATATCTATCATAATATATATCACATATTATATAATTAGAGTCTAAGTCAGATTTTTAATCAGAAGATCCAGAATTAGAAAGGTGAGAATTCTGATTAGGATTGAACAGATAAAGAAGGTGTATTAGTCTGTTTTCACACTGTTATAAAGAACCACCTAAGACTGAGCAATTTATGAAGGAAAGAGATTTAATTGACTCGTATTTCCGCATGGTGTGGAGGCCTCAGGAAACTTACAATCATGGTGGAAGGCAAAAGGGAAGCAGGCACCTTCTTCACAGGAATGCAGGAAAGACAGAAAGGGAAGGGCAAGTGCCACACTTTTTAAACCACAGATCTCATGAGAACTCACTGACTATTACGAGAACATCGTGGGGGAAACCACTCCCATGATTCAGTCACCTCCCTCCCAGTCCCTCCCTCGACATGTGGGGATTACAATTCAAGATGAGTTTTGTTTGGGGAGACAGAGCCAAACCATATCAGAGGGGGTATCTGGGAATCAATAAGAGAAGAAATAAACAGCACCTGAAACTGTGTTTTACTGGAAGAATTTCAGTAATAATATTATAATACCCTTAATGTTTAAAAAAAATTGCTCTTGGGACCTTAACTACAAAAAAGACAAATACCTGGAAAGTGCATCATTCCCCTCTAAACAGCAACAAAAGGAAGGCATTTAACTTACAAAGTCAGTTTTTTTTTAATCCATCATACAAAGTAGATTTCAAAGCAATGTTGCCAGGGATAAAGAAAGTAATTTTATAATGTTGAAGTGGTCAATTCATCAACCTAACATAACAATTCCAAATATTTATGCACCTAATAAAAATGCTTCAAAACACATTTAATAAAAACTTAATACTTCAAAGAGAAATACACAAATCAGTACGTATAGAGACTTCAGCCCCTTCTTTGAATAGTTGGTAGAATATACAGAAAATCAGTAAGGATACAGTATGATATAGAAGGCTTGAACAACACTGTCAAGCAACTTGACTAATTGACATTTATTAAACATCTCTCTTGTATTAGTTGGTTTTGTGCTACAATAACAGAATGGTGATTTATAATGAACAGAATGAATTGGCTCACAGTAGGCTGGGAAGTCCAAGATAGAGGGACCGGCATGTGGTGAAGGCCTTTTTGCTGCATCATCCCTTGGCAGCAAGTAGAAGAGTGAGAGAGGGAACAAGCAAGAGGGCCCCTCCTATGATAACAAACCCACTTCTGTGATAATGGCATAATCTGTTCATGAGGGTAATGTCCCCAAGACCCAAACACCTCCCATTAGGCCTCATCTCCCAACACCACTGCATTGGGGATCAAGTTTTCAATACATGAACTTTGGGGGACACATTCAAATCGTAGCACCTCCCAATAACAGCAGAATACACATTTTTCTCAAGTCCACATTAAACAGTTGCTAAGATTAACTACATTCTGAGCTAGGAAAATATCCTAATAAGTTTATAAGAATTTAAGTCAAACACAGTGTTTTCAGATCAACATGGAATTATATTATAAAATAATAACATATCTAGAAAATCCCCAAATATTTGGAAATGAACACAATTCTCAGTTACCATGGATCAAATCAGGAATCAATAAGGAAATCAAAAATTATTTTGAACTAAATGAAAATGAAAACAGATTAAAATGTGTGAGATATAACTAAAGCAGTATTTAGAGAGAAAATCATAGAATTAAAATGCCTGCATTAGAAAAAAGAGAAAGTTCTCCAGAAAGAGAAAGTTCAGCTTCTACCTTAAGAAAGTGGAAAAAGAAAAAAAAAAGCCAAACCTATGGAAAGCAGAAGAAAATAAAATAATAAAGATCAGAGAGAAAATTAATAACATTGAAAAGAGAAAATAAAGAAACTCAATTAGGCCAAAAGTTGGTTATTTGAGAATTCTAAAAATGAGGTAGCACAAGAGCAAATTGAAGCCTGTGTTTCACTGAGTGACCATAGAAGAAACAAAACCCAAATACAGCTCATTACTTGACTTGAGTCCAGCTCCTAAAGGCTTAGCAAAAGAAGAGGAATGCCTATTCCCAAGCATAAATATTATATACCTCAGTTTCTACAGGCCTATGAAAGTGCCCTGCTCTCAAACAGAAGGTATAAGACATATAAAGAAGGAAAGGAATTGTGGGTTGTTTGGTATGAAAATGATCAGCTTAATGAGAAAATGTCACATTGTTTTTCCAGGTGAATGTACAATTTTATACTCCCATTGTTAATATATTGAGTTCCCATTGTTCCTGAACAACCAATGGGTCAAAGAACAAATCAAAAAGGAAATCAGAAAATACCTTGAGACAAATGAAAACAAAAACACAACATACCAAAACTTATGAGATGCAGCACAAGCAGTGCAAAGAGGGAAATTTATAGCTGTAAATTCTTACATTAAAAAAGAAGAAAGCCATAGCAATTAGGCCAGAGAAAGAAATAAAAGTATCCTAATAGAAAAGGAAGAAGTGAAATATCTCTGTTTGTAACAACATCTTATATACAGAAAATCCTAAAGATTCCACCAAAAAACTGTTAGAAATGTATGAATTAAGTTGCAGGATACAAAATCAACATTCAAAAATTAGTAGCATTTCTGTACACTAACAATGAATTATACAAAAAAGAAATCAAGAAAACAATTCTGTTTACAATAGTAATAACAAAAAGTAAAATACTTAGATTTAAACTTAACCAAGGAGGTGAGAGATCTGTATACTAGAAATATAAAATACTGATGAAAGAAATTGAAAATGACACAAATAAATGGAAAGATATCCTGTGTTTATAGATTGAAAGAATTAGTATTATTAAAATGTCTATACTACCCAAAGCAACCTACAGAATCAATGCAATCCCTAACAAAATTCCAGTGATGTTTAAACAGAGATAGAAGAAAACAGTCCTAAAATTTATATGGAACTGCAGAAGATCCCTGAATAGTCTGAGCAATCTTGAGCAAAAAGAACAAAGCTTGAAGTATCACCCTACCTAACTTCAAAATATACTACAATGCTGTAGTAACCAAAAAAAGCAGAGTATTGGCATAAAAACAGACACATATACGCATAGAACAGAAAAGAGAGCCCCCAAATGAATCTACGCGTTTACAACTAATTGGTTTTCAACAAAGGCGCCAAGAACACATAACAGAGAATGGACAGTCTCCAATAACTGTTGTTGGGATAACTGAGTATCCACATGCAGAAGACGGAAATTGAACCCTTATTTCACATAATATACAAAAGTCAGCATGAATTAAAGACTTAAATATCAGATCTGAAACTGTAAAACTACTAGAAGAAAACAGAGGAAAAGCTCCATGACGTTGGTTTGTACGGTGATTTTTTGAGTATGAAGCCAAATGTACAGGCAACAAAAGCAAAAAATAGACAAATGGAATTGCGTCAAACTAAAAAGCTTCAGCAGAGCAAAGCAAACAGTCAATAGATTGAAGAGAGAACCTGTAGAATGGGAGAAAATATTTGAAAACCATACATCTGATAAGGGGTTAATGTCCAAAATATATAAGCAATTTAAACAATTTAATAGCAGGAAAACAACCTGATTTTAAAAGGAACAAAGTAAATTAGTAGTCATTTTGGAAAATAGTATGAAGTTTCCACAAAAAAACTGAAAGTAGAATCACCGTAAGATCCAGCAATCCCATTTCTGTTTATATCCAAAGGAGTTTAAACTGCTGTGTTGAAAAGATTTGCATTTTCATGTTCATTTTAGCATTAATTGCAATAACCGAGATATGAAAGCAACCTGAATGTCCATCAATGGATGAATGGATAAAGAAGATTTGGTATATAATTATATATAATATATATTTAATGTGTAATATTAAATATATTCATAATAATATTAATAAATTATATAAATGCATATGTAATATTTAATATATATTTAAATATATTTATATATTATATATAATATAAAAATATATAGCCTTTAAAAAGAAGGATATCCTGTAATTTCCAACAACCTAGATGGAACTGGATGTTTTGCTAACTGAAATAAGCCAGTCACAGAAAGACAAATACTGTATGATCTCACTTACATGTGGAATTTAAAAAAGTCAATCTCATAGAAACAGCAGAAAGGTAGTTATCAGAGGCCGAGGGTGGGGAGAAATGGGGAAAGGTGAGATGATCAAAAGGTGCAAAGTTTCACTTACACCAGAGAAATAAGTTTTAATGATCTATTATACTGCATGGTGACCACAATAAATAATACATTTCAAATTTGATAAAATAATTTGATAAAATTTTTAAAATGGGCAGAGGCTCTAAACACTTCTCAAAGGAAGACATACAAATAGCTATGTGAACAGTATTTGAAAAACTGCTCAACATCACTAATCGTTAGGGGAATACAAACCAAAACCACCATGGGATGTCATCTCACACAACTGTTTGATGTGTGAGATTTTATCTCACATGACTGTTATCAAAAAGATGAAAGATAACAAGTTTTGGTGAGGTTATGGAGAAAAGGAAATGCTTGTATATGATTGGAAATATGAATTGCTACAGCTAATATGGAAAACAGTATGGATTTCTCAAAAACTAAAAATAGAACTACCACATGCTCCAGTAATCCCACTTCTGGATATACATCCAAAGAAATTGAAATCAATATGTCAAATACATAACTCTATTTCCACGTTCATTGCAGCACAATAGCTAAGACAGGAAATCAACCTAAGTGTCCATCATGGAAATCAACCTAATTGTCTGTCAACGAATGAATGGATAATGTGGTGTAAGTACACAATAGAATATGCTTGGGCCTTGAAAAAAGGAAATCCTAACATTTGTGACAACCTGAATGAACCTGGAGAACATTTTGCTAAGTGGAATAAGCCAGGCTCATAAAGACAAACATCACATGATCTCACTTATATGTGGAACCTAAAAAAGTTGAACTCACAGAAGTAGAGAGCAGAGCAGTAGTTACAGAGGCTGGGCTGAATGGCAATGGGCACATGTTCAAAGGGTAAAGAGTTTCAGTGAGACAGGA
The DNA here is from genome assembly GCF_000001405.40 of Homo sapiens. Lineage (NCBI taxonomy): Eukaryota > Metazoa > Chordata > Mammalia > Primates > Hominidae > Homo > Homo sapiens. Next base: position 49,569,736 of record NC_000015.10, on the reverse strand, counting down.
GGAATAACTTTTTGAGATCCATAGCACAACATGGTCACTACAATTAATAGTACTATATTGTATACTTCAAAATTGCTAAGAAGGTAAATTTTAAATGTCTCACCTCAACAAATTATAAGTAACTGAGATAATGGATATATTAAGTAGCTTGATTTAATCATTTCACATTGTATACATTTATCAAAATGATACATTGTACCCTATAAATAAACACAATTATGATTTATACGTTCAAAATAATAAAACATTAAAAATCAAAGAAGAAAGATCTGAAATCAACCACACCGTCTCACACATTAAGTAACCGGAAACAGAACAAATTAAATCCTAAGTTAACAGAAGGAAGGAAATAATACATATTGCAGCAGAGATAAATGAAATAAAGAATAGAAAAACAGAAAAAAAATAAAACTAGAAGTTCTGTCTCTGAGAAGAACAAAATGGACAAACCTTTAGCTAGAATGACTATTAAAAAATAGGGAAGACTATAATTACTAAAATTATAAAAAAGTGGGGGCAATATTTTCAATTTTATGGAGGTTGAAAGGATTATAAGAGTGTTGTAAATGAATATATGCCAACAAATTGGAATAATGTAGTTGAAATAGACAAATTCTTAGAAACATACAATCTAACAAGATGGAATCATAAAGAAATAGAAAATCTAGATTGTAACTATTAAGGAGATTAAATCAGTAATCAAAAACCTCCCATCAAAGAAAAGCCCTGTACCAGATGGCGTCACTGGGGAATTCTACCAACATTTAAAGAAGAATAAACACCAGTCCTTCTGAAACTCTTTCAAAAAGTTGAAGAGGAAACATTTTCTAACTCAACCTGTAAGTTAGAAGGTATTACTCTGATACTAAAGCCCAAAAAGACACTGCAATAAAAAGAAACTACCAATATCTTTTATGGTGAATTTTGAGACAAAAATCCTCAACAAAATACTAGCAAATCAAAAGCAACAGCATATTAAAAGGATTATACACCATAACCAATGGGATTTATTCCTGGAATGTAAGGATAATTAACTCATCAAATGTTTGCATGCTTTTTGTTGCCAGGTACTGTGCTAAGGCCTTGAAATAAAAAGTTACAAAAATATGATCCCTGTCCTTATTTAATTTTACTGCACGCCTTTAAGATAAGTATATATTACCTACATTTGACAGATGAGAAACCCGGGACTTAATTAACTTGCCCAGGGTAATACAGCCAATGCATAACAGCCAGTGTTAAAATTTGGGTCTGCATTATGCGAAAACCCATGCTGATTCTCCTGTACCAATTGATCTGCTCATGAGAATAAATGAAATTGCTGTCATCATGTAAACAAATTCCAGTTTTAAATTGTAATATTGACTTTAATTTCACACATTTTTTTAAGCCTGACAGAGAAAACCAAGATTGCTTATTCGATAGAATTTCAGAAAGTTATGTGACACTTTTCATGAGCATACCTCTAAGTCGAAAGGATGCATTTTTTCAGGTAAGCATTGAAATTAACAGTTATGCTAATTATTTTTAAAGTGAATGAAATAGAAAAAATCGTTATTTTATTTAAACCCATATGAGAATATATTTTGTTACTTTTGAAAGCAAAGTTGGTGTAGAGTATTAGTAATATTTTGAAAGTTATGCTCTTATTAACCCCTCAAAATATTGTATTCCCTGGCATCAAGGTCTTACATAATCTCCTTAGTGACTACAGGAACTTTGTTTGCATATTAATAATTTTAAAACTACTGAGTCATTCTATGTATGTTCCTGTTTTTTTTTCTGTTTACCTACAAAATTATTTATGACTTTTCTTTTACTTTATAATGAATCTTGATCCACTTAAGCGGACTTTACAAGTTTATTTTATGCCCAAGGACTAAGCACCTGTTACAGTAAAGCACAATACATAAAATTATGAATCAAATGCTTGCTGTGCTTTTCTGTTATTGTACTAACTGATGGATAGGATTGATTCAAATAAGTAATGTCCCTGGGTAGTGTGAAATGAAGATGGTAGGAATCTCACTGGGTGTTTTTAAGTTTAATATTTAGCATTTCAAAACACAAGTCATATTCAAATACTTTGTTGCATTAGCAATTTGTAAATCAGAAATCATAGTAAATACTTTGGAGTTTGTAAATGTTTTCATGAGAAAGCCATACCCAAAATAAAAAGGTGTCTTTCATGATGAATATATAAACAAGCCTAAATTCACAAATTTGCCAAATATTTATATTTAATCTTGACCTATCTTACTCACAAACACATGTGTAAAGTTTGATAGAAAGAAACTATCACTAGTAGACTGGGAATAAGGATACTTGGCTTCATGTCCAGAATATGCTACTGATTACCTGGGTGATCTCAGCAAGCCACTCAGCCTCTCAGGTTGACAGCTGGGTTGTATATCACATGAAGAGGTTGATTAGGTCTTGATTATTTTAAGACAGTGATTCTTAAATTGTTATCAAACAGTGATGTTCTGACAGGTTTTTTCTTATTTGCAGCAAAAAGTTAATGATTAGGCATGTTGCAATTAAATTGTCTAAAGATCACAAAAACAGCTGTTTCTGCTACCCATATTCTTTCAGTTAGCCTATTCTTCTATGGCTTTTATTTTAACTATTTACTGAGAGTGCCTAGTCCACCTACATGATTTTATGAAATCAAGCATGTTTTAGTACAGGGCCCTTAAGAAAAAGATAAGAGGCTTTTAAATATGGACAAAGAATAAAATGGTGGTAACATTGTGTATCCCCCATTCTTTAGTTTCTGTTTCTACTTTTATGATCCAAATGTTCTCACTTGTGGTGGATGTGTCTTTTGATAAATCTTATACTTACAACTTCTCTCAAACCATGATTTGATTTTTTCTGGATTCTGATTTTCAGTAACTTTTTCTAAGAAGAAATTAGAAGTTGTTTAATTAAGTTGCAAAGCCTCATTTGAGAACAGACAAGATGTACTTAATGATTAGACTCCTGGACTTGCACTAAGTCTTCCTTTAAAACTCCCTGTCCATGCATTTATGTGTGAGAGCCACCTGCCTTCAGGATCTCATCTTTTATTGACCATAATTTCAATTATTTTTAACTAATTCAAATAAGTGAGGGTTTTATTACTATTAACTCATCTGATTTATATTTCCTAAGGAAGATAAATGTATTAATATTTAAGAAAGAAAAAAATTATCTTCCAGTCCACTATTTAGCACAAATTAATCTGAACCTAAATATATTTTGTATGGCTTTTATTTTCCTTTCTTCCAGCATCACACAATGATATTCTCTCAGAAATTTTCCAAATAGTTTGACACTTAATCTCCTTCATCTCCTGAAGGCAGGATATTCATAGAAAATGTTTAGAAGTTCCCTTTATTCACCTTGTTCAACATTTTAATTTTAACCATTGGTATAATTTGTGTACCACAAATAGAATATGTCATCATTTCTGGTAGAAAAAAATGCTCATGGCTCATTTAATAAAATTAAATATGTCAACATATTATAGAGTTTTTCCCTTTTCCCTTCACTTCCCAAGAAAAATCATGGAGATCTTAAAAGAATACCATCACTTACCAGCAAATTTGAGCACTAATAGATTAAGTGACTGTATTAGTCTCCTACTACTGTTGTAAAAATTATATATTTAGTGGCTTAAAGCAATAGAAATTAATTTTCTTAGCTGTGGCGGCCAGGAGCCCCAAATGAGTCTTACAGGGCTAAAATCAAGGTGTCAGCAGGACCAATGTCTTTAGGAGGGCCCAGAGGAGAATCTATTCCTTGCCTCTTCTGTCTTCTGGAGGTTGCCAGTATTCCTTAGCTTATGGTTGTATCACTCCAATCTCTGCTTCTGTTTTTGAATTGCTTTCTCATTTTCTATAGTCAAATTTCCCTCAGCTGCCCTCTTACAAGGACACTTACAGCCCATGGGATAATCTCCTTATTTTAAGTGGGGATTAAGTTAAGATCTTTAATCTTAACCCCCACCGAAGATCTTTAACTATCACATTTGCAATATGCTTTTGCCTTGTAAGGTAACATTTACAGGTTCCAGGGATTAGAACATGTATATATTTTGCACCAGTATTCAGTCTATCACAATGACTTGTAAGAGACTTTCTAATTCTAAAATTTTACAAAGTGATGGGCTTAATGTGTGATTATAAATACTTATCTGAATGCAGAGTATGCAAATAGTTGTATCAATTTGTCTTTAATATAAAAATATTGTGTTTTTCTATGTTGAGTCACTCCCTGAGAGGAATTTAATAGTTTAGGGATTTGAAAGCTAACAGGATACTGGTAGTCCCTTATATTTGTTGATTTCTGATTTTTTTTTTTTTTTTTTTGAGATGGAGTCTCACTCTGTCACCCAGGCTGGAGTTCAGTGGCGCAATCACGGCTCACTGCAACCTCCGCCTCCCGGGTTCAAGCGATTCTTCTGCCTCAGCCTCCTGAGTAGCTGGGACTATAGGTGCCCATCACCACCCCTGGCTAATTTTTGTATTTTTAGTAGAGACGGGGTTTCACCATATTGGCCACACTGTTCTTGAACTCCTGACCTCGTGATCCGCCCACCTCAGCCTCCCAAAGTGCTGGGATTACAGGTGTGAACTACTGTGCCCGGCCTCTGATTATGATTTTAATATTGAAATAGTACTGATTGCACTATATAAACTCATGCGAACAACCTACAGTTACTTAAAAATATACTTTTTATTGCTATGGCTCATATGCATCATTTACAAAAATTGCAACATTTACTTTAGGTTCAGGGAGTGCACGTGCAGGTTCGTTACGTGGGTATATTGTATGAAAGATCCTGTCATCCAGGTAGTAAGTATAGTATAGTGAGTTTTTCAGTCCTCACCCCCAACACCTCCCTCTTCTATCTAGTAGTCCCCAGTGTCTATTGTTCTCATCTTTATATCTATATGTATTCAATGTTTAGCTCCCACTTATAAGTGAGAACATGTGGTATTTGGTTTTCTGTTTCTGTGTTAATTAGCTTAGATTAATGGCCTCCAGCTGCAACCACATTGCTGCAAAGGACATGATTTTGTTCCTTTTTATAGCTGTATAGTATTCCATGTTGTATATGTACCACATTTTCTTCATCCAGTTCACCATTGATGGATAGTTAGGTTGATTCCATGTCTTTGCTATTGTGAACAGTGCTGTGATGAACATACAAGTACATGTGTCTTTTTGATAGAACGACTTATTTTCCTTTGGGTAAACACGCCTTGTTATGGGATTCCTGGGTCTAATGGTAGTTCTGTTTTTTAAGTTATTTGAGAAATCTCTAAACTGTTTTCCACAGTGGCTGAACTAATAAACATTTCCACCAACAGTGCATAAGCATTCTTTTTTCTCTGCAGCCTTGCCAGCATCCATTGTTTTTGACTCTTTAATAATGCACACTCAGATTGATGTGAGATAGTATGTCTTTGTGGTTTTGATTTGCATTTCTCTAATGATTGGTGATGTTGAGCATTTTTTCACATGTTTGCTGCGTGTATGTCTTCTTTTGAGAATTGGCTGTTCTTTTCCTTTATCCACATTTTAATGGGATTATTTCTTCTTTGTTGAATTGCTTAAATCTTAAGTTTATAGATTTTGGATATTGGGCCTTTGTTGGATGAATAGTTTGTGAATATTTTCTCCTATTCTGTAGGTTGCCTGTTTATGCTGTTGATAGTTTCCTATGTTGTGCAGAAGCTTTTTAGTTTAATTAGATCCTGCTTGTCAATTTCTATTTTTGTTGTAGTTGCTTTTGCAGACTTAGTCGTAAATTCTCTGCCAAGGCCAATGTCCAGAAAGGTACTTCCTAGGTTTTCTTCTAGGATTTTTATAGTATTACATCTTATATTTGTCTTTAATCCATCTTGAGTCAATCTTTGTATATGGTGATAGGTAGAAGTCCAGTTTTGTTCTTCAGCGTATGGCTAGCCAGTTACCCCAACACCATTTATTGAATAGGGAGTCCTTTCCTGATTGCTTGTTTTGTCTACTTGTTGAAGATCAGATGTTTATAAGTGTGCAGCTTTATTTTTGGCTTATCTGTCCTGTTCTGTTTGTCTGTGTGTCTGCTGTTCAACCAGTACCATGCTGTTTTGGTTACTGTAACCTTATAGTGTAGTCAGAAGTCAGGTAATGTGATGTCTCTGAATTTGTTCTTTTTGCTTGGGATTGCTTTGGCTATTTGGGCTCTTTTGTGTTTCTGTATGAATTTTAGAATAGATTTTTCTACTTCTGTGAAAAATAGTATTGGTAGTTTGATAGGAATAGCATTAAATTTGTAGATTGCTTTGGGCAGTATGGCCATTTTTAACAATGTTGATTCTTCCATTCCGTGAGTGTGGAATGTTTTTCCGTTTGTTCATGTCATCTATGATTTCTTTGAGCAGTGTTTTGTAGTTTTCCTTGTAGAGATCTTTCACCTCCCTGGTTAGCTGCATTCCTGGGTATTTTATTTTTGGCTTCTGTAAATATGATTGCATTCTTAATTTGGCTCTCAGCTTTAACATTATAGGTGTATAGAAATGCTACTGAGTTTTGTACATTGGTTTTGTATTCTGAAACTCTACTGGAGTTGTTTATCAGTCTTACAGACCTTTTGGCAGAGTCTTTAGGATGTTCTAGGTATAGAATTATATCATTAGTGAAGAGAGATAATTTGACTTCTTTTACTATTTGTATGCCTTTTATTTCTTTTTCTTGCCTGATTGCTCTGGCTAGGACTTCCAGTACTAGTTAAATAGGAATGGTGAGTGTGGGCATCCTTGCCTTTTTTTGGTTCTTATGGGGAATGCTCCCAGCTTTTGCCCTTTTAGTATGATATTGGCTGTGGGTTTGTCATAGATGGCTCTTATTATTTTGAGGTATGTTCCTTCAGTGCCTACTTTTTTGAGGATTTTTATCATAAAGGGATGTTGAATTTTATCAAATGCTTTTTCTGCATCTATTGAGTTGATCATATTTTTTAAAAAAATTATATTTATGTGGTGAACCACATTTGTTGATTTGTGTACGCTGAACCAACCTTGCATCACAGGAATAAAGCTTATTTGATCATGGTGAATTCACATTTTGATGTACTGCTGGATTTTGTTTGCTAGAATTTTGTTGAGAATTTTTGCCTCTGTGTTCATCAGGGATCTTGGCCTACAGTTTTTTTTTTCCTTTTGTCTTTTCCAGATTTTGGTATCAGAGTGATGTTGGTTTGGTAGAATATGTGAGGAGAAGCCCCGCTAAGGTTCCTCAGTTTCTTTGAATAGTTTAACTAGGGTTGGTACCAGCTCTTCAACTGGTAGATTTTACTATGAATCCATCTGGTACAGGGTTCTTTTTGGTACATAGGTTTTTATTATTATTATTACTGATTTAACTTCAGAATTTGATATTGGTCTGTTCAGGGTTTCAATTTCTTCCTGCTTCAGTCATGGGAAGTTTTATATTTCTAGGAATTTATTATTTATTCTAGATTTTCTAACTTGTGTGTGTAGTGTTGTTCATAATAGTCTCTGAGAATCTATTGTATTTTTGTGGGATTGTTTGTAATATCTCCTTTGTCATTTCTGACCATGTTTATTTGGATCTTCTCCTTTTTTCTCTTTATTAATCTAGCTAGTGGTCTATTGACATTGTTTATCCTCTCAAAGAATCAGCTTTTGGCTTGGATGATCCTTTTTATGGATTTCTGGGTCTCAACTTCATTAAGAACTGCTCTGATTTTAGTTACTTCTTGTCTTCTACTAGCTTTGGGGTTATATTGTTTTTATTTTTCTAGTTCCTTTAGGTGTAATATTATATTGTTAATTTGAGATCCTTGTAACTTCTCTATGTAGGTGTTTAGTGCTATCAACTTTGCTCTTAACATTGCTTTGGCTGCATACCAGAAATTTGGGTATGTCGTGTCTCTATTTTCATTTATTCCAAATATTTTGTTTATTTGTGTCTAACTTAGTTGTTTACCAAAAAACTATTTAGGAGCAAGTTGTGTAATTTTCATGTGATTTTCTGGTTTTGAGAGATCTTCTTGATATTGATTTGTGTTGTTATTCCACTGTGGTAGTATTTAACTTTTTTTGAATTTATTGAGACCTGCTTCATGGCTGAGCATGTGGTTGATCTTAGAGTATGTTCTATGTGAAGATGAGAATAATGCACATTTCTAGTTGATGGGTGGAGTGCTCTGTAGATATTTGTTAGGTCCAACTGATCAAGTGTTGAATTTAAGATCAGGACTTCTGTGTCAGTTTTCTGCCTTGATGATCTGTCTAATGCTGTCAGTGGGGTGTTGAAGTTTCCTACTAATATTGTGTGGCTAAGTCTTTTCATAGGTCCATAAGTACTTGTTTTATTAATCTGGGTGCTTCAATATTGGATGTGTATATATTTAAGAAAGTTAAGGCTTCTTGTTGAATTGAACCCTTTATCATTATGTGGGGCCTTCTTTGTCCTTTTTTACTGTTAGCAGTTAAATGTCTGTTTTATCTTATAAGAATAGCTACTGTTGCTCTTTTCTTGTTTTCCCTTTGCATGGTAGATCTTTCTCCAACCCTGAGACTTTAGGTGTCATTATATGTGAGATGGGTCTCTTGAGGAAAGTAGATAGATAAGTCTTGTCTTTCAAGTCAACTTGCCACTCTGTTCCTTTTAAGTGGGGCATTAAGACAATATACGTTCAAAGTAAGTATTGATATGTGAGATTTTGATTCTATTGTAAAGTTCTTAGCTTATTGTTTTCTATCTTCTATTATGTACTTGCTTTATTGGGTATGTGGGTTATATACTTAAGTTTAATTTTGTGTTAGTAGGTGTCATTTTTTTGTTTCTACATTTAGAACTCCCTTAATGATCTCTTATAAGGCTGGTATAGTGGTAATAAATTACCTTAGTGATTGCTTGTCTGAAAAATTTTCTATTTCTCCCTTACTTATGAAGCTTAGTTTAGTGGGATATGAAAATTCTTTGTGGGAATTTATTTTCTTTGACAGTGCTGAAAATAGACCTCCAATCTATTCTGGTTTGAAAGGTTTCTGCTGAGAGGTCTGCTGTAAGCCTGATGAGATTCCCTTCATACATAATCTGACCATTTTCTCTAGGTGGCTATAAGATACTTTTATTAGCATTGACCTTAGACACTCTGTTGACTATATGCCTTCATGGTATTCATTTTGTATGGTATCTGGCAGGTGTTCTCTTGATTTTTTAAATTTGGATGTCTACCTCTCTAGCAAAATTAGGAAATTTTTCTTGAATTATTTTTTCAAATACGTTTTCCAGGTTGTGAACTTGTTCTCCTTCTCTTTCAGGAATACCAGTAATTCATAGGTTTGGTTGCTTTACATAATACCATTTTTTTGATACTTTGTTCATTTTTCTTAATTATTTTTTATTTCTTTTTGTCTGACTGGGTTAGTTCAAAATACTGATCTTCAAGCTCTGAAAATTTTTCTTCTGCTTAGTCTAGACTATTGATAAAACTTTCAGTGGTATTTTGAAATTTCTTTGGTGAGTTTTTTATTTCCAGTGCTCTAATTGATTTCTTTTCATGATGTTTAGCACTTCCTTCATTTCCTGGATTCCTTTAGAAGTTTCTTTGTGTTGATTTTTAATCTTTTCTTGAATCTCATTGAGCTTCCTTGCAATCCATGCTTTAAATTCTTACTTGTCATTTCTGAGTTTCTTTTTTGGTCAGGAACCATTGCGGAGGAACTAGAGTGATCTTTTGGTGGTGTTGCAACATTCAGGTATTTTTGGTGTCAGAATTTTTTTTTTTTCGAGACAGTCTTGGAGTCTCGCTCTGTCACCCAGGCTGGAGTGCAGTAGCACAATCTCAGCTCAACTGCAGTCTCCACCTTTCAGGTTCAAGTGATTCTCCTGCCTCAGCCTCCTGAGTATCTGGGATTACAGGCACGTGCCACCACGCCCTGCTAATTTTTGTATTTTTAGTAGAGACGGGGTTTCACCATGTTGGTCAGGCTAGTCTCGAACTCCTGACCTCGTGATCTGCCTGCCTCAGCCTCCCAAAGTGCTGGGATTACAGGCGTGAGCCACCACACCCGGCCTATAGTGTCAGAATTCTTATGCTAGTTCCTGCTTGTCTGGAGAGGAGTGGGTGGGTCTTTTGGCATTGCCTCTGTTGACTTATGGTGTTTTGGCTTTGCTTCTATTGCCTTATGCACTTCCGTGGGCTGGTTTTATATTGAGCTGTGCAGTTTGACCTAGAAGTTGGTCAGTGGTGCTCTCAGGTGAGAGCCAGTTGCAACATAAGCAGGTAGGTAGGTACCTGATCTTTGTTTATTGAGGTGCTCTCTGTTGTTTCAAGTGAAGGACTGGACATTGGAGTACCTGGTGCCATAAGTTTCCTGTTCTGTGGGGTTGGAGAGACACAGCTGGAGCCCCTTGCTTTCCCACAAATGCCCAAATGGCAAGCACAGGCACCTGCCCTGATGAGGGTTAATGGGAGGAGTTCCTTATGAAGTGCACTAAAGACTCTGCAGGGAGTTGAGATGGTTGCACCAGCTTCCTATCCTACATAGGCAGGAACTTGATCTGTTTTCCTATTACACAATTGTTCCAGGGCTCATGACTCCTAGTTTAGATTCATATTCTAGTCTATCTCTGGACTACAGTGAGGTTGAGAGCCACAGTAAATGCCTGTTTTGTGACTCTCTGTGGGAGTGGTTTCAGGGCATAATTTAATCTCTGAACCTGATACAGACAGTTTTATGGCTCACGTCTTTGCCAGTGTGACAGTACTGCTGCTGCTTGTAAATGGTGGGTGGGCGGGGGGTCTCCACCTTTGGGCCCACATGAGTGAGTTTTGGTTCTGGTGGTGGTGACTGGTTAGGTCAGCCTGACTTTGGGCCCTGGGGAAGTGGTCCAGTGCCTGTAGAGTTGGAACAGGGTAGGGGTAGGGTACGTAGGTAATTTCCAGGCTCCTCGATGGCTTGCAGAGCAATGGGTATGAGTCCTGAAAGGGCTGTGCCAGAATCAGGCTAACCCAGAGTTCAAGTGCTGGTTATGATGAAGAGTGGCGGGTTGGTCCCTGGGTCACTGGCCAAACTCTTAGGTGGCAGCAGGTAAAATGCTTAGATGGTGGAAACCAGGGGCAGGCAGAACACTTAGGTGGGGGGAACCAAAAGGAATATCACAAACCTGTGGGAGTTGGGTTTTCAGAATGGCTGTGGACTGCAGATGAAATGTTCAAGTAGGGTAAGGGTGGCTATGCAGTGGGCCTTTCACTGAGGAGGGGAAGATCCCTCAGCTGGAGCAATGGAGACTGGCAGCTGTGGGGCACATGGCACACTTGCACTTCACTTTTACCCAAGCAGTGCTAGACTTCACTGTCAGAACAATGCAAAGGTGCCAAGCCTTGTTTGTTACCTTTTGGAGTTTTGTCCCAGAGAAATGCAGAGCTGTGACTGACAACAGGTGTTTAGGTGGATCCAGGGCTGCTGCACTAGGAGCCCAGGTTGGCAAGCCCTGCCTTGCAAGGAGCAGTGTGGGTAGGGGTCACACGGTCTTTAGTCTGGGTGCTTTCTGGAGAAATGCAGAGCTGTGACCACCCACAGTATTCAGGCAAAGTTGGGGCATTAGGCATTAGGAGCCCAAGTCAGCAAGCCCTGCCGGATGAGGAGCAGTGGGGATAGGAGGTCACATAGTCTGCAGCCTGGGTGCTTCCTGGAGAAACTCAGAGCCATGACCACCCAGGTTCAGGTTGGGGTGGGGCCACTGTGCTGGAAACCCATGCTGGCAAGCCTTGCCTACTGAGGAGCAGTGGGGCAGTCTGGCTGCTTCTTAGCACCATGGCTGCAGCCTCTGTTGGGGCTACAGCAGATGGCACTGGACTACTCAGGGATTCAAGGCCTGTAGGGCCCCATGTGGGCTTCAATGGTTCTTCTGCAAAGACTCTAGGTGGCTCTCCATCTCAATCTGGAGGCTCCTGGGGGTCAGGAATATCTCTCATGTCCGGGATTGCAAAGGTCTATCACAGAAGTATAGATCCCCTCAGGACTCTCACTCACTCACCTTTCCCTGCGTGAGGGAGCTTCCCCCACTCTCCATCAGTTCTGGGTGGGCAGCTGCCTGGCTTCGCTCCTCTTGTTCTCTGTTGGTCCTGTTGCTTCCTTGGTGAATCTTCATGGGATCTCCTTGACAATCCACTTGAGGAACTAGTATTTACTCACCACTTTGTTTCATCTCCATGAGAGCAGTGTATACTAGCTGCTTCCCATCTGTCGTCTTAAACTCCTCTGTACATGACTTTCTAAAAGAGGAAAGCAACAGCAAAGTTAAGTGAAATGAATAATTATGAAATCTTAATTGTTCATTTTATTCTCTATCTGAATTAAGTTTTTTTCCCAAAACATTGTCAGATTGACTGGATTTTCAACTCTTACTTGTTTATGTCCCTCAATTAAAGGTACAAAGAAGTAATAAAATGGCCAAAAGCAAGTTATAAGAAAAAAAAAGACATATATATTTCATAAAGTAAATAATAATTTCTAAGGTGGCTGACTAGATGCAGCCAGAAGGAATATCTGCTACCAAGGGACTGGGACACTGGGAAGACTTGTGCACTCTGAGCATATCATCAGAGGGAAGGCACTGAGAGTGGATGGAGGGAGAACACACATACTGGGATGGAGGGGGAGGAATATGGGAACTCTGCATGGGGCTACCATGCACAAGGACTTCTTCCTGGCCCCAGTGACTCCTGGGGAAGAGGTGAGATGAGCAGGCAAGGGGCAACCCACTCTCACCAGGGACCTCTGGAATCCTGGCATCAAAGGACCCATGACCCCTATGGACGCTTGAGCTAGCAGGGAGAGCTGGTTGGAGATATGTTGGAGCAGGACTGTAGCCTGTGCAGAGGCCAGAGGGATTAGTGCGGGAATGTCTGTGATGGAGCACAACCAGAAATACCCATACCTGAAGGCTTGCCATGCTACCCTAGGAGACTTTCATTTTAGGGGAACTGTCAGACCTGAACAGAGCAGGGTATCCTTGCCTCGGAGATGGGCCAGTCTGACCTGAGTGCCCCCTGTCTGTCAGCCTCTCCTTGGGTCCAGCCTTTCCATGGTTGCTTGCAGTATGGCAATGGATGCCCAAATGGGCTGCCTCCCGGGGGCCTACATTAAAGCTCTTGCAGTGGCAAACAGTGCCTGGCCATCAAGAGTTCCAACAGAATGGCCCCTGTCTGATGAAGTGCTTTTGCTGGCACCACACATCAGAATGTTGTGGCCTGTGGCCCAAGAACACTTTAGCCCACCAGCACAGCAGATTTCTAACCTCAAGGGGCCAGGGAACAAAGCTGGGGCAGGATACCAGCTCTCCAGAGTTAGAGCACCCTGCCCAGGAGTGCTGAGCTGAGCTGTATAGCCTTCTAATTTCTTTCAGAAACAAAGTCAGTAAACTGAAGCCACCTTATACAACAATTAAACCCCTGACAAAATCAAATAAGATAAAAGAAAAAAAAATCCAAAGAAAGCAACTTTAAAGATTGAAGAAACATCAGCTCATGAAGATGAGAAGGAACAAGTGCAAGAACTCTGGGAACTCAAAAAGATAGACTGCTTACCTCCAAATAACTGTACTAGTTCCCCAATAATGGTTCTTAATCAGGATGAAATGGTTCCCGGGTCACTTGTCAGACTCGATGAGCAGGTCAAATATGCATCGATAATAACCTAATTCTAGATACAGAATTTAGAATACAGATTAAAAAGAATTCATTGAAATTCAATCCAAGGATTCTAAGGAATACAATAAAATGATACAGGTGGTAGAAGACAAAATGGCCATTTTTAAAAAGAAGAAGCACTGATACAGCTGAAAAACGCACTTCAAGAATTTCAGAATACAGTTGCAAGTATTAATGCAGAATAGACCAAGCTGAGGAAAGACTCTTCATGGCTCAAAGACTGATTCTCCAAAATCAACCAATCAGACAAATACAAAGAAAAAACAATGAACAAGAATGAACAAAACCTTCTAGAGATATGGGATTATGTAAAGAGACCAAATCTATGACTCATTGACATCCTTGAAAGAGGGAGAGAAAGCAAGCAGCATGGAAAACATTTCAGAATATTGTTTGTGAAAAATTACCCACCCTCACTAGAGAGGCCAACATTCAAATTCAGGAACTGTGAAGAACTGCAAAATACTATACAAGAAGACCATATCCAAGTCACATAGTCATCAGATTCTCCAAGGTTGACATGAAAGAAAAACATTAATGGCAGCTAGAGAGAAGAGGCAGTCACCTACAAAGGAAACCTCACCAATTTACCAGCAGACCTTCCAGCAAAAGCCCTACAACCCAGAAGAGACTGGCAGCCTATATTCAGCATTCTTAAAGGAATTTCCAAACAAGAATTAATATCCAGCCAAACTAAACTTCATAAGTGAAAGAGAAATAAGCTCCTTTTCAGATAAGCAAATGTTAAGGGAATTCACTACCAACAAATCTGCTTTATAAGAGGTCCCGAAGAGAGTGCTAAATATGGAAAGGAAAGATTTTTACTGGCCACTAAACCAACAACATTATAAAGCAATCACATAAAGAAGTCTGCATAATAACCAGCTAAAAACACAATGACTGCATTAAATCTGCATATATCGATAATAACCTTGAATGTAAATGGGCTAAATGCCTCAATTAAAAGGGACAGAGTGACAAGTTGAATAAAGAAGACCCAACTGTATGCTGTCTTCAAGAGACCAATCTCACATACAGTGATACCCCCAGGCTCAAAGTAAAGGGATGGAGAAAAATCCACCTAGCAAACAGAAAAGAAGCAGAAGTTGCTATTCTAGTTTAAGATAAAACAGGCAGAGGCAGAGCACAATGGCAGAATAGAAACCTCACTGATTGTCCCCCCACAAGAACACCAAGTTAACAACTATCTACACAGAAAAAAACACCTTCATAAAAAAACAAAAATCAGGCCAAGTACTTATAGTGCCTAGTTTTAGCTTCATATCACTGAAAGAGGCACTGAAGAGATAGGAAAAGCAGTCTGGAATCACCAACACCACCCCTCCCCAACCCCCAGCAGTGGCAGTGTAGTGCAGAGAGCATTTCTGGGTGCTGGGGAAAGAACACAACATTGTGAGATAGTTAACTCAGTGCTGTCCTGTTAGAGCAGAAAGAAAACCGAACCAAACTCAGCTGATACCGGCCCACAGAGGGAGCATTTAAACCAGCCCTAGACAGAGGGGAATTGTGGATCCCAGCGGTCAGAACTTGAGAACCTGCAAACCTTGCCACAGAGGGCTACACATTCTGTGTCTCCAAGTAAATCTGAGAGTCTAGGCCATAAGGACTGCGACTCTTAAGCAAGACCTATTACTGAACGAGGTCCAGAGACAATGGACTGGAGTGTGCACGCAACATAGTGACACATCAGTAGGGGCAGCCAAGGGAGTACCGGCATCACCTCTCTCATAACCCCAGGCTGCACAGCTCACAGCTCTGAAAGAGACCCCTTCCTTCTGCTAGAGGAAAGGAGAGGGAAGAGTGGGGAGGACTTTGACTTGCATCTTGGATACCAGCTCAACCCCAGCAGGATAGGGCATCAGACAGAGATGGGAGGCCCTTATTCCAGGCCCTAGTTTCCAGATGACATTTCTAGACACAAACTGGGCAAAAATGGAACACACTGCCTTGAAGGAAAGGGCCCAATCCTGGCAACATTATCACCTGCTAACTGAAGAGCCCTTGAGCCCTGAATAACTAGCAGCAATACCCAAGTACTACATTGAGGGCCCTGGGTGATACTCTGAGACTTGCTGGCTTCAGGTACCAGCATGGCCACAGGTGGGGAGAGCATCAGCTGTGCTCTTGGGGTCCCCAATTCCAGGACTTGACTCTTGGGCAGCATTTCTGGACCTGCCCTGGGCCAGAGAGGAGCCCACTTCCCTGAAGGTTGTGTCCCAGGCCAGGCAGCATTCAACAAGAGCTGATTTAAGAGCCTGTGGCCCTTAAGGGAACATTGGCTGATAGTGTGGCAATATTCCTCATGGCATGGTGTGACAGTGGCTACAGGGTGAGATGACTCTGCCTTTGGAAAGGGGAGGGAAGAGTAGGAAGGACTGCATCTTGTGATTTGAGTGCCAGCTCTAAGGTTTTTTTTCTTTAGTCTCTGGCTCCCAGGCAGCACACCTGGACCTACCAGGGGCCTGGGGAACCTCGCCACCCTGAAGGGAAGGACACAGGCCTGGCTGGCTTTGCCACTTGCTGATTGTAGAGCCCCAGGGCCTTGAGCAAACATATACAGTAGTTAGGGAGTGATTGCTGCAGGCCTTCAGTGAGACCCAGCATTGTTCTGGCTTCACGTCTTACCCAAAGCAGTCATAATGGTGATAGCCACAGGAGTGCTTGTGTCACTCCACCTACATTTTTAGGTGTCAGAACAGAAAGAGAGATTCTGTATGTTTGGGATAAAGTAAGGGAGGAGAAAAAAAGTCTCTGCCTGGTAATTCAGAGAATTACCTCCACAAGTCTGCAAGAACCACAGTGTTACTGGGCTTGGGGTGTCCCTTAAAGTAGATACAGCTTATATCACAACACCCAAGCTCTTTCAAGTATCTGGAAAACCTTCCCAAGTAGAACAGCTATAAATAAGCGCAGACAGTGAATATTACAATAAATACCTAACTCTTTAATGCCCAGACACCAAAGAACATCAACTGGCATCAACACATCCAGGAAAAGACTTCAGCAATTAACTAAATAAGGCACCAGGGACCAGTCTTGGAGAAACAGAGATATGTGACCTTTGAAACAAAACTTAAAAATAGCTGTGTTGAGGAAACTCAAATAAATTCAGGATAACCCAGAGAAGGAATCTGAATTATATCAGATAAACTTAACAAAGAGATAGAAATAAAAAGAAGCAGAAATTCTGGAGCTGAAAATGCAATTGGCACACTGCAGAATGCATCAGAGTCCTTAAATAGCAGAATGGATCAAGCAGAAGAAAGAATTAGTGAGCTTGAAGATAGGCTATTTGAAAACACAAGGAAATCAAAAGAAAAAAACAAAAAACAATGAAACATGCCTACAGGATCTAGAAAATAGCCTCAAAAGGGCAAATCTGAGTTGTTGGCCTTAAAAAGGAGGTAGAAAAAGAGATGGGGTAGATAGGTTATTGAAAGGGATAATAGGCAATTTCCTTAAACCTAAAGGAAAAATACCAATATCCAAGTACAAGAAGGTTATAGAACACTAAGCAGGTTTAACCCAAAGATTACTTAAGATGTTTAATAATCAGACTCCCAAAGGTCAAGGATAAAGAAAGGACCTGAGAGCAGCAAGATAAAAGAAAGAAACAACATACAATAATGCTCCAGTACATCTGGCAGCAGTCTTTTCAGTGGAAACCTTATAGGCCAGAAGAGAATGGAATGATATATTTAAAGTGCTGAAGGAACAAAAACATTTACCCAAAGTAGTATATCTGGCAAAAATATCCTTCAAACATGAAGGAAAGATAAAGATATTCCCACACAAAAGCTGAGGGATTTCAGCAATACCGGACCTATCCTACAAGAAATGCTAAAGGGAGGACTTCAATTAGAAAGAAAAAACATTAATGAGCAATAAGTAATCACTTACATTTACAAAACTCACTGGTAATAGTAAGTACACAGAAAAAACACAGAATATTAAAACACTGCAACTGTTGTGTGTAAACTACTCTTATCCTAAGTAGAAAGACTAAATAAAGGAGGAACCACTCAAAAATTATAATTTCAACAACTTTTTAAGACATAATACAGTAAGATATAAATAGAAACAACAAAGAGTTAAAAAGTGGGGGGACAAATTTAAACCATTGAGTTTTTATTAGTTTGTTTATGGAAATAGTATTATGTTGTTACCAGGTTAAAATATGGGTTTTAAAATAGTGTTTGCAAGCCTCATGGTAACCTCAAACCAAAAAACATACAGTAGATACACAAAAAATACAAAGCAAGAAACTAAAGCATGTCACCAGAGAAAAATCACATTCACTACAGTAAGACAGGAGCAAAGAAAGAAGGAAGAGAAGAACACAGAACAAGAAAGCAAATAACAAAATCACAGAAGTAAACCCTTACTTACCAATAATAATATTGAGTGTAAGTGGACTAAACTCTAATTAAAAGACTGGCTGAATGGATGAAAAAACAAGACTCATTGTTCTGTTGCCGACAAAAAACACACTTCACCTATAAAGATACACATAGACTGAAAATAAAGATATGAAGAAAAGTATTCTATGCCAATGGAAACCAAAAAAAGGAATTGCTATACTTGTATCAGACAAAATAGACTTAAATACAGAAACTATAAGAAGAAACAAAGAAGGTTATTACATAATAATAAAGGGGTCAATTCAGCAAGAGGATATAACAATTTAAAAATACATATGCGTCCTCTCCCTCTCCCTCTCCCTCTCCCTCTCCCTCATGCTGAGCCAAAGCTGGACTGTACTGCTGCCATCTCGGCCCACTGCAACCTCCCTGCCTGATTCTCCTGCCTCAGCCTGCCGAGTGCCTGCAATTGCAGGCGCGTGACGCCACGCCTGACTGGTTTTCGTATTTTTTTGGTGGAGACGGGGTTTCGCTGTGTTGGCTGGGCTGGTCTCCAGCTCCTAGCGGCGAGTGATCCGCCAGCCTCGGCCTCCCGGGGTGCCGGGATTGCAGACGGAGTCTGGTTCACTCAGTGCTCAATGGTGCCCAGGCTGGAGTGCAGTGGTGTGATCTCGGCTCGCTACAACCTCCACCTCCCAGCCGCCTGCCTTGGCCTCCCAAAGTGCCGAGATTGCAGCCTCTGCCCGGCCGCCACCCCGTCTGGGAAGTGAGGAGCGTCTCTGCCTGGCCGCCCATCGTCTGGGACGTGAGGAGCCCCTCTGCCTGGCTGCTCAGTCTGGAAAGTGAGGAGTGTCTCTGCCCGGCCGCCATCCCATCTAGGAAGTGACGAGCGCCTCTTCCCGGTCGCCATCCCATCTAGGAAGTGAGGAGCGTCTCTGCCCGGCCGCCCATCGTCTGAGATGTGGGGAGAGCCTCTGCCCCGCCGCCCCACCTGGGATGTGAGGAGCGCCTCTACCCGGCCGTGACCCCGTCTGGGAGGTGAGGAGCGTCTCTGCCCAGCCGCCCCGTCTGAGAAGTGAGGAGACCCTCCGCCTGGCAGCCGCCCATCTGAGAAGTGAGGAGCCCCTCCGCCTGGCAGCTGCCCCGTCTGAGAAGTGAGGAGCCCCTCCGCCTGGCAGTCACCCCGTCTGGGAAGTGAGGAGCGTCTCCGCCCAGCAGCCACCCCGTCCGGGAGGGAGGTGGGGGTCAGCCCCCGCCAGGCCAGCCGCCCCGTCCGGGAGGGAGGTGGGGGGGTCAGCCCGCCGCCCGGCCAGCCGCCCCGTCCGGGAGGTGAGGGGCGCCTCTGCCCGGCCGCCCCTACTGGGAAGTGAGGAGCCCCTCTGCCCGGCCAGCCGCCCCGTCAGGGAGGGAGGTGGGGGGGTCAGCCCCCCGCCCGGCCAGCCACCCCGTCCAGGAGGGAGGTGGGGGGATCAGCCCCCTGCCCGGCCAGCCGCCCCGTCCGGGAGGGAGGTGGGGGGGTCAGCCCCCTGCCCGGCCAGCCGCCCCCGTCCAGGAGGGAGGTGGGGGGATCAGCCCCCAGCCCGGCCAGCCGCCCCGTCCGGGAGGGAGGTGGGGGGGTCAGCCCCCTGCCCGGCCAGCCGCCCCGTCTGGGAGGGAGGTGGGGGGGTCAGCCCCCCGCCCGGCCAGCCGCCCCATCCGGGAGGGAGGTGGGGGGGGTCAGCCCCCCGCCCGGCCAACCACCCCGTCTGGGAAGTGAGGAGCCCCTCTGCCCGGCCACCACCCCGTCTGGGAGGTGTACCCAACAGCTCATTGAGAGCGGGCCATGATGACAATGGCGGTTTTGTGGAATAGAAAGTGGGGAAAGGTGGGGAAAAGATTGAGAAATCGGATGGTTGCTGTGTCTGTGTAGAAAGAGGTAGACATGGGAGACTTTTCATTTTGTTCTGTACTAAGAAAAATTCTTATCCTGTTGATCTGTGACCTTACCCCCAACCCTGTGCTCTCGGAATCATGTGCTGTGTCCACTCAGGGTTAAATGGATTAAGGGCGGTGCAAGATGTGCTTTGTTAAACAGATGCTTGAGGGCAGCATGCTCGTTAAGAGTCATCACCACTCCCTTATCTCAAGTACCCAGGGACACAAACACTGTGGAAGGCCAGGCCACAGGGTCCTCTGCCTAGGAAAACCAGAGACCTTTGTTCACTTGTTTATCTGCTGACCTTCCCTCCACTGTTGTCCTATGACCCTGCCAAATCCCCCTCTGCGAGAAACACCCAAGAATAATCAATAAAAATAAATAAATAAATAAAATACATATGCAAATCAATAAGAGAAGAAAATTTGAAAGTAAACGTGGAAATTAAACAATATGCTCCTCATGAAGAAATTAAGAAAGAATTTGAAAAATCTCTTTAAACAAACGACTATGGAAACACAACATGCCAAAATCCATGGAATAGGGTGAAAGCAGTACTAAGAGGCATATTTATAGCTGTAAGTGCCTACATCAATAAAGAACAACTTCAAAGAAACAGTCTCTAACAATGTGTCTTAAAGAATTAGAAAAGCAAGAGCAAACCAAACCCAAAATTAGGAGAAGAAAATAAATAATAAAGATCAGAGCAGAAGTAAATGAAATTGAAATGAAAACAAATGATAAGAAAGATTAATAAAACAAGTTTGTTTTTTGAAAAGTTAGAAAAAATTGACAAATCGTTAGCCAGACTAAGTAAAAAAGACAAGATACAAATCAGAAATGAAAAAGGAGACATTGCAACTGATACTGCAGAAAGTCAAAGGATTATTAGTTGCTACCATGAGCAACTGTATGCCAATAAATTAGAAAATCTAGAGGAAATTGACAGATTTCTAAATATTACCACCTCCCAAGATTGAACCAGGAACAAATTCAAATCCTGAACAAACCAAGTAATGAGATCAAAGCCATAATAAAAAGTACCCCAGTAAGGAAAAGCCCAGGACTTGCTGGCTTCACTGCTGAATTCTACCAAACATTCAAAGAAGAACTAATACCAATTCTACTCAAACTATTTCCAAAAAAGAGAGGAGGAGGGAATACTCCCAAACTCATTCTACAAGGCAGTATTATTTGGATACCAAAACTAGACAAAGGCACATCAAGAAAAGAAAAGAAAACTACAGACCAGTATCACTGATGGATATTGATGCAAAAATCCTCAACAAGATACTACAAACCAAATTCAACAATACGTGAGAAAGATCATTCATCAATACCAAGTGGCATTTATTCCTGAAGTGGAAGGATGGTTCAACATATGCAAATCAATCAATGTAATACATTGTATTAACAGAATGAAGGATAAAACCCATATGATCATTTCAACTGATGCTGAAAAAAAGCATTTGATAAAATTCCATATCCCTTCATAATAAAAATTATCAAAAAATTGGTGATATAAGGAATATACCTCAGCATAGTAAAAACCATGTATAACAGACTCAGAGCTAGTATCATGCTGAATGGGGAAAAACTGAAAGTTTTTCCTCTAAGATCTGGAACATGACAAGGATACACACTGTCACCAGTTGTTCAACATAGTACTGGAATTCCATCTGCTGATGAAGAGAATGTATATTCTGAAGTTGTTGGTAGACTATTCTGTAAATATCTGTTAAGTCCATTTGTTCTAGGGCATAATTTATGTCCATTATTTCTTTGTTGACTTTCCATCTTGATGACCTGTTTGGTGTCGTCAGTGGAGTATTGAAGTCCTCTACTATTACTGTGTTGCTGTATATCTAATTTCTTGTGCCTAGTAATAATTGTTTTACAAATCTGTGAGTTCCTATGTTAGATGCATATAAGTTTAGGATTGTGACATTTTCCTGTTGGACTGATTGCTTTATCATTATATAAATGTCTCTTTGTCTTTTTTAACTGCTGTTGCTTTAAAGTCTATTTTGTCTGATACAAGAATAGCTACTCCTTGTTGGTTTAAAGTCTGTTTTATCAGAGACTAGGATTGCAACCCCTGCCTTTTTTTGTTTTCCATTTGCTTGGTAGATCTTCCTCCATCCCTTTATTTTGAGCCTATGTGTGTCTCTGCACTTGAGATGGGTTTCCTGAATACAGCACACTGATGGGTCTTGACTCTTTATCCAATTTGCCAGTCTGTGTTTTTTAATTGGAGCATTTAGCCCATTTACATTTAAAGTTAATATTGTTATATCTGAATTTGATCCTGTCATTTTGATGTTAGCTGGTTATTTTGCTTGTTAGTTGATGCAGTTTCTTCCTAGCCTTGATGGTCTTTACAATTTGGCATGTTTTTGCAGTGGCTGGTACTGGTTGTTCCTTTCCATGTTTAGTGCTTCCTTCAGGAGCTCTTCTAGGGCAGGCCTGGTGGTGACAAAATCTCTCAGCATTTGCTTGTCTGTAAAGTATTTTATTTCTCCTTCACTTATGAGGCTTAATTTGGCTGGATATGAGATTCTGGGCTGAAAATTCTTTTCTTTAAGAATGTTGAATATTGGTCCCCACTCTCTTCTGGCTTGTAGTTTCTGCCAAGAGATCCGCTGTTAGTCTGATGGGCTTCCCTTTGTGGGTAACCCGACCTTTCTCTCTGGCTGCCCTTAACATTTTTTCCTTCATTTCAACTTTGGTGAATCTGACAATTATGTGTCTTGGACTTGCTCTTCTCAAGGAGTATCGTTGTGGCATTCTCTGTATTTCCTGAATTTGAATGTTGGCCTGCCTTGCTAGATGGGGGAGTTCTCCTGGATAATATCCTGCAGAGTGTTTTCTAACTTGGTTCTATTCTCCCCATCACTTTCAGGTACACCAATCAGACGTAGATTTGGTCTTTTCACATAGTCCCATATTTCTTGGAGGCTTTATTTCTTTTTATTCTTTTTCCTCTAAACTTCTCTGCTCATCATCACTGGCCATCAGAGAAATGCAAATCAAAACCACAATGAGATACCATCTCACACCAGTTAGAATGGCGATCATTAAAAAGTTAGGAAACAACAGGTGCTGGAGAAGATGTGGAGAAATAGGAACACTTTTACACTGTTGGTGGGACTGTAAACTAGTTCAACCATTGTGGAAGTCAGTGTGGTGATTCCTCAGGGATCTAGAACTAGAAATACCATTTGACCCAGCCATCCCGTTACTGGGTATATACCCAAAGGATTATAAATCACGCTGCTATAAAGACACATGCACACGTATGTTTATTGCGGCACTATTCACAATAGCAAAGACTTGGAACCAACGTAAATGTCCAACAACGATAGACTGGATTAAGAAAATGTGGCACATATACACCATGGAATACTATGGAGCCATAAAAAATGATGAGTTCATGTCCTTTGTAGGGACATGGATGAAAATGGAAACCATCATTCTCAGCAAACTGTTGCAAGGACAAAAAACCAAACACTGCATGTTCTCACTCATAGGTGGGAATTGAACAATGAGAACACATGGACACAGGAAGGGGACCATCACACACCGGGGCCTGTTGTGGGGTGAGGGGAGGGGGGACGGATAGCATTGGGAGATATACCTAATGCTAAATGACGAGTTAATGGGTGCAGCACACCAACATGGCACATGTATACATATGTAACAAACCTGCACGTTGTGCACATGTACCCTAAAACTTAAAGTATAATAATAATAAAATTAAAAAAAAAAAAAATAGCTACTCCTGCTCCCTTCTGGTGAGATCATATGATAGGCCACAAAACAAGTCTCAATAAATTTAAGAAAATCAAAATTATATGAAGTACTCTTTCAGACCACAGTAGAATAAAATTAGAAATTACTCCAAAAGGAACCCTCAAAATGATACCAATACATGGAAGTTAAATAATCTGCTCCTGAATGATCTTTGGGTGAACAATGAAATTAAGACGAAAATTTTAAAATTCTTTGAACTGAACAGTAATACTGACATGACCTATCTAAACCTCTGGGACACAGCAAAAGCCATGCTAAGAGGAAAGTTCATAGCATTAAATGTCTATATCAAAAAGCCTAAAAAAGCACAAATAGACAATCTAAGGTCACATCTCAAGGAACTAGAGAAACAAGAACAAACCAATCCCAAACCCAGCTGAAGAAAATCAACAACAAAGATCAGAGCAGAACTAAATGAAATTGAAACAAAAAACTATAAAAGACAAACAAAACAAAAAGTTGATTCTTTGAAAAGATTAACAAATTTGACACACCATTAGCAAGATTAAGCAAGAAAATAGAAGATCCAAGTAAGCTCAATTAGAAACAAAATGGGAAACATTACAACCGATACCACAGAAATACAAAAGATCATTTAGGGCTACTATGAACACCTTTATGCACACAAATTACAAAATCTACAGGAGATGGATAAATTCCAGGAAATATACAACTGTCCTAGGTTATATCAGGAAGAAATAGAAACTCTGAATGGAGCAATAACAAGTAGTGAGATTGAAACAGTAATAAAAAAATTGCCAAAAAAAAGTTTGAGGATCAGATGAATTCACAGCTGAATTCTATCAGACATTTAAAGAAGAATTGGTACCAATTTTACTGAAACTATTCCACAAGATGGTGAAAGAGGGACTCTTCCCTAATTCTATGAAGCCAGGATCACCCTAATACCAAAACCAGGAAAGAACATAACAAAAAAAGAAAACTACAGACCAATATTCTTGATGAACATAGATGCAAAAATCCTCAACGAAATACTAGCTAACCAATTCCAACAGCATATCAAAAATATCATACACCACGATCAAGTATGTTTCATAACAGGGATGCAGGGATGGTTTAACATACCATCAATATGTCAATAAATGTGATACATCACAAAAACAAAATTAAAAAGCATATGTTTATCTCAATAGATGCAGAAAAATTATTTGACAAAATCCAGCATCACTTTATGATTAAAACCCTCAGCAAAATTGGCAAAGAGGAGACATACCTCAGGGTAATAAAGCCATCTATGACAAATACACAGCCAACATTATACTGAATGGGGAGAAGTTGAAAGCATTGCCCCCTGAGAACTGGAACAAGACAAGGATGCCCACTTTCACCACTTCTATTTAACATACTGGCAGTCCTAGCCAGAGCAATCAAAGAAGAGAATGAAATAAAGAGCATCCAGATGAGTAAAAAGGAAGTCATACTGTCACTGTTTTCTGATGATATGATTGTATACCTAGAAAACCCTAAAGTCTTCATCCAAAAAGCTCCTATATCTGACAAATTCATTCACTAAAGTTTCAGGATATGAAATCAGTGTACACAAATAAGTAGCACTGCTATACACCAACAACAACCAAGCTGAGAATCAAATGAAGAACTCAGTCCGTTTTACAACAGCTGCAAATATAAATAAATTAAATAAATAAATAACTTGGGAATATACCTAACCAAGGAGGTGAAAGACCTCTACAAGGAAAACTATAAAACACTGCTGAAACAAATCACAGATGAGACAAACAAATAAAAACACATCCCATGCTCACAGATAGGTAGAATCAATATTGTGAAAATGATCATACTGCCAAAAGCAACCTACAAATTCAGTGCAATTCCCATAAAAGTAACATCATCTTTCTGCACAGAACTAGAAAAAATTCTAAAATTCATATGGAACCAAAAATCCCACAAAGCCAAAGTAAGACTAAACAAAAAGAACAAATTTAGAGGCATCACATTACCCGACTTCAAACTATACTACAAGGCTATGTTACCAAAACACCATGGTACTAGTATAAAAATAGGCAAGTAGACAAATCGAAGAGCATAGAAAACACTGAAATAAAGCCAAATACTTACAGCCAACTGATCTTTGACAAAGCAAACAAAAACATAAAGTGGGAAAAGGAGACCCTATTTAACAAATGGTTCTGGGATAATTGGCAAACCACATGTAGAAGAATAAAGCTGGATACTTGTCTCTTATACAAAAGTCAACTGAAGATGGCTCAAAGACTTAAACTAAGACCTGAAACCATAAAAATTCTAGAAGATAACATTGAAAAAACTCTTCTAGACATTGCTTTAGGCAAAGAGTTCATGACCAAAAAACCAAAAGCAAATTCAACAAAAACAAAAACAAACAGATGGGACTTAATTAAACTAAAAAGCTTCTGCACAACAAAAGAAATAATCGTCACAGTAAACAGCCTCCTGAGTCGGTGCAAACATTTGCAAGCTATGCATCCGACAAAGGACTAATATCCAGAATCTACAAGAAACTCAAACGAATCAGCAAGAAAAAACAAATAATTCCATTAAAAAGTGGGCAAAGGACATGAATAGACAGTTCTCAAAAGAAGATATACAAATGGCCAACAAACATATGAAAAAATGCACTACATCGCTGATTATTAGGGAAATACAAATCAAAACCACAATATGATACCATTTTACTCCTGCAAGAATTACCATAAGTAAAAAATCCAAAAATAATATATGTTGGCATGGGTGTGGTGAAAAGGGAACACTTTTACACTGCTGGTGGTAATGTAAACAAATAAAACAACTATGGAAAACAGTATGAGGATTACTCAAAGAACTAAAAGTAGAACTACCGTTTGATCCAGCAATCCCACTACTGGGTATCTACCCAGAGGAAAAGAAGACATTATATGAAAAAGTCACTTGCACACGCATGTTTATAGCAGCACAATTTGCAATTGCAAAAATATGAAACCAGCCTAAATGCCTATCAACCAACAAGTGGATAAAGAAAATGTGGTATATATATATACAAAAAGAAATGTTTATAAAAAGAAATAATCTGTTCACAAACCTCCTTCACATGTAATTTACCTATATAAGAAACCAGCACATGTCCCCTTGAATATAAAATAAAAGTTAAAAATATTAAATAAATGTATAACTAGTTTTAATTATATATATATATATTTATATATAAAATGGAATACTACTCAGCCATTAGAAGGAATGAAATAATGGCATTCACAGCAACCTGGATGGAGCTGCAGACAATTATTCTAAGTGGAGTAACTCAAGAATGGAAAACCAAACATCATATGGTCTCACTTATACATGGGAGCTAAGCTATGAGGATGCAGAGGCATACATATAGTGGACTTTAGGGACTCAGGGGGAAGGATGGGAGGGGGATGGGAATGGGAGGGAGATGAGGGATAAAAGCCTACAAATTGGGTACTGTGCACATTGCTCAGGTGGCGAGTGCACCAAAATCTCAGAAATCACCACTGAAGAACTTTTCCATGCAATTAGATACCACTTGTTCCCCCAAAACTATTGAAATCAAAATAAATTTTTAAAACAACAACAACAATCCAACCCAAATAATTTCATCATCTCCCTCCACTGGCTGTGACTCAGACTTACTTTCTCAATAAATTGTACTAATGTTTATAAAAAGAAATAATCTGTTCACAAAACCTTCTTAACATGCAATTTACCTATATAAGAAACCTGCACATGTACCCTTGAATATAAAATAAAAGTTAAAAATATTAAATAAATGTAAAACTAGTTTTAAAAACTAAAATTTAAAATCATAAGGAAACCAAAGAAATTTAATTTCCAGGTGGTTGGAGGGAGTGGAGAGGGTGGCATTGCTCCTTACTGAAACATATTCCAGTTCAAATTTAGCTTTCAGGCATAGTGACGTACATTAATTTATATAAATGTGATTTTAGAATTTAAAAAATGGCGAATTTTTATTCGGTTAATAAATTGCAAGGCAAATTTAAAAAATAATAATTTCTTTGGCAGCTGACATATATTAAAATTTAAAAATATAAAATTAATCTAATTTGATTTTATTTTGGTAGATATATCCTGATTGTTTGGCACAAGCCATATATGCAACGTTCCATGAAGCATTTCCAGAATCGAGTTACCTCTTTAATGATGAATTTAAAGAAGATCTAGGGAATAACATTTTTCTTTGGTGTTCAGGTATGAATATATCATTTAAATATTAATCATTGTTTTGGTTTCTAAAATTTTGGGGTTGCAGTATTTTATTTATTCCATCCAAAAATATTGGTAGTTCTTTTTCTTACAAAGCATGCCATAGCAGTACCCATGTGTTAAAATAAATGTTATTTATTTTCTTCTGAACATTTCATTATACCATAATTAATTACTTATTAAATTTAGAGCCAAATATCTTATAATCAATGGAATTATTATGGAAAACTGAAATGTCACAGAAATAGTCATACCATGTATGTACTATATTTGGACCATACATGTTTTAAACTGCTTTTAGAATACTACTTATATTTAATTAGCGAATAATATTATTTAGGATAAAATCTAGAAATAATTTAATTTCTCAGAGAACATTAATCAAGGAAAACCTGTTTGTGAATCACTGTGTGTGTGTAGGTGAAAATGGTAGGATTGAAAAGCTAAAGGAAAGCAAAACTCTATCCTAGAACATTTATCAAGAAATTTAAGTACTAGAGTTTAAAACTAAGGTATAGAAATATAGTTTCATGTTCCTAGAATGACCTCCCAGCATTTTTTATAAGATTATTATTATTAACCACCAGAAGCTATTAACTGTTTTCACATAGTTCTTGTAAATATTTCAATCTAAATGTTATTTGATTTTTAAAACTGCTTAATGTCAGTTTTTACTAACCAAATCACTTTTATAAGAAAATGTTTTATACTTTATGGAGGGAGCCTTTGAGAGGTAAAGACTTGAAAACAACCCTGAGAAACCACCTATGAATAC
The DNA here is from genome assembly GCF_000001405.40 of Homo sapiens. Lineage (NCBI taxonomy): Eukaryota > Metazoa > Chordata > Mammalia > Primates > Hominidae > Homo > Homo sapiens. The sequence continues at coordinate 49,540,889 of NC_000015.10, read as the reverse complement.
ACACGGGTAAGAATCTCCTGCCAGTTATATAAAAAATCAAATTAATTCAAACATAAGAAACAAAAACGAAATGACCACTGCATTCAAACAAAGATACTACAAGAAAAGGACATGATGAAGGGCAGAAGAATTTTCTACAGACATGTTATGAACTGAATTGTATCTTCCCCAAAATTCATATGCTGAAGTAAATTCATCTCTACTACACCTCACAATGTGACTGTATTTGGAGGTGTGATCTTTAAATAAGTAATTAAGGTTAAATGGCATTACATGGGTGGGCTCTAATCCAATATGATTGGTGTCCTTATAAGAAGTGGGAGAGATAAATGATATGAGCAACACGGTGGATTAGGTTATACCAGCTTTTATCTCTCTCACACACACACAAAATAATTAGACAGCTACCCATGAACAAAAATAGTCCTAGAAGGGGTTAAGAGTCAAATTTAAAACCTACAGCAAAACAGTACAGCAAAAACCAATAATTGCACAGAAAGGATTTCTGGGGAGATTGGCATATGTGAGACATCTGGATACAGCTAGGAACAAAGAAAGATGGGGAATATCAGAATCAGTCATGAGGCAGGTACCACTCTGGTCTCCAGTGGCCTGCTCTGCAAAGGATCCTAGCAACCTTTTCTACTAAGGACTTCAACAGTTCCTGAGGCAGCCACACACTCCCTGCAGCTTTCACATCAGATGTCCCCTTAGTGTTCATCCTTTCTGTCTTCAGGACACAGGACACTGCTGGCTCTTCCACTGAGATGGTTAACCAACAGCCATTGCTGTTTTGACCTCCTGGAGAGAGAGAGAGAGACTGCTGTGCTCCATCCTCAATAAGAAGCCACTGTTGTGCTACCCAGGGCCAGGACCTACTCACATCCAAAACCATGCATGCCACAGACTCCAGAGCCACAGACACTCTTTGCATACCCACATTCTAGGCCTCAGCTTTGTTGCAGGAGCATGCATGTCCATGTTTCATATTCCAAAGTCATTTTCACGACAAGCTAGCCTGCACCTGGGACCATGGAGCCACTTTTACTCCACACATGTCTTCACTTTAAATTCTAGCTCTACAGCCACTCCATAAACACCTCCTATGGACACCAGAGCCACTGCTGCAGCATCTGCATCTGCATTGTGGACTCTAGAGCAACAGTAAATTTGCACATGCCCATGCTCTGGACCCCAGATCCTAGGGCAACACCTGCACCCATGACACTGGACCCACTGCAACACCACCTCAGATTCCTGAGCTCTGCCTGAATTTACTCTCCAGACCTCATTTTCTTGTTTCTCCAAAAGTTCCCATGTCCCACAAACCATTATTAATGCTGCTGCAGAGGGACCTGCACCACAGGCACCAATGTCCCTACTGCCCCAGACCCTGGAGCCACTGACTCTTCATGTGTACTCATACTCCAAATCCTGGCACCATGGCCATTTTGTGGGCACTGAACATCAGACACTGATGCCACCACTACTACCACCACGAAGATGCCCACAAACTGAACCTGGCATTTTTAGGGATATCTGTGGGCATGAATTCCACTATGGGAGAAAAAGAGATTAGTAAGATCCCAGCAGCCTTTGTAGCTGAAGACGCTAACAACCCTCACAGCCATTGCAGACACCACTAGCCTTGGCGACTGAGGATGCTGCAATTTTCAGTGATGCTGACCTCATCTGACAGAGCTGCATGGGGAATGTAAGCTGTTGCATGCTCACCAAGCCAGAAACACTACACCTCACCTAGTCAATGCCTTCACACCCACCCATAGTTGAAGCTCTTTCCCCACCAAAACCAGCATGTAAATTCTGGAAGAGGTGACTGCACCATCAAATGTGCAGACATTAATGCAAGGCAAAAAGAAACAAGGAAAACAAACATGATACCGCCAACAGAATGCAATAATTTTCTAGTAACTGACCCAAAATAAATGGATACTCAACAATTTCCTGATAAAGAATTCAAAATAATTAAGGAAACTAAGTTAACTAAAAAGAGAACACAGATAGACAACTAAACAATAGAAAAAGATACTTGAAAACAATGAGGTCAATGAAGAAATAGGAATTTAAAAAACCAGAACTCTGGAGTTTAAGAATACAGTGAATGAAATGAAAAATGCAATAGACAGTGTCAACAGCAGACTTGATCAAGCAGAAGAAAGAATCTGTGAACTCTAAGACAGGTCAATTGAAAGTATCCAGTCAGAGGAGCAAAAGGAAAAAAGAATGAAGAAAGTCTACAGGGTTTATAGGAAACCATTAAAAGAGTTAAATTTTACATTGCAACCTTTTCAGATGAAGAGAGAGAAAGGGCAGGACCTGAAGCCTTGACCCACTGGAGCATTTGCACCCCCTGGTACCCAAAGTGAAGTAGCACCTCACCCCCTGGGGACCCAAAGTCTCAGCCTACCAGAGCATCCTGCTTCTCCAGTGCCAAAGCTGAGTCAATGCTTTCACCTTCCAGGGACCCTAAGCTTAGGTCCCCCAGAGCAGTTGTGCCTTCTGCGGCCAAACTGATGAAGTGCTCCAGGTTCCAGGGAATCAGAAGCTTGGCTGAGCTGTCCTTGTCATCTTCATGTTGAGTAGGCTGAGGAAAAGGAGGAAAAACAGGGATTGGTCTTGGCGGTGGTAGAGGCAGATGAAAATCCATATGTAAGTGAACCCAAGTACTTCAATTTATATTCTTCAAGTGTCAACCGCATAATCAAACTCTCTCCTGGCTTGCAAAGTTTTTGTTGAAAAATCCACTGAAAGCCACCACACTCCCTTGTATGTGAGGAATTTTCTTTACCTTATTGCTTTCAAAATTTTCTGTCCGTGATTCTTTTTTTAACAGTACAGTTTTATTAACTAGTACATTAATGTTGTACATTAGATCTTTAGACTAGTTCATCCTACATGTCTGCTCCTTCATAGCCTCTAACCTTTATCATCCCATTCATGCTGTACCCCACCCACCTTGCCTGGTCCCGGTAACCAATATTTTATTCTTTATTTCTGTATCTTTGATTTTTCTTATTTTCCAAATATCAGTGAGATCATGAAATATTTTTATTTATGTGTCTGGCTTATTTCACTGGATTATTCCTTCCAGGTTCTACATTGTGGGGCAAATGGCAGGATCTCCTTTTTTAAAATGCTGAATAATATTCTGTTTTACACATACACCAAAATATTTTTATCCATTCATCAATCAGTAAGCACTTAGGCTGTTTCTATACCTTGGCTATTGTGAGGAATGCTGCAATGAACATGGGAGTGCAGATACCCTTATGATATGGTGATTTCATTTCCTTTGGGTAATATACCCAAAAGTGAGATTGCTGGGTCACATGGTAGTTCTATTTTAAATTTCTTTAGGAACTCTCATACTGTTTTCCTCAATAGCTGCACCAGTCTACATTCTTACCAGTAGTGTACAAGGGTTCTCATTTATGCACACCCTTACCAATTTTTTTAATCTCTTGACTTTTTAATAGCCATTCTATGTGAGGTGATATTCATAGTGGTTTTAATTTGCATTTCCCTAAAAATTAATATTGAGCACCTTTTCATATACTTCTGTGTCTTTTCATATATTTGTATGTCTTCTTTGAAGGAATGTCTATTCAAGTCATTGGCTTATTTATTAATTGGGTTGTTTTCTACTTTGAGTTGTATGAATTCTTTATAAATTATAGATATTACAATTAATAGATAGTAGTAATATTATTTGTCAATATATTTTCCTAATTCATAGGTTGCCATTTCATTTTGTTGATTATTTTCTTTGACGTGCAGAAGACGTTTAGTTTGATGTCATCCCATTTGCTTATTTTTGCTATTGTAGCCCAAGCTATTGGTATGATATCCAAATATTCATCACATATGTCAGTGTCAAGAAGCTATTGCCCTATGTTCTCATTTAGAAGTTTTATGACTTTGTGTCTTACATTTAGGTAGCCTATCCATTTTTTTTGTGGAGTTTCTGAGTGGCATAAAATAAGGGTCCATTTCATCCTTTTGCATGCAGAAATTCAGTTTTCCCAGCACCATTTATTGAAAAAACTATCTTTTCCTCATTGTGTTCTTTTGGTGCCCTTGTCAAAAATTAATTCACCACATATGTTTGTCATTTATTTCTGGGCCCTGTATTCTATACCTCATCTTTATGTCGGTGTTCATGCCAATACCATAGTTTTTAAAAATTATTATTTCTATAGCTTTTTAATATAATTTTAAATCAAGAGGTTTAATGCCTACAACGTTTTTTTCCTCATAATTGCTTTGCCCTCTCAGGATCTTTTGTGGTTCTATACAAATTTTAGAATTGTTTATTCTATTTCTGTGAAGAATGTCATTAAGATTTTGTTAGAGATTGTGTTGACATTGTATATAGGTTTGGGTAGTATGGACATATTAACCATATTGATTCTTCTGATACATAGCATGGGATATCTTTATTGTTGTCTTCTTCAATTTCTTTCTTCAGTGTTTTACAGTGTTCAGTCTGCAGACTTTTTACCTCCTTAGTTAAATTTATTCTTAAATAGTTATTTTTGACCCTCTTATTAAATGGAATTTTTAAATATCTTTTTTGGATAGTCTGTTGTTAATATATAGAAATGTAATTGGTTATTGTATATTGACTTAGTATCCTGTAACTTTGCAGAAATCACTTATCAGTTCTAACTTTTTTGTGAATGCTTTAGGATTTTCTACAGATACTATTATGTCATCTGTAAATACAGATAATTTTATGTATTTCCTTTCCCATTTTCAAGTTTTTTCTTTCTTTTTTCTTTTTTTTTTTTTTTTTTGTCTGATTGCCCTTGCTAGTACTTCCAGCACTGTGTTAAAGAGAAATGCAAAGAGAGAGTATCCTTGTCTTGTACTGGATCTTAGTGGAAAAGTGTTCTGGTTTTTCCAATTGATTATAATGTTAGCCATGGGTTTTGCATAAATGGCCTTCATTATGTTTAGGAACTTTATTTCTACATCTAAACTGTTGAGAGTTTTTATCAAAAGAATGTTGAACTTTATCAAATGCTTTTTTTGCATCAATTAATATGATCATGAGGCTATCATAACTGATTGTGTTGGTATGATGTGTCACACTGATTGAATTGCATTTATTAAACCAGCCTTGCATGCTAGGGATAAAGCCTACTTAGTGATGATGTATAATCTTTTTCATGTGCTTTTAAATTTGGTTTGCTAATATCTTATTAAGGATTTTTACATCATTGTTCATCAGAGAAATTGACCTGTAGTTTTCTTGTAATATCTCTGTCTGGTTTCAGTACGAAGGTGATGCTGATCTCACTAAGTGTGTTTGGGAGTATTCTCTCTAGTTTTATTTCTAGAGTTTAAAGAGTGTTGATATTAATTCTTCTTTATATGTTTGGTGGAATTCACCCATAAAGCCATCTGGTGTTGGGCTCTTCATTGTTGGGAGGTTTTTAATTACCTTTTCAATGTCTTTATTTGTTGTTGGTATGTTCCAGCTTCCTATTTCTTCCTGATTAATATTAATAGGTTGCATTTTTCTAGGTATTTGTCCATTCCATTTAGGTTTTTTCAATTTGATGGCATATAATTATTCATAATAGTCTCATAATTATTTTTATTTCAGAGGTATCTCTTGTAACGTCTCCACTTTCCTTTTTATTGTATTTATTTGAATATTCTCCCTTTTTTTAGTCTAGCTAAAGGTTTGTCCATTTTATTTCCTCAAAAAATGAACTCTTAGTTTTATTGATTTTTAAATGATTTTTCTATTTTCTATTTGCTTTGTTTCTGTTCTGTTTTTTGTTATTTCCTTCCTTCTGCTAACTTTGATTTTAATTTGCTCTTATTATTCTAGTTCCTTAAGGCATAATGTTAGGTTATTTATTTGGGATTTTTTTTCATATAGGCATTCGTTGCTATACATTTCCAACTCAGAACTCCATTTGCTGCATCCCACAGGTTTTAGTATGTCATGTTTCCATTTTCCTTTGTTCCGATTTTTCTTTAACTTCCCTTTTGATTTCTTCTTTGACCCATTGGCCAGGATTACATTGATTTCCAGATGTTTTTTAATTTTCCCACATTCCTCATTATTAACTTGTAGTTTCTGGCCATTGTGGTTGAAAGCAATACTAGATATGATTTCAAACTTCTTGAATTTGTTAAAATTTTTTTTGTGGCCTAACATATGGTCTATCCTAGAGAATGTCCCATTTGCATAAGACAGAAATGTGTGATCTACTGCTGTTGGATGGAATAGTCTGTATATGTCTGTTATCACAGTGCAATCCAGTAATTTCATTATTAATCTTGTCTTCTTAATTTATCCAGTGTTGAAAGCAGAGTGTTAAAGTCTCTTGTTATTATTGTATTGCTATCCATTTCTCATCTCATGTCAAATAATCTTTGGTTTATTTAGGCACTCTGATGTTGGGTGCATATATACTTTTAATTGTTACATCCTCTTGATAAATTGATCCATTTATCATTAAAAAATAATGTTATTTGTCCCTTGTGACAGTTTTTGGCTTAAAGTCTACTTTGTTTTGCTATCATATGAGTGTTCTTGCCAAATTCATGTGGAACCTTATTTCTCAGCATGGTAATATTGAGAGGTGAAACTTTAAGTAGAGTTTATTGGGAGGTGTCTGAATCATTTGGGCTCTACCTGCAGAGGTGACCTGCTCTTGATCTTAAGGTAGTGAGTTCTTGCTCTCATGTACCTGAAATGGTTCTCATGGGAAATGATTACTTCCTGTGAGTGTGTTATGCTATCAAAATAGACTGTTGTAATTATAATAGGATTTATGTAAGTCACATGGTAACTACAAAGTAAAAACCTACAGTAGACCCACGAAAGATAGACAGAAAGGAAGCAAATTACACAGCCAGAGAAAATAATAAAATCACAAAGGAAGACAGCAAGAAAGTAATAAATGAGCAAAGGATCTACAAAACAACCAGAAAACGAAAAACAAAATGGTAGGAGTAAGTCCTTACGTTTCAATTACATTGAATTTAAATGGATTACAATCTCCAATCAAAAGATAGAGAGGGGCTGAATGGATTAAAAAACAACACCCAACTATATGCTGCCTACAAGAGACTTATTTCAGCTTTGAGGTTGCACTTAGAAAGTGACAAGAGGAAAACAGATAATCCATGCAAATGATAATAAAAGAGAGTGAGAAAAGCTCTACTTCTATCAGATAAAATGGACATTAAAACAAAAACTTAAAAAAGGAGACAAAGAGGTTATTCATATAATAATAAAGCAGTCAATTCATAAAGAGGATATAACAATAGTAAATATATATGCACTAGATGTTGGAGCACCTAAATATATAAAGCAAATATTAACAGAACTGAGGGAAGAAGTAGACTACAAAGCAATAATAATAGGAGACTATAAGACCCTATTTTCAAAAATTGATAGATTTCTACAGAGAAAACTAGTAGGGAAACAAAGGACTTGACAACACTGAAGACAAAATGGACCTAACAGACATATACAGAACATTCCATCCAAAGCAGCAGAATGCACATTTTTCTCACATGCACACAAAACATTTTCCAGGATAGATCATATGTTGGGCCACAAAACAAGTCTTAACCACTTTAAGAAGGCTAAAATCATATCAAGCATCTCTTCTGACCACGATGACATGAAATTAAAAATCAGTAATAGGAAGAGGAAAATTTATAAATATATAGAAACTGAACACCCATTGGGTCAAGAAAGAAATCAAAAGGAAAATCAAAATATCTTGAGGAAAAAATGAAAATGGAAGCAACATATCAAAACTTATGGGATACAACAAAAGCAATTGGAGGATGTGCCATTGATGGAGCAGTGTGGGGGGGACACACAAAAATGTGCACCACAAACTGTTTTAAACATAAAAAGTTTAGGGAGTTTTAGTCACACGAGCCTTTCTTAAGGACTTACAAGTGGCCATATGCTAGCCAATTAAAATATGAAAAAGATTGTATGGTTTCTACCTACAAATATTTGTAAAGATAAATGTAAATATTTTGGTGAATGAGCATAAGTAGTTTTTTCTTCTTATTTAACTTTGTAGTTAGAGCTGTGTGACTCTATGATCTTAGAAAAATCACATCATTTTCTTCATCTGTTTACTTTGTAAAGTTGTTCTGATTAAACAATAAAATGGTTTTTTGAGAATTCTAATATTTTAATAATATTGTTGAATATTAATTACGATTATAATTGGAAAAATTCTGTAAATGCTCTTTTTTAAGAAGATATGGCATACTTGATGCTTTTTGCGTTATTCTGAAGCAATTTTCATTCCCGTTTTCTCTAGACTATTTTGTCTAATTTTCCACCAAAGAAACAATTATTTTATTTGCAATTTTTACTTGACAAAAATATTTGTCATTAATTTTGCTTGTATTGTCATTACTTTCTCTCAGTCTTTTTAAATGATTGTTTGCTGTTCTTTTTTAACTTACAGAGCTGAAAGTTTTGTACATTATTTTCATATTTATTGCTTAGTAATAAAAGAATCAAGGCTATGAGTTTCCCCTGAGTAAACCTTTATTTATATCTCATGATGTTTAACTATAATTTTTTTCACCACAGGCTTTCTTCATTATATGATTCTAATCCCTAAAAATGTTTCAAATAGCAAATTTTCAAATAGTGGCAACTGACATTTGATAATTTAATTGAGAGGAACATCAGTGTGCTCCCAAGCCATTCAAAAACCCCAACCAGCTTCCCTAAATATCTGTTATCATTTATCTATTATATATAGATAATCCCTTAAATATCTATATAATATTATGTATATTTTATATATAGATATTCCCTTAAATAGCTATATAATATTACGTATATTATATATAGATATTCCCTTAAATAGCTATATAGTAACCCACCAAGGATTTCTTCATAAGTCATTTAATAGACAAAGTAACTACCTGTTTATCTAGTAACAAACTTATTAATGGATATGTTTTTTGGCAGTATTCAACAACAATGTACAATAATGGCCACAAATTATATTTGCCTTCTTAAGGAAATGAATAAGTGCTGAAATGTAAATGAACAATGAAATATGTAGTAAACATATTGAATATATTATCTAAATTGTGCCAGGGTTGCACGTTCTCTCAGGCGTTTGGCAGAGAGAAACACTGGGCCTCTTGGAGGACTAAACCCACAGTCTAAAGACAGGGAAGATGATGGGAGTAATGCACAATGCTTTTAAACAACAAAAGCATGAGACATGATCCTTTCTGGAAAATAGCTGATGTACAAGTGCAGCATTAGCTGTATCTTCTCACCTAGGCTCCCAAGAAATCTAAACATTTTCACAATGAATGAGATATTTTGTGTTTTTATATTCAGAAATGGAATTTTGATTTTAAATATTTGCAAGTTGTTATAGAGAATATTTGAATCTTGAAGAATTCTGATAGAGATATCTTATTTCCCTACACTTTAAACATTTTATTACTGATTTTTAAATTTTTCTATGATTATTTGTTTTTAACATTATTTTATTGAAATCTAATATACATCCAGTACATTACACAAATCTGTAGGGTGTGCCTTGATACATAGTATATAATATATATAAGCATACACAATACATAATATATGTACACAGACATATATACATGAAATCAACATACACATCAAGGTATGGAACATTTCCAGCATGTAGTTGCAATTTTGGTTTGTATTTTTACCTAAGAATATTTCAAAATAGTGCTTTTTAGTGGCAAAGAATTTCATGTTTATAATTTAATTATTAGTTTAAACTTTTTTATATTATCTTAAACACTGTGGCCTGTGTATTATCCTTGTATTTTAGAATGTGTTGAGTTGTTGTCATGTAATAATGCATAGTAAAACATTATAAATGGAATCTAATGACTTGAAAACAAAAGAATATTCTCTGTTGGAAATAGGATTCTATGTATTATATTTGTGATTCTATAGAATGCTGTACACTTGTGCTTCTGTAGGGTTTTCTTTATATTTCTTTATATTTACAGTAGTTTTAATATGTGTTGCACTTTTAATTAATAAAAATATATTTTCTTCTATTAAAACTCAAATGAGTTTACAAATAAGGGAAATATTCTTTTTTGTCTAACATATATCTTACTTGAACAGTTTAGATACATTTGTTACTCTTCTTTTTACAATAAATAGTTTTTGGTATTTTAGCTACTAATAATTTAATATTGGAGCAATTTTAGAGATACATACAATTCAATTTTTTCTAGCCTTTCATTGTAGTTCTATTACAACAGAGGCAAAGAAATTGATTTCACTTTTACCCAATGGTATCTCAAAAAATGTTAACTTTTTTTTCTTGCAGAAAGAATCTCTTAGTCATTTGCCATAACTATTTTGATATCTTCAGATTAATTCTACCAGTCATAACCTTATAAAACTTCCTGAAACAAGATCAGTTTTTGTTTACTTTAGTTAGAACTACCTATTCTGATATTTAAGTAGTATAGAGCATTTATGTTAGTGTTCTTGCTAGGCAGTTTGTGTGTGGAATGATTTTATTGATGCTGTGAAGTATGCTTTGAAAGACCCATAGGAGTGGCCTAAAGTAAACATTCCAAACTGAATTTACCACAGGATTTCAAAACCATTCTGTGTGAATCTCCTGGATAATTGATATTGCCTCATCTTCATCTGTTACATATATTGTTTTCTAAATACGTAATAGGAATCAATTAAAAGCATAATAATTGCAAAAAAGCATTAAAATTGTATTTGTAGATGATATGATATATCCATGGAAAACTCTAGACAGTCAATAGTAAAACTAATTTGAACAAAAGGGTTTCAAAGATAGCCACATATAAAAACTTAAGGGCAAATGATTAAACAAACTATGGTGCATCTGTGCCATGGAAAACTACTCAGCAATAAAAAGGGAATGGATTATAGATATATGAAATGACTTGGATAAGTCTCTAAAGAATTATGCTGAGTGAATAAAGTCAATCCCAAAAGTTCATATACTATTTGATTTCATTTATATAACAATCTTCAAGTTACAAAATTACAGAAATTGGGAAAAGATTAGTGCTAGCCAAGATTTAGAGATGAGAGAAGAAACTGGGAAGGAAAAAGAGTAGATGTGACTATAAGCAAGCAATTTGAGAGATACTTGTGATGGATCTGTTCTGTATCTTGACTCTATCAATGTCTGTATCCTAGTGTGATATTGCACTATAGTTTTACAAGGTGTTACCATTGTGGGAAACTGGGTGAAAAGTACAGAGTATCTCCTTGTATTATTTCTTGCAACTCTATGTACATCTACAATTATCTCAAGTAAGAAGTTTAATTTAAAAAAATCAAACCTACATTTTCTTTTGTGTGTATGTTTATTTTTAGATTATTTTAGATTATTTTTGATGCAGGTACATGTGCAGGTTTGTTACATAGATATATTGTGCAATGGTGATATTTGGGCTTCTAGTAAACCTATCACCCAAATAGTAAACACAGTACCCAATAGTTCATTTTTTAACTCTGACCCTCCTCTCAACCTCCCCTCTTTTGGAGTCCTCAGTGTCTTTTTTTTAATCTTTATATCCATGTGTACCCATTGTTTAGTTCCCACTTATGAGAATATATGGTATTTGGTTTTCAGCTTCTGAGTTATTTCTCATAGAATAATGACATCCAGCTCCATCCATATTGCTGCAGAAACATGATTGTATTCCCTTTTATGGCTGCATAGTATTCCTTGGTGTATATATTCCATATTTTCTTTATCTGATCATCCATTGATAGACACTTAGGTTTATTCCAAGACTTTGCTATTGTGAATAGTGTTGTGATAAACATATGAGTGCAGGTGTCTTTTTTTGTATAGTGATTTGCTTTCCTTTGGGTTTATACCCAGTAGTAGGACTGCTGGGTTCAATGGTAGTTTTATTTTTAATTCTTTGAGAAATCTCCATGCTTTTTCCCATAGGAGTTACTGTATTATACATTCCCATAAATGGTGTGTAAGTTACCTTTTCTCCACATCCTCACCAGTATCTGTTATTTTTGACTTTTTGATAATAGCCATTCTGATTGGTTTGAGATGGTATCTCATTGTGGTTTTAATGTGCTTCTCTGATAATCAGTGATGTTGAGCATTTTTTCTTATGTTTGTTGGTTGCTTTTATATTTTCTTTTGAGAAATGTCTGTTCATATCCTTTGCCCACTTTTTAATGGAGTGTTTTTCTCTTGTTGTTTGTAGATTGTGAAAATTAGTCCTTTGTCAGAGGCACAATTTGCAAATACTTTTTCTCATTCTGTAGATTGTCTGTTTACTCTGTTTATTATTTCTTTTGCTGTGCAGACGGTTTTTAGGTTACGTCTCACTGGTCTGTTTTGTTTCCATTACATTTGCCTTTGAAGTCTTAGTCATAAATTCTTTGCCCAAGACAATGTCAAGAAGAATTCTTCCTAGTTTTTTTTTCTGGAATTATTTTATAGTTTCAGTTCTTATATTTCAGTCTCTCATCTATCTTAGGTTAATTTTTGCATACGATGAGAGATAGGGGTCCAGTTTCGTTTTCTGCATATGGCTATCCAGTTTTCCCAGCACCATTTATTGAATAGGTGTTCTTTCTCTATTGTTTACTTTTGTTGACTTAGTCAAAGATCAATTGGTTGCAGATATGTGGGTTTATTTATAGGTTCTCTATTTTGCTTCATTGATCTATGTGTCTATTGTACCAGCACTATGTTATTTGGGTTACTATAGCTTTGTAGTTTAACTTGAAGTCATGTGATGTGATACCTCCAACTTTGTTGTTTTTGCTGAATTGCTTTGGATACACAGGCATTTTTTGATTCCATATTAATTTTAGGGTTGTTTTTTCTAATCCTGTCAAAAAAAGACATTAGTAATTTGATAGGAATTGCATTGAATCAGTAGATTGTTTTGGGCATCATGGTCATTTTAATGATATTGATTCTTACAACCCGTAAATATGGGATCTTTTTTGATTCATTTGTGTCTTCTGAGATTTCTTTCATCAGTGTTATGTAGTTCTCTTTGTAGAGATCTTTCACTTTCTTAGTTAAATGTATTCCTAGGTATTTAATTTTTGTGTATATGTCTGTTGTAAATGGGACTGAGTTTTGGTTTGGTTTTAGCTTGAACATTATCAGTGTGTAGAAATGCTACTGATTTCTGTACACTGTTTTATTTCCTGAAACTTTACTGAAATAATTTATTAAATCTGTGAGTCTTTTGGAGGAATACTTAAAGTTTTCTAGGTAAAAGATCATGTCATAGCAAACAAATAATTTGACCTTTTTTCCAATTTGGGTGTCTTCTATTATTTCTCGCTTGCCTGAGTTTTCTGGACAAATTTACAGTACAGTGTTGAATAGGAGTGGTAAGAGCATGCATACATGTCTTATTTTGGTTCTCATGGGGAATGTTTCCAGCTTTTTCCCATTTAGTATGATGTTGGCTGTGTGTTTGATGGTTCTTACTATTTTGAGGTATGGTTCCTTTGATGACTGAAGGGATGTTGGATTTTGTTGAATGCTTATTCTGCATATATTGAGATGATTGGATGGTTTTTGTTTTTAATTCTGTTTATATAATATATCACATTATTGATTTTCATATCTTGAGCCATCCTTACATCCCTGGAATAAAACCCACTTGACCGTGATGCATTATCTTTTTGGATGTGCTGTTGGAATCAGTTTGCTGGTTGTTTTTTTGAAAATTTTTACATCCGTGTTCATCAGAAATATTGAACTGTAGTTTTCTTTTTTATGGTGTCCTTACCTGATTTTGGTACTGGGTGATACTGGTTTTGTAGAATCAGTTAGATGAGATTCCCTCCTCCTTGATGTTTTGGAGTAGTTTCAATAAGATTGAAACTAGCTCTTCTTTGAACATCTGGTAACATTTGACTGTGAATTTGTCTGGTCCTGGACTTTTTTGTTGTTTTTTTAATTGATTCAATTTTATTACTCCTA